>NC_000014.9:48986713-49611713 GCF_000001405.40 Homo sapiens
TACTTAATTTTGTTGCCATTCATTTCCAACTATTGTTTATAGTTGTGCTCAGCCTCTGGAATCAAACTGACTTATTTCAGTTATATGGTCAATTAGGTGGTTATTTTTCTGTTAGTGTTAAAACTTGTTTCAATAGAGTTTTATAAATTCCAATACCTAAATGAAAAGGTTTTCTAACCTGTTTTAATTCATTGTGAATAGATAACGTTTAACAGTACAAACCAAAAGAGAGTATTCTTTTCCTTATTTCTTAGGATTTTCCTCTTTAATGCACGTGCATACCTGGAATATCTTCCCAAATGTATTCTTGTAAACATAAAATATAAAATTCCCATTAAATTTACATAATGACATTCCCAGACCTGTGCTTATAACTAACAACTTTTTCAATATTCACTGGTGGTTTCACTAAAAATACATTTTCTACAATTTCTACACAAGAAAACTCTTTGGAAACAAATATGTTAAATTTCAATAACCTTATATGAAAAGGGAGTTTTATAATATAGAGATTCTTAAATATTCTCATAGATTACCTAGAAAAGAAGAGAAATGTGAAACAGTCGTTGCAGAAAACAAAAAAAGAAGGAAAGCTCTATAGGATGACAGTTTCCACAGTTTAACCCAATAAGTAATTTATAAACTGATAGTAAACTAGTATACCTGGAAAGGTCTCAAACTAAGAGCTCACCAAGGTGAGGTAAAGGCTCCATGGGCCTCACCTATATCCCAGAGGCTGTAGGATATGAAGATCTGCAGGCTTTAGAACTTTGAGCCTAGATTCAGAGCCCTGTTCTATTACTTACAGTCCCATGACCCTCTGGCTAATCAATAAACCTCTCTGAGGCTCAGTTCCCAAGCTGTAAAATGGGAATAATAACGTCTACCTTGAGCAAAGACATAAGAAATAAGTTAAATTTATATGGATTCCAAACACACAATACGCCGAACAAGTGTTAGCACTCTCAATTACAAAAAGAATTTTCCAAGTTGTACCCTCAGGGTATGAATTTACTTTACTTGGGTTTATGAATTACTTTAAAAATGTTATTTCCCTCAAATTCATCAGGTCAAGTGACATTACTTTGGTTGGTACTACTCTCATGAACCAAACTTATTCAAAAAATTTTTACAAAAATACAAACGTCATTAATAAGTAAAGCAAAAACACTATACGTATATATTCAACAAATACTTATTAGGCACTTTTATTTCCCCATTCAGTTTCTTATCCTCCTTATGCTTTGAGAAGACCTCTATACTGCCAGAACAGGCATTTGAGCTTTTACCAAAAAAATGAGGTACAAAAATGAGGAAAGGAAAAAGGACCAAAATCAGTTTCAGGCTGGGGAAAGTGTCAGAGAAGAAAGGTGTGTGAGCAGGCTGAGGAATGTGAAGGAAGTGGATTTGGGAGAAAATGGTGAATTAATAAGTATTACTACGGAGAATATATATATATATATATATATTCCAGTAGAGTTTAAGAAACGCAAGTGATGTTCACAAATCAGTATTACTTTTGGGATTAGGACTGTGTTCTTTCAACTACAAAATGTCTTTAACGCAGACAACATTTAAAGACACTATAAACATAAAGTCAAAGGAGTGGCCTCATCAAACCAGAAGAGAATGGACCTACCCTGACGTGAGTGGGGCTAGGGGCCGGAGGAGAACACAGAGGCAGGTGAAAAGCTAAAGGTAAGTAGAGGGTGAGAACAAACATTTTTGCTGCTAACAATAACAAGTATGTTTATAAAGCTTACTATACATGAAGCTGTGCTCTCAATTGTTTTCATGTATTAACTCTGTTAATATTCTCAACAAACCTATGAAGTTGGTATGATTATTATCTGCATTTTACAAATTAGGAGACTGAGTCAGGAGGTGGTTAAGTAACTTGTACAAGATCACAGAGCCAATAAGTGACAGTCCTAACATTCAGATCCAGCCAATCTGGCTGCTTGTTTTCTATTAGTGTTTTGTTAACTGAAGTTGAACAAATTAAACTCTCCTCAGCAATCTGTCCTTAATTTAACTTAAATTTCCATCAATATTTTAAACTGGATTTATACATCTAATATATTTAATTTGTAAGAACTTCACCTATCCAATAAATGCTTTCTTAAGCATGATCCTTGTAAATCTAACAAATTAAACATTATATATACACTTAAATATTGCATTTTGTTAAATATTACAAACATTTTACATAACAAACATAATGATTATCCTGAATTGAACACAAAAATATTTACATTGTGAGTTTGCTTTGATTTTTGTGCTTTGGTTTTTCCCTTCTGCATTTATTTTCTTATTTTCCTAAGATTGTATCATATTTTTGCAGAAAGTTTAGGGAGGTGCAAATTGCGACGTTAGGCAGTGTAAGATTCCTGGGTCAAAAATTCAGTCAAATGGTATTATTGCTTAGTGGTTATTAAGGATTTAAGACTGAACAAAGTTTCTAAGGGAGAGCAGCTTCTAAAATGTTTCTACCTAAATTGCTTGTTTAATTGCTATATTAATAGGGGCTTCAGCTCTATATTTACTAGAGATTTGTTTGACTCCCTACATATCTCCAAGGATTAAGTAGTTACTTCCACAGACAACTCTTTTTAACCTGTTCATATTTTTATTATTTAATTCGTATAGGCAAAATTTTCACCCCACACAGGTTGCTGTTACTTTCCTTCACATCTGCGTTCCTTTCATATTCTTGTTTTCTAGGATTTCAGCCACAGCTCTATAAACAATCACACTGACATTTTTGCTGAATATTTCACTTTTCATTCCATTATAAGTGAGGATGGGCCTGGGGTGCTTCTAGGTGGTATTATGATGAAAGGACTTGAAATCTGCCCCCAGATCACAGTCATTCTTCCCTGGGTGGACCCAGGGAAGACACCTTTATAGAATAATGATAAGTAAATAGGGATGGTGTCCTACTTTCATGAATTAGCTTTGAAAGCACTCTTAGGCCACCTTCTACTTAAGGGCTTGGAAAGAAGAGGTGGGGAAGTGTCTAAACCGTGTTCACACAGGCCATACTTCTAACCTTTTTAAAAGCCCCTCTTTCAGAAAATGGAGCTCCGTCAGTGGACTGACTATGATGACAATTCAGATCACGCTATTTCATCCTTTGGTGGAGCTATAGAGAGGTAGAGAAGGCCACAAAGGAAGTTTGAGGCCTCAATTGTCCCTAGTTGCATTCTCCTTAAAGTTCAAGGCTTAAAAGAATAAAATGGCCATCATAGTTTTTCATAAACATTCTCTCCAAAATTAATTGCACTTCATCATTTGTGAAAAGCAACTTTAAAGACCAACAGACTTACATTTGAATTCCTCTTTGGGGAAGTTTTTATCTTTCTGACATTGCGTAAATTACTTTTCTGAGCCTGAATTTCACTTATTTATAAAATTAAGTCAATTCTATCTACTTCCTAAAGCTATCATGATGAAATGACAGATTTAAAATATTAGAGATATATTAATAATTATCAATGTAATAAGCTGAGAGATATTGGTTTCTCCATTCAGACACTACCCCATCTCTTCAACTTAAACACATTGCCCTCTTTTACCATCTGGCTTATCCAGCTTATAGCATGAAGCAATACCACTGCCTGTGAATGGTCATGAATCTCCAGCTATTCTACCTATAATAATGATTGTATCACTATAACATGTTTATCTGAACTTCAAAGTTAAATTAATTATCCAAGCCTAGTTCATTACTCTAAATTTAAAATAAAGCCATCTAATTCAAAGAGAACTGATAGCCATTTTTATCAGAATTTGTGGTATAATTAATGTTGGCTTGGTATGCCCTAATAATTGAGTGATTGGCGCTACAGATCTTTGCCAAATGTGGTTTCAGATAGACTGACTACAACTTACTAAACACAATGGTTTCATAATTCTTCTGTAGCTGTGGTCAGACCTACTCACAGATAGCATTTTTCTAAGGTTCTCGTCTCTTCTTGTTTTTACTAAAGTTAGACAAATGTTACATTCTCATGAGAAAGTAAAATTTTTATATCCATCAGTGCTACAAGAGTTTAAAAAATTATGTCAGCCCAAAGGGGGTTCATTTATGATAGAACCATTGGAAGTAGGGCATGAATTATTCAGAATTTTAAATTACAGCCTCATCTTAATTTACTTCCATGTCTTATCAAAGGAACACTCAAGTTAACCATTGAATAGGACAGATTCCTTCATGATTTGCTGCAAACATCCACTCCTATGCCAAGCCATTCACTCATGGCTTCACTTCTTGGCTGGGTGTCTTCAAAAGGAAAAAAAAACTTACAACATTGCCCTCATCTTTTAAACCAAAAGCCAAATGATGCAAGAGAACAAAAACATCAATAAAGATTAAAAGGAAATGTTCTATTTTATTTTTGAGGACTCTCAAATTCACAGTCCCTGTCTCCCTTATACAGTCAATAATTATTCTTAAATGCAAATTTTCAAATACACAGAATTGTCAGTCCATATTTCTGAGTTCCTCACTTTTGTTGTTGGAAATGTGGAACATGGGTGCAATTCATTCTACTCGGCAAGAACGAATAAAGGAAACACGCAATTAGCTACAGAAGGCCAGGTTACCATAGCAACATGGTAAAGATAAAATGATCTCTCAAACTTTTTCAGCACCATGTGTCAAAGGAAAGTTTGAGCTCTTTTATCTTTCTTCCTGGGATGGAAAAGGCACACTTTGTTTTCATCCAAAAGGAGCACCTGCTTCCTTATGATCCTCACCGAGTGGCTTGTGGCAGCTGAAAGGAAAGTATTCAGGGTACAGTAATGACTGAAAAGATTGTAATATCCTTGGTGTCATGGAAAAAAAAATAGCTCACCTCTTATACTCAGGCTATCCTGACTCAGCCGTAACCAGACCGACCTTCCCATCCCATAGGTTTCATAATCCTCCTGGGATGTACCACAATCATAAACTAGAGTTGGGACAGAAAACTCCAGTGCTTTATAAATTTTTCCAAAACACAGAATATATAAAACCAAAAAAATATTATTTGTGAACCTAGCATAGCCCTGATATTAAACACCAAAATATAGCTCAAGAAAAAAAGAACCCCAGGCCTATCTTACTATTGAATATAGATACAATATATTAATTAAAACGCTTACATGTCAATCTTAACATGTAAAAAATAACAAACCAGGAACATCAATAATTGCTTAATATTATGAATCTATTAGTGGAGATGACAGATATGGCTAAAATTAGAAATTATTAGAAACTTTGACCTAGACTATTCAAATTAAAAACTTTGACCTAGATTAATTTTTCAAATTTAAAACAGTGATTATCTCAATATGTCATGAAAAATATTTGAAAAAGATTGGTACCATATTAATATATAAAATAACTCTGAAACCAACAAGAAAAGAGTTACTTTGTAAACAACAATGTTATTAAATCTTTGCTGTAGTTTCACAGCTGAAGTCCAAATCTGAAAATAAAGAATGTTATGCCCACACATTCTAAAGAGGAGTTTCAGGATTCCTTACCTTCCCTACATACTCTACAAACTCAAGTCAATCAACCACAGAAACTGTGGGTATTTATCAGACAAAGATACTGATCTTTTATCCCCAAGCTGGTTATTTTCTAAGCTCCAGAAACCTAAGCTCTTCTTTCCCCAAGAAATTCTCTCAAAGACTCATATTATGAATAGACCAAAATGAAAACCTCTGCTGTGCTTCTCAAAAAAGAGCCAGTATTTGAATACTTGCCATACCAAGGGGATTCAAAAACCAGATCATAATTGTACCAAGTGAGCAATCCTCTCTTCTCCTTACTTGTCCTCCCTCCCCATCTCCAACTCAATATCCTCATGGGAAGAAGAGGGTAGAAGAATGAGGAGAGAATTGGAAAATAACTGTGCATTTAAAAATCTATACCTTATTAAACATCTTGGAAACTCCCCCTCAAGTCCATACAGAATCAGAATGTGATATCTCCTACATAACAGTAGGGCTCTCCTGTAAAGTCTAATTTGGTAGGTGTAGGGTGGGGCCTAGGAAACCGAATTTTTAATACCACTCCAACATCAAATGGGGGAAATGTTGCACTAAGGAAAGAGAAAGGTGATAATGTGTTAACAGGTTTTATCAGTTGCTTCTAAGAAAATACAAGCTGGAGGATATGCCAATGATCTTTCAGAAATAACATCAAACCTAGAATGCTTAGGTCAAAAGCCCAGAGTACTCCCCCAGCTCAATGTCCTAACGGTTGTAAGTAAAAGTACACAATTATCAGTCACACAAATTCTGCCACCACATTAGTAGATCATATTGTAGACAGCAAGTTACATACAGAATAGTTCTTGGGAACAAAAGTTGTACATACCATTTTAAATCAAGGTCATCTTACAGCAGAAATCTCACCTATAACCACATTTTAAAATAAATTCTGATGAGGAATAACTTATGTTCTTATCCATCTAATCCATTGTTGAACCTGATCCAGGTCATATATCCAGAGAAGATTAAATAGCAAGAACAGGTTAAAATATGTTTGCACTTGTAAAATTACAAAGTATGTGCTCAAACCTGGCAATAATCCATGACTTGCTTCCTTACTTCTAAAAGAAGTTCAACCTTGTGAAAATGTCTAAAATTTCAACTATCAGGACAAAGGAAAGGTACGCATTTTCATTTTACCCATGAATCTTCCACATTTTCATCCAGATAACAATGTCACTCTACCAGGGGTGGCCATCACAGCTTTCTGACCGGTATGCCTTCAGGAAGGCTGCTCTTGTGACACCCACATTTCTAAAACGCTGATGTCCTCAGATTTCTAACAAATTGAAAATGAAAATCGGGAACAAGTTAAAAGCGTGCTTTCTCACTTTGTATTCTGTCATCCACCTTTTGGAGAAAGAGAGAGCCTGGTAGAAACAAAGAAAACCAACTTTATCATTACCCTTCTTACTAAAAAAGTATAATGGAGAAAAGTGCTATTTTTAACCAAAATTTCTGGTTCTTTCCAAAGGGGTTCTTTTGTTCTGAACATTATAATGAATTTGGGATAAGGAGCTAGGAAGAACTGCATTGCTCTACAGAACAAGATGAAAACAGTTTGGAGTTACCTGTGCTATCCGGGGACAAAGGAGGGTAGAGAGGAGACATGAGAAGGGTCAAGGAGAGAAGCAGTCAAGATGGTGAGACCAGGATCTAGGATCTAGGAGAGGTGAAGCAGCTGATGAGAAACCCCACATTACAGAGGATTAAAAAACAAAAGATGTTCTAATATAATTTGAAATCGCTTGCATTGTTGCATGATAAAGCTCTCCTCATCACTGTCTCAGGTTGCCAGTATAGTTGGCTGAATGCAGTTGCCCAGTAAAAATAGCTTTTTATGAAAATTGGGCTAGAACTCAAGGATTACATTTGAGATTCCACACAGAAGCATACAGGCAGCAAGCAAGGGTGGTGCAATCCCTAAATTAAATGAATTCTAGGAAAATAAGAGTTTAGGGTCAGATGTAAGCATGAAAATATAAACTCTTCACCCAAGAGGTATTTGGAAAAGCAGCTTATGTGCAATGAAGGGCTCTAAGCAATCTCATCTAGATTTTAGGAGAAGAGTCTTCTGTTAACATCTCAGTTTTCAAGAAACACGACATAATTATAATAAATAGCGAATAAAAAATTTTGTTCTCTATAAGGCCACACCCAGTAAAACAACTGTTTATATTTGGATATCTATCCTTCCAGCAATATTTTCCTTTTCTCTGTATCTCCGTATGCATATGTGTGTATACATGCACAGATGTTTAAGAAAAATATTATTCAAATAATGTAATATACATGTATATATAAACACAGACATTAATTTTATTTAAATAGACGCACAAAATTTTGTGTTCATAAATTCTGTAGTCTCTAGTCCCCACTTCAGCCTTCCCCAGTTTTTCTCTGAATAATACAGAATTTTACAAAAAAAGTTAAAAATATTTACAATACCAGAAACAGAAACTGACATTGTCATGTCACAATCTGGAAGAAATTTTCAAAAATTATGGGCTGCATGGAGCTAGTTTAGATGAAACTATTCAGGCTACAACACATAATATAACCTGATTTCCTTTATGAATCGGAGATTCCCTAAAAGAGATACAAAGAGGTTTTCTTCCCTCACCAACCACCCTCCACTGAAAACAAAGACCCTAGATCAATAAGAGAGCAGGGTAGCTCACACTCTGTAACCCTTTGACTCTGCCATTTTGAACCAGTGTTTGATTATTCCCCTCACTTCCTGGCACATTGGCATGGTCTCCTGACATTCAGGACTTCAGTGTATAACCTTTTGCCTCAAGCTTCTCAAGGAACTGTGTTCTCAGAGAACTTTTCCCCCGAAAGGAGTACTGATATCAGATGTAAGGATAGTAAGTTGTCCATTACATTATATTAGCAAAACCTAAAAACAAGAACTTCCAATAAAAGAAGGTAGAAAATTCTGAGTTGGTAAGGATGATAACATATGTATTACAGTATGTGTCCTTCCTAACACTCTAGTGTGCAAAGGGGAGGTACATAGTGAAGTCTCCTGCCTCTTCAAGTGGAAGGTTACTACGAATGTAGTAAGAAGGTGTCTAGTCTTTTAATTAATTTTAAATAGCACAAATATTTAAATATTTTGTGAAGCAAAGTACTCCATGAAAAGGTTTACATCTTGTCTTTTTGGGGCAAAAACAGAAGGAACCTGGTTTAACTAAGAAATTGTTTTTAAACACACAAAGATTCACTGAATGTGCATTAAACATCTTCTATGGGATTTTCTAAGAAATTAGAATGAGCGAAACATACCGAGTTTTAGAATTTTGTTTCCTAAAGGACCACGCTAGAAACACAGATACATTTGTTTATAATGAGAAGTTAAAAGCATAAGTAAAAATAGTAAAAAAAAACAAGTGAGTGGAAATGAGAGCAACAGACTAAACTTTAGTAACAACCAAATTTAGTAACTGAACTGTAAACAACATTACCAAACCAAGCCCTTTAAAATCTGATGGTCCTGTTTCCCTTGAAGGAGCAAGTCACATAAGATTTTATTAGCCTTAGGTCAAGTCTAGAGTATCATACTTTAGGGTTTTCCTGAACTTGACTTTCTTCCTTCCTTTCATTCATATCTGAAATGGGTTCAAAGGCCAGCGTGCAAAAATTAGACACAAAAACTGGCATCTTTTTTAACATGGAAAAATCTGAAGCTAAACACATTCTTAGTACCTCACTGAAACTCTCTGAAATATTTTAATACAAATTACATTTCAAGGAAACAAAGTTTAACCATGACAAAAGTGGTTGAAGGACAGAAGTTCAACCACAGCAAAAGTCCATTCACTATATTCTCACTGGGTGTTTCATTAGGATTTTTGTTTATTTTGTTTTTGTTTTCTAGAAAAGCAGAAGGCATAGGTATTATATTGTCTTTTAGTGAAAGTGTGGCTACTGAGAATGGCATGGGAAGAAGAGGGAGGAAATGGGAAGACATGGGTCAAAAGGTACAAAGCTGCAGATATGTAGGATGAATAAGTCTAATCATAGAGTATGCTTAAAAAAACCTAGATGGCACAGCCTACTACACACTTAGGCTGTATGATATAACCTATTGCTCCTAGGCTACAAACCTGTACAACGTGTTACTGTACTGAATAACATAGGTAATTATAACACAATGGTAAGTATCTAAACATGGAAAAGTTACCATAAAAATATGGTATAATAATTCTATGGGACCACCATAATTGACCAAAATATCATTATGAGATACATGACTATATATCAAAACATCATCTTTTATACCTTAAATACATAATTTCAAACAGAATAAACTGTTAACACATTTTCTGATTTTAGCACTCAAATACATTTTCACAACATTTACTTCACACTCAAAGTTCAGTTCTGTTAATTACACACACTTAGTCATCATGGTTACAAAATCGTAATTATATCTAAGTGACTTGACAGTGGCACATCCCCATTATGAGAGTGTGAATTCTGAGCTTGTTTTCTGAACTGTTAACCATCATTAGATATGAGAAATTGCAGTCAGTTTTCACTATGTTATCCAATGTATCAGTCAGGATTTAACAAATGCTTAGAAATGTGCTTAGATCATAATCTGAACACCAATTTCTTTGTGAATTTTCACTCTATCAAAACAAATACAAGCCTGTGTGTGTAAAATACCTATGTTTATAAGTATGCAAGGTTTTGATGTTACAATTAAAGTCTCTTTCATCACATATTTAACATACAATTTGCATTCATGAAAATTTTAAGTTCTTGCAAAGAATTACAGGTTTATTTACTAAGAAAAAAATACACCAATTAACTTGTAAAATTAGTTATTTTGTTTAGAACTTGGTAATCTCCAGAGCCAGAAAAAATAGGTAAAATATACTTCCATTTATGAAAGGTTTATTCATCTATCTAGGCTTGATGAAAGTATTAAAATGTTTATATCATATATAGTTGTAGCCTTCTTTAAGAAAAACAAAAAACACATATTTACCAAGTAGTGTTTTAAAGAGATCCCTTGCTTTTCTAGCAGATTGTCGTACTGCATTCAGTTATAAATGTAGGAAACAGACTAGTGAAGTACCGTGTGATCTCCGTATTCTTTGATATAAAAAAAAACTCATCAAGACAATTTTTAAATGTAATAACACTGTGTTCAAATGAAAGTTCTCACAGATGTCCAATATTTTGAAGATTTGGAAGGCAAGTTGGTTGACTACAAAATGGTAGCCAGAAACACTCACTTTATTTTCCCCTGTCTACTCTCCTCCCTGAATGCAACCCAAGAAAATTTCCAGAAGCATATTTAGAAAACCACTGAAGAACATTTAATATTTTAAATTAAAGCTGGGATGAGGCGGGCAGGTGGGGCCACACAGTCTTTTAACAGCACACTTACTTACTAAAAAGTGGGATGCACTTCTGGTGCTGGAAACCCAGCATAAGTTGCAGGAATTGAATATACGGTTTCCATTTCTTATTGTCTGAAAGGGTAATAATACTATTCCCGGATTATGACTTTTTACATTATTTCCAGTGAACCTCTGAATGTTTTGGTAGTAATAGAGAACAACTAAGAAATTATCTGTTGCTCCTCCCTTAGCACATGTAAATTTAAGAGCAGCTTAGGAGTTTATTAAGAAGTTTGTCAGGGTAGTTTAGTTTCTGTTTTGTTTTTAATGTCACAAAGAAAAAAATTATCAATGCATCTTTGTCTGCTTAACAATACATTGGTTTAAAACTCAAAATGCAAAAGATATTACCACTTTATTGCTTCCTGACCCTGGCATAAAGTCAGTAGATAATGCAAACATAGTGCTGTTGTCCATTACAGCAATTACAATTATTTAATGTGCAATAAAAGAATCCTAAATCCAATCTAAGGCTGCACCAATATCACTACTAGATTTGTGGAGTCAGATAAAGTTACTTTCATGGGTAAAAATAAAATCAGTCAACCTACTTGTTTTTTGAATTGACCAGATGTTTGTATTATGGTCCTGGAAACATACTTCCACTTGCCAGCATACAGCAGTGTCAGCATCTCCCTGAGACTGTTAGGGCAGGCTAACAAATACAAGGACAAACCTAGCTTGAAGATCTTAGAGGACATAGCTCTTATCTCATACCCGTCCTTGAGTAGTCATTCAACAAATATGTACTGAGGTCATAATGCACTGTCAGCCATGTTCTAGATACTTGGGATCATCACTGAACCAGACAAAAATCCCTCCCTAGTAGCACTTATATTCTATTGGGGATGGGAGGAAGACTGGGAAACAAACAACGGGCATAAAATAAGTAAATTGTATGGTACATGTTAAGAGATACAGGAATTAAAAACAAAGCAGGATGGGGGAATAAAGAGTGTGCGGAGTATGGTGGGAGTTGCACTATTAGAGTAGTCAAGGCAATTTTCATTGAGAAGGAAGTTATGAGGGTTAATACTGAATGTCAACTTGATTGATTGAAGGATGGGTGTGTTTGTGAGGGTGTTGCCAAAGGAGATTAACATTTGAGTCAGTGGGCTGGGAAAGGCAGACCCACCCTTAATCTGGGAGGGTACAATCTAATCAGCTGCCAGCACGGCTAGGATAAAAGCAGACAGAAGAACATGAAAAGGCTGGACTAGCTTAGCCTCCCAGCATACATCTTTCTCCCATGCTGAATCCTTCCTGCCCTTGAACATCAGACTCCAAGTTCTTCAGCTTTGGGACTTGGAATGGCTTCATTGCTCCTCAGCTTCCAGACCTGTGATCATGTGAGTTTAATACTCCTTAATAAACTTCCATATATATATATGGAAGCCACCAGCATCACTCAGGTAAAGAAGTTCTAAGTCCCCCTTAAGAGATGCAGCAGTTTCAAAGCTCCTTTATCTCAAAAATGCATATTCTCACTTCTTAACTGCCCATATTTTCCAATAGAACCAAGAAATGATATAAAAGTTGTTTGTTTGTTTGTTTTTAAAATGTTTGTGTTTAAAATGTTTCTTCTACTATTTTAGATATTTTATAATCAGAGAGTTTTGGGAACTCAGGTATGCAACTTGCCAGAAACCATTTGAATGGGGCTGAAACATACCTAACTGCCACTTTTATGTGTTTAAACTTATCAGATGTTGGTACTTGCAAATGTTTTGACCTAATAGAAGTATCTTTTAATTACTTACATTAATAACCAGAAATATATGTGCCATATAAGTTATAATATATGTAGCAAAGATTGCTGGTTGCCTGTGTAGTAGGCACTCTCTCCTTCTTTAGTAACAGAACCCTGATTTTGTTCAAGATGGTACTGGGACCACCCAAAAAATATACATTCCCAGACTCTTCTGAAGCTAGATGTGGTCATTGACTAAGACCTGTTCAATGATATGTAAGTAAAAGTTTTGTGTAGGACTTCCAGGAAGATTCTTAAACAGGAGCTTATTTGACTACTGGTTCTTGATTTTTTTTCTCTTCCCCTTTCCCTCTTCCTTCCTGTTTCCTGGAATGTGAGAGTGATGGGAGGAGCTCCAGCAGCTGTCATTGAAGATAGATGGCACATTGCAAAGTGACACAGGAGAAAGATAGCAGGGTCTCAGAGTCCCTAATGATCTCGTGGAGCTTTTGCAAGTACCCCTAGAGTAATAATATTCAGATTATAGAATAAATTGTTCATAGAATAAATCAACACAAAGGCCACTGGTATTTCTATTTTGTTTTTCTGGCTTGTTTTGTTTTTCTGTTATATGAAGCAAAATCTAACTCTAGATAAAAGAAAATTATTTTTTAAATTAATTTATCTAAAAGTAATGGAAGATAGTCATTTTAGATTGCTTTTCCCACTGACTGTAACATAACTACTATCAGTTATATAGGTAGGAAAAATATCATCTAGCCATCTAGGAATCAGTCCAGGTAAGGTGGCTCATGCCTATAGTTCCAGCATTTTGGGAGGCCAAGGCAGGCAGATCACTGGAGCTAGGAGTTCAAGACCTGTCTGGGCAACATGGCAAAATCCTTTCTCTACTAAAAACACAGAAATGTACAGGACATGTAAGTTATTAACTTTTTGTTTTCTTTTGGAAAACATTTTATAGTCATGGTATGGTAAGTCTGTGATGCACTGATGGTCAACATTTTAAGAATGTTAAAACTGGTATGATACAATTTATGAATTACATATATAAAAAACCCTAAGGTTTCAACTGATTATCTAAGAAAATATTCGATTTATTTTTCTCGCTGAAAAAAAATGAACCTGTTTCTTCCTTTTCGTTTGTTTTACCAAATACAATTTTAACCATGGTCACATACCACTGCAATTTAATACATTTTCCTGAGAAAAATTAATATAAAGCATTGTAGCTGCTCTGAATAGAGGATCATAACAGCAAAATTCAAACATTTTAAGAATTGTTTAATGTAAAAATTCTACTTTTTAAACTATTCTTATATATAAGCCACCATGGAGAATGTTAATATATATTTTAGTGCTTCTAATGAATATTTTAAAAGGCAGTAAATAAATAATAAAAATACAGATTTGAGAAGACATATCAACATTTATATATCAATAAAGCAAATAATTATTATAAGATTTAAAATAACTTTGAAATATTTAGTCTACTTGCAAGTTTTAAGGTAAAAGGGTAAAATAGTTCTCAAAAATAAAACAATAAGACTTAAAAACCTCACATTAAATCAATCACTGTCTATTTTAATTAATGACTCTTAATTTCATTCTGGAAAATGATATAATCCATTACCATTTTCAACACTCTATAGTAAAATAAGAATAAAGCCTTTGCAGTGGGTTTTTAATAAAGCTGACCTAATTCGATTTAAAAGAGTGTCCTTTATTCTAAAATGGTATCTTTTATTTTCTGATATCCTATTGATCACAAATAATTATTGTTGCTGCTGCTGCTTTATTTTTAATGTCTTTATTTAGATTCTACTTTTGATCTCAAAAACTTGTTTGAAAGTTACTGATCTCTTAAATCAAAAGTGAGAGAATCCCTCATTTAAGTGATTACTTAGTTCCATTTCATTTAGCACGTTTCTTTTAGATTGTCCATTTTGTACACTTCCTTTGAAAATTATATCAGAACTAAAGCAAGATTTTTGTTAAATTTATCACTGGTCATTACTTTGGAACTCACTCCAAAATGAATTTCGTCACACTTTTCACGAACTTCCCTTAATAATAACAGCCATGTTTATGACTATTATACATATGTATCATGAAAGATAATCCATTACATAGCAAAGTCCACATAATATCTGTGTTTTTTTTACTGATCCAGTCAGGAATGCAATTTAGAAACAGTCTCAACTAATGACGATTACTTGTAAATATTTCTGCACAAACAAATTTATAAGGCTAAGAAAGAAACGTAGCAACACCATTTCTCCTCATTAACATGTTACCTCTTGAAATACCAGACTGTTGGTTGTAGATAAAACACGAAAGTTTATCTTTTATCTATATAAAATACAATAATTCATGTAAGAAACACATTCTTACTACAGAGATCAAGTCTAATAAGTGTCGAATTGTACTTTGTCTATAGAGATGTAAAACTTGTTATTCATTCTGTAAAATGAAAAGCCTGAAGCAGATTGTTTAACAAAAAGATAATGTGAGCCACATATGTATTTTTTTAATTTCCTAGTAGCTACATTTTAGAAAGGAAGAGAAACATGTCAAATTAGTTCTATTTAATTTAACCTGATAAATCCAAACTACTTTCAATGTATAACCAATATAAAAATTATTAAAATATTTTATATTATTGTTTTGATAGTAAGTCTTCAAAATTCAGAGTATATTTTACACTTAAAGTGCACCTCAATTCAGACCAGGCACATTTCAATTGCTCAATAGCCACATGTGGCTAGTGATTACCATATTGGACAGCACAATCCTAAAGACATATTATTCTTAACTCTGAAATAATTGGGATATAGACCACAGGTAAGTAACTGTGTAAATGTGAGATTATTAGATTTAATTGGAACCCAGAGTTTCTCATTTGAACATGGCTGTTTCCACCCAGATGAACTTTTCAAAAGCCTGCAAAATGTGATTGATCCCAACAAATAGGACTGGCCCATTTTCTTATAATAATCTTAAATAAAATGAGTTTACAAGCAATGAAAACCCAATTTACAAATCATTCTTAATGCAAATTCAGAGGTATAAAATTGGCAAGAGCAATAATTTCATAATTTTCATAATTTATATCATGTAATCTGGACAAGGGCATCAAGAGTGATGAAGGTCCTAAATTCTTACAACCTAAGGAAATTCTGAATATTCCATGGACACTTTTCTTGCTAGGCCTTTTGGCCAACCCGGGGCTAAGTGCTGAAAGCCTAGCCATGACACCCACAGTGGATATTCTCTTAACTCAGCTACTCTTAAAAAGACATTACACAATCTGCTCACACATTGCTTACTAATTTGTGGTGGGAAGAGAAATAACTATGTAGTCTAAAGAAACTAGACAAACCTCGATCAGGTGATCAAATTAACATCCTCAGTGAGGGGCCGAAGGACATGATGTACCTCCACATCTGGTACTCTTTTTTTTTTTTTTTTTTTTTTTTTTTTGAGACGGAGTCTCGCTCTGTCGCCCAGGCTGGAGTGCAGTGGCGGGATCTCGGCTCACTGCAAGCTCCACCTCCCGGGTTCACGCCATTCTCCTGCCTCAGCCTCCCAAGTAGCTGGGACTACAGGCGCCCGCCACTACGCCCGGCTAATTTTTTGTATTTTTAGTAGAGACAGGGTTTCACCGTTTTAGCCGGGATGGTCTCGATCTGCTGACCTCGTGGTCCGCCCGCCTCGGCCTCCCAAAGTGCTGGGATTACAGGCGTGAGCCACCGCGCCCGGCCCACATCTGGTACTCTTAAGTGAACACAATACCACTTTTGTGGTATTCTGGGCAAGAACACATAACCTCAGTCTAATTACAAATAAACATCAGACAAACACAAATGAAGGGATACTTTTCTTTAAAGTATCCATGTTGTATTCTTCAAAAATGTAACAAAAGATTTTAAAAAATAGTTGAGGAACTGTCTTAGATGAAAGGAGATGGAACGCAATGTGTAATCCTGAACTGGGCCCTGTATTGGAGAGGGGGAAATGCTAAGAAGGGCATTATTAGAGCAAGTGTCAGAATTGGAGTATGAGAAGCAGATTATTATATCAATGTTTCTGAATTTGATAACCGTAAATGGTTACACAAGAAAATATTCTTGTTTTTAGCACACTGGAACGTTAAGAGATAAAGAAGTGTGACGTACACAATATATTTTTGAAAAAACAGTAAAATGTATATATGTGTTATATGTATATACATATCTACTATACATATGTAGAGAGAGAGAACATGAGCGAGAAATGCAGCAAACTTGGTAAGTCTGGACAAATGGTATGTAGGAATTCTCTATATTGTGTTTGCAGCCTACCTGTAAACTTGAAATTATTTCATGTAAGAAGTTAGCAAAACACAAGACACAATTATAGTTGGAAATAAATACCCCCTTACAGATAGGACTGAGTTTTAGAATAAGATGACATACATTTGAATTACGCTTTCCTTCAAGGCTTTCCATTTTAGAAAATATTTACATTTCTATTATTCATAACTCTTCTCCCTATAAATAAAAATTTACAAGTTTAAAGATAAAAACAAATCTTGATACACAATTGGAAAAGCAAGGTTGTTTACTAAAGGAGCACAAATGAAGTGATGAATGTGCCCAAAGCAAACATATGTTAACTGTGTGAACTAGTTACTTCACAAAAATTTAAATCTCACATAAAGACCAAATTCTTCCTATCTTGTAAAATTCTAATGAAATAATGAACAAAGATCATTCTGAAAAGTATAAAGCATTATATAAATGTGAGGCTCATACTATTGCTCACTGCTAAGTGGTGACTGTTTACATATCCAGTAGATATACATATTCACCTGCCTGCCTGCTTCACTGGTGACCTGAGATTTTGGTCTTTTCTTGACTTCAGACTTGAAGTGAAACATCTGCTCTTGTTGGATATTGAGACTGTGAGCTTTTGAAACTATGACATACCCCATTGGCTCTCCTGGTCCTCTAGCTTACCCACTGCAAATGTTGGCACTTCTCAGCCTCTATAATCATGTGAGCCAATTTCTTGTAAGAAATATACATATATCCATTCTGTCGGCTCCTTTTCTCTCAGAGAATCCTGATTAATACAGAATGTAGACATTACAGACCCATTCTAATAATAATTTTTATTGGAACAAATTGCTTGTGACAGAGCAATGCCTTCACAGGGATGACAAGTCTACCAGTGATTCATTCAAAACAAAGTTATAGTCAGAAGGGGTCTGTAATCTTTTGGATACTATGCCTGTAGAAAGAATTGAAGTAGAATATTTAAGAAATAATTGGAAAAATCAAGTCCCAAAATTTTGCTTGCAAAGAAAATATCTATTTTTGCAGGTTTTGTTTGTTTTAATTTTTTGCACAGTTTTTCTACCCTTTTCTCTATTTACGCTGCAGAATGAGCAACGGAGGCTGATTACTGTTCACTAGTAGCCATTGTTCCTTTTAGTAACAGAAACCTCAAGATGTAGCTGGGCGTGTGGTTTCCCAGCTACAGATTCCATTTTTCAGGTAGCTTGTTGCTGCTAAGGGATGAACATGGGCCAATGGGATGTAAGCGGAAATGATGCTTATAATTCCCAGGTCATCTTCTTAAAGACACTAGTCCTAGACATGATCTTTGCCAACCCCTTCTACTAAGCAGGATGAGGCAATGACTGGAAGAACCTAAGAAGCCGTGCATGCTGAAAATGGTAGAAATGCCCCACTAGTTCTAGACCATTCACCTCTAAATTGCTATGTAAGAGAAGTAAACTTTTGTCTTATTTACCCCACTGTTTTTGGAGGTCTCTGTGTATAGCAGTTTAACCTACATCCTAATGAGCATACGAATTAGCACTGAGAGTAGGAAATTGGTGCAACGAAAACATCACCTATGTTTAAATATATATGTGTATATATAATGGCATATATATGTCTGTATGTGTATCTACATGTATATAGATACATGTAGCCAGATACAGATGCTGAAGCTGGGAAGCTGCTGACCTTGTTATATTATGGGCTGACATGGAAGGTAGATTACAAATGTACTGAGTCTACAGCTGTGGGAACTTGGTTGGGAAAGGTCAGAATGTTGTGATGTGATAGCTGCCATTGCTGCTTTTATTATATATGAGAAATCTGAGCTCAAGCAAGAACTTTCCAGTTGGCAAGAAGAAACTAGGGGAAAATCTGCTAGAAGAGGTTCTCAACCTGTAGCCTGTAATCAGTTAAATGAGAAGCATGAAATTTGGGATTTCACAGGTTGGAAAAACCAAATGCTTTTGTACCTCCCAGAAAATACCAAGAAATAAGAATGTGACTGGGAGCTGTCCCAGCTGCGAAAATAAGATTAAATTTATCCTTTAAGATGACCTTAGAATAGCTAACTCTAAATTAAAAGACAGAAAAGCAGACTGAGTACAGAATCCGGTAAACCAAATGAGGAGATTTGACAGGTTTGAGAACCATGACCAGAACAGATTTTTGTGTGTGGCTATTTTCACATAGAATTGCTGGGAACAAATAGGCCTGAAGCTTACTAAGTTTCTGAAGGAATTGTGTTGCCAAATAAATTCTAAGCCAGGTGTATTAGTTTCCTGTGACGACTGTAACAAATTACCACAAACTTGGTGGCTTAAAACAACAGAAATGTATTCTTTCACAGTTCTGCAGACCCAAAGTCCAAAATCAAGGTGCCAGCAGGGCTGGTTTCTCTGGAGCCTCTCAGAGAGAATCTAGTTCATGCCTTTCTCCTGGCTTCTGACAGTTACTGGCAATCCTTGGCTTTCTTTGGCTGTTGGATGCATCACTTGCACTTCTGCCACCATCTTCACATCCATTCTCCTCCTCTGTGTGTCATTTCCTTCTATTTCTCTTAGAATGATATTTGGGATTTGATTTAGAATCCACTCAAATAATCCAGGATAATCTCCACTTGTCAAGATCCTCAATTATATCTGCAAAGACTCTTTTTCCTCAGAAGGCAACATTCACTGATTCCAAAACTTAGGACCTGATATCTTCAGGGGACAATTATTCAGTCAGTTACATGAGACCCAAATAAACTTTTGATTTCATCATTAAAGTAACCATCAGATAGTTCTGCACCAGCAAGAAGCTGGCTGCCAAAGCTGAACGATGCCCAAGAGAGCACAATCTGCAACACCTTCTTCCAATGTGCCCAAGGAGGATAACAGAAGAACATCCCAGAGGCAGAGCCAATGACAAAGGGATTGAGTGAATCCAGGAACAGAGGTGGAAAGATGGGCCCACAAAGAAACTCATCCTCATATCAGGGCAGGGAAGTCTCACAATATCTACCCAGTAGGATCTGAGAAATGCTCTGGACCAATAACTGCGAGATACTTCCACACTTCCCTCTTGAATGTGGAACTTTTAATTATCCTATGGCTGCTCCCCATTGTACATCTGGTATTGGGAGCATGTAGGAAGACACCTGGCCTTTCAGTTTATAATTTGGTGAACCTCAGACAGCTGCAACAAGACCTGCTGGAGAGGTTAGGTATCAGCCCCAAGATCCTAGATTTTTGAGCTGGGTGAAGTAACTGTATTGGATTTATCACTATCTCTCTTGCAGAGGGGTGTATGTTCTATGCAGAGGAGAAAGATCAATAGGGATATTTAAATGACAAGAGAGGGAGATCATGGTGAAGTCTTCTGTCACCCCTTCTTCCTCAGAATAATAGAGCCCCTAGAACTTCAACGGGCCGTGGCCATCCACCTACAAATTACATTTTCTAATCTCTCTTGCAGTGAAGTGTAGTGGTGTGAGTAAATGTAAAACAATAGAATATAAGTGTAAGTAATAGACATAACTTCCAGTCCTTAATTCTTTCTGTCTGTACTTCCTTTTACCTTCTTTCTACTGGCAAGGAAATGGCGACAATAGTGCCACCACTAAATCTTATGTTGGGATAGCAAAGCCACCCCACCAGCCCTTCAGCCCTGGATCACTTATTTCTAGGCTATTATGAGAGACAGAAATAAACTACTTATTTCTAATCTTTTTGCTAAATGGCTTAGCCTAACATTAACAAATTTAAGTTTCATCTAGCTTTCAAGAGCCCTAGTGCAAAACTATGTTTGACATTCCAAGAAAAGTAATAGGAAAGATGCACATACTGGAAGATCATGAGCATTCTCATGAATACAAACATATACTCATTGCTACTTTAAGAACTAGAAGTCATAATCTTCCCTAAAAACATACCTGATTAATTTTTCATTCACACACACACAAGAAAACAGAATTTGCCTTATTAAGCTGAAGACTTGCATTTGAAGCAAAATATATGGACATCATGTTGAATATCTACCTGGCAAAAGCACATCACTGCTTAAAAAGGAACTTTACTACTACATGAGAAAAAACAGTCAGACTGTAAGAATTTCACTGGGTAAAAATGTTCCTCAGTAATGCAGCTATGCTTCACTTTCCCAAAGATAATGGTAAGACACTTGGAATTATTATCCTGGATGTGGCAGATCATTATGATACAGTTTTACTCTAATCCTGTTCAACACTGCTCACTAAAATAATGATAAATATGCCAAATGGTAGTACATTTGCAGAATAAAAGTTACTTCTCTCCAGCTTAAACAGAGGTAGAGTTATACTCAGCCTCCTGCAGACACCATATTCTGAGTTTGTAAAGATCAAAGATTATGTTAAAAGTGTCTCTATACCCCAATAGTGCTTTCTCCAGAGAAGATGCAAGAAAAAAAATCAACAATCTACTCTTTAATTTTCTCTGTTATGATGGTACACAAATCTCCACTTTAAAATCAGAGTAAATACACTATGATTTTCTTTGACCTTCCTGCATAAAAGAAATAAATCCAGGAATAATAAAAGGCATTTGAGGCTATATAAGTGTGTGGGCGTGTGTGTGTGTCTGTGTGTATGTGGTGTGTCTTGTCAAAAGAAAAAAGAAGCCGATGAAGTTTGAGGGTTTAGACTGCGGCAACCCAAGGATATATGGGAACGTTCCTGAGGGAAGATGACAAGGTGATTTTTTACAGAAATGTCAAGTACAGATTAAATTCAGAGTCACTCTGCTCTTAATATAATAGTTGTCATAAACAAGGAGGTATGAGTTATCAGCTGTTCACATAAGCAGCTTTAGAGAATCATGGAAACAAAGATTAAATGGATATAATTTATAATCTGGGCTCTCTACAATCCTAGGGCTTTGAGTACTGAACTTCTGCTGAGCCTCTGGGCGGGCCTCATTACTGACCTTCACCACAACACTGGTTAACACTGTGCTGTCTTTGATATTGACCTATTATTCCTCAGAGTAATACACAATAATGCAAATGCAATTTTTTGAATTTTCAATTCCCCTTACAAGACTTTCACTGTAAAAATCAGAAAAGGAGAAACAGCATGCAGTTTGCTCTGTAAGCACATGGCAGACAGACGTATCACAGTTGGCCATTGCATTTACCTTTTTAGTATGCAGTAGCCAATTTCTCTGTTGCGTGTGTGTATTACAAGTGAATATATACAAAAATATAAAAATGGACTATATCAGTTTCTCTTTCCTGACATAATAAGCCAAGATATAAAAATAATGCAATGGAAATGTTAACACCCTGTTACTCTACTTTAAAAAATCACCTTTTCCTTCTCTAAATTATTAAATCAAATTATAAATGGTGAGTTTTTATATTATAGCATCTCTTCCCAAATGTGATACATGGCTTTTTACTTCCTAAGGGTGAATTTTTTCTACTTTATAAAATGTTTACTTATGTATATGATAGTGCCTAAGTAGGAGAAATTACATTAATCCAAACATAAATTCCTATTATGTGAAACAAATTCCTATTAAAGAGCATAATAACTACAACTACCAGTTCTAGAGTCAGGTTTTCTGAAATTAAATCTCAGCTTCCCCATCTACTAGCTATGTAACTTTAGGCAATTTAGTTAACCTCCCTGAGTTTCTTTTTCCTTGTCTCAACAAAAGACATATCAATAAAGTCTCCATGTGCTTTGAGGATCAAATGAAATGAGGCATCCTAACTAGCAAAATGCTCAGGAGTTAGTAAATTCTCAGTACGTGTTACCTATTATTATCATCAAGATGTTTACCTTGTTATTGCTACACGTAGGGAAAAAATTTATTGTTATAGTCAGGCAGAAAGAGTTATGTAAACATCCTGCAAAGTGACAAAAAATGAATTCCTCCTTCTTTATCACCGCTAAACAGGACCAAAAAGAACTAATCATTATATGTGTGTATAATTGCTATGTGACATAAAAAATATTTTAAAACATCCAAGTTGTCCTCAAGGTACTCCAGTTGGAAAATGAACATATACGGTAAATGTTCACCTTTACTTTTGGGCCATTTTAAGCATACATCTGTATTCGTGTTCTGTGGGGGAACAAAGAGAACCTCCTTTCTGTGGGCAGTCATTCCCAAAGCTTGTTCTCTCTCAGAGTCTTTGTATTTGGAATATTCCTTCCCCACCATAGGTTTTGTTTCCTTGGTATTCTACTTTCAAATCACACTCTAAAATACTATTTCCAGAATAATGGCATTTGGCTTTCATCACCGTGCAAACTTTATTTCTCTGTACTGTGACCCCTCCTTTTTTCCTGTGACCTTTTCAGGGCATAATCATCCCCTCACTCACCCAAGCTGAAAAATTTGGAGTCACCCTCAACTTATTTGTCCCTCATCTCAGCACATGTACTTATCAAATCCAATCCAGTCCACTACCAAAATATTTATTAATGGGATCCCTATTTACCCGATACCCACTGCCCAGGAAAAAACTACTACTAAATTATTTTATAAATGTTCTTCCTTCACTTAAAATATTGCAATATTTTCTAATTTCCTTACTGCTCTGCATATATCCCATTTCTTGTATATTTTTCTATTGTTTCAGTATGTTTGGTATTAATTGTATACAACCATAGGCTCAATTTTGATTGAATTTAGATACTCATAACTTGTATTTCTCTCACATCACTAAAATGCTTCAAGAATGTGATGAAAGTTATGTATTTAACAACACAGTAGCCTCTGATGATTAAACCCACATATATACAAGAGCCAGTACGGGTCAACTCTCAAATGTGTATTAGTCAGAAATCAGCCTGCCCTCAAAGCACATTATAATATGCCCATTCTTAATAACTTGATACTGATATCAAATATAAAACTGCTTAATAGTCAACTTCCCATTGGGATTTTAATTTTTAAAAGAGACAAGATCCTCAATATATCTAATGGTTTAAAAACTGTGGATTTGGCAGCCAAAAATATTCCCATTCATATGTGTTTATATCGACTGAATCTGTTAATACAACATGAGCATAAAATCGTTTAAAAAAAGGACCTAAAGGACAACCTCATGTTAAAAGACAATGAGAGCTAAATGAAATCAGACACTTTGTTCCACGTGAAGATGGTGTATTTATCTTTGGTAAAACTTTTGCTCTAAAGAAATGTTTAATTTTTCAAACAGATGCAGAAATTCAGAAAGGTTGATATTTTGCAAATGATGTGAAGAGTTGTGGTAATGGTTTACCACAAGTTGATAAGAATTTTAGAGCAGTTCTCCTGAACATAGTCCATCTTCCCTCACATTAGTATCATTTATAGCATCCAAAATGCATTTGAATTCAGCAGACTTCCTGGAACCCCAGAAGGGAGTCATTACATATCTTTCCCAAAGTTAATGTCTTTTTATTTGCATAAAAATACGATTCCATCACAGCTTCCAATCAGAGGTGATCAGAGAGCATTGTGGATGTCTCATCTAAAGATTTTCATACCTGAATAGATCATGAAAATGGAGCTTCACATTCATTGTTGACCTTTTGCCTTTTATCATTGAATTACACACACTACGAAAGAATATACAAGCTTAGAAAAAACATCTTTTACAAAGACACCAGAGCTTATCCGGAGGACAGATCCTATGATGTGTTTTGTAACAAAATACCATCAGCCTTTTTTTCAAAGTCAGGAGGAATGTCTACACAGATTCCAATGATGGAAAGTGTTTCAAAATATGACCTCTTAAATTTCAGCTCTACATAGGTACTAGAATTCCCGTTTTAGGTAACTGTAGAAAGCTGGCAACCACAATACTTTGATCTTTTCCTTGTTGCCTACCTGCAGGAAGATACAAAATAGTTAAACTGATGAGTGCTTAGATGAACCATCTGGGCTGAGACTCCCAGAGCAGGACTAACTTCGATTTCCTGAACTTCAGTCCTAGGCAGAACGTTAACAGAGAGTGAAAGGCATTATATTTATTCACTCATTTGGGAATGCTTTACTGAGAGGGTGACCATAGGTCCTGGGTTGCTTGAGACAATCACTTTTTATATCTATTGTCCTGGTATCGTTATTAATAGTGTTCCCTCAAAGAGACTTCTTTGGGCAACAAATTATGTGGTAACCTTTTTAACATAAGGCTTCATATATGCCAGGTAAGTTTTGAGTTTCAGGTAATGCTCAAAAGTCTTTTGCTCGAGGAATAAAACCCTTTTTGTTGCCTAAAATCACGGAAGCAACAGTCAGTCACACAGGAGTATTATCTGAGGCAGTTTGTAAGGCAATACCTGGTGTGCCCAGGCCTTGCCGGTAAGGGAAGCCTATTAATACTAGTGCAGAAAAACAGCCAGGCCAATATGGATTAAGGAGACAAAATAGATTGCAGGCTGACTAGGACAGCTCAGGATTGAGATTATGTAGAAAATAACTTATCTGGTTACTCAGAGATAAGGGTTTTATCTTGTTAAAACCCTAGAGATGATGGGTTAATATTTTTAAAAAGAATCACACTGTAATTATGCCTACATGTTATTAGTATTTCATTTAGCATATATACGTGCTTCAGTGAGATATTAGCTAATGTGTCCTGTACCTGGTTTATCTACAGTGTTTAATAGTTCAGCCCGAAGATCCTCTCTGCTGCTTGTTTTCCCACTAAAATATTAAGCTCTGAAATCCTTAAATGCAGGTCCGTGTTTAAGCTCACATCAGCAAAACAATCTTAGATGCCAAGCAACACGCAGTCTTCTTAGGGCAAAAATGATAATGAAACCTATGAGCATGTTAGGTCCAGAATCATGGTTACCAGGGATATTCTTCTAGGGAATCTAGGAGGATAGTTTTACCCCTAGATGTTTGAAATTAGGAGCTGCTGCATAATGTATTAGAAAATGCATGGAATTTACAATCAGAAAATTTGGACTTGGGTCCTATGTACTAACTAAATGAGCTCAATTCAATTTCTTACCTCTCTGAACATCATATTCTCAGAAAGAATACGCAGATGAGAATTATGCTGATTTCACAGGGTTATTTTTAGGATCACATGAGTTGAAGTACAATCATGGAATAGAAGATGCTAGCAACAAAGGTAGGACGGCTAGTACACCCTTATTCTCTTCATCCCATGTCTAAAACTCCTTTCAAATTGGTCAGACCTCAACTGTATCAAAGATATTTCTTTCTTCCCTTGCTCATTTATTTTCTTTATCATTGCTGGCATATGGGCAAAAAGAAAAGTGGTCATGTCAGCACACACAAATTTCTTTTTGCCACATTCAATTCTTTATTTTTTGTTGAATCCAGTTAACTCTGCTCTTGGGTTTATTAATAATATAATTAATGGCAATTGTCTAAACACTTTGCTTCTCAGCTATTTGTTTTATTGCCATGAGGAAAAAACCATACTTGATTTTTATCTCCTTTCTAAGAGCAAAGATTTTTCAAATAATCAAATGAAGCCAGTATGGTTCTGTAGTCTAAGGATGTCTCATGTCTTTCCTGAGGAGTGCACAGTTAGCGGCTGCTCACAAAGTAACTGGGAGTAAGTGCATTGATTCAGATGCTTCATGACTATCTGCCCCATATTTTATTTCAAATGACATCTCCACCTGCCAATAAATAATCCAATGGTCGTTTTATGTTCCATTCTAGAAACCAATTTTTTTCTTTTTTTCAACATATGGAAGAATACTCACGGTTGAGAATATGAATTATTAAATAAAAAATTAGAAATTAAGATAGGAATTGAGAAAATTAAAAAGTCATTTCAATATCTAAGAAGGAGAAAATAATTTCAAACCACTAATCTTTAGAAGGCAAAACCAAAGCTTCATTTTACAAACTTCCCTTCTACCCTGTTACTTAACTAACTGTCTAAATACTCAATGTCTGAATTTCTACAGTGGTTGAAAAGCTGTGCTCAACTACTACGACGCAAATCTTCAGAATTAGTTCTTGATTATTTTCCTGAAAGGCTCAAGCTTAATACTAATTCTCTGGTTCATCCTTAACATTTCTATAGGAAATTGATAGATATCAATATTAACATTTCATAAATTCTACAAAATCTTTAAGAGAGTGACACACTTACACTACTACTAGTGAATAGATCCCAACCAGCCCAAGGGAAATTCCCTATGTTGCTTTAGGCCACAGTCATCATTAATAGAGTTATAACGTATCTTAAATTTAAACTTTATAGTTAGCAATTAAAGTTACTCAAAAGTGTCCAGGAAGTGATGTTAAGCTACCAGGGCATGACTGACTACAGAAGATTTAGAGATAAATCTGAAACTGGAAAGTTGACAAAGACACATGTTAAATTTTTTTATATTTTTTATAGTTATGTAGGCATTCATTTTTTTCAACAAACATTTTCTAAATGCCTACTTTGTGCCAAGCATCATTTTAGATCATTAGGATGTATCCGTTAACAAAATTCCTGCCCGGAAGGAGCTCAAATTTTACTAGGTGGGGACAGACAATCCACAATATATATAATAAAATAAATAAAATGTATACTATCTTACAAGTTTATGAATGCAATGAAAATAAAAATGAAGATCAAGATTGTTGGATAGTATGGGGAAGAATATTTTTATCTTTCATCAATTGTATTGTATGTACACCAAGAAACAGCTAATACTTAAAAATCATTATTACAAGTACCATTTGTTTCTTGCAAATATTCATTGGCTTTTATAGTACAAAATTGTCCATTTTCCCTACATCTCTTAAGTGTATTTGTAATTGGAATAAAATATACAGCTACAAAAGAAAAAAAGAGAAACATATGTCATCTTAAATCTGTTGGTATCTATTTCATTCCAAAGGTGATGTCACGTCATTCAAATTAATAAAATTATGTTCTGACACTGTATACTAAAAACAGTATCTGTAATCTCAGGGAAAAGCAGCTGCTGCTTTAAAACAGCTGTTGACCTAGTGTGGAACCAATTTATTTCCATTGATGTCGTAACTATGAGAGCTTCAATAACATTCCAACGTAGCTATACAACCATGTTTATTTTGTAGGTGACTGTTGCTTTAATTGCAGAAGTACATTTTCTTTTACATGTCTCTAGTGACTCCATTGTTACAGAAAAAATGGTGGGCAGCAACATCCAGAGGATGTTAGCCACAATAATTGAAGCTCTATGCATATTCTCCATCTCTCTGCAAAACTGCATTTGTTTCTCACTTAGAATTCAAGAAACATTAATGGAATGCCTACTAAATTTCAGGATTTTTGCAAGAATATAATGTTGAACAAATTAGGTTCCTTATCCTCAAGCAACTCTCTCTTAGAAAGGTTTGCAAAATGCATAAATAGCTGTAAATCCAAAAGATATCTGTAATTGGATAAACACACTAGATATTTTGAACTGTATTCTGATTTGGCCATTGTTATGTAGCATCCTAGATCTCAGAAATGTCACTCTAAGCTTCTTGGGCCTATTATTTTTATTTGCTTAATTTTTCTATTTCATATCACACTTGCAATTTTGAAATTTGCAATAGTGAATCAAGATATAGAAAGAGTATACTTATGAGTATACTTATGAGTAGAGCAGGCAGGCAAGCAAGACACACCTTTGTAAAGACCACCCTGTACAATAATGAACAGTAAGGAAAAGAAGGGATTAGAAAAAGGAGTGTATTTATTGGTAGCTTAGCAAGAACAAGGTCACCAATCAAAATAGAGGCTTCTAATCTTTTGTGCCACAGACCTCTCCTCAGAATAATGTTTTTAAATGCACGAAGTAAAATAAATAGCATTACAAAGAAAACCAATTAAGTACAAGTATCAAATTTTTATTGTCATATAGTAATATATATGCTTCTTTTATAGCACATTAAATCATAAGAGGTAATAGTATATCTAATAACACCTATAATTTTAAAATAGTGAGTGTAAACGATATTTTGAAGTATCTGCAACAACTGTGATGTGATATAAAAACATCTGTGATTTCTATTGATGATAAAGTCACAGGTGCTCCTACAGAGTGGTTTGTTGCCTTCATTCATAATTGAAATATGTGCCAAAGTTCATATGCATAACATGTTATATTTTACTGATTATAAAATGTACTGTTCACATGCCTGCCCTCAGTCACTGGCCCGTGGTACAGACCTAATTCTTACCAATGCTCGTGTCATTCAGCAATCTAACTTCCCAGTGCCTCACAAAAGCAACATCTTATTAACCTCCCACATTTTACACAGAAGCATAAACCTCATTATGCCCTTCGGACTTCCCTGTCACCAATATTACCGGACTCCTGATAATGTGCACTTGAAGTTCTATTTACCCAAAATGCACCACCATTAACTGTCATTTTTGAAACCACAAAAATTATATAATACTAATCATTACTTTAGCTTTTCAGAAATACACTAAAAAATACTGGTTACAGCACCAAGACAATTCTATTAAGACATACAATCAAGCTTAGATGGTTTGCAAAGTCAAGACATGAAGGAGGAATCAATTAGTTAACAACTGACAACAAAAAAAATACTTAAGCAATGGGAACTCCCTGAATTCTGTTATTCCGGGAAAAGACTGTCAAAGCTGGTGCTAAAAGATGAAAACTGTGTCAACAAAGGTAGAACATCTATTGGAATGCAGACAGACAGTCTGGTTTCTTCAGAGCTCAAGTGTAAAAAAAGCAAGACATACTGTTTGATTCATGTGTTGGTGTGGAATCATGTGGCATTCAATTTCTAGAGTAGTTTCGTCTATGACACCTACAAGAAATATTTATTATATGACAAAGTAGGGTCATTCACTCATTGAAAAGAGAAGAACCAGACATATAATTTACACATGAAACATCCTAGATCCACTCAGAGTGTTAGCAACATGCGGATCACATGAACACAGCAGCTTCTATGTCAATAGCTTCTCTGCTGTGCAGAAAATAGTGCCTTTGAAGGCAAAAATGAAAGGAGTGCATCTTAAGCAACTACAAAGGAATACTGATTTTCACCAGACTAGAAAAAGAGATGGGAGATATGGGAGATAAGATTAGAAAAGGAGAGGAAGAGTCAGACTCACAGCACTTAGGGAAAGTGCCCTCAAGAAAAGGACAAACATGGCCACACTATGTGCCCAAGGACGTGGGATCCTTGGCCATTGGGTTCCAGGCAACTCAATGCTCCTTGTACCCTGTGCGCCGCTCACAAACAAAAAGCTACAAAATTTCAAAACCCCATTATGACCTTGGAATATGGGAACATCATCTTCCCCCATTTTCTACTAACAGTAAGATTCTCAGATTCTGGTGCTGCCAGGCGGAACTGAGACTAAATTTTTCTATAATAAAAATAAAATCATAAATCATTCCTTGTTCTTGTTTTTTTCTAACAAGAAAAAAATGTGTTAGAAATTTGTGCCATATTTATTTCTGCTTTCTTAAACTGAACAATGAAAATAAAATGAAAATAAAATGTTGGAAGTCACACAATATGTGAGTGAAAAAAAAAACCAAACATTAAAAAGATAACAAAGAATACATATAGTAAAGAGACTTTGGATAAACCTCAAATAACAGCCTCAAACTCATTACCTGATGATTTTTGATACATGGTATAGACAGAATTCTTCTGTCCATAACTTATACTATTAGTCCATTTTTCATTTTCCTATACTTTTTCTGTGGCTGTTCATATTCATCCCCTAGTGTCTCAGAGCTGAAATAATTCTCTTCTGAGCAAAACTTCCCCTCAGATATATGTGCAGTTATTGTGTATCTCAAGATTTCTGAGTTGAAATTAATTTTTAATGTCTGTGCAATTATGTGAATCATTAAGATTGTGAAGATATTATCAACAAAGTAAAACAAAACGAATGATGAAGTTATGAGCTCATTAACCTCGACAGGGACCAATGAACTCTGTCTTATTACGTAAGACCGAATCTCACAGAGCCCACATTCATGCTGGTTACTTAATAAACCGTGAACAGAGACAGACACAAGGCATAAGCTACCAATACATTCCTTTTTCTAATCTCTTCTTTTCCTTACTCTTCATTATTGTAAAGGGTAGTCTTTACAAAGGTGTGTCTTGCCTGCCTGCCTGCTCTACATATGAGTATACTCTTTCTATATCTTGATTCACTATTGCAAATTTCAAATTTGCAAGTGTGATATGAAATAGAAAAATTAAGCAAATAAAAATAATAGGCCCAAGAAGCTTAGAGTCTCCAGTTACTGCAGTCATTAGAAACTGCACCAGCATCCTGATCCAGGTGGCACTGGGGTAATTGACAACTTCCAGGAAAGGGAGCACCCAAGAATGTCACAGAGAGAGAAATTGGCACAACCCCAAAATACTTTGTTTGGTGTGTTTTAAGCTCCAAATAGTAAAACAAAAAATGTCTGAAACATAAATATGTGATATTGCAAATTAGAAAAAAATAGGGAGAATTTTATTTTTATTGTAGAAGGAAAAATAGACATAACAGTTTCAATTCAGAATATAAAAATCACTACAGAGAATGGGTTAGAAATAAATATTAGTGGCTTTTGGAGGAATAGTACTTATGGGAGATTATATACATATTTTTAAATGATTACGCCTCTCCTCATGAGAGAATTATCCACCTCCACCCTATTGATATCAGCCTTTATGTGTCACACTTGGCCATTAAAATAAAAACAACGAGATATACCACTTCCAAAGATAAGCTTTAAGTGTCATGTTCTCTTGTGCCCTGTCGTGAGATTGGTATGACCCAGGTAGGGGCTACTTCTTCAGTCTGGATCCTGCAATGAAGTTGTCACAGCACAGAGTGACAGTTCATTAAGGATAAATAAGCAGTATAAGCAAGAAGTAAATTTTTGTTTTTGTAATCCACCAAGATTTGTAGAGTTTTCCTATTGCAACGTAACTTAGCCTATAATACAGGATTGGTGAGATTCCAAAGGCAAAAAGCAGGACCAGTGAACATCTTCTAGTACATACAAATGTACTCCAGCTATATACCATACTGTTACTTTTATCCTAGAATCCCAAGATAGACATGCTGCCTTCATCTTTGAGCCAAGAAGATAGTACCGGACCAGTACTGCAGGATACAGCCCAAAGTCAATGGTTTCTGCATTGTTCAACCTTTCTGGAGCACATAACTCGAAGTCTTGTATCTCATTAGCTTTGATAGCTCTACAGAATAGACCATCTAGCACTTTATTTCTCCTGATGCCAGGGGTCCTGTAGGGTTTGTAAACAAGACTTTGCCCCTTTTGTGTTAATAAGGAGTAGGAGGAGGTTAGACGAAGAAACTGTGGGGAGAAGAGAAGGTAGCATGTAAGAATCCCAGTCCATATACCCAGGCACACAAGATGTATAACTTTATTTTCTGAAATAATTTGATTCTGTATTTGACCTGTATTTCTTGAGGTCTTTTATTATTAGGTCAAGCTACAGTTTCAAGAGCTGATCTAGGGGGCTTCCTAAAAAAAAAACAGTAGAGAAGAAGGTTCTACATCATCAGTCCACACAGATTGTCACTGAGATATTTACTGTCCCAGTTCTTAAAGTTCCCTTGAAATTTGTGACTGGCAGGTGTTTCTGTGACACACCTGAGAAAGCCCTTCACGAGGCTGACTACAAACTACTTTGCCTAGCAATCTAGCAGCAGTTCCAGAACAAGGATCTTGCTCTCCCTATAACTGCACACTGGGAATCAGACCTCTCTGCTTGCATCACATTCATCTTTCCTCAGCTGGGCATCTCTAAAAGGAGGGGGAATTCTACTACCTTTGTTTGGGAACAAAATAGTTTTGTTGTTTTGTTTTGTTTTGGATTTTTTTTTTAATAGCTGGCAACTTCTACCTTCCTTAGGCTTAAATTTTCAAAGCAAATGCCAGAAAAAACCACAGACTACTTCTGCTTTGTATGCAACAACCACTCTACTCTGAGGTGGTACAAAGAAGCCAGACAATCTGACTGAATGGGAAGAAAAGCAAAGAGGCAAAGACAGGCAGCTAAATTTAAGTTAGCCTTCTGCACCCACTCAATATTACAAAAGCATTGTGGTAAGGCAAAATTTCTATGAGAGGCCCCTAAGATTCCATACTCTAATCACCAGACCTGTGAATGTGACATCACTTCAAGGTTATATTATGTGGCACAGTTTACCTTACAAAAGAGAGATCATTCAAGTGGGCCTGATCTAATCACAGGAGACTTCAGAGGAAAAGACACTTCTCTGGCTGGTAGCAGACAGGAAGCTAGAAGAGGAAGTCTCAGATATGCATGAGTAGGGCTCGATGCACACTTGCTGCTTTGAAATTGGAGGGTCCACAAGGAGCTGAGGGCACACCCCTGACAGACAGCAAGGACAGAGGGACTCAGACCCACAAACACAAGCAACTAGATGTGCCAACACTTGAATGGGCTTGAGAGCAGATTTTTCCTTAGAGCTTCCAGACAAGAGCCGACACCTTGTTTTTGACCTTGTAAGCCAAGAGCCCAGGTGAGCCCACCTGGGCTTCTGACCTAGAGAGCTGTGAACTAGTAAGTTTGTGTTATTTCAACCACCTTTGTGTTCACTTGTTACACAGCAACAGAAAACAATACAGTCCTATTTCCCATACCCAATTTCACTCCTGCAATAAGTTCACAAACTTCCTATGAACTATCAATAATTCTTCAAGGACCATTTTTCCTTAAATTGTTTAGTTTACCAAGAGTGACTGCCTCCCTTATCCTTCTTAGAACATTAAAATGGTGTTCATTAAATGTATATAATGATTGTACTTTTTTCTTTTTTAAGCTTTCCATGTGTGCTCACACTCATTTTAGATCCTTGCTTGGGATGGATCTAAATAGCACAAAAATGGCAATTCAATATCTTTAACCTAATAACTTATTTTGTCAAGGACAATCAGATTTTCTTCAATGTTGGGAAATATTCTAACACTATGCTTTGAGCTCTGAAGATGCGATTTCCTTCAATAATTAATAGAATTGAGATTATAAGAATAAAAAATGAATTTTTGCCAACGACTGCCTCTGCACACTGACTGCCTCTCAATTTTCCTTGGTTTTGAAAATTCAAGTTAGAAAATTAGTTATTTTCTACTAGTTTAATTCTGTAAGTCCAAAATATCAAAAATTATGTGATATGCTTCAACTTTCAATTTAATTAAGGCCATTTTACATCATTTGGTTTTATATGTTCATTTTCTTTGTTTTTATTAAACAACTCTGAAAGTGCAAGAATTTTTTGTTATTTCAAAACACATGAAAAAGTAAAAGTTTACTCTTGCTGTTTCTGGTTTTTAGCCAACAGAAAAAGTAGAAAGGTCAAAATAGCTGTTTCCATCTTAAGTCACCATTATACACTTATAAGCGCCCCTTCAGACAAGATTTCCAGCTTTCACCTCCTAAAAAAGGCTGGCATTTGGAAGGAAGCACCTCATTCAAGGAAGTTTGAAAAGCTCCAAAACTTGTATTCTATAACTCGGGAACATATCAAAGCCCTAATGTGCTGTGAAAATGCTTTTTGATTCTTGAAATGTTGCTTCTCTGTAATTCTGAGTCCCTCGTGTCAGTTTGTCAGCAATAAAAACATCATTATGTTGTGGTCCCTGAGGTTTTGATTGTTAAAAAAATGGTCTTCAACACTCAAAGTTCAGGCAGTGTTTCATTACACAATTTCACATCTGGGCACTAGTTTACGTTATCTAAAGGGAGCTGTAATTCTCCTTAGGAGATGACTAGAAATGAATTGGTTAATATACAATAAAACATAGTGGAGTAAGAGTTTGACTATGTGATTTATGGTGAACAAGGGCAGCCCCATTCTCTTGTCAGATTATCAAAGTAAGTTTTAAAAATCACTGCCTATGCCCCCTTTTCTATAAAGAGTTTGTGACCAAATTTGCATGCCAATACTCTTTCAGGGATTTCAATACTTGGGAAATGTGAATAAAAAGAAAAGGGTCTGAGGCAAAAAAGGAGGGAGAGCAAATAAAGAGGAGAATGTTATTAAGCCAGTCTCAGCTTTCCACCAAATGTAGTTGAGTGTTCAATCTCATAAGATGTCTCATGAACGAAGATGTCTTCAGGAAGTATGATGTACTTCTTAGAAGTGTTAGAAGTGTTTCTTCTAACAGTCCACTGGGACATCTGCAGCCTTGTGTGTTCCACAGTGCACCAAATACCTCCCAACTTCCAGGTTACACCGGAAAGACCAATATGGCAGTCTCTAGAATGCCCGACCCCAAGACAGCAATGGCAGCATGGGTAGTGCTTATGGAAGACGTGCAAGCAGGGCAAGTAGGGGGCAGATACAAACTCAGATACTCCCACCTTCCCACCAGCTGCTACTTGGACTCAGCCTATTAAGCCTATTAAGCCATTGCACATGGGCACTCAGAAGAGCCCAGGGCATCCTGTGCCTCAGTAGCAACTGTGAAGACCCAGAGAAAGAGCTAAGAAGCTCTGAGCATTATGCTTGAGAAAAGATGTCAAGTCATGCCCATGAGCAACATGAGGACTTCAGAACAGCTGCCTCCAATGAAAGGTAATAATGGAATCCCATTAGACTCCCTTTAATAAAGATTGACACCACCTCCATTAAGGTCCATGAAAATGCAGTTGGCTCCAGGAGGTATCTCTGGAGACTCATCTATGACATCTAGCAGAAAATCATGGCCAAGCAAACCCAGGGATTCACTTAAACTGATCCAACACAGTTTACCCCTTGTGCCATTCAGATTCCCTTACATCCTTTTCTGAGAAAAAAAAAATCTTATTTCTCTTTTAGAGAGCAGCCACTTCTAAGGGATGGCTAATTGTAGTCACCAAAAAAAGACTTAAGGATGGTTAGGAAACTAAGCCCTCATCCCCTCTATATAGGGGGGATGGTCCCAACATTGTCATTGAAAGTCATTAGTTTTCTTCTCCACTGGCCGTTCTATAATTCCCTCACCTTTAGCCAGCATTTTGGGTTGTATGGGTTGTATGTCTAGTGAGGAGATGCAGACCTTTAACACCAATTAGTCTGAGTCCTTCCTCAGTTGCCTTGTCCTTGTCAGACCATGATTGTTATAATCATCCACTTACAGTTATTACCAGGCATGGCAGCACCAAATACACAAAAATACATAGCCATAATCACAAACATTTTCCTTCTTGCCTCTATTATGTATCAGGAGGAACATATAAGCAGAAAAGCGGTGGAAATTCACTGAAAAGACAAATTAATCATTTGCCTAGTGACCACCATCATCACCAACAACAACAATAGCAGCAGCAGCAGCAACAAGATTGCCTTTCTAAAATTAAGAAAGCCTAAGATATCCAATCCAGACGCTCAATGGACTTCAAAAATCAAACACATATAACTGATTAACCATGAGCAATTTTGTTGTAAAAAAATGGGTAGGCCGAGGCCGGGTGCAGTGGCTCATGCCTGTAATCCCAGCACTTTGGGAGGCTGAGGTGGGTGGATCATGAGGTCAGGAGTTTGAGACCAGCCTGACCAACATGGTGAAACTCCAACTCTACCAAAAATACAAAAAAAAAAAAATTAGCTGGGTGTGGTGGCAGGTGCCTGTAGTCCCAGCTACTCAGGAGGCTGAGGCAGGAGAATCACTTGAACCCAGGAGGCGAAGGTTGCAGTGAGCCAAGATGGTGCCACTGCACTCCAGCCTGGTGACAGAGCAAGACTCTGTCTCAAAAAAATTTTTTTTAAATAAAAAATAAATTTAAAAAAGTATAGCCTATTTATAGAAGGAAAGCTATTACCCAGGATATCAAGAGCCAAGACCTACTTGCTGTTACCAAAAAACAAACAACCAAAAATCTCTGCAGTGAATTCAAGTCATACCTGCTATTACAACAAATACTATAGTAAGGTAAGGATTGAGCTTAGCACATCTGAACACAGGAAATAATGACCAGTTCTATAGAAATCCAGATTCTTTGCAAGTAAGCCATTATGTACAGTGAGAATGCATTTTGCTTATTTTTATTATTTGCACTTCATCAAATAGTGGAACATAATTATATTTTTGCTAATAAACCTACAGAATGCCCAGGAACTCCCTTGGAAATAGCTAAAATGGATGTTGATATAATGATGGGTATAGATTGTATAAAAGTAAAAAATGCACACAGGGTAAGGGAAAAATAAAAGTGTGTTTCAGCAAATGAAGAAAAATTGTTTAGAAATAGGAACCATTGTATTAGTATCCAGGGCCCTTATTTAGAGTTCTAATCTGAAACCCAACATGTCTGCTTTTCTTCCTTGACTAAGAAGTGAATGCTTCCATCTTTGAAGTTGTTCCAACAAACTTCCATCCAACAATTCAATGTTTAAGGTGGCGCAGATTTCTGGTCCACATGGGGTTTTGTTTTTGTTTTGTTTTTAATTTTTTTTTTTTTACTATTTCATCTATGTCAAATTTACACAAAACATCTAGAAAATCCAAAATCATTTAAGAAAAATGATCTCAAAGGTAACCATTGCCAAACACAACATGATGCAGCCTTTCCCCAATGCACAAATTTTATTTGTGATGAGAGTGCATGACAGACCATTAGAGAAGGAAAAAAAAAAATAACTGGAATGGCTAAAACAATTATACAGTGTAATGGTTTCATCATCATCATTTCACTAACTCACATCTGTGACTATTTTGAATCTGCTACTAATTAAATAGGGGAATCATAGGAAATAAAACATCTGGACCAAAATCATGGCTGAGGTGCTCATCACAAACATTATCTACCCCTCACGTTTTCTTTTCACTTGATGAGGCTTCATGAGGAATAATTTTCCTCCTTAAAAAATTCTGAAGCAAGGATATTATTCCTGTAAATATCTATGTTATCCATTTCATTCTATAATAAGGTATAATAATATAAATAAATCTTTCAAATTAGTTCTGTTAAAATATTTTTTCCTCTGATAATTTAGAAAATGAATCTAATTTCACAACTACCTCTAGGGACAACATTGAGCTTTTTTCATATTTGTAATTTCTTTAGCTCTAATCACTATAATTTTTAAGGTGGTTCTTCACAGGCCATTTCTTTGGTAGCCCGATGATACAAATATCTTAGAGTAGCCTCCTTAACACTTCTGAAACCATCTTTAGCTAGCACCAACAATTTAAAATGTCCCTAAGGTCTATATCAATGTTCAAGAATAGCACACAAAAGAAATATTGAACTGTGTTCAATGTAAAACAAAAACTAAAGCCAAAGTTTCTTATTTTGTATCCTAAAATGATTCAGAAATGGAGGAGAGCTTGAAACATGTCATTGTGAGGAAAGGTACCCTACAGAATTCCTATCCCCCAGGCCAATCAATCAATATAATTACAAAGTATCATCATACTCAAAAAACGGTCTAGTTCTTACCCTTTCTCACACATTCATACAAAGAGGTAATTGTAACCTCTGCTGCCAGTTATCTTCAATAAGACTTTTCAAGGTATGGATTTCATCTGCATTGTTTTAGCTAAATGTTAGATTTTATATATTCACTGAAAATACACGGGATGCCTAAGTCCCGGCATTGTATTGGATATACCATTCAACACAAGCAGACTAGTCATTAGCTACGTCGCATACAAAAGAACAAAATGCATCTGGAATTTTTTGTTGTGTCTTCCTCCTTGAAAGGAAAAGAGTTGAAGGGCAACTAAAATACAGTATCTAACCTTATGGAGTTACATTCTAGTTGAGGATGTACAAGAGGACTGACTGTACATAAAAAGTTAAGCTGCAATGTGATCCAATGAGAAAGGAGAGGTTTTATCTGTGTTATTTTTCAGATTTCTGTTAACACTGAATTTCAACAATAATTTCAGTCATTTATATTTGTCTGTGAATCACAAAATAAATATTTATAAGGAATAAGCAGATAATGTAAATATGTCTGTTACCTTTTAGGTGTTACCTTTGGTTTACACTCAAAATTTTAAGGATTTTTTTTTTTTTTGCTTTGTTTTGTTTTTCCTGGAAATATAAAATATCACTTCCTGATTTGGGTATACCATATACCAGACCATAGAAAATCAGATTTTCAAGGTTACAGCAGGCAAACCACCAGAATACTATAAGACAACTGTATAACTTTATATTCTACAGGGAACCATAAAAATTCTAGTTAAACCTAAGCCTTTTGGGGTGATATGGTTTGGCTCTGTGTCCCCACCCAAATCTCATTTTGTAGCTCCCGTAATTTCCACGTGTTGTGGGAGGGACCCAGTGAGAGATGACTGAATTATAGGGGTGGGTCTTTCCCATGCTGTTCTCATGATAGTGAATGGATCTCACGAGATCCGATGGTTTTAAAAAAATGGGAATTGCCTTGCACAAGCTCTCTCTCTTTGCCTGCTGCCATCCACATAAGACGTGACTTGCTCCTCTTTGCCTGCTGCCATGATTGTGAGGCCTCTCCAACCAAGTGGAACTGTGAGTCCAATTAAACTTTCTTTTGTAAATTGTCCAGTCTCGGGCATGTCTTTATCAGCAGTGTGAAAACAAACTAATACAGTAAATTGGTACCAGTAGAGTGGGGTGCTGCTGAAAATTACCTGAAAATGTGGAAGCGACTTTGGAACTGGCTAACAGGCAGAGGTTGGAACAGTTTGGAGGGCTCAAAAGAAGAAAAAAAAATGTAGGAAAGTTTGGAACTTCTTAGAGACTTGTTGAATGGCTTTGACCAAAAGCATGATAGCAATATGGACAATAAGGTCCAGGCTGAGGTGGTCTCAGATGGAGATGAAGAACTGTTGGGAACTGGAGCAAAGGTGACTCTTGTTATGTTTTAGCAAAGAGACTGGTGGCATTTTGCCCCTGCGCTAGAGATCTGTGGAACTTTGAACTTGAGAGAGATGATTTAGGGTATCTGGCAGAAGAAATTTCTAAGCAGCAATGCATTCAAGAGGTGACCTGGGTGCTGTTAAAGGCATTCAGTTTTAAAAGGGAAACAGAGCATAAAAGTTTGGAAAATTTGCAGCCTGACAATGTGATAGAAAAGAAAATCCCATTTTCTGAGGTGAAATTCAAGCCAGCTGCAGAAATTTGCATAAGTAATGAGGAGTCTAATGTTAATCACCAAGACAATAGGGAAAATAGCTCCAGGGCATGTCAGAGAACTTTGCAGCAACCCCTCCCATCACAGGCCTGGAGGCCAAGGAGGAAAAAGTGCTTTCATGGGCTGGGCCCAGGGACCCCATGCTATGTGCAGCCTAGGGACTTAGTACCCTGGGTCACCCAGCCACTCAAGCCATGGCTATAAGGGGTGAACGTAGAGCTCGGGCCATGGCTTCAGAGGGCACAAGCCTCAAGCCTTGGCAGCTTCCAAATTGCATTGAGCTTGAGAGTACACAGAAGTCAAGAATTGAGGTTTGGGAACCTCTGCCTAGATTTCAGAAGATGTATGGAAATGCCTGGATGTCCAGGCAGAAATTTGCTGCAGGGGCAGGGTCCTCACAGAGAACCTCTTCTAGGGCAGTGCGGAAGGGAAATGTGGGGTTGGAGCCCCAACACAGAGTCCCTACTGGGGCACTGCCTAGCGGAGCTGTGAGAAGAGGGCCACTGTCCTTCAGACCCCAGAATGGTAGATCCAATGACAGCCTGCACCATGCACCTGGAAAAACTGCAGACACTCAACACCAGCCTGTGAAGGCAGCTGGGAGGGAGGCTGTACCCTGCAAAGCCACAGGGGTGAAGCTGCCCAAGACCATAGGAACCTACCTCTTCCACCACTGTGACCCGGATGTGAGATGTGGAGTCAAAGGATATCATTTTGGAGCTTTAAGATCTGACTGCCCCACTGGATTTCAGACTTGCAGGGGGCCTGTAGTCCCTTTGTTTTGGACAATTTCTCCAATTTGGAATGGCTGTATTTACCCAATGCTTGTACCTTCATTGTCTAGGAAGTAACTGACTTGCTTTTGATTTTAGTGGCTCATAGGCAGAAGGGACTTGCCTTGTCTCTGATGAGACTTTGGACTGTGGATTTTTGAGTTAATGACTTTGGAGGACAGTTGGGAAGGCATGATTGGTTTTGAAATGTGAAGATACGAGATTTGGGAGGGGTCAGGGGCAGAATGATATGGTTTGGCTCTGTGTCCCCACCAAATTTAATCTTATAGCTTCCATAATTTCCACATGTTGTGGGACAGACCTGGTGAAAGATGATTGAATTATGGGGGTGGGTCTTTCCCATGCTGTTCTCATGATAGTGAATGGCTCTCACAAGATCTGATGGTTTTAAAAATGGGTATTGCCCTGCACAAGCTCTCTCTCTTTGCTGCTGCCATCCACGTAAGATGTTACTTGCCCTCCTTGCCTTCTGCCATGATTGTGAGGCCTTTCTGACCACGTGGAATTGTGTGTCCAATTAAGCCTCTTTCTTTTGTAAATTGCCCAGTTTTGGGTATATCTCTATCCACAGCATGAAAACAGACTAATACATGGGAGATGCAAGAGGTAAATATTATCTACTTCAGTTTCCACTGGGTTTTTTATACTATTGTCTAACATACAATAAAACCTTACAAGAAATATCAAAGCATGAAAACATTACGCCAAATCCTGAGTAAAAAAAAAAATCAGTAGAGGCATATTCAGAGAAAACCCAGATATTGAAATTAGCAGATAAGAACTTTAAAATAAGTATTATGAATATGTTAAATATGCTAATGTAGAAGAGATAAAACAAAACATGTGTGTACAGATGGGACATTTCAGCAGAAAAATGGAAACTACAAGGATGAACCAGAATAAACTTCTGGATGTGAAAAATTATGATATTAAAAAGAAGTAATACATCAACCAGGCTTAAGAGCAAAAGAAAGGATTGGTGAACTCAAAGACAGGTTAATAGAAATTATCCAAATAATAATACAAAAGGAAATAAAGAATAGAAAAAAACTGAATAAAGCTTCTGATATTGTTAGGATGATATCAAACGATGAAACAACTGTAACTGGAGTCTCAGGATGAGAAAGAGAGGATAAATAATAACAATCCTACACAAACTCCTTTATAAAATACAAAACATTTTCCTAGTCATTTTATAAAGCCAGAATAACCCTGATATCGAAACTTGATACATACATTGCAAGAAAATAACAAAGCAATATGCCTATCATTAAAGGTGGGAAATGTCTTTTAAAATATTAGCAAATTAAACAACAATGTATAAAAAAGGATAATAACACACAATAAAAGAAAATTTGACTAAATTTAAAACCTATCTGATATATTTTTAAAAAAATACTGTAAGAAAACCAGAAATGGAAGAAGTCTCCTGAGCCTGATAAAAGGCACCTAACGCTAGCATCATACTTAAGGCTGAAAGATGAAATGATTCTCCCCTAAGATCAGGAATCAAGCAAGAATGTCCACTATCATCACTTCTATTCAACTTTGTACTAAGTGTTCTACATAGTAAATGAGGGGGGAAAATGAAATAAAAGCCATCGTATTGGAAAGGAGAAAGTAAAATGTTTTTTATTCATGGATAATGTGATTGTATACACAGAAAATCCTCAGGAGTTTTCAAAAATGAATTAATAGTGAGCTTAGAATGTTCTCAAAAAAATCAAGTGTATTTGTATATATAAGCAAAAAATAACAGAAAACTAAAACTTTTAAAACAATACAATTTACAATATTACTAGAAAATATCAAATATCTCGGAAAAAAACTAACAAGAGATGTGAAAGACTTCCAGAAAAAAACTAGTTTGAGATTTCTCATAAACGTAAAAGTTAAAGCCATAAGCTTCTGGGAAAAAGAAAAAGAAAATATTTTCATGACCTTGGTGAAAGCAAAGATAGACAGAATCTAAAAATCACTAATCATAAAATTAAGAATATAACAATCAGGCTTCGTAAAACTAGAAAATTCTGCTTATCAAAAAACTAGTAATAAAATAAGCAAACTACAGGCTAGAGAAAATATTTGAAATATTTGACAATATAATAATTGCCAGAATATATTTTTAACATTTTATGAATCAATAATACAAAGACCAAAACCTAATTTAAATGGTTAAAATATTTGAACAAATACTTCCAAAAGAAGATAGAGGAATGTCCAATAAGCATCTGAAAAGGTACTCTAAGAAAATACCATTTAAAGCCACAAAGAGATACCATTTCACAAGCTCAATGGCTAAACTACTGGATAACACTGAATGCTGACAAGAATATGGAACAATTGGAACTTTCATACAGACAGCATAATGACTCTGAAAACACCATATTGACCTAGCAATGTCAGTTCTAGATATTTACCCCCAAAAATTAAAAAATGCCCATTTTAAAAAGCTTGTAGAAGAATGATCATTGGAGTCTTATTCATCAGAGTTAAAAACTAGAAATAACTCAAAGGTCTATTGACATTGGCATCAACTAATTAATTGTGGTAGATATACTACTCAACAATGAAAAGCAATGAACCACTAATACATGCAACAACATGAGTTAATCTTGAAACACTGTGTTAGACAAAAGGAGCCAGGTCCAAATGAACACAGATTAAATTATTTCATTTTTACACTGTATAAGAACAAGAAAAACTAACCTGTGATTATTGAAATCAGACACTAGTTCTTCCAGGGCTTGGGAATTTGACTAGAAAAGATCATGAAGGAATTTTATGGGTGACAAATTGTTCTATACCTTGAGTGAGAATTACATAGGTGCATAGAATTGTCAAAACTCAACAAATTGTATGCTTAAGATCTGTGCATCTTACTAATGTATATGATACGTCAATAAGAGAAACAAAGGATGAGGAATGTATTTTTTAAAAAAACAGTGTTAGGAAAGATTAACTTATCTGAAAGTGTGCCAGATACAGGACAATAATTATTCTGTAAGGCTTAACAAATGGCTACCATATGTATGCAAAACACTCACGGAGAGGCAAAAAGTAGAACAGTTGCTAACATGAAGAAATTTAAAATATAATGGAAGTTCACAACTGGCACCCTGCCATGTTTGTATGTTCATGAAAGGTCCTCTTCAATTAAAAATATTACCAGTTGAACAGGAAAAGTAGTGGGAACAATACTCATTAGGAGAATCTTGAGTCAAGAGGAGGCCAAACCCAGGCAGGCATCAGTCACAGCCTGGCAGAAGAGGGAGTCAGCCCAGAAGAAAGACTCTTCAGCTTAAGGGTGTTGCATGAAAGCTCCAGATAAGGAGGCAGATTCCTGGCCAGTGTGTGGAAGAGAATTAGAGGATTCAGAGCAGAATGAGAACAGAGAAGCACCTATTCAGCCTTTAAAGAAGAGATCCTGCCATTTGTGACAACTTGGATAAATCTAGATGACATTGTCCTAAGCGAAATAAGCCAGACACAGAAGGGAAAATACTGCATAATTTCATTGATATGTGCAATTAAAAAATCAAATACATAGGAATAGAGTAAAATGGTGATTACCAGGTGAGGGGAATAGGAAGATGTAAATCAAAAGGTACAAAGTCGTAAATATGTGAAATGAATAAGTCTAGAGATATAATGTACAACATAACGATGGATTATTGTTAACAATATAATAATAATACATTATGCATGGGTAATTTGCCAGGAGAATAGATTTTAGGTACAATTACCACCAAAAAGAAAGGTAATTACAAAAGATGATGGGTATGTTATTAATAATTTACTCGACTGTAATAGTCACTTCCCTGTGCATACATAGATCAACATAAGTATATCAAAACATCATGTTGCATACCTTAAATATATACAATAAAAAATGTTTTAAAAGAAAAAGAAAATAGAGAAAAAACAAAAGAGGAGAAGGTTTCTTATCAGAGAGATGGTACCTCCTGGTGAGCTGCGGTCTGCTTCGTCAGAGCCTACATACACCCCTGGTTTTGCTCAATTCTTAACATCCAGAGGGCCAAGACCTCAGCTGCATCTGTAAACTCCTTACCAGTAAGACTGGCCATTTGGAATTTCAAAGCCTTCTCTGGCCATCACCTCTATTTTCCTCCTTATTTCTTTGTTCCAGGTGTCTGTTTTCTCAGTGTTCTTCCTGACTCTAAACTTTCATTACAACTTTCTGGATTCCTCTGCAGTTCTCTGGCCTTGCCTGTCATCTCTCTGATAGTCAGCTCCCGCCACAGAGAGAGGGCTTTTCCACACAGGTGCTCGTCCTTCTATTTATTTATTTATTTATTTATTTATTTATTTATTTATTTATTTTTTGAGACAGAGTTTCGCTCTGTTGCCCAGGCTGAAGTGCAGGATCTCACTGAAAGCTCCATCCCCAGGTTCAAGCCATTCTTCTGCCTCAGCCTCCCGAGTAGCTGGGAATACAGGCACCCGCCACCATGCCCGGCTAATTCTTTGTATTTTTAGTAGAGATTTCACCTTACTAAAGGTGTTTCACCTTACTATTTTTAGTAAAGGTTTCACTTACTTTAGTAGGGGTTTCACCGTGTCAGCCAGGATGGTCTCAATCTCCTGACCTCATGATCTGCCTGCCTCCGCTTCCCAAAGTGCTGGGATTACAGGCGTGAGCCACCGCGCCCAGCCCATCCTTCTCTCTTGACCACTCCTCTGCCTCTCCTGATGGCTGGAAATAGTCAGTCTGCATTAATCTGCTCTCAGCTAGAGCCTGCCTTTTTAAGTATTCTAGGCTCTCTTCAAGCTAAACAACTGTATTTTTCAAAAAGAAAAATTTAATCACAGTTTTGGCCTTTAACTGAGTTTGTCAAACTCATTTTTCTGAGTTTATCAGAAAAATATATGCCTACACTTATTCACTAGAGTTGAAAAATTAGACAATCACAGTCTTGTGCTATTTTTATCTTTTCTTTCCCTCGATTTCTATTTTCAAATATTCTCCTTATTTACCATCTTTACTTGAAGAGTAAAATGCACTAATTGGATACATGGCAGTGAATTTCCTGAAAGACTCAGCAACCTTAGCAGGTGACAGGTCTTCCAGTGCTAGGGACAAACCTCAGCAGTAAGAGAGGCTATTCCTCAGAAGAAACCTTCACCCAGTCAGCCTTCAACGAATCTCAGATAAGCCTAGGAGTACACCCTAAATTTCCTAACTGAGCCTGGAGCAAAGCGTTATTATTCTGCGTGCTCAGTAACAGCCACCGACTGCATCTATGCTACAAAACTAAGCTTGTACCTAATGAGGTGATGTTTTTCTGTATGTTCTACAGACTAAAAGTCTCCAGGTTGTATGCAGATGCTTTCACAGCGGTGTGTGACATGGCCCAGCCATCTCCAGCTTTAAGCTCTTCCTCAATGCAAGATTTGCCCTGTCTCAGTAACCACCAGGAAGCTTTTCTTTGGCCATCCTATTTCACAGAAAACAGAACTGCTTGTTGCCAGTTTTATTTCTTAACAGAGTTCTTCTCCCTCCCAACTTAAAAAAAGAGCATTAAGTCTTCTAATCATACTATTCAAGGGAAAATATTGAGAATTAAAAGGAAGAGGGAAAGGAAAAAAGTTTAAAAAAGGACTTACGATACATGCTGCTTTAAAAAGAGGACGGTAGGCCTCCTTGAGACAGCCAGGTAGGAAGGGCTCCCCGGCAGAACCTCCTAAGTCCTGCGCACTGGGAGGAATGTGCACTGGGGTGGAGCCTTGGGAAATTCACGCTCTTTGCAGGGGGAGGAGCCTGGCCTCTCTCTCCTCTTCCTAAGTATGGTCCCTGGGATTCAATCTGCAAAGCGGGAAGCCTACTAGCAGGACCCTGGCTTTGCGGAGTGCCTGTTTCCCTTTTCTTCCTGGGCGATAAAAAAAGGGATACATCTCATTTTACTCATTTTCCCAATATATCTCATTTTTCTCACCCTTCAAATTGTCTGCAAGCCTAATTTTGGCGGTTGTATGACAAGGACCACATCTTTAGCTGAACTAAGGAAAAGTCCTACAACATCCTTGCAAGACATACTTTTATTAACCTGTTAATGAAGTTGATATGAATGTAATCTGTTAGATTTCTAATCTATTAGATATCTAATCTACTGGGGTCTCACATTCTCCTCCAGATCTTTATTGAAGTTCCCAGAGGTATGTAGGGTATCTGGACACTGAGGACGGCCCATCAGGTTCTTGAGTCATCTGACCAGGCAGTGTCTGCTGAGGCTTCTGTTTCAAGTCTCTGTCATCTTCCTGTGGATCTTCCCTAATGCCTTTGAAATGGCCTTCTCCAGTCTCATGGCTCTCTCTACTAAATCTGTGCATTGCTTTGAGGTATAAAATATCTCCACTGAGGAGAAAGAGAAAAAGGTGAAGTTAAAGGAGAAAAAGCTGAAAAGTTGCCAGTTCTTACTGTCATCAGGGGTCAGGCTTCAGAACATATGTTAACATAGAACTTGTCTAATTAGCAAACTGAATTGCATTGAAAAAAGAAACAGGAAAACTCTGCTACAAAGAGCAAAATTTCATGTGGGTCAATTGGCTTTATCCTTACATACTCTAGAATTAGGAATTCAAACAACTCAACAACAACAAAAGAAAAATAATCCCACTAAAAATGGGCAAAGGACATAGATAGACATTTTTCAAAAGAAGACATACAAATGGCCAACAATATGAAAAACTGCTTAACATCATTAATCGTCAAAGAAATGCAAATGAAAACCACAATGAGATACCATCTTACACCAGTGAGGTGGCTATTACTAAAAACTCAAAAAAATCACAGATATTGGCGAGGATAGGGAGAAAAGGGAAACCTTACACACTGTCGGTGTGAATGTAAATTAGCACAATCTCTATGGGAAACAATACGGAGATTTCTCAAAGAACTAAAAATAGAACTACCATTTGATCCAGCAATCCCACTACTGGGTAACTACTCAAAAGAAAAGAAATTGTTATATTAAAAAGATTCTTATATTCATATGTTTATCACAGCACCATTCCCAATAGCAAATATTTGGAATCAACCTAAGTGTCCATCAACAGATGATTAAACAAAATGTGATATATATATAAATATGTATAATAAAATAAGCAAACTACAGGCTACAGAAAATATTTGAAATATTCAACAATAAAATAATTCCCAGAATATATTTTTAACATTTTATGAATCAATAATAAAAAGACCAAACCAATTTAAATGGTTAAAATATTTGAACAAATACTTCCAAAAGAAGATAGAGGAATGTCCAATAATATTATATATATAATGATATATATAATGATATATATATCATATATATCATTATATATATCATTATATATCATATTATGTTATATAATGATATATCATAATAATTATATATCATATTATGATATATAATTATATATCATAATAATTATATATCATATTATATATGATATATAATGATATATAATATATGATATATAATGATATATATCATATTATGATATATGATACAACAGATCAGAATGAGTGATTTGCTACATGATACAATGATATATGTTACATATATATAAAGAAATGTGGTGTACATTAAAAGAATGAAATCATGTCTTTTGCAGCAGCATATATGGAACTAGAGACCATTATGTTAAGTGAAACAACTCAGAAAGACAAGTATCACATGTTTTCACTTATAAGCGGGAGCTAAATGTATAGACATGGACATAGAGTGTGGATTGATAGACACTGGAGATTCAGAAGGGTGGGGGGACTTGAGGGATGACAAATTACTTTATGGATACAATGTATATTATTTGGGTGATGGTTACACTAAAAGCTCAGACTTCACCACTACTCAATATATCCATATAACAAAACTGCACTTATACAAATTAATTAATTAATTTAAAAAATTAAAACAATATGAGTGAGTCCAAAGCTTGAAAACAATAAACAGCATAAGTAGCAAATCATGAAGACAGAGTTCTTGTGGAAAGTAAACAAGAGAAAAGTGAAGAGAGAGAGGCAGGGCCGCCAAGAATCCTAGCAGGAAAAAAATATGCCCACTCTCCAGCAAGAGCAAATTGGCTAAGATCATGCACAGAAGATTGGTCCTCAAGCCTGGGATCATTTCTAGGATACTAAGCCCTGGTAATTTGCATGGGCTTTCCTCCTCTTCACTCTTACTAACCATGGGTAGAAGCAAAATAAAAGCCACAGGGATTAAACACATCAGAATGAGTGATTTGCTACATGATACAATGTTTTTGGAAGCACAGTAAGAAAGGCCATTGGTAGTTTCATCAAAATAATTCTGGTGCTTTTCACTCACTAAACACTGTGAATGGGAGTTAAATACAGTAGCACATATGTCATACTTATGAGAATTTAAAATAAGAATACACACACAACATCAGCTTGCTACAAAGCTTTGGCTACTTTTTCCTGCAGAAGGCAAGAAATGGCCGGAGCTTCCTTCTGCCAATCATTGCCACCATGTGCGACTATCATAAACCAGCTTTTCTAACACAACTGCATGTACACACTTCCAGATAGCCCTGATAAAAGACTGCCAAAGGCTTAGAGGCTCTTGCTGACCATGGCTCAAATAATTACTTCTCTTTGTCCATTGACCATTTCAGAGTTTGATCCAATTACTGAACAATTTCTGCCCTCATTCAGGAAATTGACAATGCCCATATAATCTCAGACTGAGAGGATATGGGTCTACTCTGCTCTGCAAAGGCCTAACAGGTCTTTAATTCCTTTTTTGGCAGACGATTTTCTGATTAAAAACTTTTGAATTTCTAGTTAAACACTCAGGAAGAATCTTCAGAGAAAGACTGTAATGTATCCAGTGTCATTACCGTGGCCGCTAATCAGCTCATTGTCGGTAGAGTTCCTTTGGGCTCAGTTAGAAGCCTTTTTTTATTTTCTATACAAATGCTCAAGGCCTACGTTTTCATACAGTTAATTTGCATTTTTATAGGGTGAACCCATTTTGTATGCCAGGGAGTCATCTGTGGATTTTGCACTGGATACTTTTTTAAAATGCATTTAACATAATGAAGGATAGATTGCTAGATACTGAAGTATAGAGGTTAGTACAAAATAGTTGAAAACGTGTCTCACCTAGACATAATAAACCGAGAAATAGTATATCTTTCTTTTTGAAAACCAAAATCTATGCAGTTTTAGACAGAATATATATTTATATATGTGTGTGTGGAGAACACACAGACACAATTAGCTCTTTTATAAATGAGTGACTGTAAAATTCAGTAAAAAATAATGAAGTTATACTCTGTATAAAAAAAAATACTAAAGTTGCCAGAATTCTACAGCTGCTGTAGAAGCTCCTAACTGAAGATATTTAAAATTAACAGAAAACATTGTAAGCAGAAATAACACTAATTAAAAACACTTATTAAATCAGCATGGATTATTTTCCAGAAGAAAGAGAGAAAAAGAATGGGAAAGGACTGTGGCTGACGTGAGAGAGCCAGAATCTATGTTTTCAGTGGAATTACAATATGAATTGCAAGGAATGCAAAGCCCTGTCAAGTCAACACAGGAATAGAAAGATAAATAAGACACAGTCCTTGTTCTGGGCTTATGAAAAAAATGGAAAATCACCATAAAGAATTGTCAGTACCATTTTTAGCTTTAGCTTATGTTTCTCACGGCTCTAGCTCCTGGCATGAAAACTCTCAGACCAGTCGTGCCTTGCTATTCAAAAAGTGGCCTGTGGATCCGTAGCATAGGCGACACGTGGAAGTTTATTAAAACTGCAAAGTCTCAGGCCTCACCCCGCGCTACTGAATCAAAATCTGCATTTTAACAAATCCCCAGGTGATTCTTATGCACATTAAAATCTGAGAAGCACTGGTGTAGAGCTCTGTTTGCCCATATTTTTAATTCTGCCAAAGCTCTATTTAAAACCAATTGATTTCCTAATTATAAGTTATATCTCTTTGAAAATATACTTTGATTATGTTCTTTCTTGTTCAAAACGCTTCAGTGGTTTCCCTACTTTCTAACCATAGCCCTCAGGGCACACTACAGTCTGACCCATACTTATCTTTTCCATAGATGAAACACACGTGTACACACACACACACACAAACACACACTAGGAATCTGGTATCACCATCCCCAGACACTCCTTGCATTCATTTTTACCTGGCATCTTTATTCATTTGATCCCCTCTCCCTCAAGCAATGCTTCCTAATTTTGGCTTCCCATTAAAAACTGTTAGGAAAGATATTAAAATCCTGTTGCCCAGATGTCACCCCAGACCAAGTAAATCAAGTCTCTAGAGGTGCAGCACACACATTAGTGTTTTTATAGCTCCCTAGGAAGATTTCAATATACAACCAAGGTTATGAACCAGTGGCATAGAAAATCTTCCCTCCTCACAATTCACATTCTGAAATCCTATCCATTCTTCAAGGCAGAGATCAAATGCAGCCCCCAATCATTCCAACATACTGAAATCTCTTCCTTATAACTCACAGGCACTTTTTAGTCCATGTCTTCTTTTTGCAAACTGCAACATAGTAGATGCTAATTTTATCTTTAATTAAAAGACTGTTAAATCTAAAGTTGCCACTGGATCCCTAGGGAAAGACTGGAGGCAAAAGGTACTCCCATCTCCCACTGATGGCAAACTTGCATGATATGACAGAGCCTAGCAGGGAGTGGGGCTCTGAAGAACACATAAAAATATGACAACTGAAGAGAGAAAAGGGAGAAAGAGGAAATGGGTAGCTAGAGGGCTCCTTCCAGATTCCGGTCTTCCTCCTATCTAGCTCAGTCATGGCAGTGTCACCAGATAACCCAGTTGCCAAAGTCAAGAAGAAACCCTATTCCTCACTCTCATCTTGTTTATTATTCATCTCCCTCCACTAAAATACAAGGTCTGGAAGGCAGAGAGTATTGTTTTTTTATTCACTGATATAATTTCCTATTGACTAGAGAAGTATGTGGCACAGAGAAAGTGTGATACTTAATTTAATATGTCAACTTGACTGGGCCACAGGATGCCCAGACATTAGGCCAAATATTATTCTGGCTGTGTCTGTGAGGATGTTTCTGGATGAGATGAACATTCTAGCCAGTAGACTGAGGAAAGCATAGTGCCCTTCCCAGCATGGGAGGGTCTCATCCATCTGTTGAAGGCCTGGATAAAATAAAAAGACTGAGTAAGGGGGAGTCCACTCTCTTTGTCTAACTGTCTTTAAGCTGGGACATCAGTCTTTTCCCGACTTTGGACTCAGATTTGGACTGGAACTCACATTCCCAGCTCTCCTGCTTCTCAGGCCTTCATACTTAGCCTGGAGTTGTACCATCAGGCCCCTTGGGTCTCCAGCTTGCTGACTGCAGATATTGTGACTTCTTAGCCTCCATAATCATGACAGTCAATTCCTTATAATAAATACTTTCTCTCCCTCTCTGTCTCTCCTCCCCTCCCTCTCTCTGTCTCTCCCTCTCTCGCTCCACGTTCCCCCCACCCATCTATATAACTATATACAACTTATTGGTTATATTTTCCTGGAGAACACTAACACAGAAGATGTTCAATGAATAGTTGTTGAGTGAATGAATGATCTGATGAGCAATTCTTTGCCGTTCCTTAGTTCAAGCTTTCATTGTGTTGTACCTGAATAACTTTTCCTAGCTTAGACACACACACACACACTCAATCCTTTATGCATTTATTCTTGGAAGAAATGCCTTTTCAAACCCCAAATGTGACCACGGTGACCACAATTTCTCTCCAGCTTAAAATTAAGTGCTCATCATCTGCCCCGAATACAGTTTGGTTTCTTAAGCATCCCACATAAAACATTGAGAATTCAACCCCTACCACATATTTAGCCTCATCTTCTATAGTTATCACCCTTCACTTTCCACTTCCATACCAAAAGTTTCTTTCCTGGTGGTTTATCTGATATCCAAGGGCCTCACTCATCTCTGCCCTTGCATATACGGTCTTCACTGTCTAGAATTACTTTCTGCCCTTTGTCCACTTAGAAAACTACTTTTCATCCTTTAAAACGAAGTTCAGTGATAGCTCCTCCAAAAGCCTTTGATTCTTCCAAAATAGGATTTACTACTCATCTCTTTTTGATATTAATCCCGTAGGTTTAAGTTCTCTTTAATTCTACTTTTTTTTTTTTTTCTTAGAGACAGAGTCTGGCTCCGTCACCCAGGCGTGGAGTGCAGTGGCGTGATCTCAGCTCGCTGCAACCTCCGCCTCCCGGGTTCAAGGGATTCTCCTGTCTCAGCCTCGCGGATAGCTGGGACTACAGGCGCCCGCCACCATGCCCAGCTAGTTTTTTGTATTTTTAGTAGAGACAGGGTTTCACCATGTTAGCCAGGATGATCTCCTGACCTCGTGATCCACCCGCCCCGGCCTCCCAAAGTGCTGGGATTACAGGCGTGATCCACCGCGCCCAGCCTAATTTTTTGTACACTTTTATTGGTCGTGTAATTAGGATGCTTTGAGCTACAAAAACCAGAATGCCTACGAGTAGTTTTTAAATGAAAGAGCCATTTAATTATCTCACATATTAAGAGTTCAGGCCATTCTAGGCCACGTGCAGTAGATAAACTAAGCCATGATGGATCCAGGCTTCACTACCATCCTTAGTATGTCTGTGATGTTCCTCCTGTTTAGAGCTGCAAAATGGCCTCTATGGCTCCAGGCATCCTCACTTCACAGGATGGGGTCCTAAGCAAGAAGTAAGGAGTTGGAGCAAAAGGACTTTATTTTTCATCAGGTAAAAAATTAGCTTCAGAATACCAACACAGACTTTCTTTTAGGTATTCTTAGCCAAAATTGGTCATATGCTTGTTTCATAACCGATCTCTGGCAAAGAGACACAGGACATCAATAGATACACCAATCATAATTCATCACCTAGGCCTGGAAAAATTGTCACAATCACAAAACTGAGATCCTATAAACTGAAGCAGAAAAGAGAATGACCACAGGATGAGTAACCAACATTGGTACTACATTAGTCTATATGTCTTTCTCCCCAGCAAGATGCAGTAGGTTTGAGAGCAAGGTCTATATCATTTCACCTTCTAGCCTAAGTCCATAGGACAATGCCTGGCATTGAATGTATGGAATTGAATTCTGAGGCTCATCTAGGAATAAAACCCTAGTTACAATAATTACATAAGCAGCCTAAGGGGAAAGAAAAGCCAAATTTCCCTTTGGCTTTGTTTTCCCATTCATAAAGTAGAGGTAATACCCCTTCACTCCCTAAACTTCACATTAAAAATTTTAGGCTAGATCCAGTCATTGTTTATGATACATAAGAAAACAAAGCATGAAAATACAAATCAAAAATCTAAATACCTATTTTCATGAGCAACACGGAATTGTTGTCAAATGATGAAGATGTGTATATTTACGGGGCACTTGCCTCTGAGAGGCAAACTTTACATACTATGTTAGTTTACAGGGCTGCTGTAACTAAGTACCACATATTGGTGGCTTAAATAATATAAATTTATTGTTTCACAGATCTGGAGGTTAGAAGTTCAAAATCAAGGTACCAACAGGGTTAGTTCCTTCTGAGGGCTGTGAGGGAAAGACCTCTTCTAGGCCTCTCTTCTTGGCTTGTAGTTGGCCATCTTCTCCCTGTGTATCTTCACATCAGCTTCCCTCTGTCCATGTCTCGGTGAACAGTTTCTCTTTTACATAAGGACACCAGTTGTACTGGATTAAGGCCTACCCTAATGACCTCATCTTAACTTGATTACCTCTGTAAAGACCCTATCTCCAAATATGATCACATTCTGAGGTACTGAGGGTTAAAAATTCAACCTATGAAATTTAGGGAGACACAATTCAGCCCATAACATATGCGTTATCCTCCCAGTCATCTTCTGCAATAGATGCTATCATTAGTCTCATTTCAGAGAGAAAGGCATTGTGAATTGGTGAGGCCAAGTAGGTTCTCCAAGGACACTAGGGACTGGTGGAGCAGACTCCCTATCTTATTTATGAACTAACTATAATTTAGGATGGCAGTATTATTTATAAAATATAGATACTAATTTTGAAATACTTGATAACGTCACCTGAAATATTCATTTTAATTACATTTTGAAGACATTATAACCAGGAAATATAAAACTGAAGTAGATAGTTTCCTTGGTGATCATTGAGTCCAGTCACTTCATTTCACACCTGTGGAAACTGAGGCCCAGATATGGAAATGTACTTAGTTAAAGTCAAATAGCCTGTTCAGGGAAAGACAACCAGAATGCAGATGTCAGCCCGGGGTTTTTTCTATACTGTGCCTCTGACTCTCAAAGTACAAAGCAGACCACTGTTAAAGGAGGCTCACTGGCCTGAGAGTTCAGAGACTCAGGAGCTTTTGCTAACTTTGCTACTGAATACATGGAACTGATTACTTATACTGTTACTCATCTAACAAATATTTCTGCGACTCTGTCCTCTACAAAGGAGATATGTCCCAGTTAAAAACATGGGCTTTGGGATCCTACTATTCCGATCCTGATTCTGTCATTTACTAAATGATCTTGGAAAATGGACCAAACTTCCTGCTATTCTAACTCGTCATCTGTTCAGTAGAGATCATCACAGCTCTTGGCTCACAGGGTCATAATGAGAATTAAATGAGTTAATGCATGCAAAGGACGTAATAAGGAGCCTGGCATGCAGTAACATTCAGCACATGTTAGCTCTAAGCTCTTACTCTGTGCTAGGAACTGTGCTAGGCACTGGAGATATAGATGTTAAAGACAAACAGAGGGGAACACAAACCAATAAATAGAAATTGCAATAGACATCAATAAGCACAATGTTAGGCATACTGTGACAGAGTCTGTTACCCAGTTTGGAATAAACTGTGGTATATCACATCACACTCTCGGGTAATTTGGTGGGAAAAGTATCTCTGGTTAAAAATTTTTTATATTTCTCTTAATTCTGAAGGTCAGAGAAAGCTGCTCAAAGCAGTTGTTGCCTAAGCTGTGTCTAGAAGTTAGGGGGGATAAAAGGGAACATTCCAGGTGCAGGAAAGGGAAATCATCAAGGACAGGCAAGGATTTCACTAAGGCCAGATTTTAAGGATGCTTGGCGGTGGTGGATAAGGGGAGGAGTGGTGAAAGATGAGGGTGGAGAAGCCAAGCCAATCCAGATAATGAAAGGCTGAGCCAAGATGTTGGGAATTTAGCCTGAAAAAAAAATAAAAGAAAAGAAAGAAAGAAAAGAAAGGAGAACGTGTAAAGGATTTTAAGCAGAAAAGTAAAACAATCACGTTGCACTTAAACATCTGTTTCTCACACTCTCCATTTCTGTAAAATGACCAAGCGGAACAAAATATCTTAGATTTTAGATATCAGTGGGATTTGTCTTTTCTAGTTCCAAAATTGCCTTTACTTTGTAACAAATCTCTGTAGATCTTAATTCAAAGCAACTTTAGGTTTATTTGGAGATAATGCAAGTGGAATGGTTGGTGGTACATTCTACGACAATCTGTTAGCAGGAAAGCTTAATGTAGTAAAGAAAACCCATTTTAATACTAGACCCTCAAATTGAGAACTACTGTCCTAATTATGAAGCATGGCCTGAGCTATAAACAACGTTACAGATCATCGGCAATAGCTATAGCCATGTGCTTCTGAAAATGAAGTGGTACCCACAACACGTGCACAAAACAGTAATGAGTAAAGGTTAGTGCATAATTAATAAAATCTTGTTTTGCAACAGAATTTGAAAAGCCAGGATAAACAGTTTGGAGTATGAAAAGTCAAAGACTAATGATTAATAGAATGATTAGTATACCTTAAACCTTAAACTGGTTCTCCCCGTGCATGAGTGATAGTCCATCCATTAGTGTTTGCCTAGCTACAAATCTTTGAAAGGAGGACTTGTCTGAATATGAAATATGTCCCTGTTGGGAAAAAATACTAAAGGCTGGAATGACTGCTGTAGTAAACTGACAGTTTGATTCTTTGAGGTATTTTTTAATCTTTTAAATACACATTCTGAAACATCAATCTAGCAGCAACTTTTCTAATTTATTTCAACACCACTTGAACAATAGACAACTTACCTATTTTTCTTAGTGCAACTTAATGTCAATTATATATGCAGGTCATAAGTTTTCACAGTTAAAAGTACATTTAAATTGAGACCAACCCTGCTTTCCAAATTGCTTTCTTAATTAACATTCTACTGATGATGACTGTGTATGCAGTACACAAAATTACACTCCGTTGAATTTAATTTGGTGGAACGTTACAAAAGGCAACACCACCCATATTCCTAAATCAAATACCAGTAAGAGGATGAACCAAGCCATCTTAGTCAAAACTTCAGAGAAAACTGAAATGAATTAAGTTTTGATATAATGGCAAAGACAGGGACTGACAGGTTTCCAACCCTACTCACATTAATTTTGGTAACTAGTATATACCAATCAGGCAAAAGTTACATTCAAACAGCTAACATGGAAAATCCTTGAGGGCAGGTAAAATAGTTTATCCTGATACCCACATCCAAGCACAGGGTCTATTCCAGTGCAGGTGTTCAGAAAGTGTGTTCCAAATTGTTAACAGGAGGATGACTATAGAACCCAACCCATCATTTCTGTTTTGCAGCATGTCTTTTCTTTTCAATGAGAAACACTACCTTGTGAACCACTGGAGTATTTCTAAAACAAGTATTGTTTACTTCCCTCTCCAAGGAGCTTCAGACATGCTGACTAGATTTATCACCACAATAAAACAGAATAATTTTAGGCCAGAAGTTCTGATTCTTCTATATTTTATGAGTCTCTCATTGATATTTTTTATTTTACTGGATTATATTGCCCTGAATGGCAGGAGCCACATTTTTGTACCCATTGTTTTAATCACCCCCATAGTGCCTAATACAGAGACTTAAGCAGGCAAGGAAATGCTGTGCAAATGAATTTTTAAAAATCAATCAATCTAAGTCATTCTTTCTTCCTGTTCCCACACTTCCAGGTCATCATTTTACACATAAGAAGATTGAGGATTTGAGAAAGTAACTTAATTGTTCAGGGAGACATAGCCAATTACTGGCAGAGTTTCTAAATCAAGCTGCTGTCCTTGTACTGCTATTTCAGTAAGAGAAAATTGTAAAAGAAACACACTAAGAAAGAAAAGCTTATTGATACTGAAAGTTGTAAGCAATGTGCTACAAGAGGAAAGTCAAGCCATTACAAATGTAACAACAACATTGTAATTTGGTCAAGGCATAGAAACAATTTGCTATGGCTCTTAACCTCAGTCCCCAGCTTCAATTTATTAGAGTTAACATTCACCAACTGCATGTTACATGCCAGGCCCTGTGACACCAAATAAGTGTTATACATAGATTATTGTGTTTATTTTTCAAAGCAAGACTTCAAAATGAATATCATTATCCACATTTTTATATACGAAAAAACAAGAGTCTAAATGGTTTACTTCAGATCACCAAGCTAAAATGGAGTGAATCCAGGATTTAAACTCAGATCCATCCATCCCAAAGACCCTTCTCTTTCCATTATACATTTTGGCTTCTTGCCAACAAAAATTAATACAAATATTTTAAGGATTTTCCAATATCATTTGAAATTGTCTACTAAAGATATCACTTTTATCACTGAAAGTATGCATTGTGCATTTCCCCTTACTGTACCTACCTCTACAGCTTCCTCTGCATTGGGAGAGGGGAAGGCAGGAAGAGCATTCCAAGAGTCCACTTTCTCATATGGTTCCGGGTTACAGTTGCCAGTGTGGAGCCGTTGTTGTAAAAGCTGGAAGCTGGGAAATGGGGAGAAGTCATTCTTCCCTGGAGGCAGACACATAGCAGAAAGCACAGGCAAGATTCATGGCAGCTTCCTGGCTGGTGGAAGGCAGCTGCGATTGTGGGAAGCAGTTCCTTGAGAATGGTTGCTTCAGCACCCAAGGCTGAGATGGTAGCAGGCACTTCATAGGGTTCCTTCAGATTTGCAGAAGCTTCCACCTGGAGAACCACTAGTTTTGAAACCACATCATTGTTGGCTTCCTGGATCTTTGCCTCTCCAGTCTTTCTGATCTCCTGTTAAGCCTGCAATTCCCTGGAATAAAGCCTCCATAGTTGGAATTACATAAATGGTTTATGTTTTCCTGGAGAATCCTGGCTAATACAACTACCTAGGTCAATTTCAAAAATATCCAAGTAAAATAAAATAAAATAAATTTACTTATCAAAATACTAACCATTTCCCTTGATCTCCCACAAAACAAAGCATCAAAAATTTTGTAAGTAAAATGTTTTTTTCTTTAGAAATTGCAATTTTTCTTTGTGGGCCCTAATATGAGTTGGTAAATGAAGCTGTAGAGTCTTCCTTGTTGAGATTTTTTTAGATTAAGACAACCATCTGCTTTGATATCTCAGGGTATTTTTTTCCTTGAATCAGGGTTTGTACAAGAAGAGTTTGTTAAGATGTCTACTAATACGACCATTTTAAAATTTCCTCTGGCTGGTGACATAAAAACCACAATACCACATAACACTGAATTAAAATATATATATACACACACATACTTTATGTATCTATATATTTTAATTGCTAAGAACATTCTTAGGGGAAAACATCTGTTATGCCAATATAAAACATTTTAAATGAACACAATCTGGCTGTTTTAATTCCAAAATTAAAACTGCCAAATTTATAATTTGATGGTGGACTGTCTCTGAATTCTTAATTGTTCCTATTTTCTTCCAAAGCCACTAGATGGTGGTTCCATCATGGAAACCCTCATAGTCATGGAAAATGTCTCCATATTTATTATAGCATTATTGGAATATACACTGTAAAGGAAGAATCTATTTCTAAAAGAAATAAAGACACAGTAAAAAGATCTGAGAAAAAGCTAGGGTGAACAAGTTATTTGGAAATTTCTATCATTTTCACTGATGTGTGCCTTCCAGATCCTGGGCTAATTTGTATGTCAGCTCCCCACTCTGTATCAAATGCTTCTGAATGTGCAAAACTGAAATTTTAATGGAGTAGATTTTTCAAGAAAGTTTGAAGCAAGGTCTCTCTCACAGGTAGCTTTAGATAAGCTACTATATACTGGAGTTAAGAGACTTTTTTTAAAAAGTTTATTAATACTGAGCTAAAAATGTGGCATAGTTCAGCCAAGGGGGGCACTGGAACTTGTACAATGATCAGCAAAAGATGATGACAGAGAAACATAAGTAAAAGCCAAAACATGAAAGGATTCTGTACCATACTAAGGAATACAAATGTTATTCTATGGACACCAGAGAGCCATTGAAGGTTTTAAGGAAACTAATCAGATCTGACTTGAATTTTAGAAAGTTCATGTTGGTGGTACTAAGGAAAATATATCAAGGAGAAGAATTAGTAATCTGTTTCTTTGTTTCCTTGAATCCTTATTCATTGATGCCTCTTTTTTTGCTCAGCCCTTAATTCCTAAGGTTATATGGAGCTCTGGTCTCAGAGATCTTCCCTTGCACATGGCCTTAAACTCCGTAAAGATTGCAAAAGGTAATGTGAAAAATAATTAAGGTAGCTGAGGAAGGGTGGGAGATTATTTGATGCCTGTTTCTGTAAGGTGAATCAGCTTTGTATCACTCGGGCACCCTGGAAGAAACAGATGGCACATTCAGAAGGGCTTAACTGAAGAAATTTGTAATGAAGGCACTATTTACAGTGGCATTGGGCATGGTTAAGGAAACCACCAAGAGAATGGTGAAGCAACAGGGGGCTAGCAATAGCAAGAGAGAACATACCACATTCTTGTTGACAGTGAAAACTGGAGAAAGGAAAAGGTGCCACTTAGCAAAAGTTATGACCACAAAAGAATGGTGACCCCCAGAATTGCTACAAGGCAGGGAGAGAGGAAGGGGAATACATGCCCTGGCCTCTCTTTTTTCTTGTTCTCTGATATCCAACCAGTTCCTCTGACTGGCTGAACATTAAGGACCACAGGTGGTGCAGACCACAGAGGTCAGCCTTCCAATGCACACAGCAGAGACAAGACAAGCAGAAAATAGACCTGGGGAGTGGGGGAGCCAAATAGAGAATAATAAGCGCAAATTCATTCACTATCAGAACATGAGAGAACGATGTCAGTATAACACAGAAGTCACGCTGGTAGGTACACACATTTATGCTTTGCATCATACAGTACTAGAGGCTAAATATACAGAAAACATGGAGTGGTCAAACCCATCAGCACAACAGAATTTATTCAAAAAAAAAGAGAGAGAAATCATCAGAGATCAGTGCTTTACATAACACCAATACTTAAAGGGTGAGTACAAGGAAAGGAACTCATCTTGAAGGCTTGAGAGAAACAGATTGAGGAATCCAAAGACAAGGTTCTGAAGGTGGTGTGAGTAGCCAGAGGCTACTTTATATAGTTATATAGCTTTAACTTTTAGTTTCAGTTATTCGAGAAACCTCAACTCCAGTGACAAGGAGCAATTTAAAATCTGAGTGAGGGTGCAAACTTGAGCCCACAGCTGGTGTGGAGAGCATGCCACTTAGCAGGGAGCATCCACTTCTTTAAGTGGCTTCACCTTCTTCTACTTATTGTCAAGGACACATTAACTCTCGTTAAGAGTATGAATCAGGAAATTCTTAAGCTGCAATCTCTTGCAAGTTATGATGACATTATCCGTTATGGTGATATTCAAGAATCTAGAATGCATAAATATTCTTGAGATATATTTCCACCCAAGTGTCAGGGACCTACGATACCATAGAGGTAACAAGTAAAATAAGTGTTGAAACTTTATGAAGTTTATTTGGAATCACTGGAAACTTTGACAAAGGAATGTCCTGAAATATTGATGTGAAGACCAGTGAAGGTGGGTTGCAGAAACGAGGAACAAGAGCCAGATTGTAGCTGGTTATGGAATGAATGGGAGGTGAGAAAGTTAGGCGGCGAATGTAGAGTAAGGTTTGAGGGGGAGTGACCCAGCTATCACTTCTGGGTAGAGAAAGCTTTATCAGAGTCTGACTAATGAGGAAGAAAAATGTGTAGGATAGAAGGAACTTACTAGAGACCTCTTCCTGATCTTGGAGATCTCTGTAATTAAAGAATTTGAAAGTTAGGATGTCGCATGGAGTAAAGGTGGGAGGGCCAGTGGGGCTGCATGTGCTCAGATTTCAGGTCCATGTGAGTATGAAACCTGTTTTTATTAACTATTGAATCACCAGAGGCTAACTCAGCTCCTGTAGAATAGATACTTTGTTATTTTGTTAAATGAGATGAAGAAAAAGAGAATGATCAAAGGTAGAGGCCAGCTCACTCCATGAAGGACCTCAGCCATGGGGTGGATCAGCCCGTGGGAGAGACCGAGCTGAAGCCCACGTGGCTTGTAGTCAGCAGAAATAGTTAATCAGATTTCATCATCTTTATTGTACCATTGAGATTCATTCGCCTTGAATAAGAGCAGCAGGAAAACACATCCTCCAAATGTGTTCATTTTCTCCATATCCCTCTAATATTTGCAGTAGGTCGTGGAAAAACATTCAACTAGAAAATAGGAAACCAAGCTCTTAGTCCTAGTTTCATCACTAATTGGTTATGTGGTCTTAGATAATTCATTCACTGTGTATTTATTACCTATTGCAAGTCAGGTACCGTATCAAGCTCTGGGTGTGAGACAACGCACAAGGGAGTCACCACGGAACTAATGAAATGAATAAGTAAACAACCACTGCAATATAGTATCCAGACAACTGAGTGGTGACTGTAGTGAATGTAGAGTATCAAACAAGATGACACAACACTGTACCTCTGTGAAGTCAGGAGAGGTGCCACGGAGGAAACGATGATGAATCTTACAAGTTAAAGACACGTTGAGTCGAGGTAAACCCTCACCTCTCTGACATAGCTTCTGTGAGAATAAAATAAGGAGGGTTGCCAGAGCATCCCTCAGATCCCCTTGTCCATTATAGTATAATATGTGATCCAATTTTTCTGTAATAGAAACAGAGCTGAAGAAATGCTTGAAATGCTATCCATAAAAAGGGAGAAATTCTGTGCTTAAATTGCAGGATGAAAAGGAGCGGAAAAAAAGGTAGTGTTCAAAAACAAGAGAGAGACAAAACACAAGTGAGAGCACATTTTCTAGGGCATAAAGGATTTTTGTTTATTTTTTAACATAATACACCAAAAAATAAATACAATTATCCCAATTTCTGCCCACAGTTTTCAGCATTGTACAGCCTTTATTTAATGATACATCAAAACACATTCTCTGCCAATCCTTCTGTTGCTTAGGAACAGGCAGTCAAGAGCCTAAGCTCAGAGACTCCAAAGTCATCATTAAAAGGCTTTGTGCATTGCTATCAGAAAAATGCTAATTTAGTAAGCCTGATTGATACCCTCCTGCTAGCAAGTTCCAGGAATGGGGACCCAGGTCCCTCTAATTTGTCTAGTTCCCCTTTATTTGGCTCAGTGGGGCCTGTGTAAAAAAAAAAAAATAATGAAGGACTGCCAGCCAGTGACTAGGAGCATTTTATTTCTGAAGAGTTGGTTCTTCTTGTTCAACACACTCCATGTTCTTCTTGAACCAAGATGGGAAACTTATTTACCTGCTGTTTGTATTTACTGAGTGTTTTCTGCTCTGCAAAGTCAGACTATTTCTAACTGTATAGTCTGTATTCCACATCCTTTTCAGTCACTTCTTGGTTTAATCATGCTTGACTTGTGCTTAAAGAGAAAAAGGAAACTTCTTTCGTTGGCACGAGCAGTATGACAGGTATTAGGAAAGCCAACTGCCCCTGAGTGCTCCGCAGCTGTGAAATGGCTGGAACCCTGAGCTCCTGATCCATGCTTTTCTCTGATTCGCATCCATGGAATCCAGCCACAGTTACCCCTACTTTTGGCCCTCCTTGCCTTGACCTAGGGATGATGCTGCTCCGCATTGTTGGTCACCGCAGAACTGCTGTACCCCTGCTGCCACTGCGGGAGTCGCCTCTTCCAGCCATTGTCTTCTCCATTATGGCTGTTTACTACCATTGCTGCAACCTGGCCCTGAGCTGAAGGTGCTGATTCCTCTTTGCTGGCTCTGTGATGGGTATGAAGACAAAGCTCCACCTCCCATGGCTGGTTGTTTACCTCTCTCCCATTTCAAACGCTGCCTCCTCCTCCCTTCCACTCTCAAAGCAGAAACTGTAAGGAGATGAGACTGCTCTCTTTCACTAAAGGAGAGGGCTCTTCTACTGTCCTCAGAAAACTGGCATCTCTCTTCTCCACCTTCATACAGATAGTGGTGTTTATGCTCCAGGCATGCTTTTAAACACACTAAGTCAGTCCTTTATTGAAGCAGCTGTGAGAATGCTCCTTGTAGACCTCTACAGAAAATGTAATTGGCCTAGAGCCCCAGCTGCTGCACTCTGAAATCCATCACCGTATGTATAGTGAGATCATACTTCCTGAGCTGTTGCCAGTGGATGACTGAAGTGATAGGGATACTAAGGCAGGCCTACTCCTGGGAGACCTGGGACTTCTCTAATAGGCAATTTTGGATTCAGAGATACCCCAAAGGCCTTGTTCGACATTCCTTAGGTCACCTATCTGTGATGCCTCCACCCAATTTGCCTGCCCGTGGTGCGCCACGGTCTGTCAGCTCCCCTGCCGCCCCTAGATTCCTGCGCCTTTTCTCTAACAGGTGATTACTCTAATATAACCCAGTCACATTGAATCCTGGCTTGTAGTCTGCTTCTTAAAGGACCCAAATTAACCCACCCCTTCACCAGATTTATTTGACTGGGTCTGCATGTTTGTAGCCTCCTGTATATTTGAGGCCCTTACTGTGACTACTCACTGGCATTTTCACTTGTGAATTCCTTCTGACGTCTTTACCCCACGACACTTGAGTGCTTTCTGCATGACTGTACTGTGAAGTAGTTGGCCACTGGTAAACCATCTCTAGCTTCACATTAACAGACCCAGAGATGCTCTATCTGCCTCTAAAACACACAGTGGCTGTCCCATGAGCACTCACTTCTCCGAATGTATGCCTCCAGCAGTGCAGGGCATTATGGCCCTTCTGAATAAGTCCAGCAATTGCCTATACAGGCTTTAGGAGCCTGATCTTGAGTGCTGTGGATCTGAGAAGACTATTCCAATCCTAAGCAGTTCCAAGAGGATTTTCCCTGACCCTCCAGCCCTCTTCTGCCACAAAATGGTAGGTCTCCTCTCAAATGTATTTGTGTTTAAGACAAGCTTAAGTGGGTTAGAGAGCGCTCAAGGAGATCACAGATCAAACAAGCTCTCTGAGTTCTGCCCTAGAAGGTACTGAAAACCTGAGTGGCCTGAAATCAATCCAGCTTTGAATGATACTCTAAGTCCAATGTGCTCCAGAAAGAAACCAGATCTTAAATGCACATTACTGATTAGCTGTGAACTAAGCTTGCTTATAGGGTAGAAAATAGTAAAGGTGGGGAATAGAGGAGATACAGGAGTGACTCCAGCCATTTCTTCTATCAATATTGGAGTTCCACGTGGTATGTATGAGTGTGTATGTGTGTTCTGGCAAGAAAATCTCAGATACAAAAGATGGCTTATAATGTGGGGATCCTTGCTTAAGTTAGAAACTCTCTCTATATTTGCAGATGAAAGATGCATAACTACTAAATTTTTTCTTGAGGCCCCAGAAATGGGGCTTCTCTGCCTTAAGGTAGCTCATTAGTTCCTTACCAAGTCTATGTACTGGAACCCAAAGAGAATGCAAAAATGGACAGGCAAAATGTATTCCCCCTCCTCTTACGAATGAGAAAAGCAAGTTGTAGTAGAAAAATTCATGAAAATTCAAGAAAATGTAACTGTGATTGGACCTCAATAATGGTATGAAAACATATCTTTTACTCTAACAGGCTCTCTATTCATTCTAAAATGGACCAGAAAGCAGAAGGATTGCCCTTGTTTGAAAAATAATGCCCTTGTTTGAGGAGTCCAGGCCAAGTAACTTCATGCAGAAGGGAAGCTTCACCATTTGGACAGGAGCTGAGCAGATGTGACCTCAATGTCTGCACTGCATTAAAGCTTCGGTGTAAATCTGATGACCTCATCTCCCCACAGCCTGTGATTAATTCTATTTATAAAATACAGCTCAGCAGATCAAAGTTAATCCTTTCCATGCCAAGTGGGGAGTACACAGTGATGGGTCACTCTGTCAAAGGGTAGGAAACTAAATCAGGCTGCTGTTCTTCATCACGGAGTAGGATACAGGGCTTTTACCTTCAAGAGGAAAGGTTTAATGACTTTGAAGAACTTGTAATGCCCATTTCTTGATACCCTTAAATTCTATTTCAATTTTTTACTATCTTCAAAAAATATAAAATTCCTCAAATATCAGACTCATATTTTTATTTGTTGCACCATACAGCTTCCAATACCTCACCAATACACACACACACACACACACACACACACACACACGTTTGTAGATCCCATGCCTTTGAAAGAACTCTACGAAAAGGTGAGAATGACCACTAAGAGCATCTGTACAGCATCTTAAGCGTATGGTTTCTGGAATCAGAATGCTTACGTTTTCATTCCAGGTATGCCACTTATCCAGCCAGAGGATCTTGGGTAAGTTACTTAGCCTCCCTTTGTCTCAGTTTCTTCATCTTTAAAATGGAGTTATAGTAGTCCCTGACTCACAGGGTTACTGAGAAGATCAAATAAGATAATACGTAAAGAACTCAGAACACCGCCTGGACCTTGGTAAATCTACATGTGACAGCCGTAGCCTGACCCCACGCCAAGCTCAGGAGCATGACATGTACCACAGAGTGTTCCTCTGAACTAGTTCGCATTTTTAACTGACATGGAGATCCAAAAAACCAGTCCTCTTATATCCTCATGTGAGTTAAAAATCCCTAACACTTTGGAACACATTCCCCCACCTTGCCCACCAACCCCATGACAGAGGTAAACTGCCATTCGGCTTGGGGCAAAAATGCCATATTCCCACTGTGTATACATTGTGAGAGGAAAAATAGCAAGTTCAAACCTTTTCTGCCCCTTAGCATGGTTCTGTTTGACTAGTCCCCCTAATTTTCATTTACAGTTAGGTCTCAGTATGGTTAATATCAGGTCTCTGTAGCATTAGGCCTCTGCAATGTTAATACTGTTTAACGAAATGATTCTCATGAGTACCTTGCAAACTGAATGCTGATTTGAGGATTCTAATTTCCCAGTGTGTAAATGAGGTCATATTAACAGAAATAGCTCAAATTTCACTGGGTCATGATTCTACTTGTCCTGAACACTCTCAGCTCCTTACCACCTCCCATGACCAAGGACTCCAAAAATCTACAGTGGGTAAGTCACATGTGCTCTCAGTAAATCTGTCCCTCTGGGCACTAAACCTCCACTGCAAGGTTCCTCTAGAGTTCCCACCATGATTTTCCCCAGTGCTCTGCCCATGCTCTGGGCCTTTGCTGTGGCCCAGATGTTTTAATTCTTTTTAAAGACTAAAATAGTACTTTTAATTTCACTCACAGTGCTTGTGCTGTGTCAGGATTCAGACATGAGTCCAGTGAGGGGTCAGGGCAGAACCAGAATCCAAAGGATAGGCATGATTGTGTAGGCACAAATGCCTCACTTCTGCAGTGACTGAGGTTTTCATATTGAGTCTGAGATGGATATTTCCTGGGGGCAACTCAGTTTTCATGCTAATGCCTGGCTGGTGTTGAATTCAGCTTTGTATCCACAAACTAAATCTGATTTAAGCCAGAATCCTGAAGCTGCAAGAGCAAGAATCAATGACCAACACACTGGTCCATAAACAGAATCAGGTGTATCCTTTTCCTTAAGGAGGGAGTTACTAAATGCTTAAGAGTTAACCAAAGAATATAGCACTTTGTAGAAATCCTAATCAAAGCCTTTGGCTCAACAAAGCCTTGCCTGCTGCTTGTTATGAAACCATCTCATCCCCTCCACTAGAAAGAACCAAGCAACGTGTAAAACTTTTACTTCCCCTCATAAAAGTGTATAACAACATTCAACCACTTTTACACCTTTTCTTCCTAATACACGATATCCAAAATGAGTTCATAGGCAGAAAAATGCCATGAGGGGAGTTTGGCTTTTTTTTTACCGGCAAGCTTTTTGGATGTGACAGCCTAGAGCCTTTCTCACTACCACCAACAGATGGGACACAATATCCACCAATGAGCCATTATGGTCTTTGGTTGTTATTTTTCCTGTGGTTCAGCTGGAACACATTCAGAAAAATAATACACATTTCTGGGGCAGGTTTGCATTATAATTTTGGAGTGTAATCCAGACTTTCCCTTGTCTATTTCCTACTGCAGCAAAAATGGAGCCTCTCTCTCTAGTTCCATTTGGACTTCACTGGGAGGATGCAACTTGGCAAAACACAGCGATACTGGGCTGCAAATGGTTTGTAAAAACATCAATGGTCCCACATGGGAGTCAGTACATCTACCATTCGAACTAGATTGCATTGGCTCTGTTGGGAGTAATATGGGTGCATGTATGCAGTTATCACTAAAAGGCTTTTCATACTGTGACAATCAGATCCTCTGGTGCTCAGATATTGCATTCATTTTCTAACTCATTCATCATGTGAATGGAATGAGGAAATAATGGGATCTGTTCATCATACTTATCCATCATTTAGTGAGGACACCACGTTCAGCTTTTTTGGATGAAAAAAGAAAGATAAGTAAGAGGCTTAGCACTCCTAACATCTGACAGTCCTAGCACCTCGTGAGGACAAACGTCACTCAGGAACCATATCACAACAGACAAGTCCTTGAGAAAGAGGGAAGATGATGAATCTAGCAGAGCCCACCAGGCAATTCTGGGCAGGCACACCTTCAAAACCCTCCTTCTTATTTTACCACATTCTCGATAAATCTTTTAGTTACATTAAAATATTCTCAACTAAATTAGAATAAAATTGTATATCTTTTGGCCTTGTAAATCCACTTTCAAGAATTTATTCTTAAAAAATCAGAAATGTACATAAATACAAATGTTCAAGAATGTTCATTCCTGTGATATTTTAAATAGTGAAAAATTGGAAATGACCTAAATTTCCAGGAAGTTTAGATTACTTAAATAGATTATAATAGAGCATGTATCATAAACAATATTTGTGAAGAACATTTAAATGGAGTATATGGAGAAATATGCAACTATATGAAGTGAAAAATCAAATTACAAAAAAATATATATTTTGCCAATTAAGTAAGAAAAAGTATTAGTAATTATTCTCTCTAGGTTAGGAATTTGAAATAATGATTTTTTTCTTTTCCATGTTTTTTGTGTCTCTTAATATTTCAATAATAAATACATGCGAAAAAAACCTAGAACAAATGACATTTTTAAGAATTCAAGAGTGAGAAAATAGCTTTCTGGCCTGCAATTATGTTGCCTTTGTTTTACAATATACAAGAAAATAAACAAGCAACTTTAGATTGGAAGAAATTACTAGCATTTGGGAAGCAGATACAAGCCAATAGCAGCCAAAACCACAAAATGACTGGGGAAAAATAGAGAGAGGGACTAAAGAATGTTCCTTACTGAAACATTTTTTGCTGCATTTTCTCCTAGAACATACTGCCTTCCACCATGGCAACATTCCAACACAGACAGTTCTACATGTAGTTTGCTATGTATTAACTGTTCATTCATTGTTTCATTTATTCTTTCTAGGTCCCTGTTACTTCTTGAGAGAATAGAAAGATCGTGGCAAACAGGATAGAATTATTTCTGCTTTTGTGGAATTTAAATTTTCTTTTAATTCTTGCAATCACCCCACAAGGTAAATTGCTTATTCCTCAGAGGAAGTTAAGACAGTTTATGTTACTTGCCATAGGTAGTCAAGAGAACTAGTATTCAACCCAGGTCCTCTGATTCCTTAAGACCAAGGTTCTTTTGACTATAGCAGAAGTTTTCAAATATTTTCAAAAAGTGACGTGCATTGTTTTAAATAAAGTTGTAATTGCCATATTTCACCAATTCTGATGAACACTTTTTCACATTTCACCTCACCTGAAAACAAGAAGCATTTATTATGGCTGTTGGCAAGGAAATTACAGAGATTAAATTCTGGTAGCCTGAATGTTTGCCTCCATTCTTGCAAAGATGGTATCAGTAGCTTGCAAGAAAATCCCAGAGGTAGTGGTGGAGTGCTCTTTCAGAAATACTGCCTTACTAATACTCTCAGTGGCATAGAGGATGATATTATCTGGAAAACATAGACATTGGATAGTCAGATTTCAGATATAAAACCTTAAGAAATTCATATTGTTTGCATGCCTAAACAAGACTAAAAGAGTGCTTTCAGTAAGTATAACATTTTTAAAAGCCCAAGTAATGAAAAATCATTGTAGCATGTTTATTTTGGCAGTTATTTTTCTCTTTCTTAATAATATAATAAAGATAGTACATCTTGCCTTCCATGGAATCATAGATTCAATGCAATGTGGCATATCTACAACACTTCGGGCTTGACTAATGAGGTGGAATTATACGCACCACCACCTTCACATCAGGCTCCAACTGGAATAGCTCTTCAGGGGGCTTGGCACCTCTCCTCTTTCTTGATGGGTAAAGATTAGCACTATCAGAACTTCACTGAAAACTTGATAATTGAAATCATGTTTTGGCAATGACTGAAATATGTCTAAGGGATTTGATATTGCATGAGCCACAGATTCTTGATACTCAGACCTCCTAAGTCCATTCCAAACTATGTCCAAATGAGATGGGGTGAAGTAAGATGTGCAAACTTTATAGGCACCAGTTGTAGAATCAGTTCTCTCTGGTTTCAAGTCTAAACTACCTATTTTTTTTGGCAATGTGACCTTGGATAAATTACTTAAACTTTCTATGCCTCTGTTTCCCCAACCATAAATATTAATAGCGCTAATCTCATAGGGCTTAGAATATTGAAAGAGAAAATCCCTGTCAAATACCAAAAAAAATAACAATATTTGTTAAGTATTCAACAAATATTGTGGGGGAGGGAATGAGCCTAAAATTATAGGTTTACCTTTGAGACTTTGCCTCCAATCTTCCAACAAAATATCATCTATAATCTGTTTTCACCAATGACAGATATTTATTGAGCACTTTTTCTGTGGGAGGCATCCTCTAGAAATTTATCATCTATTAGAGGGATGAAATACAGACGACAGAAAAACATCTACAAGACAGTATATTATAAGTGGTATGGAAAATGGCACTTTACAATTCTAGAAGAGGTGATATTGCTTCTAGCATGAGCAGAAAGACTTCACAGAGGCAGCAGGATTTGGAACTTCAGACCCAACACTAATCTGAAAAGAAAACAAATAAGGAGTCACTGGAGCTCTCTTTGTGAACACAAGTGACCTACTCAAGGTCATGTTTTAGTGAACATTCTTTGTAGATCAACAGGAATATAGATCAGGTCCTCTTTGGAGGAGAGTAAGGGAGAAAGGTGACATTTTCCTGTGGTCTTGTCAAGTGTATTTAGCAATAGGTCAGCTCAGAAGGGAAGCAAGATCTTCAACAACAAAGATTAAAAAGCTGTTAAAGGAGTGGGTGAGGCAAAAGGAAATAGTTATCCAGAAGAAGACTACTGAATTCAGACTGCAACAACAAAAGAAGTGAGATTCAGGTTACACTTACCAGTTGAGAGTTGAACAAATTAGATTAATATAGGCTGGGGAAGAATTTGCTAAATTTAAAATACTCTGACTATCTCAAGTTAGGTCAATGACTCTATGACAAACACAAGAGTAATTAATGTGTAACTTCAGGCTAAAAGGAGAAATTGAAAAGCTGAATTAAATAAAGCACATCAATAATAGTGAGATTCAAAAACCCACCATGGCCATTTGCTCCACGATTACCAAAGACCCTGAACAATGAAATCTCACGATAAAAGATGCATTCATCACAGAGTGGGAGAGAAATGATTCCAGGAATCTGCCTTAATTTTTATTACCACTATCATAAAACTGTTACAGGATTATTAATATTGATGTTTGTTCAGGGATTATGCATCACCATTTCATGGAAGCAGCTTAAGAGTTGCCTTCTGTGAAGCCCACCAAGCTGTTTACATAACCCTAAATGCATGGCAAGAGTTCAAATGGTAATTGTGATTTCAGACATAGTTTGTATTGGTCACTCTCTTAGTGTCTAATCACTACAGTTCATGAGAAACAACAAAAGAGAGGCAAGTGTTTGCAGTTCCCCCAGATGATCTACTTGGGCATTCAATTTCACAGATCAAATAGGTTACTGCAAACATATACAAAAGGGTTTATTAAGGCTATTAAACAACTGAAATTATATAGCTAAGAGACCCAAAATATGTGTTTAAACACTTTATGAGAGATAGAAAAATTAGGTCAGACACAGATGGGAATTACTTACGTTTACTCTTAACTCTTCTGAAAATCATCATTGACTGTCTTGGCTGCCACTCACCCCTTCTCCCTATTTCTAGCTCAGAACAACACATCTGTTGTTATTTCCTCTCATATTAATGTTTCTACATTTGGGGGTCAGCACTTCTAACAGGAGCACAAGAGAAATAGCATTCTGGGGAAAATAGCTAAGTAGCTAACTAGAAAGATTTGGGTCAGCTTGCATCTGAATTCTGAATGCAGCTACCTAAATGAAGGTAGGTCAGCCACAGAGGGCAGTGTGATCTATAGCCCCAACCTCTAGGGAATGAGTCAGAGTAGAGATGGTTTCACAGTTTATGGGGAAAATCCTAGGATCTCAGAAAACAAGTATCAGGATAATACTGCATATCTACCCATGGTGAAATTCTGCCAATTCAGGGAGTATATTCAGAGGCAGACAGGAACCTGAGAATGACTGGCCTCCATTAGCAAAAGAGAGCTTCATAACTGAATGATGACAGGATACGGGCTGGAGCCTAAAGGCTACATAAAACAAGGAGGCCTTCCTAGAAGTCAAGGTCATAGGACCATCTCTCAGGATTGATATTTATTGTCTTCAGGGGCTACACCATTCATCTAAATAGATGAAAGGGCCCCCAAATGGTTCTCAGCCTTTGCTGCACATTGAAGAACTTTAAATAATACTAATAATACTAATTCCTGGGTTCCACTCCTGAAGCTTCTAATGTGGGTGGTTGGAGATGCAGCCTGGGAATCTTTATATATGATTGCCCCCAGGTGATTCTGATATAGAGCTAAGGCTGAAATCCAGGAGCCTGGGGTGATATAACAGGGAAGGATGAACATGTGACTAACTAGGGAATATGTCCTGCTTAAAACTATTCAAATTCTTTTGTTTTTTAAACACCAAGCTGGCCATGTGAACATCTCCATTGTCTGGAGCCCAGAGTTTGTAAAGGGACCAAGAAAGACCCAATAAAAACTAATTCATCCGTAGAAAATGATGCTAATGAAATAAAGTGAATTACGGTAAAGATGAGGGGAACTATGACTTGCTAATGCTGAGCATCAACTTTGTGCCACACATCATCTCCTTTAATCTTCTAATCCTTAGAATGTCACCAGAACAACAATGCCTAGCACATAGGAAGCAGTCAACAAATATTTGTGAATAAATATTGTCCCATTTTACATATGGAGAACAAAGGCTCAGAGAGGTTAAATAATTTCTCCACCGTTACACAGTTAGTAGTGAAAGATCCAGGATTTGACTCCAAGTCTGTCAAATCTTACCACTTGGCTGTGCTGCCTTCATCTTTGAGAAGTCTGAATTATCCAACATCTCAGAGAGAAACATAGTCTTAGGGACCTGGTAAGGTATTTGTCCTAGATACAAGTTGTGGTTGAGATACATAGCAGCACTGACTCTCACTTTCCAGAAACAACTTGATTACTAATTTGAAAAAGCGCAATAGACTCCACACCTAAAAGACTGGTTGAATCATTTTAACAAACTAATAATAACAATATTTACATGACATTCAAAGCAATTCCAAGAATTAACCAACTCTAAATAACTAGAGCATCTGCTACAGAAGATAAAATAGGATAGCAGATTTGGTATACCAGCAAACTCCCAGTAACATAAGCAATCAATGAAAGAGATGCATAAATGTGTAAAAGACTATCCATAATGGGGAGGGAGAAAAAAAACAGCCAATGTATGGTGTCAGCTACCAAGTCATATACAAAAAAAAATTGGAAAGGAGAAGGCTAACATAAACAACTAATGGCAACAGCACAAGCTGAATATAAATAAGTAGGCCTAAAGGTCAGGCCTTTAAGGGGCTTGAACTTTATTCAACACATGCTGTTTTCACTCCCTAGAATCCTCTCTTTTTTCTATCTGGAAAGGTAACTCATCTCTAAGGCATGGCTCTACTGTGAACAATTCTCCAACTCTTTTCAACAAAGCAAATAATTTTCTGACGTCTATTCTCACAATATTTTCTATATATCTCTAACAAAACTTACACAATTTGTGTCACAATTATATATGTATTAAATCTCCCTTTTGGCATGAGCTCTTTTAAAAAATGAGAGAGGCCATAATTTGTCTTTGTGTCCCCAAACCTTGGCATGGTGCGTGGCCCATGCTAGATGATAAATATTTGAAAGAATGTTTCTGCTGAAAGAAGCCTTTAGCTGCCTCTAACAGCCACGTGGGGAAACCTATTAACCTTTAAGTGATACTGGAAGTGTTACTATATTTGCCTATATAGTCAATCCCAAAAGCAAGCTGGTAAAGTTTAGTTCCAGCATAACTTCTAGGATATTAAATCTGGTCCTAAAGTTGCTTTCAAGAATACTCTATAAAAGCAGAGGTTTCCTGCAGCCATCAAAAACTATCAGTTAATATTTACAGGATCATAATACCATGGTTCTCCATAGCCAAAAGTAAACATTTACTGTTCTATAAACAAATTTTGCTTTAAGAAAAATTCACTTAAAGAAACATAGCCTCTAGTGTTTCAGACCAATTCAGTACTTTAGCTCTATTATGCAATAAATGTATAATGTTGACCCAAGAACACTCTGAAGATTTAAGAAGGTACATCAACTCATTAGGCCATGAAATCACAAATTTGTAGTCTATTATGTTGAAAAGAGTTAATGCTAATCACCCCTCCCCATCCAATCTCTTAAAAAAATAAAACCTTATAAAAGGGAAGATCTGTCTGTAAGAATTAAATTGCCTTGGAGAGCAGCATTTTTAAACTAATAGCCAGAGTAAGGCTCACAGACAAAATACTTGACCTGTGAAATATCTCTTGCTTACTTTTAATGACTATCCTCAACTCAGGAGTTTGTCATAATCACTCCTTCTTATTGATGTGATGGTAAATTAATCTTTGCACTCTGTCAGGAAAAAAAAATGAATGCACCTGAATACACCCTTAAAGTTATGTTCTGAAAATCAATTTTTCTTGATGAAAGATGGTAAATCAGCCTTTAATAATTTAGATTCTTCAGTGTGAAATTTTACTTTTGATAGAAGATATTTTAAAAAGCTATTTTATAGAAATAAATGAAACAACGTACAATAAAGCTTGACCCGGGTGCCATTATAAACACCCTTCACTTTATAAAGAGACACCAAAAATTCCCTTTTATGGATGGATAGATAAGCATTTAGGATTGTGGTGCAGGAAAGGAGTTGGGGAGAAGGAGAGGGAGAAGAAGAGGGAGTGAAAGAGTGAAAAAATAGAAGGATATGCATATTATTGAAATAAAAATTAACTTATTATTTCAGCTACTGAGAATAATCTTATGAAAGATTTCCTTTGATAAGCCAATCTTTAACTCCAAATAAATGTTTAGGATTCACAATCCCTGTGCTGATAATCCTTGATAAAATGGCAAGTGTTTCCCTCAGCAATATCGAAGTATGGTGATAAGAAACATGAGTTCTCCTCCAGCTGGCATCTGGTGGGTGCCCCTCTGGGATGAAGCTTCCAGAGGAAGGAACAAGCAGCAATCTTTGCTGTTCTGCAGCCTCTGCTGGTGATACCCAGGCAAACAGGGTCTGGAATAGATCCACAGCAAACTCCAGCAGACCTGTAGCAGAGGTGCCCGACTGTTAGAAGAAAAACTAACGAACAGAAAGAAATAGCATCAACATCAACAAAAAGGACGTCCACACAGAAACCCCGTCCAAAGGTCACCAACATCAAAAACCAAAGGAAGATAAATCCATAAAGATGAGGAAAAACCAGCATAAAAAGCCTGAAAATTCCAAAAACTGGAATACCTCTTCTCCTCCAAGGGATCACAACACAACACCTCACCAGCAAGGGAACAAAACTGGATGGAGAATTAGTTTAATGAATTCACAGAAGTACGTTTCAGAAGGTGGGTAATAACAAACTCCTCTGAGCTAAAGAAGCATTTTCTAACTCAATGCAAGGAAGCTAAGAACCTTGAAAAAAGGCTAGAGGAATTGCTAACTAGAATAACCAGTTTAGAGAATAACATAAATGACCTGATGGAGCTGAAAAACACAGCATGAGAACTTCGTGAAGCATACAAAAGTATCAATAGCTGAATCAATAAAGCAGAAGAAAGGATATCAGAGATTGAAGATCAACTTAATGAAATAAAGCATGAGAAAAGATTAGAGAAAAAATAATGAAAGGGAATGAACAAAGCCTCCAAGAAATATGGGACTATGTGAAAAGACCAAACCTACGTTTGATTTGTGTACCTGAAAGTGATGGGGAGAATGGAACCAAGTTGGAAAACACTCTTCAGGATATTATCCAGGAGAAATCCCCCAACCTAGTAAGACAGGCCAACATTCAAATTCAGGAAATACAGAGAACAGTACAAAGATACTCCTCGAGAAGAGCAACTCCAAGACACAAAATCATCTGATTCACCAAGGTTGAAATGAAGAAAAAAAATGTTAAGGGCAGCAAGAAAGAAAGGTTGGGTTACCCACAAAGGGAAGCCCATCAGACTAACAGCAAATCTCTCTGCAGAAACCCTATAAGCCAGAAGAGAGTGGGGGTAATATTCAACATTCCCAAAGAAAAGAATTTTCAACCCAGATTTTCATATCCAGCCAAACTAAGCTTCATAAGCGAAGGAGAAATAAAATCCTTTACAGACAAGCAAATGCTGAGAGATTTTGGCACCACCAGGCTTGCCTTATAAGAGCTCCTGAAGGAAACATTAAACATGCGAGGAAAAACCAGTACCAGCCTCTGCAAAAACATACCAAATTGTAAAGACCATTGGTGCCATGAAGATAATAATAATAATAAAAAAAAAGAAACTGCATCAACTAATGGGCAAAATAACCAGCTAGCATCATAATAACAGGATCAATATCACACATAACAATATTTACCTTAAATGAAAACAGGCTGAATGCCCAATTAAAAGACACAGACTGGCAAATTGGATAAAGGGTTAAGACCCACTGGTGTGCTATATTTAGGAGATCCATCTTGTGCAAAGACACACATAGGCTCAAAATAAAGGGATGGAGGAAGATTTACCAAGCAAATGGAAACAAAAAAAGCAGGGGTTGCAATCCTAGTCTCTGATAAAACAGACTTTAAACCAATGAAGATCAAAAAAGACAAAGAAGGGCATTACATAATGGTAAAGGGATCAATGCAACAAGAAGAGCTAACTATCCTAAATATATATGCACCCAATACAGCAGCACCCAGAATCATAAAGCGAGGTCTTAGAGACCTACAAAGAGACTTAGACCCCCACACAATAATAGTGGGAGACTTTAACACGCCACTGTCAATACTAGACAGATTAATGACACAGAAAATTAACAAGGACATTCAGGACTTAAACTCGGCTCTGGACCAAGCAGACCTAATAGACACCTACAGAACTCTCCACAGCAAATCAACAGAATATACATTATTTTCAGCACCACATTGCACTTAGCCTAAAATTGACCACATAATTGGAAGTAAAACACTCCTCAGCAAATGCAAAAGAACGGAAATCATAACAAACCGTCTCTCAGACCACAGTGCAATCAAATTAGAACTCAGCGTTAAGAAACTCACTCAAAACCACACAACTACATGGAAACTGAACAACCTGCTCCTGAATGACTACTGGGTAAATAACAAAATTAAGGCAAAATAAATAAGTTCTTTGACAGCAATGAGAACAAAGACATGATGTACCAGAATCTCTGCAACACAGCTAAAGCAGTGTTTAGAGGAAAATTTATAGCACTAAATGTCCACAGGAGAAAGCAGGAAGGATCTAAAATTGACAACCTAACTAACATCACAATTTAAAAAGCTAGAGAAGCAATAGCAAACAAATTCAAAAGCTAGAAGAAGACAAGAAATAACCAAGATCAGAGCAGAAATGAGGGAGACAGAGACATAAAAAACCCTTCAAAAAATCAATGAATCCAGGAGCTGGTTTTTTGAAAAGATTAACAAAATAGATGGACTGCTAGCAAGACTAATGAAGAAGAAAAGAGAGAAGAATCAAATAGACACAATAAAAAATGATAAAGGGGAGATCACCACTGATCCCACAGAAATACAAACTACCATCAGAGAATAATATAACACCTCTATGCAAATAAACCAGAAAATATTAAACAAATTGATAAATTCCTGGACACATACACTTTCCCAAGACTAAACCAGGAAGAAGTCAAATCCCTAAATAGACCAATAACAAGTTCTGAAATTGAGGCAGTAATTAATAGCTTATCAACGAAAAAAAAAAAAAAAAAAAGCCTAGGACCAGACGGATTCACAGCTGAATTCTAACAGAGGTAAAAAGAAGAGCTGGTACCATTCCCTCTGAAACTATTCCAAATGATAGAAAAAAAGGGACTCCTCCGTAACTCATTTATGAAGCCAGCATCATCCTAATACCAAAACCTGGCAGAGACAGAAGAAAAAAAGAAAATTTGAGGCCAATATCACTGATCAACATTGATGCAAAAATCCTCAATAAAATACTGGCAAACTGAATCCAGCAGCACATCAAAAGGTTTATCCACTGCTATCAAGCCAGCTGCATCCCTGGGATGCAAGGCTGATTCCACATACACAAATCAATAAACGTAATCCATCACATAAACAGAACCAATGACGAAAACCACATAATTATCTCAATAGATGCAGAAAAGACCTTTGATAAAATTCAACACCCCTTCATGCTAAAAACTCTCAATAAAATAGGTATTGATGGAATGTATCTCAAAATAATAAGAGCTATTTATAACAAACCCACAGCCAATATCATACTGAATGGGCAAAAACTGGAAGCATTCCCTTTGAACACTGGCACAAGACAAGGATCCCCTCTCTCACCACTCCTATTCAACATAGTATTGGAAGTTCCGGCCAGGGCAATCAGGCAAGAGAAAGAAATAAAGGATATTCAAATAGGAAAAGAGGAAGTCAAATTGTCTCTCTTTGCAGATGATATTATTTTATATTTAGAAAACTCCATCATCTCAGCCCCAAATCTCCTTGAGCTGATAAGCAACTTCAGCAAAGTCTCAGGATACAAAAGCAATGCGCAAAAATCACAAGCATTCCTGTACACCAATAATGGACAAACAGAGAGCCAAATCATGAGTGAACTCCCATTCACAATTGCCACAAAGAGAATAAATACCTACGAATCCAACTTACAAGGGATGTGAAGGACCTCTTCAAACAAATCACTGCTCAAGGAAATAAGAGAGGACACAAACAAATGGAAGAACACTCCATGCTCATGGATAGGAAGAATTAATATTGTGAAAATGGCCATACTGCCCAAAGTAATTTATAGATTCAGTGCTATCTCCATCAAGCTATTATTGACTTTCTTCACAGAATGAGAAAAAATACTTTAAATTTCATGTGGAACCAAAAAAGAGCCTGTGTAGCCAAGACAATCCTAAGCAAAAAGAACAAAGCTGGAGGGATCACACTACCTGACTTGAAACTATACTACCAGGCTACAGTAACCAAAACAGCATGGTACTGGTACCAAAATAGATATATAGACAAATGGAACAGAACAAAGTTCTCAAAAATAACACCACACATCTACAACCATCTGATTTTTGACAACCTGATAAAAAACAAGCAGTATGGAAAGGATTCCCTATTTAATCAATGATGTTGGGAAAACTGGCTAGCCATATGCAGAAAACTGAAACTATACACCTTCCTTACACCTTATACAAAATTAACTCAAGATGGATAAAAGACTTAAACGTAAGACCTAAAACCATAAAAACTCTAGAAGAAAACCTAGGCAATACCATTCAGGACATAGGCATGGGCAAGGCCTTCATGACTAAAACACCAAAAGCAATGGCAACAAAAGCCAAAATTGACAAATGGGAGCTAATTAAACTAAAGAGCTTCTGCACAGCAAAAGAAACTATCATCAGATTTAACAGGCAAACTACAGAATGGGAGAAAATTTTTGCAATCTATCTGGCTGACAAAAGGCTAATATCCAGAATCTACAAAGAACTTAAACAAATTTACATGAAAAAAGCAAACAATCCCATCAAAAAGTGGGTGAAGGATATGAACAGACACTTCTCAAAAGAAGACATTTATGCGGCCAACAAACATGTGAAAAAAGCTCATCATCACTAGTCATCAGAGAAATGCTAATCAAAGCCACAATGAGATACCATCTCATGCCAGTTAGAACGGCGATCATTAAAAAGTCAGGAAACAACAGATGCTGGCAATGATATGGAGAAATAGGAACACTTTCACACTGTTGGTGTGAAACCATTGTGGAAGACAGTGTGGTGATTCCTCAAGGAACCAGAAATACCATTTGACCCAGCAATCCCATTACTACATATATACCCAAGTGATTATAAATCATTCTACTATAAAGACACATGCACATGTATGTTTACTGCAGCACTATTCACAATAGCAAAGACTTGGAACCAACCCAAATGCCCATCAATGATAGACCGGATAAAGAAAATGTGGCACATATACACCATGGAATACTATGCAGCCATAAAAAAGAATGAGTTCATGTCCTTTGCAGGGGCATGGATGAAGCTGGAAACCATCGTTCTCAGCAAACTAACACAGGAACAGAAAACCAAACCCCACATATTCTCACTCATAAGTGGTAGTTGAGCAACGAGAACCCATGAACACAGGGAGGGGAACATCACACACTGGGGCCTGTTGGAGGGTGGGGGGCTAGGGGAGGGATAGCATTAGGAGAAATACCTAATGTAGATGACGGGTTGATGGGTGCAGCAAACCACCATGGCACGTGTATACCTATGTAACAAACCTGCACATTCTGCACATGTACCCCAGAACTTAAGTATAATAAAAATAAATAAATAAATAAGCATTATTAAATATAGCAAAATGTATTCATATTACCACAAATATGTACTTCAAATTTGCTATTGAATAAAATTAATGAGATTACTCAAAAAAAAAAAAAAGGAAACAAGCTCTCAAGTCACGAAACCTGGGTTCAAATTTTGGCAATTATGACTGCCCATTGACTTCATCTTTCTGTTCTTCAGTTTCCCTCTCTGTAAACTGGTAATAACAGTACCTGCTCATGGAGTTATACAATGTTTAACTCAGTAAGTGCCTAACAGTGTTATTATTTATGTTACATTTATTTACAGACTAAAGAGGCCACTAAAAATAGCGGTGATTTCTAGAACATGTTAGGTAGAAAGTTGATGAAAATAATAGCTAATAACTGCTATTTATAAGGTCTTAAACTTTAGACAGCGTTCTAAAAGCTTTCTATGAAGTAATTTATTTAATCCTTTTAACAGTGCTATGATGTAGGTGCTATTATTTTTCCCACTTTTATACAGAAGGAAGTGAGACTCAGAAAAGCAATGAGAATTGCTCACAGTCGCTTATTTAGAATGCAGCAGAACTGGCAGTCAAGACGGGGACTGGATTGACTAGAAACGGAGATTCAAACAATCTGCTTTTACATAAGCCTTATTCTCAATGAAATACAAGAGAAAAATCTTTTGAAATTTTTTTCAACATTTGTCTTGATTATCCTGATCTTTTCGTTAAAATAAACTCATGTTTGCAACTATATTCCAAATATTAACGAGATTTTGTATACATAAAAATATTCCTTCAAAATGTATTAATTAATAAGAGGTGGTAAACCAGTGATCAATCATAACCATGCCTGTTTTCAATGCTGAAAACATTTTTATCATCTGAGATTAATGCAATGTCAGTTCACTTCTTATTGAAAATGTCAATTCACTTTGTTATACCTATCGATTTTAAAGAAACTTAAAACCAATTTTACTTAATTTTGTTGTAGAATATAATTAAATTTCAAGTGGGTATAAAAATTAAACAAGGGATTATTGAAACATGAGTTATAACATATACCTGGAGTCAAATGCAAGTCATCTTTTATACAGCTATTTTTCATTATTCAAACTTTTCATATACATTCTATCAATCTTCCTCCAAAATATACCAATTCCTATTCTAAGATATTAGGCATAGTCTTAAAATATTATTTTTTAAAGTTCAAAAACTAATTTTGCGCCATGCTTCTCTTTATTACAACTATGATTTATTGAACATGTATTAGATGCCAATACTGATAAATAACATTTCACTTATTCAACATAACAGATCTATTTAACACAGGAAAAACTGAGGCTTGAGAGAGCTAAATACTACACCCAAGGTCACCCAACACTTTATCATAGGACTTACAACTGTTTCTCCACTAGCCATATCAAACCTATAGCTTCCTCAGCTATGACATTCATCTACCTCACCTGAGAGCTTGTAGACACATAAAAACAGAGCCATCTTTCTGAATATTCAGTGAAATATTATGGAATATTAGAAACATGGTTTGCATCATGTTCAAGACTAACGGTTCACAAACTAGTGCACATGAAAATCATTTCCAAACCTTGTTTAAAATGGAGATTCCTAAGTACCATTACTACAAACCCAAGATTCTAATCTGGTTTGGAGTATTTGGAACAAGCACCTCAGGTGATTCTGACAAAACTAATTATCAGATCATACCTTAAAAAGCAGTATTCTAGCTGGCAGAGCAAGATGGCAGAATAGAAGCCTATACCATTTGCCCTTTACCCCAACTGGAACACCAAATTTTAATGGTTATCTGCACACGGAAAAGTGCCATCACAAGAACTAAAAATCTGACAAGCAATCACCATACCTGGTTTTAACTTCATATTGCTGAAAGAGGCATTGAAGAGGGTAGGAGAGACAATCTTCAATTGCTAGCATCACCCCTCCAGCATTCCCTGGCAGTGGCCTTGCATTGCGAGGAGTCTGTGCACCTGGGGAGGGGAAAACACAGTGACTGTGGGACTTTACATCGAACTCAGTGTTGCCCTATCACAGTAGAGAGTAAAGCTCTTCTGGGCTCAGCCAATGTCTGAACAAGGAACATTTGGACCAGACCTAGCCAGAGAGGAATTGCCTATCTCAGTGGTCGGAATCTGAGTTTCTGAGCAAGCCTCACCACTGCAGACCAAAATACTCTGGGGTCCTGGGTAAACTTGAAAGAGAATCTAGGACACAAGGACTGCAACTCCTAGTACTAAGCTGAACTCAGAGCCAGTGGACTAGGGTGGCAAGTCACCTAGGGAGACACCAGTCATGGCAGCAAAGGTAATGCTTGAGCCACCCCTTCCCCATCCCTAGGCAGTGCAGCTCACAGCAACAAAAGTGACTTCTTCCTTCTGCTTCCTTAAGCAAGAAGAGGAGAGATAAGAGTAAAGAGGACTTTGTCTTGGGTCTTGGATACCAGCTGAGCCACAGCAGGATAGGGCATCAGGCAGAGTTGCAAGGACCCCATTCCAGACCCTAGCTCACAGATGACATTTCTAAACTTACCCAGGACCAAAAGGGAACCTACTGCCTTGAAGGGAAGAAAGCACTCCTGACAGGATTCATCACCTGCTGACTAAAGAACCCTTGGGCCCTGAATAACCAGCAGCAATACCCAGGCCTTGGGTTACATGCTGAATACAGATGTAACCCAGCACATTCCCAACTGTGGCGGCTATGGTGAAAGATCCTCTCTGTTTGAGAAACACAGATGGTAAAGTAAAGGGGACTTTGTCTTGTACCTTAGGTACGAGCTTGGCCACAGTTGGGTAGAGCAACAAGTGGGTTCTTAGGGTCCCCAGGTCCAGGCCTAGGCTCTTGGAAAGCATTTCTAGACCTGACCTGGGCCAAAAGGGAGCCCATTTCCCTGAAGAGTGAGTCCTAAGCCATGCAGCATTCACTACCTCTTCAGATGACCGAAGAGCTTTTCGGCTTTAAGTGAACATTGGTGGTGGCCTGGCAAAACCTGCTGTGGGTTGGTGGTGGTAGTGGCCACAGGGAGAGGCTTCTCTACCTATGGAAAAAGGAAGGACTTTGTGTTGTGGTTCGAGTGCCAGCTTAGCCGCACTGGAATACAACATCAGGTAAATTTCTAAGGATTTTTACTCCTATCTGTAGCTCCCAGGCAGCATCTCTGGGCCCACCCCCAACCCAGGGCCTGAGGAAAGTTTCCACCCTAAAGGGAAGGGCACAAACGTGGTGGGCTTCACCACCTGCTGATCAAGAGCCCTAGGTCCTTCAGTGAACATAGGAAGTAGCCTGGTAGTGGTTACACTGGGCCCTGGGTGAGAGCCAGAGCTGTGGTGGCTTGTGTTCTGACCCAGCGTAGTCCCAGTGCTTATGGCCACAGGGGTCCTTGCATCACTATACCCCCAGTACCAGGTAACTCAGCACAGATAGAGACTGTTGTTTGCTTGGGAGAAAGTAAGGGAAAATAACAAGAGTCTCTGCCTGCTAATCCAGAGAATTCTACCAGATCTTATCCAAAACCAGCAAGGCAATACCTGTACAAGTCTGCAAAATCCACAGTATTATTGGGCTTGGGGCCCAAGTCCCTTCAAATACTTGGAAAGCCTTCTCAAGAAAGATGGGCACAAACAAGCCCAGACTGCAAAGATTACAATAAATACCTAATTCTTCAATGCCCAAACACTGATGGACATCTACCAGCATCAATATCATCAGGAAAACATGACCTCACCAAATGAACTGAATAAGGCACCAGAAAACAATTCTGGAGAAAGAGAAACATGTGACCTTTCAGACAGAGAATTCAAAATAGCTGTTTTGAGGAAACAAGGAAATTCATGGTAACACAAAGAAGGCATGCAGAATTCTCGCAGATAAATTTAACAAAGAGATTGAAATAATTAAAAAGAGTCAAGCAGAAATTCTAGAGTGGAAAAATGCAATTGACATACTGAAGAATGCATTAGAGTCTCTTAATAGCAGAATTGATCAAGCAGAAGAAAGAATCAGTGAGCTTGAAAACAGGCTATTTGAAAATACACAGTCAGAGAGGACAAAAGAAAAAAAGAACAAAATACAATGGAGTGCATTTTTAAGATCTAGAAAATAGCCTCAAAAGGCAAATCTAAGAGTTATAGGCCTAAAAGAGGAGATAGAGAAAGAGATAAAGGTAGAAAGTTTATTCAAAGAGACAATATCAGAGAACTTCCCAAACCTAGAGAAATATATCAACATTTAAGTACAAGAAGGTTATAGAACCCCAAGCAGATTTAACCCAAACACTACCTCAAGGTATTTAATAATCAAACTCCCAAAGGTCAAGAATAAAGAAAGGATCCTAAAAGAAGCAAGGGAAAATAAACAAATAACATACAATGGAGATTCAATACATCTGGCAGCAGACTTTTCAGTGGAAACCTTACAGACCAGGAGAGAGTAACATGACATATTTAAAGTGCTGAAGGAAAAAGTTTTTACCCTAGAATAGTATATCTGGGAAAAATATCCTTCCAACATGAAGGAGAAATAAAGACCCTCCCAGATAAATAAAAGCTGAGGGATTTCATCAGCTCCAAACCTGTCCTACAAGAAATGCTAAAGGGAGTTCTTCAATCTGAAAGAGAAGGATATCAATGAGCAAGAAAAAAATCATCTTAAAGTACAAAACACGCTGGTAATAGTAAGTACACAGAAAAACACAGAATAATATAAACCAGAATGGGGGTTCTTTCTTGTTTTAAGTAGAAAGAATAAATAATGAACCCACCAAAAACAATAACTACTACAGCTTTTCAAGACACAGATAGTATAATAAGACATAAAGAGAAACACTAAGAAGTTAAAAAGTGAGGGATGAAGAGTTGTTAATAGTTTTTATGTGTTTGTTTATACAATCAGTGTTATGTTATCATCAGCTTAAAATAATGGGTAATAAGATACTATTTGCAAGCCTCATGGTAACTTTAAATAGAAAATCATACCACAGATACACAGAAAATAAAAAAGCAAGAAATGAAAGCATACCACCAAGAGAAAATCACCTTCACTTAAAGGAAGACATGAAGAAAGAAAAGAAAGATAAGAATACCACAAAACAACCAGAAAACAAATAACAAAATGACAGGAGTTAAGTCCCTACTTACCAATAATAACATTGAATGTAAATGGACTAAACTTTCCAATCAGAAGACATAGAGTGGATGAATGAATGGGAAAAAAAATTAAACCCAGTGATCCACTGCCTACAAGAAACACACCTCACCTATAAAGATACCCATAGATTCAAAACAAAGGAAACTAAAAAAGAGCAGGGGTAGCAATACTTATATAAGACAAATGGATTTCAAGACAAAAACTGTAAGAAGAGACAAAAAAGGTCATTATATAATGATAAAGGGGTCAATTCAGCAAGAGGATATAACAATTGTAAATATATGCACCCAACACTGGAGCACCCAGATATATAAAGCAAATATTATTACAGCTAAGGAGAGTTAGATCTCAATACAATAATAACTGGAGACTTACATTCACTTTCAGCACTGGACAGATCTCCCAGACAGAAAATCAACAAAGAAACATTGAACTTAATCTGCTCTATAGAACAAATGGACCTAACAGATATTTACAGAACATTTCATCCAATAACTACAGAATACACATTCTTCACCTCAGCACAGGAATAATTGTAAAGGATAGACCATATGTTAGGTCACAAAACAAGTTTTAAAACATTCAAAAAAATTGAAATAATATCAAGCATCTTCTCTGACCACAATGGAATAAAACTAGAAATTAACAACAATAGGGATTTTGGAAACTATACAAACACATGGAAGTTAAACAATATGCTCTCAAATGACCAGTGGGTCAATGAGGAAATTGAAAAGAAAATTTAAAAATTTCTTGAAACAAATGATAATGGAAACACAACATTCCAAAACCTATGATATACAGCAAAAGCAGTACTAACAGGGAAGTTTATAGCTATGAGTGCCGACATCAAAAAAGAAAAAAAAAACTTAAAATAAATAACTTAATGATGCATCTTAAAGAACTAGAAAAGCAAGCACAAACTGAAACCAAAATTAGAAGAAAAGAAATAATAAAGATAGGAGCATAAGTAAAGAATTTGAAATGTAGAAAACAATACAAAAGATCAATGAAACAAATAGTTGGTTGTCTTAAAATATAAACAAAATTGACAAACCTTTAGCCAGATTAATGAATAAAAAAAGAGAAGACCCAAATAAATAAAATCAGAGATGAAAAGGGAGACATTGCAACTGATACCACAGAAATCCAAAGGGTCATTAGTGACAATTATGAGCAACTATATGCTAATAAATTGGAAAATCTAAAGGAAATGAATGAATTCCTAGACACATACAACCTACAAAGATTGAACCATGAAGAAATCCAAAACCTAAACAGACCAATGACAAGTAATAAGATTGAAGCCATAATAAACAGTCCCTCTGCAAAGTAAAGCCCAGACTCAATGGCTTCCCTGCTAAATTCTATCAAACATTTAAAGAAGAACTAATACCAATCCTACTCAAACTATTCCAAAAAAATAGAGGAGGGAATACTTCCAAACTCATTTTACAAGGCCAGTATTACCATGATGCATAACCAAAGACACATCACCAAAAAAGCAAAAGAAAAGAAGGAAAACTACAGGACAAAAATCTTCAACATAATACTAGCAAACCAAATTCAACAATGCATTAAAAAGATCATTCATCCTGTAGGTTGACTGTTCACTCTGATGATAGTTTCTTTTGCTGTGCGGAAGCTCTTTAGTTTAATTAGGTCCTATTTGTCAATTTTGGCTTTTGTTGCCATTGCTTTCGGTGTTTTAGTCATGAAGTCTTTGTCCATGCCTATGTCCTGAATGGTATTACCTAGGTTTTCTTCTAGGGTTTTTATGGTTTTAGGTCTTACATTTAAGTCTTTAATCCATCTTGAGTTAATTTCTGTAAAAGGTGTAAGGAAGGGGTCCACTTTCAGTTTTCTGCATATGGCTAGGCAGTTTTCCCAACACTATTGATTAAATAGGGAATCCTTTCCCCAGTAGTTGTTTTTATCAGGTTTGTCGAAGACCAGATGGTTGTAGATGTGTGAAGTTATTTCTGAGGCCTCTGTTCTGTTCCATTGGTCTATATATCTGTCTTGGCACAAGTACCATGCTGTTTAGGTTACTGTAGCCTTGTAGTATAGTTTGAAGTCAGATAACATGATGCTTCCAGCTTTGTTCTTTTTACTTAGGATTGTCTGGGTTATACGGGCTGCTTTTTTGGTTCCATATGAAATTTAAAGTAGTTTCTTCTAATTCTGTGAAGATATTCAATGGTAGCTTGATGGGGATAGCATTGAATCTGTAAATTACTTTGGGCAGTATAGCCATTTTCACAATATTGATTCTTCCTATCCATGAGCGTGGAATGTTTTTTCATTTGTTTCTGTCCTCTCTTATTTCATTGAGCAGTGGTTTGTAGTTCTACTTGAAGAGGTCCTTCATATCCCTTGAATTGTATACCTATGTAACAAACCTGCACATTCTGCACATATATCCCAGAACTTAAAGTATAATAAAAAAAGAAAGAAAGATTTTAAAATATATCTGACATTTCTAGAATTCATGCAAATATAAGCCTGTTTGGAATTAAAAAATCCCAAGTGGGGTTTATCCCTAGGATATAAGGATAGTTCAAGAGACTGGGATAGGTAGTGGGGTCTTGGGGGTGGAGGCAGGTAGAGATGGTTAATGTGTACAAAACACATAGAAAGAATGAATAAGACCTAGAATTTGTGAGAAAAACAGGGTGACTATAGTCAATAATAATTTAATTGTACATTTTAAAATGACTAGAAGAGTACAATTGGATTGTTTGCAATGCAAAAGAAAACCACTTGAGGGGATGGATACCCTACTTTTTGTGACGTGATTATCACCACATTGTATGCCTGTATCATAATATCTCATGTACCCTATAACTATATACACCTACTATGTATCCATAAAAATTAAATATTAAAGCAAAACCCAGCATTCTGGATTCCAAATAAAAATACCAATCATAAAGTCAGAGTAACTGAGATTTTGCATTTTTTACTCACCTCCTCTGTTTCAAACACATCGTAGTGATTAATGAAATATAATGATTTTAAAATAGCCAAGCTCAAAAACAATATACACATATCTGTGGGACAGAAATTGAATCTCTGTGGGGCAAAGCCCTGAGCACAAAATGAAGCAGAGGCTCACTTGCTCCCAATTCAGAGACAGGCGTTAGTGACTGGGAGCTAACTACCATAAAAAATGAAAACAGTATTACCAGATGAATTAAACTCTGACACATAAATCATTAATAGGAGCACAAATAAGCAGTACAATAAGAGGAAAACTTCATTAATAACAGACAATAATCATGAACATACATGTACCTAATAGCCTAGCCTCAATATATCACAAGAAAAACCTGAAAGAATTATACAGTCATCTCCCATTATCTGTGGAGGATATAATCCAAGACCCTCGGTGGATGCCTGAAACCCCAGATAGTATCGAACCCTATAAATACTGTTTTTTCCTATAAGTACATACTTACAATAAAGTTTAATTTATAAATTAGGCACAGTAAGACATCAACAATAACTAATAATAAAATAGAACAATTGTAACAATATGCTGTAATAAAAGTTATGTCAATGTGGACTCTCTCTCAAAATACCTTATTATATTATATTTACCTATTTTTTGACCATGGCTGACCACCAGTAACTGAAAGTGTCTATTAGAGGGAAACACTGTATGCAGAAACAGAAAGATCCACAATTATATTGAGAGATTTTAACATATCTATCAGAAACCAATGAATGAAATATAAAAAAAAACCTAGAGAAGATTTGACCAAAAAATTAAAGTTTTATTTAGTAGATATAAAATTTTACAGAGAACAAATAGAAACCATACATTCTTTCACATATGAAAAATATAAAACATTTATAAAAGTTAACCATGAAATAAACTACAATGGCAGACTCAAAAAATTTTCAAACAATTATCAGCATGCATATCTTATTCTCTGACATATAATTAGGAAGCAAAAAATTAAAACATATATTTATAAACTTTCAAATACATGAAATGTACACTGAATTTAAAGAGAAAATGGTAATAAAATTATGAAACATTTAGAAGTGAATAATAATGACAGTGTTATATATCACTAATGGTATATGGCTAAAGGGATATCTAGAGGAAATTCTATAGCCTTAAATGCAATTACAGAAAAATGAAAGATTTTTTAAAATAAGTTATTTTAAATCTAATGAGCTATATAAGAAATAACAGACCAAAGCTAAGAATAAAAAACTGAGAAAAAGGAATAACGGAGAATAACAGAAATTAATGAAATAGAAAAGGCAACAACAGAGAGCAAAAAATCAAAAGCTGATTCTTTGAAAAGATATTCTAACAAAAAAGGGTTTATAAAAAGGGAGAAAGCTGACCTCTGCACCAAAAAACTGCTCCTTTTGTGGAAGCTGGGCCTACAAAAGAAAAAGAGAGAGAGAGAGAGAGAGAGAGCAAGAAGGAAGGGACGGGAGAAAGAGAGAGAGAAATGCCCAAGTAAAAATATGGCAATGAAAAGGGGACATAATTAGAAATACAGTTTGGATTTGAAAAGCACAAGTGAAATCTATGAAGAAATTTATGCCAGTAAATTTGAACATGTATATAAACTAGATCCTTTTCTAGAATGTTTACTCAAGAGAAATTAGAAAACAAAGATATGGATGACTATTAAGGAACATAAACAGTCAGTGGAAAGACTAACAGACAATAAGACAGATAGTTCTACAAGTGTTCTAAATCTGAAAGAAATAAATAACTTTTTATTATGCAAACTGTTTCAGATAACAGATAAAGAAGAAAGGCTAACTCAGCATGCTTTATGCAAGTAGCGTAGTTTAACCAAATCAGAGCAGGGAAATAAAAGCAAAAGAAAATTTTAGACCAATTATATGTATTATGATCATAGAAAAAATTCTAAATATATTAGCAAACCAAATTTAGCAGATTATCATTTTAAATGCATCACAAAAAATAGAGTTTATCTCAGGAATTCGAAAGTGAGTCATAATCACCAAAGCTAGTAACCTAACACACAATATTAATGGATTATCAGAGAAAATAGTAGCATCTCACTGGATGCAGAAGTCCACTTACTAATATTCATCTGCTATTCATGAAAATATTCTTAACAAACAAGGAATTGAAGGAAACTTCAGTAACTTGATACAGGACACTGAAGAAACATATAGCAAACACTGTGCTTAATAAATAATATTTTAGAAATGTTCTTATTAAAACAGCGTCAATACAAGCATATTCTTTATCATTTCTTATCAACAAAAATGAGAAACTATAATTGGAAAGTCATTAACAAAACTAACTCTATCTGAAGACAATATTATTATCTACATAGAAAATTCAAGAGAAACTATGGACGTCATATTAGAACTGTTCATATAGTTTAGCAAAGTTTTTGAATACAAGATGAAATCATCAAAACTATTAGCCTTCCCATATGCCAGTAACAATAAAATAGAAAGTATAATAGAAAAATACATCTTGTTCACTATAGCAGCAAAATATATAAGGTATCTAAAAATGACTTTAACAAAAGATGTAGAAGATCTTTATAAGAAGATATAAGGCAACATATAAGGGCACAAAAGAAGATGAAAATGGGAAGATATACTAACTATACAGATGAGAAGACTCAACACTATTAACATGTCTATTCATTCCAAATTTATCTATATATTCAATAGACTATCATTGCCCTACAACCTAAGACTTATTAGAAGCAAAGAGGAAAAAGGCAGTATAGTATTCTTGCAAGGATAGACACACAGACAAATAACACAGAAGAGAAACTTCAGAAACAGACTCGCATGTAACACCAGATACATGACAGAGGAGGAAATCCAAATGAGGAGAGAAATGAACAGTGCAGGGGAAATTGATTCTCCTTAAGGAAACGTCACATACAACTATGTTTCAAAAACAATAAGATAAAATAAAACTAGTTTGTAAGAAATTATAAAAATAATTTTCATGAGAATTAAGGGCCTAAATGTAGGGGGAAAGAAAACCCTTAATAATGCCTTTTGAAGGCTATATAAGAATATATTCTTATGGCTTTGAGAAAGGAAAGAATTTCTTAAAAATCAGTGATAAAAAATGACAAATAATCAAGAAAACAAATTTAAAATTTCATAAATATCTTTATCTCTTTAAAATTCAAAATCATAAAAATATCCATTTTTCTATTGTAAATGGGATTGTGTTCTTAATTTGCCTCTCAGCTTGAATGATATTGATGTATTGAAATGCTACTGATTTTTGTACAATGATTTTGTATACTGAAACTTTTTTGCCCTTCCAATATTTACTGTAGATTCAAGTGATACATGTGGAGGTTTGTTACATAGCAAATTGTTTGTTGTGGGTGTTTGGCATACAGATAATTTTGTCACCCACATAATCAGCATAATGCCCAACGGGTAGTTTTTCAACTATCACCCTCCTCCCAACCTCTACCCTCAAATAGGCCCCAGTGTCTTTTGTTCCCTTCCTTTTGTCCATGTGTACTCGATATTTAGCTCCCACTTATAAGTGAGAACAACATGCAGTATTTGGTTTTCTGTTCCTGTGTTAATTCACTTAAATAATGACGTCCAACTCCATCCACGTGGCTGCAAAGGCCATGATCTCATTTTCTATAGCTATGTAGTATTCCATGATGTATATGCACCACATTTTCTTTATCCACATACTGAAACCTAACTGAAGTCATTTACCAGGTCTAGGAGAGTTTTAGTAGCACCTTTAGGGTTTTCTAGGTATGGAATCATATCATTACTGAAGAAAGATGGTTTGATTTATTTTCCTATTTGGATGCCTTTTATTTCTTTCTCTTGGCTGATTGTTCTGACTAGCATTCTAGTATGATGTCGTACAGGAGTAGTGACAGTGGGCATCCCTGTCTTTTTCCAGTTCTCCAGGGGAATGCTTCCAGCTTTTGCCCATTCAGTATGATGCTGTGGGTTTGTCGTAGATGGCTCTTATTATTTTGAGGTATGATCCTTCCATGCCTAGTGTGTTGAGAGTTTTTATCATGAAGGAACATTGGACTTTATCAAAAGCTCCCTCTGAATCTATTAAGATGATCACATAGATTTTCTTTTTAGTTCTGTTTATGTGGTGAATCACATTCATTAATTTGTGTATGTTGAGCCAACCTTGCATCCCAGGGACAAAGCCCTCTTGATCATGGTGAATTAATTTTTTGATATGCTGCTGGATTCAGTTTACTACTATTTGCTTGAGGATTTTTGTGCTTATGTTCATCAGGGATATTGGCCTGTAGTATTCATTTTTCACTGTGTTTTTGACAGGTTTGGGTATCAGGGTCATGCTGGCTTTGTAGAAAGAATTAGGAAGGAGTCCTTCCTTGGTTTTTTGGGAATCATTTCAGTAGAATTGGTACCAGCTCTTCTCTGTATATGTGATAGAATTCTGTTGTAAATCCACTGGGTCCAGGGCTTTTTTTGGCTGGTAGGTTTTTGATGAGTTATTCTATTTTAGAACCTTATATTGGTCTATTCAAGGTTTCAATTTATTCCTGATTGAATATTGGGAGGTTGTGTGTTAATAAATTATCCATTTCCTCTAGATTTTATAGTTTGTGTACATAGAAGTGTTCATAGCAGTCTCTGAGAATATTTTTTATTTCTGTGGGATCAGTTGTAATGTCACCTTTGTAACTTCTGATTGTGCTTATTTGACATGATCATTCTCTCTCTCTCTTTCTCTCTCTCAGTTTTTTGTTTGGCTAGCATCTATCAATCTTGTTTATCCTTTCAAAGAATCAATTCTTGGTTTCATTTATGCTTTCTATGGATTTTTGGGTCTCAATTTTGTTCAGTTCTGCTCTGATTATAGTTATTTCTTTTCTTCTGCTAGCTTTGGGGTTAGTTTGTTCTTGTTTTTCTAGTTCCTCTAAATGTAATGTTAGACTGCTAATTTGAGATATTTCTAACTTCTTCATGTAGGCATTTAGAGCCATAAACTTTCCTTTTAACACTGCTTTTGCTGTATCCTGAGATTTTCATATGTTATGTTTTTGTTTTCATTTACTTCAAATATTTTTTTTTATTTCTGCCTTATTTTTGTTGTTTACCCAAAAGTCATTCAGGATTAAGTTGTTTTATTTTCACATAGTTGTGTAGTTTTAAGAGGTCTTCTTGGTATTTATTTTTATTTTTATTCTACTGTGGTACAAAAGTATAAGTGATATGATTTTTATTTTTTAGAATCTACTGAAATGTACTTTTATGGAAGAGCATGTGGTTGATGTTAGAGTATATTCCACGTGCAGATGAGAAAAAAATACATATTCTGCAGTTGATGGTTGGAGCAGTCTATAAATGTATATTAGGTTCCTTGGTCAAATGTCTAATTGAAGCCCAGAATTTCTTTGTTAGTGTTCTGCCTCAGTGATCTAATGCTGTTAGTAGAGTGTTGCAGTCCCATACCATAATTGCTTAGCTATCGTCTTGTATATGTAGAAGTACTTGCTTTATGAATCTGGGTGCTCTAATATTAGGTGTGTATATCTACAGATTCAATGCTATTCCTATGAAACTACCAACATGATTTTTCACATAACTAGAAAAAAACTATTCTGAAGGTTATATGAAACCAAAAAAGAGTCCGAATAGTCAAGCAATCCTATGTAAAAAGAACAAAGCCAGAATCATCACATTACTGACTTCAAACTATGCTATAGGGCTACAATAACCAAAACAGCATCGTACTGACACAAAAATAGACACGCAGACCAATGGAACAGAATATAGAACTCAGAAATAAAGCCACACACCTACAACCATCTGGTCTTTGACAAAGTTGACAAAAATAAGAAATGATGAAAGGACTCCCTATTTAGTAAACGGTGCTTGGATAACTGGCTAATTACAGGCAGAAGAATGAACCTGGACCCCTACATTCACCATGTACAAAAATTAACTCAGGATGGATTAAAGATTTAAATGTAAGACCTCAAATTATAAAAATTCTAGAAGAAAACCTGGGAAACACCATTCTGAACACTGGCCTAAGGAAAGAATTTATGACTACATGCGCAAAAGAAACTGCAACAAAAACAAAAATTGAACAAGTGGGACCTAATTAAACTAAAGAGCTGTGGCACAACAAAAGACACAGTCAACAGAGTAAACAGGCAACCCACAAAATGGAGAAAATACTTTCAAACTATGTGCCTCACAAAGGTCTAATACCCAGAATCTATAAGGAACTTAAACAACTCAACAATCAAAAAACAAACAACCCCATTAAAAAGCAGGCAAAGGACATGAACAGACACTTCTCAAAAGAAGACATATAAACATACGAAAAAGTGCTCATGTCACTAAACATCAGAGAAATGTAAATCAAAACCACAATAAGATACCATTTTACATCAGTCAAAATGGCTATTATTAAAAGAACAGAAAAATAACAGATGCTAGCAAGGCTACAGAGAAAAGTAAATGCTATTACAATGTGCATAGAAATGTAAAGTAATTCGGCCACTTTGGAAAGCAGTTTGGAGATTTCTCAAAGAAATAAAAACAGAACTTCCATTCAACCCAGTAATCTCATTACTGGATAAATACCCAAAGGCATATAAATATTTTACAAAAAAGACATATGCACTTGTATGTTCACTGCAGCACTATTCACAAAAGATATGAAATCGAACTAAGTGCCCATCAATGGTGGATTGTGTAAAGAAAATGTGGTATACACAGACTATGGAATACTACGCATCCATAAAAAAGAATGAAATCATGTTCTTTGCAGCAACATGGATACAGCTGGAGGCCATCATCCTAAGCAAATTAACACAGGAACAGAAAACCAAACGCCACATATTCTCTCCTAGAAGTAGGAGATGAATATTAGGTACGTAAACTTGGGAAAAAATAGACACTGGGGACTACTGGGGTGAGAGAGCAGGAGATAGGCAAGGGCTGAAAAACTACCTGTTGGGTACTATGCTGACTACTGAGGGATAGGATCATTTATACCCCAAACCTCAGTGTCACACAAGATATCCATATAACAAACCTGCACATATATCCCTTAAATCTGAAAGTTGAAATTATAAATCACAAAACAAAAAACTTGATTATTAGCATACTTTAAACTCCAGACATTTTCCCCATTTTCTGCTACAATACCAGGTCCTCCCTCTCAGCTAGGTCTTTCCCATCAAATAAACCAGCTCTTATTTCTCCCATCTTAAAAATATTTTAAACATCTATTTTTTCTATTTTCTTTTATGGCAAAATTCCTCAAAAGAGTTATTTATTATTGATGACCCAAATTTCTCTTGTATTATTGTACTATTTATCTAATCTGTTGAAACAAATCACCCTGAACCACTCCACAAAAACCACTCTTGTAAAAGCCACCAATAATCTCCAAATTGTTCAATTGAATGGTCAATTCTCTACCCCAATTTAACAGAGTTTGATGATCACTCTCTCCTCTTTGAAACATTGTTTTTATGTGGCTTCCAAACAATATATTCCCATGGTTTTCCTTCTTGCTTACCACTTATTTCTTCCTGCTCTTTTTGTTGATCCTTCTATATCTCCTTGCCCTTTTAATGTTGGAGTGTTTCAGGGCTCAGTCATTGTCCTTTTTTCTCTTTTCCATGTTCACTGATCCAGATTCATGATTTTAAATACCATAGATATACTATCATTCTCAAATGCATATTTCATTTGAGCTTCAGAGTTACATATACAACTGCCTACTTGACACCTTTATATGGCTAACTAAAGGCATCTCAAATTTAGCATATGCAAACTAAACTCTTGATCTCCCAACAATCTGATCTTCCCAGCATCTTCCCTACCTCTCCACTTCATTTTTCCCATTTGCTCAAGCCAAAATGCTAGTCTCCTCTTTCTGTCATAGTCCACATCAAATTCCTCAGAAAATCTTATTAGTACATTTTCAATATATAGCTGAAATTTGGCCACTACTCTCTCCTCTATCGTACCATCTGGATCTAAGCCCTCATCATTCCCACCTACACTATTGAATAACCTCCTAATTTATATTCTTGCTTCTACCTTTGTCTCATCTATCCTTAAATAAGCAGCCAGAGTAATCTTGTTCAAAGACAGGATGATTTTGTTACTTCTTTGCTCAAAACACCACAATAACATTTCATCTCACTCAAAGGAGAAAAAAAAGAAACACATAATGACAATCGCCTAAAAAGTAAGTTTCAATTTCACCTGTAATTGTTTTCTTAAATGCTCATAATACTGTTATTTGAGATGTTTCACTACAGTAAATAAGACAAGGCCCCTATTCCTTCTCTGACTTCTTCTGTTATCATTTGTTTCTCATTTGCTCCTCTCCAATCACAATGGCTCTCCTGATACTCCTTGACCCTACCAAGAATGCAGTCTCCTTATGACTTTCATGCTTACTGTTCTCTTTACCTGAAATGCTTTTCCCCCAGAGAGCCACACAACTTACCCTCTTGCCTCCTCCAGGTACATATATGAATATATTACCTTCTCAGGAAGGCCTTACCTATTAGCTTCTTAAAAAGTTATAACACTTCCCTCCCTCTAGCATGCTCTAGCCTTCTTTCATGCTTCATTTTTCTCTGTAACACATATCACTATCTAATACACCCTTTCGTTATTTCTATTTTATTTTCTATTGTCTCCCCTCCCACTGGAATGTAACCTCCAGAACGGGAGGGATTTTTGTCTGTCTTCTTACTGCTGTATCTCCAATACCTACTGCAGTGTATAGCACATTTCATATTCAATAAATATTTGTTGAATGAATGAATGCACAGGTAAATAGCACAATTCTAACAGCAAAAAAATTGAAAATGATTTAAATGTCCTTTAACAGAAAAATGGATAAACTCAATGTAATCTAATAACACAATCTCAGAAATATATTGTTGGGGGTAGAAGGGAGGAATCTACATAAAGTGTGATATCAGTTATAAAGCTTAAAACCCTGCAAAATAATACTTGCTTCATTTACAGTTAAATACATATGCAACAATGGAACAAAATCACCTATGGGTAGAGTAAACATGAAATGCAGAGAGTTTTAACTCTGGGATAACAGAAAAATGGGATGATAAAACTAAACAGGAGATTTTATTTATCAGTGAATTTTGAAATATGTATATACACTTCTAGTAATATTTGAAATATTTAACATTGAGTAATATGTCTCTTGTTTGCCTAAAACCTGCCTCTGCATGTTGTCAGTGTTTCTGAAATAGTGAATTGGAGATCTTGTGTGAAAAGGAGATTATTTGCAGATACAGCTATAGCATAAAATCCAGTCTATGACTTCACTCAATTCAGAAACTGAATTGATTGTACTTCAGCAGGTTGAGCATAAAACCACATGGAATGTGTTAAGGATTCTAAATTTTGCTTGCAGTATGACATTAATCAATCTCTAGTGATTCCTAGATCTTCACAGTTCCATAACCAACTCTGTATATATATATATATATACTTTAAGTTCTGGGATAAGTGCAGAACGTGCAGGTTTGTTACATAGGTATACACGTGCCATGGTGGCTTGCTGCACCCATCAACCCATCATCTATATTAGATATTTCTCCCAATGCTATCCCTCCCCTAGCCCCCAACCCCGACAGGCCCTGGTGTGTGATGTTCCCCTCCCTGTGTCCATGTGTTCTCATTGCTCAACTCCCACTTATCAGTGAGAACATGCGGTGTTTGGCATAACCAACTCTTATCCTATCACCCACAGCCAGCTTGTGCTGTAATTTAGCATAAAACTTCCAGGTATTCCCACCACACACCCTACTGAGGGCTTAATCTGTTCTCAGCATGCAAATTTCCAAAGAAATAATCATTTTTTAAACACAAAACTATGATCTTATCACAAAATCTTGTAAATTCAGATTTTAATCTAATTATTAGACATCCATAAAGTTGGATTACTCAAATTGTTTTATATTTGCTATAGAAATCATTAGAAAATGTCAAAGCTCCTGATTCTGGATAAAATAGACTTGCTGTGTTTTAGGATCACCATCAGCTCTTCTTTTGCTATAAATTCCATCTAAAACATAATAGTGTATTTTCTTAAAACAGCTTGTCTTGAACTAACCTCCATATTCTACACAGGAAGCTCGCATTTATCTTTATAAGACACCATTCGGCCAGGCGCGGTGGCTTACGCCTATAATCCCAGCACTTTGGGAGGCTGAGGCGGGTGGATCACGAGGTCAGGAGATCGAGACCATCCTGGCTAACATGGTGAAACCACGTCTCTACTAAAAATAGAAAAAAATTAGCCAGGCGTGGTGGCGGGCACCTGTTGTCCCAGCTACTCGGGAGGCAGGAGAATGGCGTGAACCTGGGAGGCAGAGCTTGCAGTGAGCCGAGATCGCGCACTGCACTCCAGCCTGGGCGACTCAGAAAGACTCTGTCTCAAAACAAACAAATAAACAAACAAACAAACAAAAAAGACACCATTCACCCCACTCCTTTTAATAAGAGAAGCTATGATGCTACAAATGAATTAATTCAGTATTTATTGGGAGGCAAACCTTTAAATCCATAAATATTTAATAGGCACAGGTATTATTTTGAATGAATGCTTTTCTACTTGCATAGATATAGGAAACTGTCATTCTAAATCAACACCCTCATCCCCACCCACCACCCTTCTTAGAGCATGGTCCTATGCTTAAATAATCTTTATAATTACAGCAATAAGGACCTAGCCTGTTAATGGACAGTTCCTTATGGGAATGGTCCTCACCTCAATGAATGAAGAATAACTGTGGATTAATTGATATTAAAATGCCTAATTGAAATTAGTACTTACAAATTTGTTGTTCAAAGTTGTCAGTGATTTGACTGATTTCTATCAGCTCTTATTTCCACCTACCCTCTCCCAAAAGAATTCAATAGGTAGCCCCTCTGGCCCACCATCTGGCCTAAAATAAGAAATCTTGCCCTTTAATTGCATTTATATTGTAACCTAAAGGTGGAGAATCCATATCAAAATAGGAAATGTCTTAACATAATGGACCCAACAAACTCATCTATTGCCTGTGTCAAATCCTGACACTAAGTTGACAGGTGGCTCATATATCTGACTGGCTCTACTCTTCAGCTAGATGCAGAGATCACAGCTGCTATTACACATTTAGAAATGTGGATTTTAAAAAATAAAGAACGACTCACAGCTCCACATATCACATATAATATTGCCACAGAACAACTGTTGACACAACTTGGTCCATCCTCTTTATGAGAGGACCTGAAAGAAGTCATTCCTTTTGGGGTTCTGGTCATCTACAGGGAACATGGTAAATATATTGTTATAATTTATAATTTAACGAATGAGTTGTATTACAGTAAAAATAATTTCACATTTACATTGTTGCTTTACTTTTACTACTTGTCCCCTCCAAAAATATTATACATTGGTAGGAGGGTTGTGTTTGGGAGGGATTTTGAGATGAGCTCAGCATGCTTCCCAATGGTTTCTAGAAGCCAACTCCAAGAGACAGAGATCCCCAAATGGTGCTGATTACACAGACCTCTGCATTGCTGTTGAACAATTATTGAGTCTATGGCCATACCACCCTGGTCTACGGCCATACCACCCTGAATGCGCCCGATCTCATCTGAACAATTATTGAACATTTACTGTTTATCAGATTAGTTTGCCAGACCTGGAAATACTGACATGAGTAAGATGCTGACGCTAGCCTCCAGGATGTCTACTCACACACATAGACAGACAAGCACAACACAAATAATAAAAAGCCTAAAATGACGCTGACAGAACCAAACTTCTCCCAGTCTCAGAAAGAATAGCTAATTCTGGCTAAGGCAATCAAAAAAAGCTTTTGGGAAGAGTTCACACGTAGAGTAAGTCATTAGGAACAAATGAGAATGTGTAGCATGTGGATAGGATAGATAAGGGCACACCAAGCAAAGAACAGCACATACACAGAGGCACAGACATATGGACTAATGTGGAGAATCCAGGCAAAAGCATAGGATGGTTGTGGAATTTTATCCTGAAGGCAAGAGGATCCTTTCAAAAATTGTATGCAAGGAAGTGAACTGATCACACATGTGCTTCAGGAAGATCACTATGGCAGCAGCATGGAAAATGGATGAGGAGGGCCATAGGAGAAATGGGAAGGGAATTATGTGGCCAAAAACCTACAAACTGTATCAGCTGTCTGTCACATCAGGAAATGTGTCAGATCGATTTGGCACTAAATAGTACTTGGGTGACAAGACAGAAATATTTCAAATGTTGTTGGAATATCATTATAACTGTATTCCCTATGAAAATAATAATGAAATAATAATAAAATAATAATTCACTACCATTTAGTATCTTTAATCCTCATAACTATTCTACAAGGTAGAGTTTATATTCCATTTTACAATCATGCCAACAAAATCAGAATAATTAAGTAAATTAATTCCAATAACATATCTACTAAATGGCAGAATCAAGATCTAAACCTGGGTTGTCTGGCTCCGAAACCCACACTCTTTTTATTGTACCATGATTTGTCTTGGATTCTCCATCTCAAGGGTTTATCAATGAAGTCCCCCAAAAGATCATTAAATAGTCATCTCTTAGAAAATATTCCAATAAGGTGAATATAGAAATTTCTCCATCATTGTATTTTCCCCTCATCCATGTATTCAAGATTAAAACATTTTTCACAGAAAATGTACTAGAAGGAAACTGGCCACAATAGTGCTGATCCGGGCCACATAGGGTTATTTTCAAGGCTAAAACAACTTCTCAGAGAGAAATACTAACATTAAATTATGCTAAAAGTATTTTTGGCTCTTACTAAATGATGCATATAGAAAGGCTAGTTTAAAATAGTCACAGATTGGGGGTTGGGAGGGAGGAAAGGTACCTCACTGGCATGCCCTTGCTTAAATTGACTAATTAGTCATGCAAAATGCAACCTATATGCAATGGATGAGTTAACATTGCTATCACAACCTTCACTTTTCCATTATCTGACTTTTATGAGTTTAAATTTGCAGTCTTAAAGGTTGCGGTTGTGCCACTTTAGAATTTTTGCATTTAATTAAACATAGCAATAGAGAAAACTCACATTTTTCAAAACAAATGTTCATCAGCTTAAAACTAGCAATAAAAAAGATGACTCATCAATATTCTCAGAGGAAAGCTTTCAACTTGCCTCGCTACCATACTATTCCTTTTTTTACAGCCAACATGAGTTCTGCCAAAAACACGTGGCTACATCTACAAAAGACATTACTGTATTTGTTTTTAAACTTTCCTACATGCTATTCTGTGACTGAGTGCAAAATCAAGTCTAGCTAGAATGTGTCATTTAAGCCTTTAATAGATGTAACTTTATTTTTTACTATTATTATAATAGGCCAAAGTAAATTCTATCTTAAAAATCCCAAGATTACAATATTTTCTATAATTTAAGCTATCTATCCTCAAATCACATGAAGTACACCAGATATCAATATCAAAACCCAATGAAACAAAAACATCTTTTTTCCTAAAATTGAGTGGTGAGAGTGATCCTCAGAGTATGTTAAAAACACTAAAAATTACATATATTGTAATGGCATCTTATGAAAGCATTTAAACCTATGAGGTAAGCTTTTGGTGGTCATTAAAGTGTCCACTTAACTGGAATGTAAATATTATGGTCTTAAATATTCTAGAGAATACATAGATCCTGTAGAGATATTGCTACAGAATCTTCCATTATTCAGTCAACAAATATTTATATGTTATCTTCTACAGCCAGCCCCTATACTAGGCTCCATCATCTAGGGAAGGGGGACACCGGCCTTGACAGACACATTTTCTTCTATTTGGAGGAGGAAGTTTGTCGGCTGAGAAAAAGGGCAACGGTGCTTAAGTATGTGTTTTGAAGAAGGTGACAAATGTTTGGAAAAAGGTGATGCGAACAAATAGAAGAGCTGATTGAGGACAATACTGAGGTTGAAAATCACACTACAGACCATGAGTTTGGTATGAGTCCTCTCAACTCTGATTTCATCTAGCATCTTCCAGCATCTGAGACACAAGAATACAGAAGGCAGAGGCTGATGAAATTAGAGTTAACAGAATAGATCTGGTAGAAACATAGGGAGACTCTAATGTTGAGAGTACTGGTAAGAGAATGGATGGTGTGTCACACCCCAGGCTTCTAGACAATATTTGGACACGTGTAATAAAAAAGAAACTGAGATCTGGCCAGTAGAAGTGTTACACTGGCCACCACAATAGAAAAGCATAGTTTGCTCATGTGCTTCCCACATCTAAGTCAATTCTTAAGAGACTACCTTGGTGAGGCCCGGTCCCTCTTGAGAAAGAACTCTATAATGCTACTATGCATACATACTATAAATATCATCCTGATTCTTCTCCAAAGGGACTTGCTGCCATTTTTCAGAGTGCCTATGCACTCAGGGAAAGGGAATAACCATACTTTTCAAGAATAGCTAGATATGGGATGTGAATGATATCATCATGGTTTTATGTTTAGAGACAGGGGCTTATTGTCACCAGTTGATAAGAGAAGTTTTCCCCCAAGTTTATCTGATAGATGATCCAATGAGTTTTTGGACCCAGCTTGTAGGTCCCTGTTCTCCATGGTTTATAATGGAACATATATACCCTGGCCTGTGGTATAGGGGCATTATGGTAGAAAGAGCTTAGTAGAAACCACTAAAATGACCTCCCAGTAATATTATCTCTGACCAAGGGAACTATTATAAGGCTAAGGCTATGACAGAAGGCCAAAGACAACAGAAGCCACTGCTCTTCCCATGATCTCCATCAGCCAGAAATAGCCAGTCTCATTGGATCATGGAGTGGCCTGTTAAAGGCATAACTAAGACACCCCCTTGGAGACAACACATTTAAGGACTGAGTTGTTGTCATTCAAAAGGCAATGACTGATATGTGAGGCTATATCTTCAAAGGCTAGAATATGTATCTGTGACCCAAAGGGTAAAAATAAAATTGGCCATTTAAACCACCTCCCCCAGTGACCTACTTGCAGAATGTGTGCTCACCAGCCCTGCAACTTTAGTTTCTGACAAGTGAGGATGGAGACAGGTAAATGAAGACAGTTTCTACCAAAAGCCACATCTCTACAACTATGCTAACAATCTTGTCACTTTGGCTCCTTGTGTCAGGAGACTAGGAAGAAAATAAAGGAGTGATTGTAGTGGCAAAGATGATGGACTCTGACTGACAAGATGAGCTAGTATTGCTTCTAAACAAGGGTGCAGGGATCAGTGCATCTGGAATGCAGGGCGTGTCTCGTGTTTCCATTCCCGTTGATTAGAGTAAATAGTCAGTCACAACAACCATAGTCTAATAAGGACAGAAAAACAGGACTCAGACTTTTTGGGGAAGAAGTCTGGGTTATCCCATCAGACAGGCAATTCAGATGAGCAAAATTTTGACAAATTGTAAGGGAAATCAAGAACACATGGTAGAAAAAATAAATGAAGTCTATGAAATAAGGCCTCAGAACCAGCTGTAGTAATTGAGACGATAGCCTGTTTCAACTCTCCTTCTTGCCTCTACTCCTTCAGAGACTGTAGCTGGCCACCACTTTGAAGTGAACTCTGTGACCTGTAGCTCCCCACTGGAAAAGAGAGGAGGGCATCAAGTTGTCACAGTATTGGAGGTCCCATATCATGATGGGGATGGGAGGCAGATATAACGGAAGGATCAAGTGGATATGAGTGATCCAAAAGGTAGATTATAGCAGGTTTCTCTTATGGAGCATTTCAGATGTTCCTCACCTCACCTGTCTCTTGTTCTAGCTCTTGTCTCAGTGAGCCAATGCCACATAGGCTCCTATGGACTTCATACTGGTACTTCCCGACAGTATGGCACCTCAGGCCTGAATTAAGTTCCTCTCTTGCCTCTCTTCCCTTTGATATTTATTCAGGACCAGTCAAGACAAGAGCCAGTGGATAAATTATTCGCCTTTGGTGTTAGGAATCAGAATCTGAGGCAGAAATTTTTGTTCGAGTGATTCGTTGAAGGAGTATTCCCAAGAAAAAGGGAAAAGAGGCCAGCACCTTAGGACAGGGGAGGAAGCCAACCAAGGATTTGGCCTCAGCAGTTGACTAGCTTTAGCCTGATCCCATAGGGTGCTCTGGGCCATGAATCAAGGCAAGGGGACAGTCCTTTGACCCTTCTGTGAGTCAGTCATTGGCTAGGGGCTACTCCTCAGGCTGGAGACTAAACTTCCTGTTATAATGACTTTCTGGCAATTTTCCAGAGAAGGGGCAGTGATGTATTTCTGGCAGCCAGCACAGCAGCTGGGGGATGGGTGTGCAGGCCCAGTAAAGAGAATCTAGGGGGACTCCAACAGCATCCTTTCTGTCCACTGAAGGAGAGTCCTGAGAGGTCATTTATATGACTGCTCAGGGAACAACCCTTAGAAGCAAGTAATCATTTGCATCATGTGCATGAATCATTGTATATGCAACGGGCCCCATAGCACACCCTGGTATTGGCTCTTCTTCCTCCTCTGTGTCACTTCCCTGTCCTCCACTCCTGCTTCCTGGGGATTGTAATCTCTAATAAATTAAACACCCTCTGCCTCAGGCTCTGCTTTCTAAGGAACCAAAACTAAGACTACTGTGGAAGAAAGAAACAAAGAATAAAGGACCTGAGAGGATATGCAAAGGCTCAAGGTGTTGCCGCAGTGAAACGGTGGGATGGGGGCAGATAAGAGACCTGATTGGACTGACAGGCCTATTCAGAATGAGGTCTCCTGTGCATGGCACTGGAGGCCTGATGAAGGTGACAGTCTTGCTCAATACTTAGGCAGCATTTTGCCAAAAAGTTACTTGCAGAGTCCCATACACAACTCAAGGAAGCATAACTCAATTAGTCAAAGATTTTGGAAGATAAAAATCTCTCCAAATATAAGAAATTTTATCTTCCAACCAAAATTTGTGACTGGGTAGGCCATAAGAGTTAATTATAGTAATTTATAATGAAAAGTCCAAGATGCCTATATGTTTATAGGTGACTAGGAAAGGATTGATATTTTGGTTCCCTGAAAGCTTTCTTCTCAGAAGATTCACAAAACATCCCTGGAGGCATAAGACCTACTTACTTGGAGAAGTTACCAATTTAAATCACTGTTTCTATAGATAGCATTAATTCCTATATGTGGCTGTTTCCCATGCAAGCTTTTGAAATGTTCCTAGCTGTTGAAGTGTGAACAACTTTCATAAAGTACAGAGAAATGAAAATTTTCTTAAAGCCCCATTTGAATTGCTTGTCTAGTAGAACATTACATAGGTTATTATGCCTAGGGATTTGATTTACTTCACCCCTTTGGCACTTTCAATAAGCACCCCATTATCAAAAGCCTCCTTAATTTCATTTAATGTGAAAAGCAAAAAGTCACTTAACAAAGCAGGAAATAAGTTTATTATGCCTGGCAATACTATTATCATTAATTATATTTGTTAACTTTTTTAATTTCCCTAGATTCAGCATGCTTCTTAAGGACATAAACAGACACTTCTCAAAAGAAGACATTTATGCAGCCAAAAAACACATGAAAAAATGCTCATCATCACTGGCCATCAGAGAAATGCAAATCAAAACCACAATGAGATACCATCTCACACCAGTTAGAATGGCAATCATTAAAAAGTCAGGAAACAACAGGTGCGGGAGAGGATGTGGAGAAATAGCAACACTTTTACACTGTTGGTGGGACTGTAAACTAGTTCAACCATTGTGGAAGTCAGTGTGGCGATTCCTCAGGGATCTAGAACTAGAAATACCATTTGACCCAGCCATCCCATTACTGGGTATATACCCAAAGGACTATAAATCATGCTGCTATAAAGACACATGCACATGTATGTTTATTGCGGCACTATTCACAATAGCAAAGACTTGGAAGCAACCCAAATGTCCAACAATGATAGATTGGATTAAGAAAATGTGGCACATATACACCATGGAATACTATGCAGCCATAAAAAATCATGAGTTCATGTCCTTTGTAGGGACATGGATGAAATTGGAAATCATCATTCTCAGTAAACTATCGCAAGAACAAAAAAACAAACACTGCATATTCTCACTCATAGGTGGGAATTGAACAATGAGAACACATGGACACAGGAAGGGGAACATCACACTCTGGGGACTGTTGTGTGGTGGGGGGAGGGGGGAGGGATAGCATTAGGAGATATACCTAATGCTAAATGATGAGTTAATGGGTGCAGCACACCAGCATGGCACATGTATACATACGTAACTAACCCGCACATTGTGCACATGTACCCTAAAACTTAAAGTATAATAATAATAAAGTAAAAAAAAGAAAAAAAAAAAGATCATCAAATGCAACAATGCCATATAGAGTTCACTGGAATGAAAAATATCTCTGATGTCACCAAAAGGTAAAGAATTACCAGCTGAAAGCCATTCAGTAAAGATGACAGAGATTTAAAGTTGAAATGCTCTATCATTGTCCAGGTAGCATTATAATCTGTGTGTATACATATAAAAAATACATGGACACATTTTTAAACACATTAGTTAGAAGCACAGAACTATATAAACAGACATCAGATCTTACATACTACTGAAGTGCCTTTTTAAAGAATTTAAAAGTTTGTGGGAGTTTTTTGGCAGAAGCTAGGCATAAAAAACAAAGATAAACACCAACAAAGATGAAAAACATTTAAAACATGAGCATTTTTGGAGAGCTTATAACTTAATAAAATGTGAAGCATACCTTCTAATAAATGCCTGTGGGTAGATATTTTAAAAGCTTAATCCTTTACTATCCAGCCCCCAGGGTACCCACACATCTTAGGTAGCTACACATTGTCATAAAATGCCTAGAGAAAAGACATACATTTTTTCTCACAGTTATAAGAAGCAGAGTAAATATCCAGGCTCACTGACAAATAAATCTAGAAGGAGCTATTAAACAGTTTTACTATGAATTTCCCTGTCAAATGAGTGACCAAGTTTTAGTCTTTCTGAGTCAACACAAGCAAAACCTTGGTATTCTTTAGAAACATCAGCGGAAATCCTGCGTATTTCTGAGCCTTCCCATATCTATTTCAAATTTCAGTTCAGCATTAAGTGACATTTTAATATTTTTCATTCAATTGGCATTAGTTGTTGAGAGTCCACTCTGTGCCTAGCACTGATGTAGGGGCTAGGGTTTAGAAGGGTGAATGAAAAACACTTTGCTGTTTAGTATATTATGGCTCTCAGGATTATAAATGTGTAAGATCCTTAAGGAAGAGACCATGTTGTCCATCTCTCATGGAGATTAGCAGAGTGCTAAGCACATATTAGATGCTCAGAATTCACTGCACTTTTTTGAAAATACTAATGGTGGTTGCTGGCATATGAACAACTAATTTTTATACTCTAAAATACTTTATTATGTAGCACCAAAATACTAATTCTTACAGATTATGGGATAAGATGCCAATATATTGATAGGCAACTTTGCCTGTCAGACACAGGGTCACCCCATTCTTTATCATTATACTACTTGAACTGTATGCCACCACTGCATGCCCACCTCATGGATATAAGAAGTGTTGCGATGTCCTCCAAAGAGATTCTACTACCCACACTTCTTGCAGGCCAGCCAATTTGATTTTAACAAATATAGTTCCTTTTTCAGTCTCCTTACATTAGCTGCTGTTTGTGCAGGTACCTTACTGCATTGTGTAATTCTATTATTATTTATATCCCACCCACTTTTTGAAAGAATTTGGAATGGCGTAAGATACTAAAATGTGTGATAGACAAGACCATTGTAAGTAAAAAGGGAGATCAAAAACCAGATCAGAATAATGAATAAACATCAAAAAATGAAAATGATGTACTATAAGAGAGCACTAAATTTAGCTTTAAGCTTTCTCAAAGTCAAGGGGAATAGGGAGCTTATGGTCTAATACATAGTTCCATAATATATAATATAGCATATATTATGGAATATGGCAGATTCAAGGAATTGTGTCAACTTATCTATGGCAGAGACTGCTGGGTATCCAACAAAATCTGTTCTCCTCTTCTTCCATAGTGACAAAGTGGTGTCTGGGCCAGTTAGGGACTATATTTTGCAGCCTCTCCTGCAATGAGTAGAGGTCATATGTAACTAAGCCCTCACAAATGCGATGCGAGCAGAACTGATGTGTGCAATTTCCGCATCTCATGCTTAAGATGAATTTTATAGACATGACTTCCAGTCTTTCCCCTTCCTGCTAGCTGGAATGGGCATGACTAGAGTGACCTTGGAAGCTACAAGTTGAAAATGACACAGCCTCCGTTGACTTGGATCCCTGATTGACCCTAAGGAACAGAGAAAGTAGGCTTTCTCCAGGGAAATCCAGGGTGCCCAACTTGAATACTTTTCTCAAGTCATCCAAACGTCTCAAAAATATGAGCTGAAGGAGGTATCTTTGAGTGAAATCAAAAATATATCTCCCAAAAAATGCCACTGAACATCAGAAGAAATTAAATCTGAGGTCACAGCAGGTACTTAGGATCAGACTGGTTAAAGAATTGGGAAAGTAAGCTTCTTGATCAAGATGGCCAAATAGGAACAGCTCCGGTCTACAGCTCCCAGCGTGAGCGACGCAGAAGACCGGTGATTTCTGCATTTCCATCTGAGGTACTGGGTTCATCTCACTAGGGAGTGCCAGACAGTGGGCGCAGGTCAGTGGGTGCGCGCACCATGCGTGAGCCAAAGCAGGGCGAGGCATTGCCTCACTTGGGAAGCGCAAGGGGTCAGGGAGTTCCCTTTCCGAGTCAAAGAAAGGGGTGATGGACGCACCTGGAAAATTGGGTCACTCCCACCCGAATATTGCGCTTTTCCAACCGGCTTAAAAAACGGCGCACCATGAGATTATATCCCGCACCTGGCTCGGAGGGTCCTATGCCCACGGAGTCTCGCTGATTGCTAGCACAGCAGTCTGAGATCAAACTGCAAGGTGGCAGTGAGGCTGGGGGAGGGGCGCCCGCCATTGCCCAGGCTTGCTTAGGTAAACAAAGCAGCCGGGAAGCTCGAACTGGGTGGAGCCCACCACAGCTCAAGGAGGCCTCCCTGCCTCTGTAGGCTCCACCTCTGGGGGCAGGGCACAGACAAACAAAAAGACAGCAGCAACCTCTGCACACTTAAATGTCCCTGTCTGACAGCTTTGAAGAGAGCAGTGGTTCTCCCAGCACGCAGCTGGAGATCTGAGAACGGGCAGACTGCCTCCTCAAGTGGGTCCCTGACCCCTGACCCCCGAGCAGCCTAACTGGGAGGCACCCCCCAGCAGCGGCACACTGACACCTCACATGGCAGGGTATTCCAACAGACCTGCAGCTGAGGGTCCTGTATGTTAGAAGGAAAACTAACAAACAGAAGGGACATCCACACCAAAAACCCATCTGTACATCACCATCATCAAAGACCAAAAGTACATAAAACCACAAAGATGGGGAAAAAACAGAACAGAAAAACTGGAAACTCTAAAACGCAAAGCGCCTCTCCTCCTCCAAAGGAACGCAGTTCCTCACCAGCAACGGAACAAAGCTGGATGGAGAATGACTTTGACGAGCTGAGAGAAGGAGGCTTCAGAAGATCAAACTACTCTGAGCTATGGGAGGACATTCAAACCAAAGGCAAAGAAGTTGAAAACTTTGAAAAAAATTTAGAAGAATGTATAACTAGAATAACCAATACAGAGAAGTGCTTAAAGGAGCTGATGGAGCTGAAAACCAAGGCTCGAGAACTACGTGAAGAATGCAGAAGCCTCAGGAGCTGATGCGATCAACTGGAAGAAAGGGTATCAGCAATGGAAGATGAAATGAATGAAATGAAGCGAGAAGGGAAGTTTAGAGAAAAAAGAATAAAAAGAAATGAGCAAAGCCTCCAAGAAATATGGGACTATGTGAAAAGACCAAATCTACGTCTGACTGGTGTACCTGAAAGTGATGGGGAGAATGGAACCAAGTTGGAAAACACTCTGCAGGATATTATCCAGGAGAACTTCCCCAATCTAGCAAGGCAGGCCAACATTCAGATTCAGGAAATACAGAGAACGCCACAAAGATACTCCTCGAGAAGAGCAACTCCAAGACACATAATTGTCAGATTCACCAAAGTTGAAATGAAGGAAAAAATGTTAAGGGCAGCCAGAGAGAAAGGTCGGGTTACCCTCAAAGGGAAGCCCATCGGACTAACAGCGGATCTCTCGGCAGAAACCCTACAAGCCAGAAGAGAGTGGGGGCCAATATTCAACATTCTTAAAGACAAGAATTTTCAACCCAGAATTTCATATCCAGCCAAACTAAGCTTCATAAGTGAAGGAGAAATAAAATACTTTACAGACAAGCAAATGCTGAGAGATTTTGTCACCACCAGGCCTGCCCTAAAAGAGCTCCTGAAGGAAGTGCTAAACATGGAAAGGAACAACCGGTACCAGCTGCTGCAAAATCATGCCAAAATGTAAAGACCATCGAGACTAGGAAGAAACTGCATCAACTAACGAGCAAAATCACCAGCTAACATCATAATGACAGGATCAAATTCACACATAACAATATTAACTTTAAATGTAAATGGACTAAATGCTCCCATTAAAAGACACAGACTGGCAAATTGGATAAAGAGTCAAGACCCATCAGTGTGCTGTATTCAGGAAACCCATCTCACATGCAGAGACACACATAGGCTCAAAATAAAAGGATGGAGGAAGATCTACCAAGCGAATGGAAAACAAAAAAAGGCAGGGGTTGCAATCCTAGTCTCTGATAAAACAGACTTTAAACCAACAAAGATCAAAAGAGACAAAGAAGGCCATTACATAATGGTAAAGGGATCAATTCAACGAGAAGAGCTAACTATCCTAAATATTTATGCACCCAATACAGGAGCACCCAGATTCATAAAGCAAGTCCTGAGTGACCTACAAAGAGACTTAGACTCCCACACATTAATAATGGGAGACTTTAACACCCCACTGTTAACATTAGACAGATCAACAAGACAGAAAGTCAACAAGGATACCCAGGAATTGAACTCAGCTCTGCACCAAGCGGACCTAATAGACATCTTCAGAACTCTCCACCCCAAATCAACAGAATATACATTTTTTTCAGCACCACACCACACCTATTCCAAAATTGACCACATACTTGGAAGTAAAGCTCTCCTCAGCAAATGTAAAAGAACAGAAATTATAATGAACTATCTCTCAGACCACAGTGCAATCAAACTAGAACTCAGGATTAAGAATCTCACTTAAAACCACTCAACTACATGGAAACTGAACAACCTGCTCCTGAATGACTACTGGATACATAACGAAATGAAGGCAGAAATAAAGATGCTCTTTGAAACCAAGGAGAACAAAGACACCACATACCAGAATCTCTGGGACGCATTAAAAGCAGTGTGTAGAGGGAAATTTATAGCACTAAATGCCCACAAGAGAAAGCAGGAAAGATCCAAAATTGACACCCTAACATCACAATTAAAAGAACTAGAGAAGCAAGAGCAAACACTTTCAAAAGCTAGCAGAAGGCAAGAAATAACTAAAATCAGAGCAGAACTGAAGGAAATAGAGACACAAAAAACCCTTCAAAAAATTAATGAATCCAGGAGCTGGTTTTTTGAAAGGATCAACAAAATTGATAGACCGCTAGCAAGACTAATAAAGAAAAAGAGAGAGAAGAATCAAATAGACGCAATAAAAAATGATAAAGGGGATATCACCACCGATCCCACAGAAATACAAACTACCATCAGAGAATACTACAAACACCTCTACGCAAATAAACTAGAAAATCTAGAAGAAATGGATAAATTCCTCGACACATACACTCTTCCAAGACTAAACCAGGAAGAAGTTGAATCTCTGAATAGACCAATAACAGGAGCTGAAATTGTGGCAATAATCAATAGTTTACCAACCAAAAAGAGTCCAGGACCAGATGGATTCACAGCCGAATTCTATCAGAGGTACAAGGAGGAACTGGTACCATTCCTTCTGAAACTATTCCAATCAATAGAAAAAGAGGGAATCCTCCCTAACTCATTTTATGAGGCCAGCATCATTCTGATACCAAAGCCGGGCAGAGACACAACCAAAAAAGAGAATTTTAGACCAATATCCTTGATGAACATTGATGCAAAAATCCTCAATAAAATACTGGCAAACCGAATCCAGCAGCACATCAAAAAGCTTATCCACCATGATCAGGTGGGCTTCATCCCTGGGATGCAAGGCTGGTTCAATATACGCAAATCAATAAATGTAATCCAGCATATAAACAGAGCCAAAGACAAAAACCACATGATTATCTCAATAGATGCAGAAAAAGCCTTTGACAAAATTCAACAACCCTTCATGCTAAAAACTCTCAAGAAATTAGGTATTGATGGGATGTATTTCAAAATAATAAGAGCTATCTATGACAAAGCCACAGCCAATGTCATACTGAATGGGCAAAAACTGGAAGCATTCCCTTTGAAAACTGGCACAAGACAGGGATGCCCTCTCTCACCACTCCTATTCAACATAGTGTTGGAAGTTCTGGCCAGGGCAATTAGGCAGGAGAAGGAAATAAAGGGTATTCAATTAGGAAAAGAGGAAGTCAAATTGTCCCTGTTTGCAGACGACATGATTGTATATCTAGAAAACCCCATTGTCTCAGCCCAAAATCTCCTTAAGCTGATAAGCAACTTCAGCAAAGTCTCAGGATACAAAATCAATGTACAAAAATCACAAGCATTCTTACACACCAATAACAGATAAACAGAGAGCCAAATCATGAGTGAACTCCCATTCACAATTGCTTCAAAGAGAATAAAATACCTAGGAATCCAACTTACAAAGGATGTGAAGGACTTCTTCAAGGAGAACTACAAACCACTGCTCAAGGAAATAAAAGAGGATACAAACAAATGGAAGAACATTCCATGCTCATGGGTAGGAAGAATCAATATCGTGAAAATGGCCATACTGCCCAAGGTAATTTACAGATTCAGTGCCATCCCCATCAAGCTACCAATGACTTTCTTCACAGAATTGGAAAAAACTACTTTAAAGTTCATATGGAACCAAAAAAGAGCCTGCATCGCCAAGGCAATCCTAAGCCAAAAGAACAAAGCTGGAGGCATCACACTACCTGACTTCAAACTATACTACAAGGCTACAGTAACCAAAACAGCATGGTACTGGTACCAAAACAGAGATATAGATCAATGGAACAGAACAGAGACCTCAGAAATAACGCCGCATATCTACAACTATCCAATCTTTGACAAACCTGAGAAAAACAAGCAATGGGGAAAGGATTCCCTATTTAATAAATGGTGCTGGGAAAACTGGCTAGCCCTATGTAGAAAGCTGAAACTGGATCCCTTCCTTACACCTTATACAAAAATCAATTCAAGATGGATTAAAGACTTAAACGTTAGACCTAAAACCATAAAAACCCTAGAAGAAAACCTAGGCATCACCATTCGGGACATAGGCATGGGCAAGGACTTCATGTCCAAAACATCAACAGCAATGGCAACAAAAGCCAAAATTGACAAATGGGATCTAATTAAACTAAAGAGCTTCTGCACAGCAAAAGAAACTACCATCAGAGTGAACAGGCAACCTACAAAATGGGAGAAAATTTTCGCAACCTACTCATCTGACAAAGGGCTAATATCCAGAATCTACAATGAACTCAAACAAATTTACAAGAAAAAAACAAACAACCCCATCAAAAAGTGGGCGAAGGACATGAACAGACACTTCTCAAAAGAAGACATTTATGCAGCCAAAAAACACATGAAAAAATGCTCATCATCACTGGCCATCAGAGAAATGCAAATCAAAACCACAATGAGATACCATCTCACACCAGTTAGAATGGCGATCATTAAAAAGTCAGGAAACAACAGGTGCTGGAGAGGATGTGGAGAAATAGGAACACTTTTACACTGTTGGTGGGACTGTAAACTAGTTCAACCATTGTGGAAGTCAGTGTGGCGATTCCTCAGGGATCCAGAACTAGAAATACCATTTGACCCAGCCATCCCATTACTGGGTATATACCCAAAGGACTATAAATCTTGCTGCTATAAAGACACATGCACACGTATGTTTATTGCGGCATTATTCACAATAGCAAAGACTTGGAAGCAACCCAAATGTCCAACAATGATAGACTGGATTAAGAAAATGTGGCACATATACACCATGGAATACTATGCAGCCATAAAAAATGATGAGTTCATGTCCTTTGTAGGGACATGGATGAAATTGGAAATCATCATTCTCAGTAAACTGTCGCAAGGACAAAAAACCAAACACCGCATATTCTCACTCATAGGTGGGAATTGAACAATGAGATCACATGGACACAGGAAGGGGAATATCACACTCTGGGGACTGTTGTGTGGTGGGGGGAGGGGGGAGGGATAGCATTAGGAGATATACCTAATGCTAGATGACGAGTTAGTGGGTGCAGCGCACCAGCATGGCACATGTATACATATGTAACTAACCTGCACAATGTGCACATGTACCCTAAAACTTAAAGTATAATTAAAAAAAAATTAAAAAAAAAAAAAGAATTGGGAAAGTACCATGAGGAAACATGATGCATTTTATCTGACACCTAGAGTACTGTGATAGCATAAATGTGCACCAGGGAAGCCTGTCGCAGCGGCACGGCACTGCCTACTGCAGAGCTCTCTAAAGGGCCACTCACTGGGCTCCTTTGGGCCCCAGAGTGCCCAGTTATCATCATATCACTCAAGTCTAGTCCTGGGGAAAGTTTTGTTGTTAGTCATGTTTCATATTTCCTCTTCCTTTCCATCACATCCCCTTACCGCAAAGTACCCTTAAACCAGTGCTGATCTCTGGCTCTGTATGGCCTACCTCCTGCATCAGCACCCCATGCTGCATGTTTCCTTCTGCCCATCAAATTTTACTGGTCATGTGTCATGTCCCTTTAAAGCTTCATTATGGAATGACTTTCTAATCTGATTGTCCAATAGCAAAGTAGTGCAAATAAAATTATGTTACTGCAATTCCTTCTTAATGTTTACCCCACCAGACATTCTATTTGAAATGTAAATAGATTTCCACTGCCAAGGCACACATTTGCACATACACACACAACTAATTGTCTAATATATGGTTCTATAATATGTAATATAGCATATATTTTGAAATATAGCAGCTAATACTTGGAACTTAGAGCATGTAGGCCATTGGGTTGAAAGTTTGGATTCAAAGCAAGGAGAGAAAATGGAAAAGCCATGCCATTATTATGGGTGTCAAGATTCTACTATAGCATTCTTAAGTTATGTGGCAACTTAGAGGAAGATAAGTACTATCTATTTCCTGAAATCCTAGGAGATTTTATTGAGGTTATAGGTGGCCCACTGTGCTATAGGACTATCTCTTGACTGCCTTCTGACATTCTAAAAAACCAGATTTAAGTAAAAAAGACAAAATTTTAACCTTTGTTCTTAATGTGATGCTTGTCATCCTTTTTCCTTCTTAGAATCTAGTAACAGGTAGTTAAGTGCTTTGGATCTAGAGTTTTTTCCCCAAGTTCTGTATCAATAGATTATATGTATGTATATATATTTTTGTATATACATTGTAATATACATATTACAATTACATAGACACTATACAGGACTGTGAACCCTAAAGGTTAAGTAGTCTATAATGAAAGGGGTAACAAATGATCTTCAAATAGCTCTATTTGAAAGATGAGTAGTAAAAGCATGCTTTAAAATGAGGGCTACTATACAATTTAATCCTGGAACACGATAGGAAGAAAATATTAACTATAAAATATATGTTTGCCTAGTACATAGTGCTAAATAGCCCTTCAATTCCAGCTTTAACATATACATAGTATTTTTTAATTCTCACAACAATCCTGCCATGTAGGTATTATCAGCTCACTTTTAGTGGGGGAAATAGTTGCAGAGATCAGTGAAGACCCATTTCTGTATTTTCTACAACTCTTTTAGTTGCACAAAACAGAAACCCAACTCAAACTATCTTGAGTAAAAACAGAGTAGGGGAGAATCACCAGTTTATACAATCAAAATGTTGATAGGGAGCTCTGGCTTGAAACATGGCGGAATACAGGTAGCCAAATGGCCATCTTCAGGGCTCTGTGTCTCTCTTAATCTCCTAGAAAAAAGATAGCCATGGTAGGAGCATGATAGCCATCAGCAGACCAAGAGTCATATCTCCGGAGTTTAGCAACCACAGCATAGAGTATTTTTCCCCAAGGATCTGATTGAAATTGCATGCCCATTCCTGAACCAAGCTCTGTGGCCAGAAACATGATTGGTCAGGCTTGGGTATACTATATACCCCTTTGAGAGAGGGAACATACAAATAAAGCCCTCTCTATTACCATATGGAATGATCCCCACTATCTGCCATATACACACAAAAGTATTATCTTTCTAGAGAAAGTGGAAAATGGATTCTGGGCAAGCAAAACCAAGAGATGTCAATTACACTCATCACCCTTAACCTCCAAGCATATTGCAATTTTTTTAGTCATATATATAAGTATGAAAGTATTTCACTTGGCATATGCAAGTATTCACATAAAACTTAAAATCCATTAACCCTCTGCTCAAGGAACATAGTCTGAATTCTCATATACATAGAATTGCTGAATGTTGTGCATCTTTTTCCATCAGATTTTAATATGGCTCCTTAAGACCTAGCAACCTATGGCCAATTGGATAATTTCACCTCCCTTTGCAGACATAGAAGAAAAACAGAATAAAGACAAGTGATGTCCATTTGGGAGAGAAAAGGTAGCAACATTCAATAGTTAGCTCTTCATAGCATTGCCCATTCTGTTAGGCAGAGATAGGAAGAACTCACTGCCTCAAAGGTAAAGTGAGGCCTTCATCAGCTGAATCACTCCAGGGTACTCACCTGGAGGACCTCTGCTGTCCATGGACCTCTATGGCAATACCTGAGAGAGCCATGAGGAAAGGCAAAGCTGTGGGTGTGGGAAAGCTTCAGGAACATGCTTGTTGATATGGTTTCTAGGGCTTATGCAATCACATCCCATAGGCTAGGCCTGGGACTCCTGTTTCAATACAGCCCACTTAACAGCACCTGAACTATCTGGGACACATATACTATTCCTGAATCTCTAGTTGAGCTCTCATTTCATCTCATCCCTGGCCAACACAGTGAAATTTTGTTAACTAGCCCCAGGAGAATTAGACTGATTTTTGTAAAGTCTCTCAGAATCAGAAAACAGCACCATAATATCCATTACTACATTTTCTCCTCCACCACCTCCTCCTCCTTCTATTTCTCCTCCTGCTTTGTATCATTTAATATAACGCACAAGAGTTGCATGATGTACAAACTGATTATAACATTACAAAAGGATAATAAAATCTAAAATCTCCTTCAAAATCCACAATAGTGTTTTAAGGCATCTGGGAATTGTTAAATTATATTGACTTTGCTCCTGAGAAATGAAGCCTGGACTTCAGTTTGAAAGTAGATGTCTCCTATCAGCCAGGCCATCATTTCCCTATAACCATGAGCTGCTGGTTCCCAAAAGTGAGTGTGAAGATGATTTTAATCAGGGCCTGTCTGGTGGATCACACTCCCCTGTTGCCCACTGCCACACACACAGACAGACATAGACACACACACACGCGCCCGCACAAAAAGTACAAAAAGCCTGATTTTCATTACTGTAAAATAGACACATTTTGTTTGTTTTCCTTTCAGAAGCCACCACGTCTGAAACTATCACCAAAGTATTTGGCTTGTAAAGCATGTGTTTTGCCAGGGAGCTAATAGCAGTTCTAATTCCAGTCAACAATATCTGTTTCATAAACCCAGCATACACATTCTACTGTACACAACCCCTACTTGGAGGCAGGGAGCTGTCTTTATACTTCCAACTCATTTCTATTATAACTTTTTGAGTTGCTACATTTAGGATAACTGTTTGGCAGAACTGCAATTTTCCTCATGCACAGTTAAGTGAAAACTCTTATTATATATTGCTACATTGGGAGCAACTAAAAATGCTATCTCAGAGAAGGAAAAGGAAGACATCTAGCTTTGAGAAACCTTCTCTAAGTCAATTCTCCATAATCACATTATTCTTTTGGAGTTATCCAGCACTTTTTCCATGCAGGGACACAGCATTTCGTACTGTGTCATTTAGTCATACTTACAATATCCCCAAAATGAAAAATATACATAAAAATTATCTCTGTTTTTTTAGGGGCTGGTTATGATTAAAATGAAGCAACCATTATTTCTGGTAACCAGAGCAGGCTAGGAAGCAAGGTGCCTTGATTTGAAGAAAGATGGTTTAGGACTGAAGAAAAAAAAAAAAGAGGGAAAGAAATTTGGAGGTCAAGGGCGAACTAGACACCGACCCTAACCCTAACCTTAACCTTAAGTTGAATCTCCTTTCTATAGGGTTTGACTTTGTGGTTAGTCTGCCACACTAGTCTCTCAGAAACTTCAGGATGGAAATTGTACAGTAGAGGGTTAATTCATCAGATCATGATTACTCTAAATCTATACATTCCAAAGAAAAGCCTGTCTTCAGGAGAACTGGCCCTTGATCAGCTCCTATGAGATAACCTTTGACCCCTTAGAATGTCTTCCTTTATAAGACTGTTTTGGCATTCCTGAGGCCTGAGGCCCCCATGCGTCAGTTTGACCAGACAGCTTATGCTAACAGTGACTTGTGGTGACTGTTTTTGCATGCCTGGGTCTCCGGGATTCCCTATATTAGTTTGACGTCTCAGTAGTGGTAGGAGGATGAAGGAGTGGCTAGACGCTGAATAGCTAAAGTTAGTCATGTCCTGAATAAAATCCCTGGACACCAAGGCTCCAGTGAGCTTTTCTGGTTGTCAACGCTTTACACATGTTTTCACAAATTATTACTGGGAGAATTAAGCACATTCTTTGTGCAACCCTGTTGGGAGGGGATTCCTGGAAGCTTACATTTGGTTTCTACTGGACTTTGCCCATGTACCTTTCTCCTTTATTGATATTGATCTGTATCCTTTCACTATGATAAACCATAAACAGAAGCCTAACAGTATTTCTGAGTCCTGTGAATCCTAGTTAATCTATCAAACTTCAGAGTGGTCTTGGAGCTCCCCCAATACAGAAGTGACTGAAAGAGATAGCTGGAGGAATTTATCCCTGAATATTAATCAGAGATAAATCTTTTGTACTGTCCAGCCAGAAACAGAAACGTTCAAGGATCTGCTGACAACCCTTCCCTTGGAGCCAGAGTCCTGGAACCAAGCCCTTTCCCTTTGTAATGCCTATGTTAGAAAATAAAAGAGCTACTAACCATGGCAGGCCTTCTCATGTTAGTTTATTCCCAGATAAACATTTTTAACATAGACTGTCTCCCTTTCGTCAGTCCACTGCAGAACAAATACATGTCCAGTACTCTCAAAATGCAGAAGCTCACTAGCTCGTTCAAAAAATAAATAAATAAGGATGTAAACTCTCTGGGACTTTATACTCTCTAGTATTTTTTGAAAAACAAATAACTTTATTTAGACAGTCATAAAGTTTTATACAATTCATAAGACACAATTTTGATATTTTGTTTTATTCTTATGCAAAAAGTATTAAACTCTCTTAAAATATTGAAAAATCAGAATACACAATATCAGACCATTGCCCCCCAAAATTTACTTATATTTATAAGAAGGAATAAGGAGAGTGAGAAAAGAAAAAAATAAACTAGTATAGCAGTGTTGTAAGTCCACTCAGGCAGAGAAATTCCCATATCTAATGCATTCAGGTTTTGTTTCCCTCTTGGATGATCAAAATGAACTATCATACTTCCGCATGCTAGAGTACCTAAACTGCCTCTACTGTTTCTAAAAATCCTGCGAAGAGATTGCAAAGATCATTTAGCTTTTATATTAAATCTTCCTATTTCTTTCCAGCAGTTTCTGACTTCTACCTCTTGTTAATCACAAAAGTTCTTAAGATGGTTTTTGTCTAATACACATTTTAAAAATCCCTGAGGCACCGATTACAGAAACCACTATCATCTCCCAATCAGTACAAAGTGTGAAAATCCCATTTGACCTGGCAAATCCCGCAAAGCTTTTATGTTAGCCTACACATCACAATTCACCAAGGGGAGGCTGTGAAGGACTGAGGAACTTGGGCTCTCCAACTCTGCGTCAGCTCGGTCAGTTTTCCTTGGTTTACCACTAGCCAAAATTAAGACAAGAGTTCCACAGTTTCACATTAGAGACAAAACATAACTCTTTCCCAACTGGAGAAGTGTGTTTGGACCTCTTTTTAATTTTTATATGTAAAGGACACAAGAAGCAAAAAACAAAATCTCAAAATCTTTATTTTGAGTTCTCCCTTCAAAGCATAAAAATATTAGGAACTATATTATGATCCTTGAAATTCTGGGTGGCATTAAAAATCCTCCATTTTAGCCATGTATAAAAGCAACAGACAGGGCCAGACGCAGTAGTTCACCCCTGTAATGCCAGCACCTTGGGAGGCTGAGGCAGGCGGATCACATGAGGCCAGGAGTTCAAGACCAGCCTGGGCAACATAGTGAAACCCTATCTCTACTAAAAATACAAAAAAAAAAAAAAGTAGCTGGCCATGGTGGCATGCACCTGTAATCCCAGCTACTCAGGTGGCTGATGCAGGAGGTGGAGGTTGCAGTGAGCCAAGATAGTACCAGTGCACTCCAGCCTGGGCAATAGAGCGAAGACTGTCTCAAAAATAATAATAATAATAATAATAAAGTAAAATAAAGAAGCAGACAATCTTTGTGCCCATGAAGACTGTGAGTGGTTTTACATCCTCAAGAAGAATAAGCCACTAAACCAATCTATAGGCACATTACCACTTAATAAACTTACATTTAAAAAGCACTAAACCTAACGCTGGAAAAAACTGCCTCTTTCTATGGTGCAGTTTCTTAAAAAATCACAGCTGTGAAGCCCCATCAGCTAATTTGCCTACAATCAGTTGAGGCAAGACTTCCCTGGAATAAAAATGGAAAAATCAAGGTGTAGAGAGACACCTTCAAATTCTTTAAATGTAGGTAAAGAAGCAAGTTTGGACCTAAGGCATATGAGAAAAGCAGTTTTCTCTGTTCCTTTCCTTCTTTCCTTTACCTCCACTCATTGATTCAGAATACTTTTGCTATATCCAGAAACCCTCTAATGGAAAATTAGCAACCTCAGGGATAACATTTTGGTAACCTGGTAACCTATACAAACACACACACACACACACACATATAAACACACACTCACACACATATATACACACACATAATGTGTGCATATGTGTGTATTTCTAAGGGAATTGACTCACACAATTTTGGAGGCCAAGAAGTCCCACTATCGCCCATCTGTAAGCTAGAGAACCAGGAATGCCAGTGGTGTAATGTAGTCTGTGTCCAAAGCTTAAGAAGCAGAGCAACTGACAGTATAACTCTCACTGTGAGTCCGAAGGCCTGAGAATCAGAGACGGGTGGTGCTAGTGTAAGTCCCAGAATTCAAAGGCCCAAGAGGCAGGCTCTCCAGTGTCACAGGGCAAAAGAAGATAAATGTCCCCGCTTAAGAAGACAGAGAGCGAATTAGCCCTTTCTCCACCCTTTTGTACCATTCAGTGTTTCAATCGATCACATAATGCCCACCCACACTGGTAAAGGTAGATCTTTTTTACTCAGTATATTAATTTAAATGCTAATCTCTTCTAGAAACACCCTCATAGACATATCCAGAAATGATATCTTACCAGCTATCTGGGTATCCCTTAGCCCAGTCAAGCTAACACATTAAATTAACCATCATAGTTTGTGATTACTAAAAACCTATCTTAAGACTTTTTAATATATAATGGTGAAAAATTAAAGCTTATCTAAATGTCTATCAATAATACAGTGGTTAGGCAAATTATGGTATATATGTATAACTGATTAAATATTATGCAATGAATAAATAAGATGGCTATGATTATTGTATCATTTTAAGTGAAATAATCTAGATATATAGTTCATAATGGGATTAAAATTATATAAAAATACATATGAAAGATTATTAGTAAATATATACAAAAAGGATAACAGAGTATGTTGTGATGGTGAGATTATAGGGTTTTTTTGTTTCGTTTTTATTCTTTTTATTTTCTTCACATCCTGTTTTTTTTTTTTTTTTTTTTTTTTTGGAGTTTTGCTCTTGTTGCTCAGGCTGGAGTGCAATGGCACGATGTTGGCTAACTGCAATCTCCGCCTCCCGGATTCAAGCAATTCTCATGTCTCAGCCTCCCAAGTAGCTGGGAATACAGGCATGCACCACCACGCCCGGCTAATTTTTGTATTTTCAGTAGACATGGGATTTTGCCATGTTGACCAGGCTGGCCTCGAACTCCTGACTTCAGGTGAGCCACCCACTTCAGCCTCCCAAAGTGCTGGGATTACAGGTGTGAGCCACTGTGCCTAGCCTATTTTTCTAATAATATATATATAAAAAAAAAAAAAAACCTAAATTTTTAACTGGAAATCCCGGTTTTAGCCCTTAAAACCAGGGTTTGAATTCTGGAGTAGGCAGAATGAACTAGGTGTATTATTCTGGATTAGGGTTCCTCAACTAGGTACTGTTGACATTTACAGTTGAATGATGCTTTGTTCTGAGGGGCTGCCCTGTCCATTGTAGAATATTTGTCAGTGTCTCTGGCCTCTAGCCACTAGATGCTGGCAGCAACAACATTGCCAAATGTCCCCTGGGGGACAAAATCTCTGCTGGTTAAGAACCACTGCTGTAGATGCTTTCTGAAAATATTTATCATCTATTACTTTAAAGATCTTAAAATGCCTGAGTCATGGCCCTGTTCTCAGGAAGCATGTATTATAGTGGGAATAAAAAGACACACAAGCAAATGTGAGCATAAACATTAGTAAATAATAATAATAAAGATGTGACATTTACCAAGTATGTAGTCATGAAAAGGAAGGGAACAATCAGCTCAGGCTAAGGTAAAGGTTGAGCACCACTGACCCTACCTTCTCACTGGGCCCCAAACTTCTCATAAGAGCTAACACATGAAAGTTTGAGAACAGTTTAAGAAGTGTATCCATGACTGGAAGGGGACTGGCAGGGGATAGCAGAATGAGGGTTTGAGAGGGTCGTATTCCCGGCAGAAGTAAGGGCATGATCATATTCCAGGCACAGAAAATCCCAACAGAGATTTGGAAAATAGCAATCAGGTGGAATTGGTTGCAGCCTAGGATTTCCTCATGAAACAGTGGAAGATCAAGTGAGAAGAGTAGAGTGGGGCTTGATTGTGGAAAGCTTTGAATGCCAGTGTGGGCTTTCTTCTAATCAGTTGTTCTCAACTATGTCTGAACATTAGAAGCATCTGAGATGCTTCTTTAAAACTCCCATGCCTGGGCCCCACTCCAACCATCAACATCAGAATCCTCAAGGAATGAGACCAGGTGATTCCGATTCTCAACAGGCAGTTTGAGAACACCTGTCCTAGACAGTGGCTGTGGTGAGGCCAAACGTTAAATCCAGCCCTAACAACAATAACGTGATTCTTCCCATAATCCTCTTCCAGAACACCAACCCGACCCATACAAACATCTCATCTCTCAGCTGCATGCTTGAAGCTGAACGCTACAGCAGCAGAGACTTCTATTTCCTCTAGAATAGCCCCTCGAGTGGCCAGTCTACTTCTGACAAGACTCTACCTCTGGTAGTAAAAAATCTCAGTCTCCTAAGAAATATTTTGTTATAGTTTTGAGAGATCTGGAGATTTAGAGAACTTCAAGGTACTCATTTGAAATCTACATCCCAGAAATCTGTACTGCCTGATCTTGGTTTTCTCCTCTGGTGCCACGAAACAAATTGAAAATGTCTTCCCATAAGAACTTTGAAATTTCTGAAAACAGCCAATAGATCGGCACCCTAACTACTCAATAGATTAAACATCTCCACTTCTTTCACTTACTCCTGTTGTGATATGGTTTCAATTCCTCTCATCACAATGGTCACGCTTTCCTGAATACACACCAGTTTGCCATTGTCTGTCTTGAACTGTGATGCCCTGACCTAGATAAAAGACTATAGAAGTAGTTACATCAATGTAAGAAAAGCACAGATTTCTCTTGTAATCAGCACATTAATGCATTCGAGGTAGAGTTGGAGGGGCCACTAGGACATGCACACTGAGGATATGCACAGGACAGGAGGCAAGCTTCTCTTCCCTTTCCATGCTAAGTCCCACATTCTGTATCTGCTTCTCTTCCCCTTCCATGCTAAGTCCCACATTCTGTATCTGCTTCTCTTCCCTTTCCATGCTAGTCCACCATTCTGTGTCTGGTTCCTCTTCAGAAGATTCTTGTTTCTTTATGTTGGAAAACATCACATCACATTTGGAACTCCTGTGATCAGTTTTTCCTCTGGCTCAGTCTCCTCTACTCACTCTCTCTTATTTCTGATTCTGACTCTCCTCTGTAGCCTCAGAATCTTCAATTTCCTGGCTCCCTTTTATTTCTTCAGTTATCCTCTTTCTTCTAGATAATATGCAGGGAAGTAGAGAATATGTATTACCAAATAGTTTTCACTTTCTCCTCAAGCCAAGAATCCAAAAGGTAAGTACAGTTTAGAACACTTTCCTCATTGTCTGCTCCTCTTAGGATGGGGTTCTATAAACAAGCTGCTTATAATTACAGCCTTACCCCAACGATCCTTATCTGTTCTCTCTGCTTTATTTTTTTGTGACACCATCTAACTTATTGGAGATTTTACTTATTTTGTTTACTGTCTATGCCCCTCTACTTGAATGGAACGGATTTTCACTATTTTACTCACTGCTATATCCCTAGTGTCTAGAAGAATGCCTAGCATATTCTAGGTACTCAGCAAATACTTGTGAGATGAATGAATGACAGTGTCTTTAATAGCTCCCACAGATGTCTGCCAGAGTGAACTGCCTGTGTTTATTCCCTTGTGTTTAGATTCAATACTTCTGAATACTTTACCACTTTGCATAGTACGGTGGACTATCAATTGTTGGCAAAACCTTCATCATTTACCACTAATCTGACAGTTCCTCCCAATATCCAGCAGACAGCATATTGGAGAATTGTTCCACTTTTTCTACTTTTTCTTCTACTCAGCTGCTACAGAGTTCAGCTGCCCCAGAATACCCTGGGCTCTGACTCAAACCATGGTCCCTGCACGTGACCCAAGTAGGTTGCAGTGCTTTACAAACACTCCCAAGTTCCAAGGCCCATGGATTCTTACAATTAAGGCATTAATTATCTTAAATCTATGGCATGGACTTTTCCTCATTTTACAGCTTTTATTACTCTGGATCTTCTGGAATTTCCATTGATTCCATTTCAAAAATGCTTGAACTTAGTTTGATCTCTTCTCCTTATATTTCAACACTACAAATGTTTCATGTGAGTATCTATTGCAAAGTGTGCTGTTGGTATAAAAGGTATGCTCAGGTGAACAAGCTACATAAGACAAATCAGAAGCAATTCCCAGTCCTGTAGGTGTTGATAGTCCAATTTATCACTCCGATTCTTTACTCCAGGGAGCCAATTCAATGTCCTCTTATCTTCCCTGGCATGATGGGAAGGCCAGTGACCCAACTTCTCAAAAAGTCAACAGGAGAAACACTTTTGGAGGACACACAGAAGTCCTAGGATGCTTTTCAAAACACAGTGGAAGGCAATAAGATAGAGTATACAGCGTCAATCTCCCATCCCTCTTAACATGTGCCTAATGCAAGGTGAGATGTGCCTAATGCAGGGTGAGAGAGAAGCAGACCAACAGCTGTAAAATAGAAAGAACCCTTAGGAGAGATAGGTATGTACATTGTGAGGAATAGTGGTCAAGCACAGTAAGAAAGAGAGGGTGACATAAGGCAGTTTGATTGCTCTGTGGCGGCATCTAAAATCTAAAGTGTATACCCTGAAAGCTAATAGAGAATATGGTTCCTATTTATGGTTCTTTGTATTATCTGTAAGTTCCAGCAAGAAATTGTATTGTTGCAAGTACTGTCCCTGATTTTCTGTAGTTATGACAGAGAGAAATAAATACTTCTGTGAAATTATTTCCATGAGGAACATATGCTATGCTTGACCCAGTTTTCCTAGCAGAGCAAGGGCATTTCACAAGCAGCACTTGAAAGGCTCAGAATTATGCAGCCTTAACCACAGTGATGATCAAAGTGTGGCCCTCTGGTAAAATTGGACCAAACACAAAAATCTAAACTGAACCCTCCTATGGATCAGTATCCCTGGAGCAAAATTTTGCCTGAAGCCCTTACTTCGGCCGCTGCTAAAGTTCACAATGTGAGTCTTAGGCTGTCAAATAGCTCTGACAATTCAGGGAAGAATAACGAAAATTTAAATGAACAGAAGTCCTGTTTCTCTGTGTTCCAAAAGAGAACATGGTGTACTGTCATCTTCACGTGGAGCAAGAAGAGATTGGCCAGCAGTCCCATTCTCTGCCTGTATTCAAACACAGCTCATTTCATCATATCAGAATTCATTTCTGCTCTTGCCTCCTCCTCAGCAAGTTATCAGAGCTGTCAATATGACACAATTACATAATCATTTCCCGGGAACTTTGCAAAGCAGGCTCCCTGAATACCCTTCCATTGCTCTCAAAGTCCAGCTGTCTGTTACTTGTCAGGGGTCGGTGGGACTACCTTTTGCCTTTGTTTAAGTGGGATTATAAAATTTAAAGTACAGGGAACACACCGATGAAGGTTAAAGCAGTAGCACGTTAAATCTACAGTAAATGAAAATTTAACTCTAGCTACAAACAGTAGTATTTACTGAACCATAGACATTAGCTTTTCAAAATCACATTCAGAGTTATTAATACTGGATTGCTATTATTGTAGCTTTAAAATGATCATTGAAATATAATTTCCCTGTTCATGATGATGTAACTGCTGAGAAGCCATGTGGTTGGTAATTACACAATGCAGTATATGGAACTGAGCTAATGCCCTGAAATCTATTAATTGTTTGATTTTTTTTCTTCCTAATTCCACTGCCTGGTGTGCATTTTGTGTTGAAATAAAATAAGCTGTAACATCCATATTCCCTTGCTTAGCCTCTGGAGAATGAGGGAGTGTGGGAATGGAAGTGGAGAAGCTGTAACTGACTCTGGATTATTCGGAGTTCTGAGGGAGCACACACTGAAGTGCTGATCCACTGCACCATTTGTTGTTGCTTCCTTCATACTACCAGCAAGCCATCAACACTAAATGCAATTGCCAGTTAACTCTATTAAATATGTATGCATGTGTGCATGTACTTTGATTTTATATATATATATATATATATATATAATTTTTTAAGTACACTGGCTGTTACCACCCTTATTTGACAGATTCTAAATAGTGTCTCTTTATTATCCAAATAAAGCATAGCTGGAGAGGAAAATCAAAAATATATATTCAGAAAAATACCTGTAATAGACAACAAGTAATTACTTTTCTATTTTTTTACTTTATTTGCAAATTAAGGTACATGTCTGTGTGTCGAAAAGATTATAGTTGTAAGAGTTGACAAAACAACACAGATTTCATGTGGAACTAGCCACTGTTGCTTGCCAAGGGGTGATTTAAACATATATCTTGTCTCAGTGGTGTGTGTACATCAGTCACAGGCCATACAGACAGCACAAAAAGAGACTTGGAACCAGTTAGCCTGGGCTTGCATCCTGGCATGGTCACTCACTATCTGTGAGATTTGGGGAATGTCATTTCACTTCTATCACAATTTCTCCATATGTAAAAAGAGGATTGTGATAGTATCTTTCTCACAGTGTTGTTGTGAGTATCAAATGAATTAATATATGTAAACTGCTTAGAACAGCGCCTGGCATACAGTAAGCACTATTCAAATGTTGGCTATTATTGCTTGTAAACAATAGACATGGTCTCTAGCTAACTTACAGAAGAAATATACTGAAAGGAAATTAAGTATCTTGCAGAATCAACAGGAAAGCTGAAAAAAGCATATAAAATGGACAGGAACAAAGACAGCCATGCAGCAGGATCCCCCAGATGGTGTAACACGCTACGGCCAGCAGCATGGCCCCAACACCACAGGACAGTGCCACTGCCAGGCATTGTGTTTGCCCCCCCGACCACTGGATACCGTATGCTGCCCCAAATAAGTCCTAACTGATCCTTCCTCTTTATATCACTAGCTCCAGAGTTGAAGCCCCAGGCAGGGCATTCAGTGGCCAAGCCTCGGATACCTGGCTATATCCACCAAGCACCAGCCAGAAGAAATATCCAGTCCCTTTAGTTCCTGAAGTGGGAGATGGGGCTCTGCCTCCTACCAAGATTCAACACTGTGGGGATCCTTCAAAACAAGAAGGGAGTTTAGATGTGGGAGGGGAAAAAACCAAAGCCAAACCAAACAGAAGTCTACTACTGTTCTAAGCTGCCGGGAAGAGAACTTTCTCAGGTCCGCTGACCTATCAAGAAAGAGAAGAATGACTATGAAAACCAGAAAACAGAGATCACCGCAAGTCACCGATCAGGTAGAAAACACAGAAAAGTGAAAGAAAAAAAGAAAACTAGAAACAGGTCATTAGGTAGGAACAATCAGTGTGGCAGACAAAGAAATTTGGCCTAGAAAGCAGTAAAATAAGAAGCATAGTGCTTCTCATAGAGTCAGAAGAAAAGAGCCTAGTCTGGTTTAGTGGTTCTCAAACATTTTGATCACTAAGACCCCTTTACAAACCTAAACATTATCAAAGACTTCAAATATCTTTTTCTAATGTGGGTTATATCTGTGTATATTTGGTGTACTGAAAAAGCCAAGAAATTATGAAAAAGATATTAATTCATTTTACATAAAGTAAACCCACTACCAACATAAATGATATATATTTATGAAAAGCAACTATATTTTCCTCCAACAAACTATAGTGAAAAGAGTGGCATTGCTTTATGTTTTTGTGAATCTGGCATATTAGAAGTCTCATATCTGCTTCTATATTTAATCTGTTGTGATATTACAAATCACGGAGCCCCTGGAAAACTCCAACTGTGAGAGAATGAGTGAAAACAGCAAATAACATGTTAGTATTATTATGAAAACAGTTTTGACCTCCTCTAAAAAGCATCTTGGGAACCCTGCTAGAGTAGACCAAGAATAGTAACAAGTTAGAGCTAAAGAGACAATACAAGCTGGGGATTGTGTCTCATGCCTGTTATCCCAGCAATTTAGGAGGCTGAGGCAGGAGAATCACTTCAACCCAGGAGTTCAAGGCTGCACTGAGCCATCATCGCACCACTGCACTCCAGCCTGGGTGACCAAGTGAGACTCTGACTTTAAAAAGACGGTATAGGTTTCACCAGGAACTACAAAAGATGGGCTATGATGATAACGATAACAATATACTCTCACCTCAGCTTACATTTATATAGCACTTTGTTATTTACAAAAGCATTTCCACATATATGTTCTATTTTACACCCACCACAATCTGGGAGGCATTACTTCCACTTTATAAGCAAGGACTCCAGTGTTCAGAGAGGTTAACAGCATCACATAGCTTGTAAGTAGAAAAGCTAGATACAACATTCCCACCCACTATTGCATGTGGAAGATGTAGTTGTTGTCATGAGGGAAGTATGGAAACACCGATATAGCCGTCTCCATTTCCTAGGCAGGATCCAAGGCCTACGGTTTTGAAAATGTCCTTCCTTTGATCCGCAAGCGGGAGCAGAACTGTGTCTAGATCCTAGATTTGTTGGCTCTCGATTGGACTTTAGTAACTAAGCAAGCATAAGTCAGAGTTAAAAAATTCCGTGAATTTTTTTTTTAATAAAGAGCTGGATTCTAAATCCATTATATGGATAAACAACTTCTTGGTAGATATAGGCAGTGGATTCATTTGTCCTTTGCTCCTTAATCTCATCACTCACCAAAAAAATTGTTAAGCCCTTCAACAATTGACCTAAAAATAAACAAGGAGTCTCCAGTTCCTAGGTGGCAGCAGCAGGAGGTAGAAAGTTTGATAAGATGCTCATTTTTTATAGATATCTTATAGATATTTCCAGATACTTTTGTGAATCAGTCATGATTTACACCCTTGTTTTCAAGTGGGAATAAAGACAGGAAGAAAGAGAGAATGATGACTAAGCTGGCTTAAATAATAATGACATTTTATTATCTTAGAAATCCTGATGTACCAAGATAGGACATCTCCAAGATAAGCTCATTCAGAAGTTAAATAACATAATAAAGATTCAAATTCCTCCCCTCTTTCCTCTCTGCCTTCATCGAATGTCAACTCCCCTCATAACCTCAAGATGGCTGCCAGAGTTCCAACTATCACATATAAACACAAAAACTTCAAAAAAAGAAAAGGGGCCATTTCTTCTTTGGCTTCTTTATAACAGCAAAATAAATTTTCCCAAAAGCTCACATGCAGACCTCATTGCACAACTTATTTCCTTTGCCTAAACGTTACTGGTGAGAAGAACGTGACCCAAAGATGAACAGAGACAACCAACAATTATTTCTACTACTGGGGACAAATCAGCTTTTACTGACACCATTTGGGAAGGATTTGTCAGAAAGAAAAAAACAGGGGAATGAATAATAGCGGTTTCTACATTTTAGGGTTTTTTTTTTCACCTAAGAATTCATTTGCTACAATCTTTGGGAGTTTTTTTATTTTTATTTTTTGAGAAAATATGATGCTGACATAAACACTATCCCATGGAAATAAAGAGACCTAAAGCCTAGCATAAAAGCCATGATTTTTAAATATAATATTAATAAATATAGGTGACTGCTTTTGATATAATGGAGCTAATTGCTAATTTACTAAATGTAACATGTTAATTTTTTCAGTGTATTCCATATACAAGTTGTCACTAAATAATACTCCAGAGCCCCATTAAAATCACTGAATGCAAGCAAATTCAATTAGTGTTCACTTTCAAGGCAGAATGTGCTATTCATATTAGGTCTGTAGATGTGGCAGCACGAGCATTAGGGAGAGCCCAAAAGCAATTTGGAGAATAAATGACTGGGGATGGGGCAACCAAAAATGGGGAGGAAAAAAATGGATTAACTATTATTAGAGGAAAACCATCAAAACAAAGCTAGGAGTGGCATTCTATGAGCCAGCCCTCTGTGGGCAATAAGCCACTCTCAGATCCTTAAATTGTTAAACAATCATCATCCTGACCATAAATCATCACCAGCTCTAAATGAGCCACCTTGTGGCTTTTACCGAAAGACATTTAGAGTTGGTGATGATTTATGGTCCATGCTGCTATAAAGACACATGCACACGTATGTTTATCGCGGCACTATTCACAATAGCAAAGACTTGGAACCAACCCAAATGTCCAACAATGATAGACTGGATTAAGAAAATGTGGCACATACACACCATGGAATACTATGCAGCCATAAAAAATGATGAGTTCGTGTCCTTTGTAGGGACATGGATGAAGCTGGAAACCATCATTCTCAGCAAACTATCACAAGGACAAAAAACCAAACACCGCATGTTCTCACTCATAGGTAGGAATTGAACAATGAGAACACATGGACACAGGAAGGGGAACATCACACACCAGGGACTGTTGTGGGGTGGGGGGAGGGGGAAGGGATAGCATTAGGAGATATACCTAATGCTAAATGATGAGTTAATGGGCGCAGCACACCAACATGGCACATGTATACATATGTAACTAACCTGCACGTTGTGCACATGTACCCTAAAACTTATAGTATAATAATAATTTTAAAAAAAAAGAAAATTGGGATAAGTATCTAAAAAAAAAAAAAGCCACCTTGTTCCTAGGGTCAGTGAATTTAGTGCCTTTGATTGCAAAAACTAATTCCCTCTATTTTTAAGCATATATATATATATATGGGCATACATATATGTGTATATATAGTGTATAATACACTATATATATAGTATATGAGGTAATTAGTGCATAAGGTATATACACTAATGTTTTTGCAAAGCCTATACGTATGACAGGCTTTGCAAAAACATTAGTCAGTGTGTGGTAGTGGATACATATGAGGACATCTTTGTACGTCATTTCTTCTCAGCTACTAAAAATAATATTGTATGATAGGGAATGCCAAAGTCACTGTGATATAGTTCAAAAGAACATCTATTCTCTTTCCTCTACGAAAATCTCAAATAGATGGAAGCAATCCAAGGCAGTTTTTAGTTCATTCCAACTCTCCGACCCAGCAAAACCTCCAAAGATAAACACTGCAATTGACAATGACAAAATTTGATATTAGCAAAAAAAGTCCAAAGTAGCTACCTCCACTACTACCCAAAGGGGATTCAGTGATAATTTGCCTAGGTTACTGCAGGTAGATCAGTATCTTGGAGACATTTTCATCTCCTACAAAGGGAGTGATTCCCACTTTTCTCCATGACTCAAATGTGCTCACTAAATGTGGACACACTTTAAAGTTGCCCCATAATCCTGCCTCCTGGATTTCTTGCCCTTGTGAGATCTCCTCTCCTTGTGTGTGGGTGGGACCTGTGACTTTCTTCCTTTTTTTTTTTTCTTTTATTCCCTAGTACGTGCTTCTAACCAACAGAAGATAGCAAAGGAGATGGGATCCCATAACTAAGATTACATTATGTCTAATTACATCTTGCTAAGAGATTTGCTATAGAGGGTTGCTTCTTCCTCCTTTGCTGGCTTTGAAGATGCAAACTGCCATGTTAAAAGAGGCTTTGTAAAGATGATTGCATGGCAAGGGACTAAGGGCAACCTCTAGGAGCTGTAGTCAGCCTCTGAACCATAGCCATCAAGATGCTCAGGCCTTCAGTCTCCCAGCTGCAAGAAAATGAAATTTGTCAGTTAACTGAGTAAGATTGGAAGCTGTTACATTGCCCAGGCCAACACCTTGACTGTATCATTTCAAAAGATCCAGCTAAGTCTTGCCTGCACTACTAACCCACAGAAACTGTGAGATGATAAATGCATGCTGTTTTAAGCCACTAAATTTGGGATAATTTGTTACACAGCAATAGAAAACAAATATACTAACCAAACCTAGAAAAGTAGGACTTCTGGTTGTAGAGAATGCCAAACCAACATAGTCAGACCAGCAATTCATTGTTTTTCACATCATGTTTCCTATTCCTCGGAATCTTACTGACTCTTGGGTTGGTGGGTTAATCTAGTGTGCACATTTTATGATTTACTTTTGTCACTTTATTCCTTCCCAGAGACACTGCGACTCTTTCCAGCTAATGGGAAACCATTTCATGCAATGAATCAAAATTTATTAAACTGTGTCCAAATGGCCTGATAGAATTTATGCACCACCAAAGTGAACCAATTTATTCCTCGTTCAGACACATCATTTTCGTTGTCCCTACATCCATTAATAGAGCATCCTTCGCTGATGTTTCATTTGCTCTAAACTGGATCATCCCCTCATGATGGTTTATGATGAGAGAGAATTCTCAGAAAAGAATACCACAGATGACTTCTTATAAATTTTTTGCCTGTCTTTTTCAGGTTGTTTTTTTAAATATACAGCTATAGAACCATTAACAATAGTTTCATTACAGATGTAGAGAAATGACACATGGTTGGCATTTGTAGTACATGTCCCTTTTATTCAAAGTGCCTTTATAGGTGATAAATGAGGTTGACTTTTAGGCTCAAAAAAATTGGAGGTAGAGATAGAAAAATATATGAATATATTGTCTCTTACTCTGCAAGTAAAATAGCATATGTGTGACTTTCAAGTTAGAAGGACAAATATGGAGCCAAGGACAGTGGGGGCAGGAGATGGGGGGATGGAAATAAACATTTGTGGAAAGTAAAATGTTGATAGCCTGTGCAGTTTGAATCTATGCAATTTCTTATATAAGAAAAGAAGACTAAAGTAAAATTTACAACAAATCAATACATCTGCTTAATTGATCTATGACTGAAATTTACTTTCCACATTAGTAAAGAGTCAGAGCAGTTCATTTCATTAACATAACTATATCTCAGTGCTCACTGAAGAGCTAACAAAACCAGAAACCCAAGGACATGTAATAAAGCAGCAAGGTTTCAGAAAACATCAGCTGCAAATACATCAACACCTGCATGTTCCAGAGTAACTGGGAGGGGGAAATTTAGCTTACAAAATAGACACTAGGAAAACACCATAAAAGATCGAGTTATAGTGTCTTAAATAATAGAGATCAAAGTTAGATCCCTTCAGAAAGCTGGATTCATACAGAAAAGCTCTAATGGTGAGAAAGTGGCAGTTCAGGAAAGGATTTGGGAGCACTATATTGTTGGGAGGGAGGTTAAAAACTTGTCTTCAGATGTGCTTGCCTAGACTGTAGACTTTATATAAAAACTTTAAAACATGAATTATCCATTTTAAAAAATAGGATGCTGGGCAGGAGGTTGATAGCTAAAGTCACCTTTTAGCACTACCACTGCAGAGAAAAGAAAAATAATTTTACCTAGGATGCCCAGGTTTTAGGAGCATAATAAGATGAGAGGAACTGCTGAGTAAGTAGCTGTCTTGGTCTGTTTTGTGTTGCTATAACAGAATTCCTAGGACTGGGTAATTTATAAAGAAAAGTTGATTTAGCTCACTGTCCTGCAGGATGGGATGTTCAGGGGCATGGCCCTGGCTTCTGGCAAGGGCTTTTGTGCTGCATCATATCATGGTGGAGAAAATCAAAGGGGAAATAGGCACGTAAAAAGAGGCAAAGTCTGCGGGGCGTCCTGGCTTTATAACAACCCATTTTTGTGGGAATTAATCGACTCTTGCAAGAACTAATCCAGTCTCCCAAGAGCAAGAACTCACTTACTACCTCAAGAGCCACACCAAGCCATTCATGAGGGATGCCTCCCATGACCCACACTTCTCACTTGGCCCTACTTCTTAACACGGCCACGTTGGGGATCAAATTTCAATGTGAGTTGTGGTGGGGACAAACTAAAACCATAGCAGTAGACTTACATCTACTAGATGATGGCAAAAATCCCCAACATGTATGGTTTGTTTTATGTAACCTCACTTCCCTCAGCTTTCCTTAGGATAGAACCATGCCTTGATTACAGCACCTGCACTTTGAGAACACTGCAGCCTTTGGTACACTGAGGGATTACTCTTTCCAATTTTCAAATTTACCGTGGGAGTTTATAATTTAACTTGTTCTCAAAGCTTTAAGCACCTCCTCTCCTATCCCTTCATTAAACAGAAACTGACAAAAGATATGGGCACTTTCTCTCTTAGCCCTTCCCTGAATTCTGGCATAGAAATACAAAGTTTTAAATAATGTACTACCATCATTAAATGTGCTTAGGAAAAGTAAAAATAAGTTATGAAGATAAAGATAAATATCAATCTGCCCCACCATAAAAGATTTATTGTTAAGTAATAAAAATTTTAATTTTTGTTTGTAGAAGCCCCTACAACCAAGTTCTAAAATAAAATAACCATAACAATAGTAATAATAAAAACTCAAGCCAGGCGCGGTGGCTCATGCCTGTAATCCCAGCACTTTGGGAAGCCGAGGTGGGCAGATCACAAGGTCAGGAGTTTGAGACCAGCCTGACAAACATGGTGAAACCCCATCTCTACTAAAAATACAAAAATTAGCTGGGGGTGGTGGCAGGCGCCTGTAATCCCAGCTGCTCAGCGGGGAGCCGAGGCAGGAAGATTGTTTGAAACCGGTAGGCAGAGGTTGCAGTGAGCCGAGATCACGCCATTGCACTCCAGGCTGAGGGACAAGGGTGAGATTTCACCTCAAAAAAAAAAAAAAAAAAAAGAAAGAAAGAAAAAGAAAAGAAAAAAATTACGGAATTCCAAAACATATTGTGTTTGCTGCAATTGCAGCCCTGCCTGTGGTGAGCATGTAGGCTTTGGAAGCAGGAGTAAGTATTACCGATGAAGTTGTGCTCTGCTACTTCTAAGCCATGGTCTAGGCAAGTCACTTTCTCCTCCTTATCTATAAAATGTTGATCATACCCACTTGTTTTTCTGAGATTAGCAACAGAGCATATAAAACATTTAAAAATGACAAACACACTTTGGGAGGCCGAGGCGGGCGGATCACGAGGTCAGGAAATCGAGACCATCCTGGTTAACACAGTGAAACCCCGTTTCTACTAAAAATACAAAAAAATTAGCCAGGCGTGGTGGCGGGCGCCTGTAGTCCCAGCTACTCAGGAGGCTGAAGCAGGAGAATGGCGTGAACCCGGGAGGCGGAGCTTGCAGTGAGCCAAGATCGCGCCACTGCGCTCCACCTGGGCGACAGAGAGAGACTCCATCTCAAATAAACAAAAAAAAAAAAAAATTGTGTTATATACCAAGCATTGTTTTAAACACATGGAATCCTTAAAATAGTCTCATGTATAGATATTATTATTATTCCTATTTTACAGGTAAGGAAACTGAGGCCCAGAGATGTTCACTTGCCCCTGTTCAAAGAGTCTGGACTTCAACCCAGCCAGTTTAGGGTCAGAGCTTGTTCTCTTAACCTGTACTACACTAAGACTGCCTCTCAAAGCAGCAATAATAAAATCAATAATAACTGACTTTTATTGAGCACTTTCTTTATGTAGGGTACTGATAAGCATCTTGCTTGAATTATTTCATTTCATTTTTAAAACAACCCCATGAAGTAGGTACTGCCAGAATCACCACTATGCTATATCATACTACTCCTCATGAAGCGCCTGGAAAAATACAGTAGCTCAATAGAGGGTAGTTATTATTATTATCCCCATTTGTACTAATATGTCTTCAAGCACGAAGCAAAGAAATAATCCTGAGCAATACAATTGACATTAGAAATAAACTTACTTTGTAGAATAATGTTTTCTCAGCATGTTGGAACACAGGCAAACTCCTGCCCACATCTTATCCAGCCTCCCTCTGTTACAGCCATCTCTGCAACTAGGCAGACTTTCATTTGTAGTTTCATTTAAAAAAAAAAAAGTATGGCTTTTGGCCTGGGCTGTTTTCTGTGGCTCTTTGGAAAATGAAATCTCCCTACTTCTGTTCAGTGTATTGAACTTTCTAACCATAGCATCAATACCTCACACTCTTCCCCATCTCCATCTTTTGTATTAAAAATTAGGGAGAGACTGTGAGAAGCTGCTGCAATGGAGACAAATGATGAATAAAATGAAAAATTCTTTGCTTGGTTCACCGAGAAAATTCCATTTTTAACGTTTAGCCTTGTGTACTACATCCACTGGCGAGCTAAAATATACCGTGAAGGGTAGATTTCAGGAATATGGTTTCCTGTTCCACATTGAAAACAATCTGAAGCAGAGGAGGGGTGGGGACAGGCTGCCTGGTCAGGGTGATAATGCAGCAGTGAATGCAAGAGATGGCCTCTAGGGCAATAATCCAATGTCATTCAGGGCAGACCACCCCACAGTCTGGTGCTGAGGGGAGACAGCAGAGCACCTCTGATGCAAAAGAAGATTGAGATATTGGAAGATGAGCAATGTTTACCTCTCCCAGGGAAGAGAAGGAAGTGTATAATCCAAATGTAAGACAGACTTCTGACCTAAGAATGGATAACTATACAATTCTTTTGCAGCAAAATTGCTAAATTAGCTTAAGCTAATTTTAGAATTAGAGTACTTTTTTAAATTTTCCTGTTGGGATCTTTCATTTTGTTATTATACTTTAAGTTCTGGGATACATGTGCAGAACATTCAGGTTACATAGGTATATATGTGCCATAGTGGTTAGCTGCACCCGTCAACCCATAAACTACATTAGGTATTTCTCCTAATGCTATCCCTCCCCTAGCTCCCCAACCCCTGACAGGTGATGTTCCCCTCCCTGTGTCCATTTGTTCATAAGTTCACCTCCCACTAATGAGTGAGAACATGCAGTGTTTGGTTTTCTGTTCCTGTATTCGTTTGATGAGAATGATGCTTTCTAACTTCGTGTTCCTGCAAATGACATGAACTCATCCTTTTTTATGGCTGCATAGTATTCGATGGTGTATATGTGCCACATTTTCTTTATCCAGTCTATCATTGATGAGCAGTTGGGTTGGTTCCAAGACTTTGCTATTATGAACAGTGCTGCAATAAACATACGTGTGCATGTAGCTTTATAGTAGAAAAATTTATAGTCGTTTGGGTATATACCCAGTAATGGGATTGCTGGGTCAAATGGTATTTCCGGTTCTAGATCCTTGAGGAATTGCCACACTGTCTTCCACAATGGTTGAACTAATTTACACTCCCACCAACAGTGTAAAAGCATTCCTATTTCTCCACATTCTCTCCAGCATCTGTTGTTCCCTGACATTTTAATGATCACCATTCTAACTGGCATAAGATGGCATCTCATTGTGGTTTTGATTTACATTTCTCTAATGACAAGTGATGATGAGCTTTTTTGCATATGTTTCTTGGCCACATAAATGTCTTCTTTTGAGAAGTGTCTGTTCATATCCTTTGCCCACTTGTTCATGGGGTTGTTTTTTTCTTGTAAATTTGTTTAACTTCTTTGTAGATTCTGGATATTAGACCTTTGTCAGACGGATAGATTGTAGAAGTTTTCTCCCATTCTGTAGGTTGCCTGTTCACTCTGATGATAGTTTATTTTGCTGTGCAGAAACTCTTTAGTTTACTTAGATCCCATTTATCAATTTTGGCTTTTGTTGCCATTGCTTTTAGTGTTTTAGACATGAAGTCTTTGCCCATGCCTATGTCCTGAATGGTATTGCCTAGGTTTTCTTGTACAGTTTTTATGGATTAGGTCTTAAGTTTAAGTCTTTAATGCATCTTGAGTTAGTTTTTGTATAAGGTGTAAGGAAGGTGTCCAGTTTCAGTTTTCTGCATATAGCTAGCCATTTTTCCTAGCACCATTTATTAAATAGGGAATCCTTTTCCCATTTCTTGTTTTTGTCAGGTTTGTCAAAGATCAGATGGTTGTAGATGTGTGCCGTTATTTCTGAGGCCTGTTCTGTTCCATTGGTCTATATATCTGTCTTGGTACCAGTACCATGTCGTTTTGGTTACTGTAGCTTCAAAGTATAGTTTGAAGTCAAGTAGCATGATGCCTCCAGCTTTGTTCTTTCTGCTTAGGATTGTCTTGGCTATAAGGGCTCTTTTTTGGTTCCATATGAAATATAAAGTAGTTTTTTCTGATTCAGTGAGGAAACTCAGTGGTAGCTTGATGGGAATAGCATTGAATCTATAAATTATTTTGGGCAGTATGGCCGTTTTCATGATATTGATTCTTCCTTTCCATGAGCATGATAAGTTTTTTCCCTTTTGTTTGTGTCCTCTCTTATATCCTTGAGCAGTGGTATGTAGTTCTCCTTGAAGAGGTCCTTCACATCCCTTGTAAGTTGGACTCCTAGGTATTTTATTCTCTTTGTAGCAACTGTGAATGGGAATTCACTCATGATTTGGCCCTCTATTTTTCTATTATTGGTGTACAGGAATGCCTGTGATTTTTACACATTGATTTTTGTATCCTGAGACTTTGCTGATGTTGCTTATCAGCTTAAGGAGATTTGGGGCTAAGACGATGGGGTTTTCTAAATATACGATCATGTCATCTGCAAACAGAGACAATTTGACTTCCTCTTTTCCTAATTGAATACTCTTTGTTTCTTTCTCTTTTCTGATTGCCCTGGCCAGAACTTCCAATACTATGTTGAATAGGAGTGGTGAGAGAGGGCATCCTTGTCTTGTGCCAGTTTTCAAAGGGAATGCTTCCAGCTTTTGCCCATTCAGTATGATATTGGCTGTGGGTTTGTCATAAATAGCTCTTATTACTTTGAGATATGTTCCATCAATACCTAGTTTATTGAGAGTTTTTAGAATGAAGGGGTGTTGAATTTTATCAAAAGCCTTTTCTGCACCTATTGAGATAATTTTGTGGTTTTTGTCATTGGTTCTGTTTATATGATGGATTACATTAATTTGATTTGCGTATTTGAACAAGCCTTGCATCCCAGGATGAAGCTGACTTGATCGTGGTGGATGAGGTTTTGATGTGCTGCTGGATTCGGTTTGCCATTATTTTATTGAGGATTTTTGCATCAATGTTGATCAGGGCTATTAGCCCGGAATTTTGCTTTTTGTTGTTGTTGTTGTTGCTGTATCTCTGCCAGGTTTTTGGAATCAGGATGATGCTGGCCTCACAAAATGAGTCAGGGAGGAGTCCCTCTTTTTCTATTGTTTGGGATAGTTTCAGAAGAAATGGCACCAACTCCTCTTTATACCTCTGGTAGAATTTGACTGTGAATCCATCTAGTCCTGGGCTTTTTTTGGTAGGCTGTTAATTACTGCCTCAATTTCGGAACCTGTTATTGGTGTATTCAGGGATTCAACTTCTTCCTGGTTTAATCTTGGGAGGGTGTATGTGTTCAGGAATTCATCCATTTCTTCTAGATTTTCTAGTTTATTTGTGTAGAGGTGTTTACAGTATTCTCTGATGATAGTTTGTATCTCTGTGGGATCAGTGGTGATATCCTCTTTATCATTTTTATTGTGTCTATTTGACTCTTCTTCCTTTTCTTTTTTATTAGTCTGGCTAGCAGTCTATTTTGTTAATCTTTTCAAAAAACCAGCTCCTGGATTCATTGATTTTTTGAAGGGTTTTTCATGTTTCTATCTCCTTCAGTTCTGCTCTGATCATAGTTATTTCTTCTCTTCTGCGCCATTTAGTGCTATAATTTTCCCTGTAAACACTGCTTTAGCTATGTCCCAGAGACTCTGGTATGTTGTCTTTGTTCTCATTGGTTTCAAAGAACTTATTCATTTCTGCCCTAATTTTGTTATTTACCCAGTAGTCATTCAGGAACAGATTGTTCAGTTTCCATGTAGTTGTGTGGTTTTGATTAAGTTTCTTAATCCTGATTTCTAACTTGATTGCACTGTGGTCTGAAAGACTGTTTGTTATGATTTCCATTCTTTTGCATTTGCTGAGGAGTGTTTTATTTCCAATTATGTGGTCAATTTTAGAATAAGTGCAATGTGGTGCTGAGAAGAATGTATATTCTGTTGGCATGGGGTGGAGAGTTCTGTGGGTGTCTATTAGGTCTCCTTGGTCCAGAGCCGAGTTCAAGTCCTCAATATCCTTTTTAATTTTCTGTCTTGTTGATCTGTCTAATACTGACAGTGGGGTGTTAAAGTCTCCCACTATTATTGTTTGAGAGTGTAAGTCTCTTTGTAGGTCTCTAAGAACTTGCTTTATGAATCTAGGTGCTCCTGTATAGGGTGTGTATATATTTAGGATAGTTAGCTCTTCTTGTTACATTGATCCCTTTACCACTATGTAATGCCCTTTTTCATCTTTTTTGATCTTTCTTGGTTTAAAATCTGTTTTATCAGAGACTAGGATTGTAACCCCTGCCTTTTTTTTTTTTTTTTTTTTTTGCTTTCCATTGGCTTGGTAAATATTTCTCCATCCCTTTATTTTAAGCCTATGTGTGTGTTCGCACATGAGATGGGTCTCCTAAATACAGCACACCGATGGATATTGACTCTTTATCCAATCTGCCAGTCTGTATCTTTTAATTGGGGCATTTAGCCCATTTACATTTAAGGTTAATATTGTTATGTGTGAATTTGATCCTGTCATTATGATGCTAGCTGGTTATTTTGCCCATTAGTTGATGCAATTTCTTCATAGTGTCGATGGTCTTTACAATTTGGTATGTTTTTGCAGTGGCTGGTACCAGTTTTTCCTTTCCAATTTAGTGCTTCCTTCAGGACCTCTTGTAAGGCAGGCCTGGTGGTGACAAAATCTGTCAGCATTTGCTTGTCTGTAAAAGATTTTATTTCTCCTTCACTCATGGAGCTTAGTTTGGCTGGATATAAAATTCTGGATTGAAAATTCTTTTCTTTAAGAATGTTGATTGTTGGCCCCCACTCTCTTCTGGCTTGCAGGGTTTCTGTGAGAGATCTGCTGTTAGTCTGATGGGCTTCCCTTTGTGGGTAACCCGACCTTTCTTTCTGGCTGCCCTTAACATACTTTTCTTCATTTCAACTTTGGTGAATCTGATGAATATGTGTTTTGGGGTTGCTTTTCTTGAGGAATATGTTTGTGGTGTTCTCTGTATTTCCTGATTTTGAATGTTGGCCTGTCTTGCTAGGTTGGGGAAGTTCTCCTGGATAACATAATGAAGAGTGTTTTCCAACTTGGTTCCATTCTCCCCGTCACTTTCAGGCACACCAATCAAACGTAGGTTTAGTCTTTTCACATAGTCCCATATTTCTTAGAGGCTTTGTTCGTTCGTTTTCATTCTTTTTTCTCTAATCTTGTCTTCATGCTTTATTTCACTAAGTTGATCTTCAATCTCTGATATCCTTTCTTCTGCTTTATCGATTCGGGTATTGATACTTTTGTATGCTTCACGAAGTTTTCGTGCTGTGTTTTCAGCTCCATCAGGTCACTTACGTTCTTCTCTAAACTGGTTATCCTAGTTAGCAATTCCTCTAACCTGTTTTCAAGGTTCTTAGCTTCCTTGCATTGGGTTAGCACATGCTCCTTTAGCTCGGAGGAGTTTGTTATTACCCACCTTCTGAAGCCTACTTCTATCAATTTGTCAAACTCATTCTCCATCCAGTTTTGTTCCCTTGCTGGTGAGGAGTTGTGATCCTTTGGAGGAGAAGAGGCATTCTGGTTTTTGGAATTTTCAGCCTTTATGCACTGGTTTTTCCTCATCTTCGTGGATTTATCTACCTTTGGTCTTTGATGTTTTTGACCTTTGGATGGGGTTTTTGTATGAACATTTTTTTTGTTGATGTTGATGCTATTCCTTTCTGTTTGTTAGTTTTCCTTCCAACAGTCAGGCCCCTCTGCTGCAGGTCTGCTGAATTTTGCTGGAGGTCCACTCCAGACTCTGTTTGCCTGGGTATCACCAGTGGAGGCTGCAGAAGAGCAAAGATGGCTGCCTATTCCTTCTTTTGGAAGCTTCATCCCAGAGGGGCACCCGCCAGATCCCAGCCAGAGCTTTCCTGTGTGAGGTGTCTGCCAACCCCTGCAGGAAGGTCTCCCATTGAGGAGGCACAGGGGTCAGGGACCCACTTGAGGAGGCAGTCTGTCCCTTAGCAGAACTTGAGTGCTGTGCTGGGAGATCTGCTTCTCTCTTCAGAGCCAGCAGGCAGGAACATTTAAGTCTGCTGAAGACTGCACCCACAGCACCCCTTCCCACTGGTGCTCTGTCCCAGGGAGATAGGAGTTTTACCTATAAGTCCCTACTGGGGCTGCTACCTTTCTTTCAGAGATATCCTGCCCAGAAAGGAGGAATCTGGAGAGGCAGTCTTGCTACAGCAGCTTTGCGGAGCTGTGGTGGGCTCCACCTAGTTCAAACTTCCTGGTGGCTTTGTTTACACTGTGAGGGGAAAATTGCCCATTCAAGCCTCAGTAATGGCAGATGCCCCCCACCACCCCCCCCCCCACCCCACCAAGCTCGAGCATCCCAGGTTGACTTCAGACTGCTGTGCTGGCAGTGAGAATTTCAAGTCAGTGGATCTTAGCTCGCTGGGCTCCATGGGGATGGGATTCACTGAGCTAGATCACTTGACTTCCTGACTTCAGCCCCCTTTCCAAGGGAATGAATGGTTCTGTCTCGCTGGCATTCCAGGCACCACTGGGGTATGAAGAAAAAACTCCTGCAGCTAGCTCAGTGTCTGCCCAAAGGGCCGCCCAGTTTTGTGCTTGAAACCCAGGGCCCTGGTGGTATAGGCACCCAAGGGAATCTCCTGGTCTGCAGGTTGCGAAGACTGTGGGAAAAGCATAGTATCTGGGCCAGAGTGCACCATTCCTCAAGGCACAGTGCCTCACGGCTTCCCTTCACTAGGGGAGGGAGTTCCCCCGACCCTTTGCATTTCCCGGGTGAGGTGACGCCTCACCCTTCTTCGGCTCACCCTCTGTGGGCTGCACCCACTGTCTAACCAGTCCCAATGAGATGAGCTGGGTACCTCAGTTGGAAATGCAGAAATCACCTACCTTCTGTGTTGATCTTGCTGGGAGCTGCAGACTGGAGCTGTTCCTATTCAGCCATCTTGCCAGCTACCTAGTACACATTTTTTAAGTACAGATGACAATTAGTGGCAAGAAAAGTTGTACTGAACAACTGAAGGACTTCGGACTTGGATTAACATCTGGCCACCTTAGTTGCCTTTCTATAATTAAAAAAAAAGTGATTTTATAATACAATGTACGTAAGAATCACCTGGGAAGTTTTTCAAATGCAAATATTTAAGCCCCACCCCTGATGATTCTGCTTCCATTGGCTTGGTGACCTCACTCTAGGTATTTCTGACAAAGTTTGTTTTTGGACCAGTGCTAAGATGTGCTACTATTAAGTGCATCCTGAGCTCTGGTTACAGCAAACCTGTGAGTTTCTAGATTGACTATGGAGGAAGCTTGCATCATATATTCTCCTGGGCTTTTGTACCTGGCATTTATCCCAAGTCCTGTAGAGGAACCCACTGCAACTGCCTCCAAGATTCTTCACTCCTACATTCGATTTTCTCACTTTTCCCTAGAAACCATTTTAGATTTTAATATATCATCTAATAATTATCCCCAGCCTGAAAATGAGGAGACAGACTCAAAGAGGGGTCATAGAATTTTCCCATGTTTTTATAAAAGATATGTAATAACAGGAGTCACATTCAAGGCCTATGGTATCTAATAAGAGCTAAAATTTATTGACCTCTTTTATATGCACCGTGTACTGAATATATTGTATTGACTATCGTGTTTAATTCTAGTAAATGTTAATGGAAAATGGGAGCCTAAAGGTTATTGAAAAGAAAAGATTTGGCAGTGTTTTATTAAGAGTCTTAATATGGCAAAAGAAAAAATTTTAAGTAAAAAGCAGTATGATTATTCCAGCCAAGTGTTGATGGAATTAGACCAACAGGAATCTCCCTTAGGTAGCTTAAGCCTTACTCGAGTTTACTGTATAACACATTAAGTTGCCATCAAACAACAGTAGCACCTGCAGAAATGTAGTTTCTGCCCCTACCTCCATCCTCCCGCACTAGGCAGGCCTTTCCCAAGATCAGTAAGGAAGACAGGAAGGAAGGAAGAATTCAAGTTAAGGCTTGAGGGAGATAACTGGAGAATGAATCAAAGGCACTCAGAAGTGAAATTTAGGAATTTTTGATGCTAGTCCTACATGATATTTTATAAAATTTATACATTGAAGATGATAACTAATGTGTTATTCTTTTAATAGTTACCTTTTTATCTTTTAAAATGTACAAGAAAATTGAACTGACCTCTCACAGGTTTTCTCAGAACTGTAGAGAAAATAATACATTAAAGCATGTAGAAAAGTGCCTAGCAAGTCGTGAGTCTTCAGCCAAGATTAGCTGTTGTTATTTTCCATGATACCCTCGCACAGTGATGTTAACAGCTGTGCCTAGGCTACGTTAATAAAACTTCAGTGATCACACAATGACAGCTGCTGCAAAGGAAGGTATTGGGAAAATAAAATTAAAAACAAAATCTCCTGCCAACCCAGAAAACCTCTCCACGAAGGTAGAAAACAAAGAAAAGTTGTATTACTGAGTAAGCATTAAACCAAAATGCAATGCTCATCACAGCCAATCTGCAAAGAGAATGCAAAGACAAGCAGAAACTTCCTTCTGTTATATCGCCAAGTGGATACAACCCAGTACATACATGTTCTCGAGATACATAATTAGTCCTCAAGCAAGAGGGCTTGACGGCACCATTTCTCACACAACGTTCATACAAAATTCACTCAGTAATTGAGGTGACCACTTGTGTTAGCTTACTTGGCTTTACCAAAAGGTAAAATAAATTTATTATATCTTTATGACAGGACGTAGTCGTGAAGCCAGGCATCATCTGATGCTACGATCTTGCCCTCCCACAGAGACTGGAAGATAGGTGCATTATCTTTCTCTCTTGATGATTACTTTTCAAAGAGATAGTGCTCTGATCTTAAGAAAGACATTCTTGGGCCATAAAACTGGTAAGAGGCTAACTTATCTTTTAAAAAGGTTTACATGCATTTTGAAAAGACAGAAAAAAGACCTTAAAATGACCAGTTTTCTAAAACATATCATCTAAGAAAAGGGAGAAGGAAAGTGTCTTCCTTTATTTTCATCAGGGAGAATTAAGCCTCTTATTTTTAAACTGTATTTGCCATTGCAAAAGCAGTTATCTGGGAGGAATTTAAAAGCTTCTTGGTGTCTTTTGCTGATTATCAATTATTTCCTAATGAGAAAACCCACATAGACATACACAAGTGAAATACAGAAATTAGAAATTTCTGGCCAGGCATGGTGGTGCATACCTGTATTCCCAGAACTTTGGGAGGTCAAGGAGGGTGGATCACTTGAGGTCAGGAGTTCGAGACCAGCCTGGCCAACATAGTGAAACCCTGTCTCTTCTAAAAAAATAAAATAAAATAAAATAAAAATACAAAAATTAGCCAGGTGCAGTGGCATGCACCTGTAATTCCAGCTACTCTGGAGGCTGAGGCAGGAGAATCGCTTGAACCCTGGAGGTGGAGGTTGCAGTGAGCCGAGATCATGCCACTGCACTCCAGCCTGAGGGACAGAGAGAAATTCCCTCTCAAAAAAAAAAAAAAAAAAAAAGAAAGAAAGAAAGAAATGTCCAAGGAACATTTGGGTAGTAGAGGAGACACAGAACATCTATTTTTTATTAAATCAGAAGAGAGAACTATTATCTTTTAAAATGAAAATACTAAATTGGTTTGATGTTAAGAGACAGTCCAACCAAGGGCCATGTAAAAGTTAACCTCTGAGTTCACAATCATCAAAATCTTTCAGAAAATCTTTTGAAGAATGTTACTAGTCAAAGTGGGTAAGTAAACATTATTGCTTTAAAATTAAGGCCTGACTGTCACCATCCCCCTGTCCTCAGTGAGTACAACCACCAGTTGGTGGTGGTGTTGCTCTCCTGAGAAATGGCTGCATCACAGAAAATCGTCATTCCTGTAGACGTATGCTTAGAGGGCACTGTGGGATCCTTCATGATGAAAGTGCCTTGTAAATGTGAGATATCACCACCATTATGAGTGAGATCTAACCCTGGACGATGTCATAAACTTAATGGTGGGAGTTAAACCACCACCATCTCAGTGTACTCCAGCCAATGTGTATTCTCATCACACTTCAAAAAGCATAGGCTGTCCAAAGCAGGATATCTGCCTGCAGACCCCAAACTATGTTTTTCAGATCATTAAAACCACGGGACACTGTAAGCCTAGATTATCCCCATTAAGTAGTAGATTTAAAGTATTATCCATTAGGAAAAAATATGCAACAGAATGATTTTACAATACTACTTAAAATCAGCAGTAGTGCTGATGCAGTAACAATTTTTGACACAATAATTTGGTTTTTATTAATACAAACTAACATAAAGTGAAATTCACTTTCCCTTAATAAATAATCAAAATTTATTTTATTTTCTAAATTCAAAAGGTTAACATATTAAGGTCAGCAACACGCTGTACCTGAAACAATATTGTGCCTAAAACAAGGAGATGAAAAATTGTAAAGATAGCCTTTGTACATTTTTAGGGATTATAATGATAAAAAGATCAGCAAGTTTCCTGTCACCAGAAGGCAAAAACTACAGCACACACAAGTTATCTAATGAAAGTGTACACTGGGAGAATTGCCTAGCTGCTCAGTGACCTACAATGTCACAGTTCTGTACCTAACATTACTTTACTGCCTTCCCCAGCTTCCAAGATAGAGTCTCACCCAAGATTACAGTGTTCAGAACTTTAGTTAATTAAAAGACAAAACTTCTCAAAATAAAAAGCCAAGGCCATTCTCATTAGAACAAAATTTTTTAAAGATAGGCAAAGTAAATCAAGCAAATGGGAACAAAGAGAGTAGAGGGATAATATTAATATTAGACGAAGTGGACACTGAAACAAAATGCCTTAGGTGGTTTGTGTATTTCTTCAGTGGTTAGAGATGATGAGACTCGAGCTAGGCTTCAAGGTCATGAATGTCTTAGTGAAGGATGTTTATGGGAGCACTGTTCTGTTATTTCCAAGTAGATATTTGAAGGTCAAGCCTCAATTTTTATTATTTTTATGACAAGGCTGGGATAGGGTGAGGCTTCAGTTGTATTGCTAGACTCTCTTCTCCTCCTACATTAAGCTCATTATGTCCCATGGCCAAGAAGGAAAGAGTAGATGGAAGAAAAAGACAATCTGGCTATATCTACAATTGCTATATATTATATTTCAGTGTTCAAAACTAATCCAATCCTATAACTCCCAACTTCTGAGTCTAAATTTTGATTCATCTCTTGGTTATCTAGAGTTTGTCTCCAAGTAGCTTTATTAGGAAGAATACCTAGGTGATAAACGTAATTATTTATATTTAGAATATTTAAGGAAGAATACAAGGACACATAAAATAATAGGAAATATTAAAATAGGAAAAGAAAAAGAATGATGAGAACATAAATTAGTGCCAGGACTGAGACATCTAATGCACTGTATGTACTTTTTACCTGTATTAATTGAAATTCAGCTAATGTGCCAGAGAATAAAATGGCAATGAATTTAAAAGATAGAACATTATTTCCCTGTCAGAGAAAATTTCCAACAGATAAAGTGGATCTGCTCTACAGTCTTTGGAGGCCCATGCTACTTTGTGTACCTTGTGGTTCTGTCGTCCCAAAGGCATAGTCTACATTCACGCTGTTCAAGATGGTTTCTCATTACACTTGCATCTCAACTGCACACATCCATTCCCCTCTATCTCATTGGCCATGTATTCCCATGGTTATACCTAGTTGCAAGGAAGATTGGGAAACATAATCTTTACCTAGGCATCCAGGTACTCAGCGTCAAGTTCTATCATTGTATAAGGGAGGGGAAGAACAGATACAGTGGATAACCAGATGCTTTCATCTCATCACATTAGGCCTCAAATATATTTGACTCTTACCATTTTTACAACCAATATAAAAAGAAAAGCCATTAATGATACTCTTAAACATAGAATTATAAGGATGGCAGTAATAATAAAATGATTCAAAATTTTAAAAATAAATAAAAGCCATTGTAGTTGTACAATTCATGGATATGAAAATGGAAAATTTCTTAGAAGAATTACAGGTTATTTACTATGAAGTCCAAACTAGAATTTCTCCAAAGTACTCCTATATTCTGGAATTTTGCATGTCAGAAAAAGTTTCCCTTATCCATGAACTTCAATTTTGAGTGACAGTGAATTCCGAGGCCATAATTTTTTGCCCAAAATACTCTTTAAGTACCATCCTAAGATATATGGTGTTCTGAAAAAGAAACTTGATGCCAAACTCATTTTTATTCCTTTGGGTTATGTGCTTGGATATGTGATTGTCTTTTACTGGAACAAGTCTAAATACAGCTTTCTTTTCTTTAGTTACACATATATTGTAGGGAAACTTCATTCCCAAACTCAGATCTTCTTTTAGTCTACAAAAGTTTTCTGTTATTTCTTTGATTATTTACTCCACATTAATTTTTTGTCTTATCCTTCAATAATACTTATTTGTATCCACGACTTGAATTTCCATAGCTCTTTTCTTATATTTTGTCATGTTTATCTCTTTTCTTTTTTCTTTTGTATTTTGATGGTATTTATCTTGTTTGTCCTCCATGTCTCAAGTTTTCACTAAGTGGAAATATTTTTGTTGCTTAGTGCAAATCTATTTATAATTATAGTTATATTCCTTACGATTTCTGATTTTCTCATTAAAAAGAACTAGCTTTATTTCATGTAATACTTTTTTGGCATAAATTCCACCTTGTTTATGATGAAAACCACAATCCATGCTTTTGTCTTCATTTCTATAATAATTTTGTTTTTTTTTTCTTTAACCCCTTTTCCAGGATGGGGGAAGAAGTTCTCATATTTTTTTCTCATTGGAAGTGCTACCACAGGTATATATTATTGCTAATTTTTAATTCCCATACTTTTAGAGATAATCGACCAACCCACCAACCAAGTAGTATTTACTGAGCATCTACCATGTCTCAGGGACTGTGCTAAGAATTTATCATTCAATGCAAAACACAAAAGGCATGGTCTCTGCTTTCGTGGAGTTTGCAATCTAGTTGCTAGCAGAAGGTAGCAGAGTATCACACCAAAGAGAAAGCTTTGGGTGTTTGTTATGGGTGCTCCTATGGCAAGGGACTTGATCTAGGCCAGATGTTGGAGAAACACCTCCTTCAGGAGGTAGAACCTAGGTGAAGATGTAAACTGAATAGGAGTTAAGCATTAGGGAGTCATCCTGGGGCAGAGAATAGAGGGTAAAAGGAGAGGAGAGAGAGGTGACTGGATTAGGGAGACTCATGTACAGAAGCTGGCCCTGAGAGGAGACAGCAGGGAATCCTAAAGGCATTTCTCCCAAATGGCTGGAGCTTGGAGTGTGAAGAACAAATTCTATCTGGGGGTAAGCTATGCTGACCTTTCTGTGTGTGTGGTGGGGGTCAGAGAGCAGCAACATTATATGAGAGTGAGTAGTGGCTTTTGAGCCCTCCATCCCTGAGATTTTATAACATGATCTTACCCTAGTTAAGTCATCCAGTACCAACTGAGGAAGGATGAGTTATAACCCAAAATTTGCCACAGGTATAGTCAATACCTGAGAGAAAGATATCACAATCGCCTAGGAAAATCTGTGGCCAAAAATCAAGCAACACACATGTAGATGCTCAGTAAATACTAGTTGATTGGTTAGTTGGTGGATTTTTTCCAAAGACCTAGATATGAAAAGGCAAGCAATTAAAATATACCATGAGTTAAATCTCAGTTTAAATTTCAGACACATCAAAGACTTTTAACATTAACATGAAAAACGAAAGTCAGCTACAGATGTAACATATGCATATTTTACAAAAGATTAAGAGAAGCTGTAGTCTTTCAACAGTCACAACAGTTTATCTTCAATGGCTCACAAGGATCATTAAGCAGAAAAAAGAAAGGTGGTGGTCAAGTGTCAGTGCTTTCTTTCCAAATATGAACCGAGGGTGCAACAGGGTAACTCATTACAAGTAAAATCAAAGATATTGAGGACCGAATAAACCACATGAACACCAGACTAATCCTCTTTGTGACATGACTTAATGTAGGATACTGATAACTTCACTTAACCTCACCTTGTCTCCATTTCCCAATCTGTAAAACAGGGTTAATAATTTTAACCCACTTCTCAGAGATAGTAGGTGGATTAACTATAATAACAGTAAACTGATTGAAAACACAAATCATGAGAATGTTCTAGCAAGAGCTATACTTCCTTATAGTAAGAAATGTGAATTTCTTCTTCTCCAGAATTATTCCAAATGCATCAGTGAATAATTTATTAGAAAAAAATACACTGTGACCTTCCCTTTCAGTGACTAAAGATATTCTCTGGAGTGAGTCTTTTCTTTTTTTTTTTTTTAAAATAAAAACTTACCTTTTTTTCGGGGTAAAAAATGACTTTGATCCTATCTCAGCTTGGTGATTCAATGGATGGCAACTCAGCCAGGAAGATTTAAGAGCACTGTCTACAACTTACAAGACTCCACTGAAAAATACTCATTTAGCAGTGTGAGTATTTGACCTAGAATTTATGCCAGAAACAACAAGGGCATAAAGATAAAACCACTTTAGCTTGCTAATCATAATAAACTTATCCTAGACAAATTTACTGAATAAATACAAAGCAAACCAATTCAATTGCCTACCCAAACTTTGTAGTTACATGAATATAAATACCACACACCTAAATATTGTTCCTAAGATAATTAAGTGTATTGTTTCTCCAGAGACTGGAATAATAGGAAAACACTGAAGTTCATTGTCAAACACTTATTATGACTGTTACTAAATAGTCAATCTGTATTTGTACTTTATGGAAATATTTACATTCCTATACCATCCAGAATCCTGAAATTCTGGAACAGAGTGCAGGTTAAGCAAACCTTAAGTGAATCTAAAACTGCACAATAGAGAGTGGTGTTAAACCCTGGCAGACTATAATTTATTAACACACACAAATAGATTACTTCTGTTGAAGTCAAACAGCCTGGAAAAAAAATGGATTTTCTATAATCCAGCTACCCAATTTCCTTTCAGTTTTCAAGATTACAACTACCATTTATGACATGACCACATCTTCTACAGGGCAAAAAAATAAATCGCACTGTATATAATGGGGCTAGGATCCCAAGACAAAAGAACCATAAATTCCACTCCCAAAAAGGTTGTAAACTCTCTCATTCCATAACAAACACAAGTATGCAGAACAAGGCTTCCAGGTAACTATGTGGCCACATGACATACACAAACAGGTCAGAAAGCTCCCAATGTAGCAGTTAAACAGTGTTTCCAAGGTCACAAAATAACATTACTTTTTATTTCCCTCCCTTCTCAATGCAGAGAGAGGAACTACCCAATTATACTAATGTAGTACTTACTTCTGGAGATATTCCAACCTATTTTGATGAAGAATTTTCCAGTGAGAACTTGAATTTTGGAGAGGGTAATAGAAAATGAACTAAAAATCACAAAGGGTAAATGTACTGGATTATTTTAAAGTTGTTAGCAAAAGTGTAACATTTATTATTTTTAAAGTGTTTATCTTTTAAAATATGTTAAATAAAGCTTTTAAGTTATAAAGAGGTAAGTTATATTACCATTAAAATGCTAGATTACTCTATTTAGGTATGATTATTGTTTCTTGAATAACTACAGTTAAGTTGAGGAAAAATTTGAATTAGAGTAACATTAATCATGAAATAAAATTATATTCTTGCTGCTCAGGCTAGATATCCAAGAATAATGAAAATTCAGAGAGAAACAGAAAGGTTTAGATTAGTTTGAACTACTCATAAAATTTAAGGAAGTAAAGATAAGTCTTTTTAATAAAAATAGAGCAACCTTTCCACTGGTACTCAAACAATACCAAATGGTCTAACACTGGTACAATCCTATCTTCTACATACATTTCAGAGAGGAATTTTTATATTCACTGGCCCAATTTAAATAATATATATGAATATAGGTAGTCAAAGGAGAAAGTAGATCAGAAAAATTTCCAGGTCCAATATTAAAGACAGAATTAGCATAATATTAGACTGTCTCTAGCTTCAGACTTTCTATTCTGTCCTCAGAATGTCTAACCAATGGTTTCTTCTGAGGTTCCTGCTACAAGATATGTTGGAAAAATATATATCCAAATGAAGAAGCTTATTATTTTCCTAGGGGAATATTTGACTGTAGTTTTTCACTACATAGGTGTAAAAGTGTGTAAGCAAATATGATGGAAATGCTAATTAGAACATTAAGGCAGTCTTTTCAATGCAAAATGAACATTAAAAACTAAGTATTACAGGCACTGGAACATTAAAAGTTCTTAAATCAGACTTTGCATATTTGAAAAGAAATATGAATTATGTGTTATTTCCTAACACTGCTAAGTGCATTATTAATTTGGATAGAAATCTAAATCCATTGCTCACTAATGAATAACCAAAAACCACTGGAAATCCTATAAACAAGAATTACTCCCATGGAAAATGATTTCTATTTTCTAATTTTGATTTCTAATATGTAATGTGAAGAGATGATACCCACAAAAATCAGAATCTAAATTTCCCTCTGTCCTGTTCAATGCAAAAGATTAAATTTCCATGTTCAATTGTCAGTGCGATAGAAACGAACAAGCCAAGCCCCTGGTGCCCTATCCCCAAATACAAACGAGGTGAAGTTTAAAAATTAGACTTTCAAAAGAAAACAGAAATTCTTTGTGCTTTACACATAAAGATAAAAAATAAATTCACCAGAGGAAGGATTAGTATAAATGTTTAAATTCTGGTTCTAAAAGTTTGAAATAGGTACTGCTGTTTTCACTATTTCAACTAAAGGAATTCATAAAAGAAAGACCCTAACTTTGAGCATTCTCCTTGGTTGGCTGTGGGTTCAATGTGATTGTTGTGGCATTATCATTTTGATTCCGAAATTTACTCAAAAGTTTCATTAAGCCATTGTTTATGGATGTTGTAAATATAGTCATGTATTTCAGTCAATGACAACCAAAACAGAAACACACTCTCTTGCCTCCCTCCTTTGAGAAAGTTTCTACCCTTTCGTTAATCTATCAATGGAACCTATAGAATTCACGTTTTTAAAAAAAATCTACTTATTTCTTTTAAAATATGGATATAAGTTAACATTCTGTTTTCTTCTTTTAATACATATTTATGGAATAGTTCCAATTCATTATGAATTTTTATAACCTCATTATTACATTGCCAGTTGCTACAAATATATGCCAATTATCTCCTCCATGAAAACAAACGTGCTAGAGGCAGCTCATTATTATAGTTCAGCTCAAAGAAAAAAAAAAGGCCACTTCCTCTCTCTCACCCACCAATCAGAGCCACTTATAAAGTTGAAAGGGTAGGCCAGTCCTTCACACTTGTAGACTCAGAAATATGTTCATAAACTAGAGATAATGGTTTAATCATAACTACCATTTCTTAAGCAGTGTGATGGTTATTTGCCACGTCAAGTCAATTCACTGCCCTTCTAGGCCCTAGGAGGTTGACCTCTATGGACTGCATGATCCAATTTCTGAGCCCTTGGTTTCTGGTTCAGTTTGACAGAAGATCAGAAGGCAGGAAGAGAGACATAGGGGTTTCCTTCTCCATTCTATCCTCAGTAGAAAACTCTGGCAGTGGCTACTTTCCTCTAGGGCCAGAGCATTCCCCTACAGTCCAAAGTCTTACCAGGTTATGATAATAACATCCTCTTGTTGTTGGGCTCTGACTGCTTCACTTTGCCCCCTTTGCTTCCTTAACCCTGCTCACACCTTTGTACTTAGTCCCTTTATTAATGTCTATTCATTTAAACCATTTGTGGGAGGCATAATTCTAAGATGGTCTCAATATTCCTACCCCTTTGTTTGCACACTATCCAAGGAAGTCCTATGGTACTGCTTGCTGTAATTCACGTGGGATATTTCTACTGGGCAGAAAACACTCTAGGACACCTTGCAAACCTTTATATCTAGACTTTGGCTTGAGCCCCTACCATTCTTGTATTTTTGGCTAGGACAGCTAGGTCAGTTTCTCTCAACACACATGCCATATGCCATAGAAACTTATAGAAAAAGAGAGAAAAACAAAACAAGAACAAATGAATACCACATTGGGCTTCTCTCCTAAGGGTGGAGGCAGTATGTAATGGAGATTACAGAACACAGACTTTGGCATTCGAGATACACAGGTTTCAGTCAGGCTCTGTTCTTTGCTCTCCATATGACCTTGAGGAAGTGATTCTTACCCCTCTGTTTGCACACTTTATATAATCTTCTTCCCGTAAGTGTGAGTAAGACTGGCCCAATCAGTGAGGCCTTTAAAAAGAGAAAGTCTAGGAGTCCAAGATGAAACAAATCAGAGATATCCAAAACTATAGCAGACACTCTCCCGTCAGCCCTGAAAAAAGCAAACTGCCATATTGCGAAAAAGGCCACTAGGCAGGGATTGTTAGCAACATTGAGGAGCTAAAAACCGTAAGAAACCATAAAAAATTTTGTTGCTGACTGACGGCCAGGAACAAAATGGGACCTCAGTCCAACAAGCACAAGCCAAAGAAGCTTGGAAGAGGGTCCCAAGCTCCAGAGAAGATCACAGCCCTGCCCAACACCTTGATTTCAATTTTATGAGACCCAAAACAATCTATTTTTACACTATCTGTTTTTTGTGGTTTTTTTAGTTTTATTATTATTAAGTTTTAGGGTACATGTGCACAACGTGCAGGTTTGTTACATATGTATACATGCGCCATGTTGGTGTGCTGCACCCATTAACTCGTCATTTACATTAGGTATATCTCCTAATGCTATCCCTCCCCGCTCTCCCCACCCCACAACAGTCCCCAGAGTGTGATGTTCCCCTTCCAGTGTCCATGTGTTCTCATTGTTCAATTCCCACCTATGAGTGAGAACATGCGGTGTTTGGTTTTTTGTCCTTGCAATAGTTTGCTGAGAATGATGGTTTCCAGTTTCATCCATGTGCCTACAAAGGACATGAACTCATCATTTTTATGGCTGCATAGTATTCCATGGTGTATATGTGCCACATTTTCTTAATCCAGTCTATCGTTGCTGGACATTTGGGTTGGTACCAAGTCTTTCCTATTGTGAATAGTGCCACTATAAACATACGTGTGCATGTGTGTTTATAGCAGCATGATTTATAATCCTTTGAGTATATACCCGGTAATGGGATGGCTGGGTCAAATGGTATTTCTAGTTCTAGATCCCTGAGGAATCACCACACTGACTTCCACAATGGTTGAACTAGTTTACAGTTCCACCAACAGCGTAAAAGTGTTCCTGTTTCTCCACATCCTCTCCAGCACCTGTTGTTTCCTGACATTTTAATGATCACCATTCTAACTGGTATGAGATGCTTTCTCATTGTGGTTTTGATTTGTATTTCTCTGATGGCCAGTGATGATGAGCATTTTTTCATGTGTTTTTTGGCTGCATAAATGTCTTCTTTTGAGAAGTGTCTGTTCATATCCTTGGCCCACTTTTTGATGGGGTTGTTTGTTTCTTTCTTGTAAATTTGTTTGAGTTCAATGTAGATTCTGGATATTAACCCTTTGTCAGATGAGTAGGTTGCAAAAATTTTCTCCCATTCTGTAGGTTGCCTGTTCACTCTGATGGTAGTTTCTTTTGCTGTGCAGAAGCTCTTTAGTTTAATTAGATCCCATTTGTCAATTTTGACTTTTGTTCCCATTGCTTTTGGTGTTTTAGACATGAAGTCCTTGCCCATGCCTACGTCCTGAATGGTATTGCCTAGGTTTTCTTCTAGGGTTTTTATGGTTTTAGGTCTAACATGTAAGTCTTTAATCCATCTTGAATTCATTTTTGTATAAGGTGTAAGGAAGGGATCCAGTTTCAGCTTTCTACATATGGCTAGCCAGTTTTCCCAGCACCATTTATTAAATAGGGAATCCTTTCCCCATTCCTTCTTTTTGTCAGGTTTGTCAAAGATCAGATAGTTGTAGATAAGCAGCATTATTTCTGAGGGCTCTGTTCTGTTCCATTGATCTATATCTCTGTTTTGGTAGCAGTACCATGCTGTTTTGGGTACTGTAGCCTTGTAGTATAGTTTGAAGTCAGGTAGTGTGATGCCTCCGGCTTTATTCTTTTGGCTTAGGAATGACTTGGCGATGCGGGCTCTTTTTGGTTCCATATGAACTTTAAAGTAGTTTTTTCCAATTCTGTGAAGAAAGTCATTGGTAACTTGATGGGGATGGCACTGAATCTATAAATTACCTTGGGCAGTAGGGCCATTTTCACAATATTGATTCTTCCTACCCATGAGCATGGAATGTTCTTCCATTTGTTTGTATCCTCTTTTATTTCATTGAGCAGTGGTTTGTAGTTCTCCTTGAAGAGGTCCTTCACATCCCTTGTAAGTTGGATTCCTAGGTATTTTATTCTCTTTGAAGCAATTGTGAATGGGAGTTCACTCATGATTTGGCTCTCTGTTTGTCTGTTATCGGTGTATAAGAATGCTTGTGATTTTTGTACATTGATTTTGTGTCCTGAGACTTTGCTGAATTTGCTTATCAGCTTGAAGAGATTTTGGGCTGAGATGACGGGGTTTTCTAGATATAAAATCATGTCATCTGCAAACAGGGACAATTTGACTTCCTCTTTTCCTAATTGAATACCCTTTATTTCCTTCTCCTGCCTGATTGCCCTGGCCAGAACTTCCAACACTATGTTGAATAGGAGTGGTGAGAGAGGGCATCCCTGTCTTGTGCCCGTTTTCAAAGGGAATGCTTCCAATTTTTGCCCATTCAGTATGATATTGGCTGTGGCTTTGTCATAGATAGCTCTTATTATTTTGAGATATGTCCCATCAATACCTAATTTCTTGAGAGTCTTTAGCATGATGGTTTGTTGAATTTTGTCAAAGGCAAAATTTTCTGCATCTTTTGCACCTTTTCTGCATCTATTGAGATAATCATGTGGTTTTTGTCTTTGGTTCTATTTATATGCTGGATTACATTTATTGATTTGCGTATGTTGAACCAGCCTTGCATCCCAGGGATGCAGCCCACTTGCTCATGGTGGATAAGCTTTTTGATGTGCTGCTGGGTTCTGTTTGCCAATATTTTATTGAGGATTTTTGCATCGATGTTCATCAAGGATATTGGTCTAAAATTCTCTTTTTTGGTTGTGTCTCTGCCAGGCTTTGGAATCAGGATGATGCTGGCCTCATAAGATGAGTTAGGGAGGATTCTCTCTTTTTCTATTGATTGGGATAGTTTCAGAAGGAATGGTACTAGCTCCTCTTTGTACCTCTGGTAGAATTCGGCTGTGAATCCATCTGGTCCTGGACTTTTTTTGGTTGGTAAGCTATTGATTATTGCCTCAATTTCAGAGCCTGTTATTGGTCTATTCAGAGATTCAACTTCTTCCTGGTTTAGTCTTGGGAGGACGTATGTGTCCAGGAACTTATCCATTTCTTCTAGATTTTCTAGTTTATTTGTGTAGAGGTGTTTATAGTATTCTCTGATGGTAGTTTGTATTTCTGTGGGATCGGTGATGATATCCCCTTTATCATTTTTTATTGTGTCTGTTTGATTCTTCTCTCTTTTCTTCTTTATTAGTCTTGCTAGCGGTCTATCAATTTTGTTGATCTTTTCAAAAAACCAGCTCCTGGATTCGTTAATTTTTTGAAGGGTTTTTTGTGTCTCTATTTCCTTCAGTTCTGCTCTGATCTTAGTTATTTCTTGCCTTCTGCTAGCTTTTGAATGTGTTAGCTCTTGCTTTTCTAGTTCTTTTCATTGTGATGTTGGGGTGTCAATTTTAGATCTGTCCTGCTTTCTCTTGTGGGCATTTAGTGCTATAAATTTCCCTCTACACACTGCTTTGAATGTGTCCCAGAGATTCTGGTATGTTGTGTCTTTGTTCTCATTGGTTTCAAAGAACATCTTTATTTCTGCCTTCATTTCATTATGTACCCAGTAGTCATTCAGGAGCAGGTTGTTCAGTTTCCATGTAGTTGAGCAGTTTTGAGTGAGTTTCTTAATCCTGAGTTCTAGTTTGATTGCACTGTGGTCTGAGAGACAGTTTGTTATAATTTCTATTCTTTTACATTTGCTGAGGAGTGCTTTACTTCCAACTATGTGGTCAGTTTTGGAGTAGGTGTGGTGTGGTGCTGAAAAGAATGTATATTCTGTTGATTTGGGGTGGAGAGTTCTGTAGATGTCTATTAGGTCCACTTGGTGCAGAGCTGAGTTCAATTCCTGGGTATCCTTGTTAAATTTCTGTCTCATTGATCTGTCTAATGTTGACAGTGGGGTGTTAAAGTCTCCCGTTATTATTGTGTGGGAGTCTCAGTCTCTTTGTAGGTCACTAAGGACTTGCTTTATGAATCTGGGTGCTCCTGTATTGGGTGCACATATAGGATAGTTAGCTCGTCTTGTTGAATTGATCCCTTTACCATTATGTCATGGCCTTCTTTGTCTCTTTTGATCTTTGTTGGTTTAAAGTCTGTTTTATCAGAGACTAGAGTTGCAACCCCTGCCTTTTTTTGTTTTCCATTTGCTTGGTGGATTTTCCTCCATCCCTTTATTTTGATCCTATGTGTGTCTCTGCACATGAGATGGGTTTCCTGAATACAGCACACTGATGGGTCTTGACTCTTTATCCAATTTGCCAGTCTGTGTCTTTTAATTGGAGCATTTACCCATTTACATTTAAGGTTAATATTGTTATGTGTGAATTTGATCCTGTCATTATGATGTTAGCATGATGTTAGATGGTTATTTTACTCGTTAGTTGATGCAGTTTCTTCCAAGCCTTAATGGTCTTTACAATTTGGCATGTTTTTGCAGTGGCTGGTACCGATTGTTCCTTTCCATGTTTAGTGCTTCCTTCAGGAGCTCTTTTAGGGCAGGCCTGGTGGTGAGAAAATCTCTCAGCCTTTGCTTGTCTGTAAAGTATTTTATTTCTCCTTCACTTATGAAGCTTAATTTGGCTGGATATGAAATTCTGGGTTGAAAATTCTTTTCTTTAAGAACGTTGAATATTGGTCCCCACTCTCTTCTGGCTTGTAGAGTTTCTGCCAAGAGATCAGCCATTAGTCTGATGGGCTTCCCTTTGAGGGTAACCCGACCTTTCTCTCTGGCTGCCCTTAACATTTTTTCCTTCATTTCAACTTTGGTGAATCTGACAATTATGTGTCTTGGAGTTGCTCTTCTCGAGGAGTATCTTTGTGGCGTTCTCTGTATTTCCTGAATTTGAATGTTGGCCTGCCTTGCTAGATTGGGGAAGTTCTCCTGGATAATATCCTGCAGAGTGTTTTCCAACTTGGTTCCATTCTCCCCATCACTTTCAGGTACAGCGGGGTCAGATGTGGATTTGGTCTTTTCACATAGTCCCATATTTCTTGGAGGCTTTGTTCATTTTTTTTATTCTTTTTTCTCTAAACTTCTCTTCTCACTTCATTTCATTCATTTCATCTTCCATCACTGATACTCTTTCTTCCAGTTGATCACTTCAGCTCCTGAGGCTTCTGCATTCGTCACGTAGTTCTCGTGCCTTGGTTTTCAACTCCGTCAGGTGCTTTAAGGACTTCTCTGCATTGGTTATTCTAGTTATCCATTCGTCTAATTTTTTTTCAAAGCTTTTAACTTCTTTGCCATTGGTTCGAATTTCCTCCTGTAGCTCGGAGTAGTTTGATCGTCTGAAGACTTCTTCTCTCAACTCATCAAAGTCATTCTCTGTCCAGCTTTGTTCCATTGCTGGTGAGGAGCTGCATTCCTTTGGAGGAGGAGAGGCGCTCTGATTTTTAGAGTTTCCAGTTTTTCTGCTCTGTTTTTTTCCCATCTTTGTGGTTTCATCTACCTTTGGTCTTTGATGATGGTGACGTTCAGATGGGTTTTTGGTGTGGATGTCCTTTCTGTTTGTGAGTTTTCCTTCTAACAGACAGAACCCTCAGCTACAGGTCTGTTGGAGTTTCCTAGAGGTCCACTCCAGACCCTGTTTGCCTGGGTATCAGCAGCGGTGGCTGCAGAACAGCGGATATTGGTGAACCACAAATGCTGCTGCCTGATCGTTCCTCTGGAAGTTTTGTCTCAGAGTAGTACCCAGCCATGTGAAGAGTCAGTCCACCCCTACTGGGGGGTGCCTCCCAGTTAGGTTACTCGGGGGTCAGAGACCCATTGAGGAGGCAGTCTGCCCATTCTCAGATCTCAAGCTGCATGCTGGGAGAACCACTACTCTCTTCAAAGCTGTCAGAGAGGGACATTTAAGTCTGCAGAGGTTACTGCCGTCTTTTTGTTTGTCTGTGCCCTGCCCCCAGAGGTGGAGCCTACAGAGGCAAGCAGGCCTCCTTGAGCTGTGGTGGGCTCCACCCAGTTCGAGCTTCTCAGCTGCTTTGTTTACCTAATAAAACAACTAACTCGGTAATGGCAGGCACCCCTCTCCCAGCCTCGCTGCCGCCTTGCAGTTTGATCTCAGACTGCTGTGCTAGCAATCAGCAAGACTCGTGGGCATAGGACCCTCCGAGCCAGATGCGGGATATAATCTCCTGGTGTGCCGTTTTTTAAGCCCATTGGAAAAGTGCAGTATTAGAGTGGGAGTGACCCAATTTTCCAGGTGCCATCTGTCACCCCTTTCTTTGACTAGGAAAGGGAATTCCCTGACCCCTTGCATTTCCCGGGTGAGGCAATGCCTCACCCTGCTTCAGCTCACACAGGGTGCACTGCACCCACTGTCCTGCACCTACTGTCTGGCACTCCCCAGTGAGATGAACCCGGTACCTCAGTTGGAAATGCAGGAATCACCTGTCTTCTGCGTCGCTCACGCTGGTAGCTGTAGACCAGAGCTGTTCCTATTCGGCCATCTTGGCTCCTCTCCCCTATCTGTTGTTAAAGTTTGTTATGCAAATGACTATGGGTGAAGCTGCAGAAAGCATGTTTAACTGACTGAAGGAAACCAAATGTGTAAGAAATTTAGCATTTTGTGATTGCTTTTTTCTATACAAATAAGTTACCAGTTTATTAACTAGAAATGCTAATGCTTTCTTTGTAGAGTAATTTCATGTACTTAAAAGAAACCCATTCTTTTTCTTTTTCTCATTCCAGAATGGACTTAAAGTAGCTAACCTAGCTTTCCCTATATTCTATAGTTTAAACTTTTTGAAATATATCCACCCCTTAAAGTCTGTCTGCATTAGTGAGTTTGTATTGTCCTGAAAATTGATTTCTTAACTTTATTTGAATGAGTATGACTCTAAATATTAAAAAATCTTTGTCTTCCTTCAGCATCTCGATAACTTGCAAGTTGTACAGTTCTGGTTCAATATCCTTTTTCTTTCCTCCTATTCCTGTCACTGTTCCAAAATTAGGTGAATGGCTGGCTAACTCCTTTCATAAATCAAATAACATTCTTCCTGTGGTTTCAATGGAGTAAGTCAAGCTTCAGAAACTGGCACAGACACTTACAGTAGCACTGTTCCGGGGACCCCAAGGAATAAAAGATTTTATGAAATTGGTCTATATAAGTCACATCCCCACTCAGCATAATCACAAGCTCTGCTGCAGTTGCAAACAATGGAGTGTTTGAATTCTAAATCGGTCCTTCAATTATCAAACCTGTCACTCCTTCTCCTTGATGGTTTTTCTACCCCGCAAAATCCCAACTGCTATTGCTATTGCTGCAAAGTTCTCAAATTCTTACTCTCAGAATTTTTCCAGAGTATGAAAAGTTTTCATGAAGCAATGAATATTGATGAATGCCAAGATAAGGGAAAGCCTCTCTCTGCAGTATATTCAATTTCTCCCTCTCTCCTGGATCTTCTTCTAGAAATTCAAACATCCTTAAGTTGCTATAGTTTAAAAAAAATTCTTCCTTACACATATACAGATATTTATCTCATTTTCATTTTCCAGCCAAATTTCTGTTGTAATCCATATTGCTTTACCGCTTTCGTCTTAACCAATTAATTTTGCCTCCTTCCTCTATTGTTTTACTGAAACAATACTTGCTAAGGTTACCAATTATCTCCACAGTGCTAAATCCAAAGGATGTTTCTCAGACTTCATTTTATTTACACACTTCAAAACATTCTTGAAATTAATCTTCCTTTGGCCTGTGGATCACACTCTCCTGGTTTCCTTCCTCCTTCTCCAGCTGCTTCATCTTAAATTTATTTGTGGGCTCATTCTCGTCTACCAGCCATTAAATGTTGACAAAGAGAGAAGTCCCAAGACATTCTTGAGAATCATCTTTGGAATCTCCCTGCTCAAGTCTGATTAATTTTGCCTCCCAGTTTTCAAATCCATTACTTCTCCCCATCTCCATGATCACTACCTTTCATCCAAGTTATAATCATCTTTCCCTGTACTGCACAAACCTCCTGTCTGGCCTCCTCCTGCACCCCATCCCCTCTCTCTCTACTATGAGGCCAGAAATGTCCTTTAAATATGCAAATCTGACCGTGGCATCCTGCCCTTTTTACATAAGCTTTTCCATGGCTTACTATTTCTTTTAGGATAAAGACCTTTAAAAGACCTCCAAGTTCTTTAAACGATCTACGTATTTTACCTGCTGCCTGTTTATTTCATCATCCCCCATTTGTTCCTCCTTCTTTGCGTTCTTGTGGTTCCTTGAACAGTCAATATTCCTCCATGGTCTTAGCAACAGCTGTGTGCTCTAGAAAGAAAAGTTTACCTCTCAGTTAATTCAATAATCACTTCCTCAAAGAAGCTTTCTCTGACCCTGCAGTCTATGTCATATCCTTTGACTTGTGTCCTTTATAATTACCTACATTGTCAGCAACTACACTGACTACTGAAATTACATCAATTTGTGTGATCTTTTGATTATTTACTTAAAGACTGCCTCTCCTGCTAGACTGTAAGTTCCTTGAGAAAAGGAGCTGTGTCTATTTTGTTTATATTTGTAGGATCTGCTCTTAGTACAGATTCTGAAAGATGCCCTATAGAAAAGGTGCTCAATATCTTCCTGAAAAAGTAAAAGAAAAATATTAGAGCCATACATGGAAAATTGGTAAGGCTTGGCCCTACATCTCTGCTCCTCCCTTTTTAGAAAAACCATAAGAAATCATGTGAGAAGTTCAATAAAAATAAGAAACTATTCCTTCAGTTAGTCCCAAAAAGTGTTTTTTTCCCAAAGACATACCAGAGCTTTTGTGAAAGTTAATTAAAGGAATGAAATAGTAGGTTAAGATATCTATATATATTTCATAATGCCTCCAGGCCCTAAACATACTAATAAGCACTGCTATACCTAGAATCAGTCAACTAAGGCTTGTAACTCAGGCCCCTGTCCGTAGGACCCTGTTCTGACCTTCCGCCAGCTAAGCCTCTCCACACAGGCTGAAAAGGGGGTTAAGGCCAAGGGATAAGCCCAAACCTACCTAGAGCTGTGCCTCCACACTCCTAGACCTCACCCCAGATGCCCAAACAACCCTGAGCTGAAGCCTACATATGCATCTTCCTGGGTTCATTCTCCTGAGTGCAGACAGCAACACAAGTGACCACGTCCTTAGCTCTAACCCATGACCATGGTATGGGTATTTCAGGGTAGAGTGGAGGTGGTTGACAGAGTTTGGATTTGCCCACTGGAATGTCCACAGTCATAAACCAGAAGTCCCCTCCAGAACAGGACTGTGCTCAGGCTGGGAAGACAATGGGCTCAGGCATTAGACCAGGGGCTGCCATGTGTATTAAATAACGAAAGAGAAAACAGAATTAAAGTTATGCAAATGTTGAGGCAGACCCACTAATTAGGTGTCTATCCTTACAGGCGGATTGATTTCAGTCTCTCCCCATCTGCTCCAACCATTAGGCCAAAACATTCTTCACACTCCTCTCTCCCTTCTTCAGTATATAATTTATAGCCTGACTTTTTGCCTATTTTGCTGAATACAAACTTCTCTTGGGAAGTTCTAAAAGCCCTCTATTAGAACCCCAACCTCCACAGCCTGTAGGTATGCTGGGAACCCTCTCTTCCTATCCAGCCCATTTGCACATGCGCCCTGTCCTTCACCTCTGTGTTCTCTCCGGCTGTCATGTCTGTACCCTCTCAGTCTACCCAAAGAACCGTGCCCAGACTTCAGAACCTTGCTGACCTCCGTGATTTCCCAAAACACGCACTACATGTTCTTATCCCTGAACTTCTATAGCAGAGATGTCATAAAATTTTAATTAGGGCCAATCAGAAATCCAACTGTGTAGACCCTATCCGTTTTTGTAAAAATGGCAAAGGACTTATCTTATTGGCCATCCAGAAGTATGGCTCTAAACACAGTCTCAGAAAGGGTCAACTTTACTTAGACATGTGCCAATCTAGGCTTAACAGTATTAAACATTTTTTACCAAGTGAATGAGAACTCTGGCATTTAACAAACTGAGCTATCCTTTTACAAAAGTGTGACAGCCTGGCCAACATGGCAAAACCCCATCTCTACTAAAAATACAAAAAATTAGCTGGGCGTGGTGGCGGGTGCCTGTAATCCCAGCTACACGGGAGGCTGACACAGGAGACTAGCTTGAACCCGGGAGGCGGAGGTTGCAGTGAGTGGAGATCACGCCATTGCACTCCAGCCTGGGCGACGGATCGAGACTCTGTCTCAAGAAAAAAAATAAAAAATAAAATAAAAAATTTAAAAGTGTGATGTTTTCAGCCAAGACATACCTAAATTCCAACTCGCAATTTCCCTCACCCAGGGATGCCTCTGGGTTTCCCTTTCAGTAGTTTCACAAAAGTTTCTCTTTCCAGATACTTTCACAGAGTTTCACAGAGACAAACAAAAACATTGTCCAGGGATGTCCCAGAGCAAGGATTTTCAGGTGAGTTCTAAGACTGATATTCTCAACTCTGAAGCTTCAGGAATACTTCTGGATGAATATAGATTGTTTTCAAGTAATTCCGTTCTTTTTGAAACTAAGTATCCCTCCCCACCCTCTTCCACACCCATAAGGCTTTACTAAGCTTTTTTGAGCTTTACTAAAGCTCAAAAAAAAATCTGCTACTGCGTTAATCGAGGTATTTACAAAATTATGGTAGAATTTCAATACAGCCCATAATTGCAATCACCTACAAAGATGTGGGTAGCTGAAATACCCAGCTCTTAATAGACTTAGAAATAGAAAAAGGCAGACCATGAAAACATCTTTGGATTCTTGTTTTTTCTTAAAAAACAACACTAATAGACATAGATGCTCTTTTAATAAATGTTTCCAGATATGCTATTTCCTATATTTTTCAATGATAAATACATGTAGCAGGTCATTTACTGACAAGTGCACATAACAATTTATATTATAATGTCTAATAGGGAAAAATCTAATAACTCACAGAACCGTCAGGTGAAAAAAAAATACAGTTAAATCTCTTGCACAGTGGAAGTCTTCATTTTTTAAATTATTATTCATTCATCACTACTGATGTCATATTATGCACATCATAAGTTTCTGAACTTAGGCTTTTATGCTTTTCGTTGACTGAGTCATGGTCAAAAGAAGAAGTAATAAGCAAAGAAAAAATTTCCTAGAGAAATCTGCACACACAAAAAAATTCATATTTTCCATTTATTATGAGATAGGCAGATAACAGAATATTGAGAAGCTATTTATTTTTGGCACCGTATTTGATCAAAAGCTTCCTGTATTCCTTTTTAAAGCTAATCCTATTCACCAACAGGTGAAGAAAATTGACTTAATTTTGCTCTATTTCTACTCTGACAAGATATTTTACTCATTAAAGGGCCTTGTTGAGCTTCTAGTGTTTAGCGTTAGTGTTTAAAAAAAGTATACATACACACACACACACACACATATTCTGTGCTCTAGCCCAAATGGCTAGAAATTGTGAGCTATTGAGATCTTGCTGCTATTAAATGAATAAAAGGCTCTCCGCTGCCTAAGAGATTACATAGATATGAATATTATTTATGTGTATATACAGACACACACACATATATATCTATATGAGTTCAGTTTTTTATTTTCCTGTATATGAAATGTTTGAAAGATCTTATCAATTTCACAGCAATGAACATTTTCTTTTCTCAGGGAACTTCCTCTTCACACTGTTTCCTTTATTCCCAGTCTCTTAGGTGACTTTAAACAATGAAGAAGAAAAGACAGGCCACGGTGTCACGTCTTACTAAGTGTTTCAGGTATATGATTATGAGACAGGCCCCATCTCCACAAGAATCAAGCAAGATAAGGGGGGTTACATCATTTTAACAGTGTTTCAAATGGCTAGAGGAGAGGATTTTGAATATTCTCACCCCAAAGAAATGATTACTGTTTGAGGTGATAGTTATACTAATTACCCTAATTTGATCATTACACATTGTATACATGTATCAAAACATCAAACTGTATCCCACAGATATGTATAACTATTGTGTCAATTAAAAATAATTATTTGGGGTCAGGCGCAGTGGCTCACACCTGTAATCCCAGCACTTTGGGAGGCCGAGGCGGACAGATCATGAGGTCAGGAGACCAAGACCATCCTGGCTAACAGGGTGAAACTAAAAATACAAAAGATTAGCCGGGTGTGGTGGTGGGCGCCTGTAGTCCCAGCTACTTGGGAGGCTGAGGCAGGAGAATCGCTTGAACCCGGGAGGCGGAGGTTGCAGTGAGCCGAGATCACGCCACTGTACTCCAGCCTGGGTGACAGAGTGAGACTCCATCTCAAAAAAAAAAAAAATTTAAAAAGAGTATTTCACTGACTGTATTTCACACCAGAGAAACACATGTGTGTATTTGATACAAAACATACCTTGTCTTTTTGGACACTTCAGCCCTTGACATACCTTAAGTACCTCTAAGCACTGTTCTTATGCACTTCCCATTAGTAAATATCTCATTGAAAAACCTCTGCACAAATATTTTTTTTACCAAAAATACGAGAGACAATCTGCTGCAACAGAATATAAAAGAGCAAATAAGAAATGTCCCAGAATATAAAAGCAAGGCCAGAAAGTTTTTATTCTCTGAGGTAAGAAAAAAGCCACCCCCAAAATTATGTTTATTTAAACTAGATTTGAATGTTTCTCAAATTTAGTAAGGTGGTTCAAGTTGACGTCAGGATACCAACTAAACAACAACTTATGAAACAAGTCAATGAAGCATTATCTATCCACATGGATTTTACCTTGACATTATGAGATAGAGCTATGTCCAACATAAAGTGGGGACCTGCAGGAAGAGGAGGCAGAAGTAAGAATTTATCACAGTTTTAACAAATGCAAAGGACAGAGGATACTCTTTTAGTAGGCAGAAATATTCCTGGTATGAAGAGCAATCCATCCTATTGGCCCAGATCAATATAAATATGCCTCTGATTATTTGATCCCCTTGGTTTAGAATCATTCATCTGTTCATTCAACAGTTCTCCAATAAGTGTTGATTTTTTAATGAGCACTTCAGTACATGAGGGAGATACCAGGAATAAAATGCTCGAAGAGAGCTCAGTCTAGTAAGAGAAGTAGACTAGTACGCAGACAATTACTAATGAGTTTGATAACTCACTGTTCACTGAGTCACTTGATGTATATCCTGTCTCCAGGGGACCCACCAATGTGGTCTTGGTTCTTAAACCCGGTATAATTTCTACCACAAATTCATAAAGCAGTAGTCTTTTTACCAGTAAGTCTCTTGTGAATTTATTAGCATGACCCAGTCTCCCTGCAGGCAAAAACATCCAATTTAATTTCTGCCCATGCAAAGTAGGTGTCCAGGCCCCAAAACCATGAAGACTCCATCCCATGAGGCTCTTCCTGAGACAGCCAAATAATGTCTCTTGACAACTCTGGTTTTTGCAAAAAAAAACCATTTATTCACAACACTCAGCCCCGACATGACAGGGCTTCTATCACATGATAACATTTCCCTAAATCATTTCCATCACAGGTGTGCATGGGCTTTCAGCTTATTTTACATCAGTAATTCTCAAACTTTAGTGAGTTTAAGAATTCCCTGGGAAGAATAATGAAAATGCAGTTTCATAGGCCCCACACTGCACTCCACCCTGGGTGACAGAGACCCTGTATCAAAAAAAAAAAAAATTGTACCATGTGGTACATTTGCATAAATGTAATCTTATTGTCATTTTATTGTTGTACCCACTGTGGATGTTAGAAATGACACAATATGATTGATGATTTTTATTTTTATTTTATTAATTTTATTTTTTCATAAGTTATTGGGGTACAGGTGGTATTTAGTTACATGAGTAAATTCTTTAGTGGAGATTTGTGAGAACCTGGTGCACCCATCACCCAAGCAGTATGCACTGCACCATATTTGTTGTCTTTTATCCCTCGCGCCCTCCCACTCTTCGCCACACTGTTTTCCATAGTGGCTGTACTAGTTTACATTCCAATCAGCAGTGCAGAAGTAGCGGGGGTCTGTCCTGCAGACCCCAGGTGCATGACGGATGAGACACGTACTCAGACACCGATATTCAGTGGAAGAGTGGGCTGGGGGCTGCTGGCACTAGGGGCCAAAGAGAGTTTGCAGCCCCTTCCAAGCTGGCAACGCTTCCATTTATTTAGTACAGATTTAATTGACAAGGACTTTGAGTCAACACACTTGTGGTCATCCCCACCCTGAAGAGGGCCATCTTGCCCACAAATGATCAAAGGTTGATTTTAGGACCACATGAGTAAACAAGCTATTTAGATAAACTACTCTACATTCCTTTGTATCTGTGCCCCAAGCTGTTAGCTCAAGGTAAGGATTAGGCTGCTTTCAGCCATAACCCTAGCCTGAGACATTTGCAAAACCTTCCGGCCTTCCAAGGTTTGTGTTTACATCCTATAACTTCATCTTAAAATTTTTCCCACCAGCCTGACTGAACTCCCACAAGAAGTGTTCCCAGATCACCACATCCACGCCAACATCTACTGTTTTTTGTTTTTTTGATTATGGCCATTCTTTCAGGAGTAAGGTGGTATTGCATCGTGGTTTTGATTTACGTTTCCCTGATCATTAGTGATGTTGTGCATTTTTTCATACGTTTGTTGGCCATTTGTGTATCTTCTTTTGAGAATTGTCTATTCATGTCCTTAGCCCACTTTTTGATGGGATTGATTGTTTCTTTCTTACTGATTTATTTGAGTTCATTGTAGATTCTGGATATTAGTCCTTTGTCAGATGTATAGATTATGAAGATTTTCTCCCACTCTGTGGATTGTCTGTTTACTCTTGCTGACTGTTCCTTTTGCCGTGCAAAAGCTCTTTAGTTTAATTAGGTCACAGCTATTTATCTTCGTTTTTATTGCAATTGCTTTTGGGTTTTCGGTCATAAAATCCTTGCCTAAGCCAACGTATAGAAAGGGTTTTTTCAATGTTATCTTCTAGAATGTTTATAGTTTCAGGTCTTAGGTTCAAGTCTTTAATCCATCTTGAGTTGATTTTTGTAACAATTCTACCATTAATATGGAACCAAAAAAGAGCCCACATAGCAAAAGCAAGACTAAGCAAAAAGAACAAATCTCAAGGCATCACACTACCTGATTTCAAACTATACTATAAGGCCATAGTCACCAAAACAGCAAGGAACTGATATAAAAATAGGCACATAGACCAATGGAACAGAATAGAGAACCCAGAAATAAACCCAAATACTTACAGCCAACTGATCTTCAACAAAGCAAACAAAAACATAAAGTGGGGAAAGGACTCCCTTTTCAACAAATGGTGCTGGGAAAACTGGCAGGCCATATGTAGGAGAATGAAACTGGATCCTCATCTCTCACCTTATACAAAAATCAACTCAAGATGGATGATTTTTAAATCCACAAGAAGGCTGGACACAACAGAAGTGAATCCTCCCCCTCCAATGCTGGGAAAGAATGCATTCCAATGATCTCCTTGCTAATGCTTTCCTCCTGCCAAACTAAATTTACCTTATTCACATCAGTTATGCACTTGGTCTTGATATGAGCAAGGTTAAAAAACCACAAAAAGATCATGTGACTAGAGGAAGTAGTGGGACATAAAAAGCCCAGGCCTGCAAATTCTTGATACCAGTACTCTTAGGAGAAATTACAGGAAACCTCAGTGTCTCTGGGTAAGACATGTGAATATAACCAAATGTTGAGGGGGAACTTAACCTGTTACCTCAGAAATGGTGGCTTGAAGACAAAACTGATGACAGTGACATCAAATACTCCACATTCTAAAGAAAGCTGTAGAAAACTGATGGCCAGATACCCCCTCCATTGATTACTAAGAGAAGCCAAATCAGTCCTGTGACCCCACCATCACCACATTGACCTAGCCAATCTCCAGGCCCTTTCAACCTCCTAACCTCAGAAGCAACAGACTAAGGAGAAGAGAAGGGGTGAACAGTATGTGTTATGTAGTGAGAGAGGGCTCCTGCTTTCAAGCAATCCACTTGTTAGTTGACTTCCTAATTGTTTTTCACATCCTGAGTGGTATTTGATAACTCAATTGAGGAGTTATACAGAGATGACAGGCATTACACAGAGATGCCATTGAAGAGCCAAGAGTTTGATTTCTACAGTCTCCATCTTTGCTGATGGATCAGGGCAATGACTGAATATTAACTTCCATAGCCTGAAATACAACTTTCTTTAACATTGATTTTGTAACCAAAACATTTAAAAGTTATTTTTACCTTGCATCAATTCATTATTTTAAAACCCTGTCCTGATGTGAATTAGTCTTGAGAATCAAAATACCCTATTCAGTAAATTAACTTCAAGTCTGATGCCACCGATGCTAAGCACTCCATTGAAAAGCAGAGCATTCCTCTTCCAAGATGTGCAGCAGAGCAATTCTTGAGGTTGATCCAACATGAATCCTCAGGGAAACCGGGGGAAGAATCTGATGCTCTTACTATTGCTTGGAAATACCTCAAGAGAAGAGTAGAAAAGAAGTCCCATATTTCTGCCTTGAGATATTAAATGGAGAAAAAAATATCCCAGATTTAGTAGCCTGGTGAATACTAAATGAGTCAAATGATGCATTAAGTCAAATGATGCAGTGATTCATTTTGCATCATCTGTTAAACGAAATGATGCTCCTAACTTTTCAGACACAGCACCATTCTGTCATTGTCATTGTCATCCACACATGCTAAGATGAGAGCAAGACTCCATTTATTTCCAGAGCTTCTCTGGTGAAAGATGCTGTGATGTGCAATGTGATGTATACTGATATATCAATTCACAGTTGATTGTAATTGTCACAAAAATGTAAAACTTCAGACAATGTAAAATAGAGGGGGATCTTTGCTATTAAATAGAGAAGATCATCATTTATCTGCTTCTCTGCCTTTCTAGTATTAGTAACTCAGTAGGTGGACCTGTCTAAACCATGGCTCATTTCCATCCAGACCACAATCTGGATCATGCTTGACCAAATCCTTTACCTTATGGCAGCTATCACATAGGGAAAACCTCACTCGACTTTGAATAATCTAGACTGGGTTGCTGGTGTAGTTTTGCCAGTTGTCAGCTAAGGGCCTCCAGCACACAGTTTTAAAATTTTCAAAGCCTCAGTTTCCCCATCTACAAAATTTGGACAATATTTTAACTCTTTGGATTATTGGGAAGTTTTAAGTTAAAAAATATTTGTGAAAACACCTAGCACAGACATTACTGGGTGCAGATGCTCAGTAATTCATCTTTTCAAAAATCTGTTAATAATGGTATCTTTCTAAGTTATCCTCTATGTTATTTATTCTTTTTCCTTCTCTGCTACCTGTTGCAGTTGTGACAAAGTTTCCAAGTACAAATGAAGTGACCCTCATCTAGCAATAAAGAAACAAATCCTCCAACAGCTATTTCCTGTCTGACAGTTGGTATGCATATGCTTCACTGACTTTACTGTTTAGCCATGAAACCTTCATCATAAGTGTCATTTGGCCTTAACTTTGCAATAAGGTAATTATAGTGCTGGGCTTATTAAAAACAGACTCCATCACAGGAGACGTTGACGGATGTTGGTTGAAGTTCTAACTTGACAAGCAAGTGGGATGAGCAAGTGCATGGCAGAACTAAAGACATTATATTGCAAATGCTGTTTATTTTCTGTCAACTATAAACTATGCAGTAAATAATACATTATAAAAGAGATCCAGAAATAACATTAAGCTAAAATGGAACCATCAATTATTCTCTCTTCTTTAGCTTTCAGAAGATTTTTTTTCCCCTTCACTATTGGTACTTTTTCCTTTACTCGTTAATTGCTTTTTTTCCTGACTCCCCTGTTCTGCTCCAATGCCTATAAATCATTGTAAAAAAAAAAAAAAAGATAGAATGTTACTATTATGAAAAGAGTGTAAAAATGGTATTTAAATAAATTTGCTTTTGCTATCCAGCCAACTTTCTCTAACCTTTAAGTGAAAGTTTAAAGCTTCTGCTGTGAATGTTGTAAACTCTTGTGGGCACATGCATGTATTTTTTTTTTTTTTTTGACATGGAGTCTTCCTGTATCTCCCAGGCTGGAGTGCAGTGGCGTGATCTCAGCTCATTGCAAGCTCTGCCTCCCGGGTTCATGCCATTTTCCTGCCTCAGCCTCCTGACAGGCAGGGTTTACAGGCACCCTCCACCATGCCCGGCTATTTTTTTGTATTTTTAGTAGAGACGGGGTTTCACCATGTTGGCCAGGATGGTCTCGATCTCTTGACCTCGTGATCCACCCGCCTCGGCCTCCCAAAGTGCTGGGATTACAGGCGTGAGCCACCACGCCTGGCCCACATGCACTCACACGACTCTAGGCACTGGGCACAGTTCAAAATTTAAGCAGTCCCTTCACAGTGAGTTTTGAGATGTAAATTTAAAATATACTATGGCAGGAAGTTCAAGGTTTTACTGTAAGGAGCAACTTTGAAATACATTTGCCTATGGTGTTAAATCACAAAGGATTCTGAATTAGCTGCTTATGACAGCAAAATGATAATAAATGGAGCAAACAGGGAGGAGAAGAGGAAGAAAAGAGTAGGTGAAAAACTACGTCTCACCTTACTCAGTTCCATGCCTACACCCATGCCTTAGAAAGCCACTCCAGTTATAACAGTTCCTTTCCCAGTGTGAAGATTCAGGATTCTCCTCTAAGTCAATAAGTAGTTACTGAACATCTATCCCATATCCATCATCATGCTAAACATTGCTTTTATACATGAGTCATTCATTCAAATATTTGGGGTACCTAATATGTTCACATGTTGGGGATCTAATTAAGAATGAGACAGAAATTACCCTCAAGGAGCTTACAGTTTATTTCTATGTGTTCTTAAGATACACAGGCTTAATTCTGAAAATTTTCTTATTTTCTTCAGAAAAAATGCCCGTTGAATATACCTAGTGTTACCAGTATAGAACCTCTCTGTTATACAATCTTTGAGGAGCATACCACTGTTACAGGTAAAACAATGTGGGCATAGGAACCTTCAGTTCCTTCCAATTAAACACACCCATATATGCAGGTCAAAGCAGAGAACTGATGAAACTGAGTGAAGTGGAAATGAGGAACGCTGGGTTCTATCAAGGAGTTACAGAACTACTATTTACTCAGCAACTTTATGCATACAGAAACCCACAAATATAAAAGACAAATACAATAAAGCCCACTTAGCATACCCCTGCATTTCAGGTTCTCTAAGATTCCAGATTCTCATTGAATATCTTACATGGCTGTAAGTATAGAGGTGCAGTTATGCAATGTGGTCGTGGGCTCTTTGAGGAATAGCCAAAGTTACTCATTGATCAAAGCAAAAAGGCTACTGGTCCCTCATCGACTTTTCAAGCCGTATACAGATAATTCATTCCATGTTAATAATAATAATAACAAAATACATCTCATTTGAAAAATATTGAAGAACTTCACATTTTTTGCATCCCTACAGACAACTGGAGATCATCTGAAATGTCTCAAAATCCCATGATTGGGAATCATGATCTAGTTATCAGAGCATTAATTGAATTACAAGGCTTTGGGGAATGTGAATAGAAAAGAATGTGTGCCTCCTGGCACTTTTTGGCTAGTATAAAGCACTACAGGAATAATTGGGAAGTATTCAAAACCACTACCCATTACCACAATTCAACAGGAATAAGACATAAGAACAAAAAAGGGCTAGAAGAATTAAATCTCACTGACAAATTATTTCAAGGAAATCCCCACCACACCAGGCCAACACAGGCACCATGCTACCATTTCTTTAACTCGCTGAGCACTAAAATTCTCTAAAACCACAAAATAAAATGTGAATAGCTTCATTTAAATAGTCTACTATAAGGAAATTGGGCCTTATTTTGAGCATTATTATAAAGCAGCTGTTTCTGTTCATCACAGAAAATCTCTACCTGACATTTAAGACACAGGCAGCAGTCACTGAGTCCTCTCCATTCTTAGGAGCATCTTAAAGCAACCACTTCTCTAGAATGTACACATTTATGCTTGTTGACTTAGCCACTTTTCCGGCAGCATATTTTGGCACATACATCTCTCCCTCATCTTAGAACATAAATGTATTTATAAGACATATTGGTGATGCGGAAAGAACACATGAACAATCACTTTCAGTAAGACTTGTTAAATCATGATATCACTGTGTGTTTTTTCATTCATGATGCTTTGGTTTCCCCAACTATAAAATCAGAATAATGATATTATCTTCTGCCTTGGTGTGTTCTAAGGAATAAAGAGCTTGGCACTGTGCCTGGCATCGTAGTTGGTATAATTACTACTATTGGTGTTGTTGATATAGTGATATCTTTACAGATATTGTAACTGATATGTACATATTAATATATAACTACACAGATAGAGACAGAATTTATGCAGAATGTGTAGGAAATAGGACTTTCAAGATGATAATTTTTTTAATAATCAAAAATTGTCTTTCAGGCCTAAAATCATTTAAACATCTGGAAACAATCACCACATATTCGTCCCAGTCTCTGAGATATGGAATTCTTCCCATCTGCCCCAGTGTTCCCCTGGCAGCCCCTTATCAGGTCACTCTAGTCATCCTTCAAGGTCTTTCTTTCTACAGTATTTTGGCATGCCTCCATGAGAGCACTTTCCATATAATGCTGATGATTTCTTCCTGTAGAAATCCCCCACCAAACTGTCATCTTCTGAAAACTGACCTTATCCATCTCTGAGTCCTGCAGTCCTAACATAGCGCCTTGCTCCAAAGTATGAAGGAGGAAAGGAAAGAGAAAAGAAAGCAGACAAAAGGGAAAAAGAAAAAATCAAAAGGGGTAGAGGGAAAAGACAAAATGTACACAATCAAATCTCCACGTTTTAAGTCTCTCTTCTCAGGCAATTTTGTTATAGATTTCCAGAGCCTCCTGTGGACTTCTTTGGCTCTTTGCTCTGGTCTGAGTCTGTACTCTCAGAGAAAATGATGTTGCTGGCTCAACGAGAAAGATCCACAAAGCCACAAGAAAAATGATAACAAGGAAAAGCCTTCATTTGAATATCCACACATTATCCCTCTGCATACGGCAAGAATTTTAAGAAATTATAAATCCTAGATATTTTAAGAAACACTGATAATCTTTTTTAAGAATTCCTATTGTTATTTGCTAGTTACTTCACTCATTTGAAAAAGATGTGTTTAGCATCTCCTGTGTACCAAGCATTCCTTTGGTACTGGAGCCTGCCTTTATGATGCTTACATTCCCAAGGGCAGGGATAGACAAAAAATAAAATAATAGTAACACTACCTCAATAAGTAAGTCATCAGGTATCCAAGAAGGTGGCAGATGTTGGGGGTATTATGTGGGAGCAACAGAGGGACAGAGGGGATGAAGAAATCAGGAGTGCTGGATTCAATTTTAAATAGGCTGCTCAGGATAGGTGAATGATAGGGTGACATTTGTACAAAGGGTGCACAAGTAGTTGTCAGGGTGTATTAGTAAGGGTTCCCTAGAGGGACAGAACTAAGAGGATAGATGTATAGAGAAAGAGGAGTTTGTTAAGGAATATTCACTCACATGATTACAAGTGAGTTCCCACAATAGGCCGTCTGCAAGCTGAGGAGCAAGGAAGCCAGTCAGAGACCCAAAACTGAAGAACTTGGAGTCCGATGTTCGAGGGCAGGAAGCATCCAGCACAGGAGAAAGATGTAGGCCAGAAGATTAAACCAGTCTAGTCTTTTCACTTTCTTCTGCCTGCTTTTATTCTGGCTGTGCTCGCAGCTGATTAGATGGTGCCCACCCAGATTAATGGTGGGTCTGCCTTTCCCAGTCCACTGACTCAAATGTTAATCTCCTTTGGCAACACCCTCACAGACACACTCAGGAACAATACTTTGCATCCTTCAATCCAATCAAATTGACACTCAATATTAACCATCACACATGGAGTGTTCCACATAGGAGAAAAAGCCAAAGAAAATGTACCTGGCATTTAAGTTCAGCAAGGAGGCCAGTGTGAATGGAGCAGAGTGTACTGGCAGGGAATGGGGACGGGGTAGATGAAGTCAGAGAGGCCATACGACGGAGGGGTGGCAGATCAGGCATAGCCCTGTAGCCAGTACAAAAACTATGATTTTACTCTGAGTCACATGGAGACCCATTGGAGAGTTTGCCTCTACTTACTTTTCTCTTCCTATAAGCAGCTGCCTAGAGTTGCCATCCTCTCCCCCACTGGAAAATTAGGGACTTTTGCAGTTAGCTGTCCTGGCTTTTACTAACAGGGGCAATGTCAGTTTGCTGTCAAATGTCACATTTAATAGGGCCCACCCTCATGGGCTTTTCCTGGCTATATCTCTCCCCATGGAGTAAAGAGTTGAAGAGATCTAGGCATTTTCCCACCTAGACCTGCCTCCCTTTTTCCAGACCACAGTCCAATACCCAGGAACTTTCTGCCTAAAAAAGAAGACTCCCATTCCCAGGGCATGTACAACCCCCTTTTCCTGGGCTGTCCTCTCTGACCAGGCCATGCTCTCTCAGCGTGCAACCCAAGATGACCAGGGGCTGGGAGTTTACAGAGGGAGATAGAGCTTGGACTTCCAGGCTGTTGGGATGATGGAGGTTCTATAGGCTTTGACATATGCAATTGACTGGAGGCCCCCTGAAGTGTAGATGCAGCCAGAGGGGGTGGGTTGGGAGCCACTGCCTATTTTCACTTCAGCCGCAGCCCTGCAAGTATTCAGGCAGCCTAGCTATCAAAGCCCTTCAAATGATAAGTCAGAATACCAAAACTCCCTTGCCAAAAGTAAAACTCTCCTCTCTACCTGGTTCTAACTGTATCAAGAAGCTGTTTCCCTCTGCAGTTCTATTTTCCCTGCTCCCCTGGCTTATTCACTTTATCGAAATGGATTTCCAGATCAGATGGAGATGTGAATTCCCGGCATTACCTGAGCACATCTCTCATGGGTCCCCATGTTCCCAGGCTGCCAGCCTTCTACGAGATAAGTGTCACCCGATCACCCCTGAGTCTCTCTTTTCAGCCACAGGTCATCAGGTACACCATGGAAATTGATTATTCTACTCCCTTCAGCTGGGAGGCAATAACTGTCCATCAAAATGGCTATTGCCAGCAGCAATCACTTTTTAAAGGGACTAAGCACTTCTGAACAATTTTAACTTGAACATAACATATTTCCAACAGTTAAATAGTAGCTTTCTCCATAAGAGTACTTCTTTTAGGAGTGCTTTCCAATCTGTTATCTCCTTTTATTATCTTAATATTTCTGTGAAGCAGGTAAAGTAGCTTGAAGGAAAAGAATCCCAGAGAGTGTGAGGGTTTTGACTGCAGCCACTTCCACAGGTAGTGTTCCTACGAAGTCTAAATCTCAATCTAGACCAGGCTCTGATGGCCTTTCCAGTATACCATGCAAATCCTGACCCCTCCCCAGTCAGAAACCCTGAATTTTTTGGCCATTTCCAGGTCTCACTTAATATCTCTTCCTTCCTGAATCTGCCATATCAGTGTCACCTACCTTAACATGAAATAAATATAAAAAACTATATGTTTTCCTCTTGAAACTTCATGTCTCTTCATTCACTCGACTAATGTTTATTGAGTGCCTATTTTATTCTGGGCATTGTGCCAGGGGAACACAAAATAGTCAACCTCCCTGGTGTCATGGAGCTTGCATTCTAGGGGAGAGGAACAGTCAGTAAAGTAGAACAAACATAAATGAACAAAAGCGCAGTGGACACTGTCTCTGCCTGCTCATATGACCTGTGTATTCCCATTCTCATGCATGCCAGTCCTACCACTTCCTCCTATAAGCACCCATGACTTTCCCCCAAGACTCTCTCTGGTGAACCTGGCCCCCACACAGGACAGGCCCGCCTCAAGTGCTGGGGACTTGATAGTCTCAGCAACAGCCCTCAACTAATAACCAATTAGAGTTAGTGGATAAATACCCCAGCTCCCTCACCTTTCAGGTGGGACAACTTTGAAGCAAAGTCTTCTACACTGTCACCCAGAGTTCCCCAGTGGCAACAGCCCCAATTTCCCATAGCAGGCACCCTGCATTGGCTTCCATTGCTTCCCATACTTACTTCCACACTGCCCCACCTGTTCTTTCTAAGATCGCCTCCAAGAAAACTACTTAGGCTCAAATCTTTCTCTTGGGGCATTACAGATAGTGATAAATATTATGAGGGAAATAAATTAATATAATGATAAGAGATTGAGAGAAGAAAAGGCAGTATTAGATTGGGTGTTCAGGGAGGGCTAAAGAATAAGGTGATGCTTGAGCTGGGGTGATAGCTGAGCTGAGACTTGAATGATGAAGAAGAACCTGCTGGTGGAAACTGGGAATCTGAGGGCAAGTATTCCAAGGAGAAAGAACAGCAAGTGGGAAGATCCTGAGGCTGGAGGAAGTGTGGGGTGCTTGAAGAATAGCAAGAAGGCCAGAGTGGCTGGAGCAGATGCAGTCGGAGAAGTAAGAAGGAGCTGGTTCCAGAGGACCTGGGGGACACAATAAGGATTTCTAGATTTCATACTAAGCACAATGGGAAGCTGCGGGAGAGCCCAAGCTACGGAGTTGACATAATTCAATCTGCTTTTTTGAAAGGTCATTATAGCTGTTGTTAGATCCTGTGCCCTCCACTTCAGCACCATGCAGTACACAAAACCACTCCCTTTGGATGGTTGGCTTAGATCACATATGAAGTATAGTTACAGTGAACTTCAGAAAGAAAAAATAAAGAAAAGAAAAAGATAGGGATCCAAAAATTTTCCTATGGTTAACAGGGAACTTCCCAAGTCTCTAGTTCCACACTCCCCATATCAAAAATGTGTTTGATAAGCCTATTGTGAAGAAAGTCATGGGAAGTCCTCCTAAATCTGTCTCAAGTAGAAATGTGCTAAAAGACCTCTGCATTACATATGAAAGTTTAGAGAATTCATTCATTTCCTTGATAAATCATTTTGAATTAAAAAGAAAGGTCATTTTTGCTAATAGGAGAGAAATGAAGGTCAATTTATCTGACCATCTGGCCCCTGATCTCAAAAGATCACTGCTTTTAAGTACTCGCTGCTATTATTAATGATGCTATACTAATGCATATTCCTCCTGATCAAACTGCTTTGCCACTTTGTTACTTAATGCAGATGCTGTAGAAGCAAAGGTTAGAATCTTGCACCTTTTAGAGCAAAAAGATGAGGCTAGTTAGGCTGATGCTTGACAAGCAGTCAGAATAAATTAATTTCCCCTCTCTGAAATGTTTCTTTGTCAGCTTCTGGGGGTCAGTCACTATTTTAGCTCAGCTAATGCTGCCAAGAGTAGAGTATCAGATGAGAGATGCAGAGAAGTTTACTTCAAATCAGTGCTTTGAGCTAAAGCACCTGATGCCTATACATACAGTGCCTGCTAGTCCATTACCCTGCCCTCAAAGGCTCATTCTGTTGTTCACAGGAGTTATTTACTGGGAGGCAGATAATCTTGTGGAAGAACACATGACCAAATTCCTTAATCCATGTGCTCTTTGAAAGAATTATATTAGGAAAATGCCTCTCAAAATTAAGAAAAAAAAACTTCCACATTTTTAAAAGGGAGATTTTGTTTAAAAGAATGAAAAATAGCAGCTTCATCCACTTTTAATTCCGAATATTTTCAGAAAAAAAAAATTATACCACCAAAAGAATCACTCACTGATTTTTTTCTTTTCTTTTTGGTAATTTCAGCTCTCACAAAATTATCCTCTGCAATTTGAAAATGGTATTACTAGGTAGTGATGGAAAGTAGCACACACCTAAAATCTAAGGAGCAGTTGTGTTTGGCTGGAGAGTGAAGATAGTGCCTGTATGACATACTCAGGTATGAGGATTATAACCAGTGCCATAACAAGGAAGAGCTATCGTGAGCCCTAGTACATTCACAATTATTGTTGGGAGATTACTACAGCTTTGTAACATAATTTGAAATTAGAAAGTGTGAGGCCTCCAACTTTGTTCTTTCTCAAGATTGCTTTGGCTATTAGAGGTCTTTGGTGGTTCCATACTAACTGTAGAAATGCTTTTTCTATTTCTGTGAAAAATGTCATGGAATTTTGATGGAGAATACATTGAATCTATAAATTGTTTACGGTAAGATGGACATGTTTAACAATATTAATTCTTCAAATCTGTGAATGCAGGGTATTTCTCCATTGATTTATGTCTTCTTCAAGTTCTTTCCTCAATGTTTTATCAGTTTCAGTGTGTAAATATTTTTCTTCCCGGTTAAATTTATTTCTATATTTTATGCTACTGTAAATGAGATCATTTTCTTGATTTTGTTTTTGTGTAGATTTTTACTGGTATAAAGAAGGCAACTGATTGACTTTATATCCTGCAATCTTATTAAATTTACTTATTAGTTCTAACAGCCTTTTGTTCCTTTGTTTCTTATGTATTTGCTATATTTTGGTAGAGTCTGTTTTTCTATATATAGGACTATGTCATATGCAACCAGGGATAATTTTATTTCTTCCTCTCCTGTTTGGATGCCTTTTACTTCTTTCTCTTGTCTGATTGCTGTTGCTGGTCCCAGTACTATACTAAATAGAAGTAGTGAGAGCATGCATTTTTGCCTCGTATTGGATCAAAGCTATAGCAATCAAAACAGTATGGTTCTGGCATAAAAACAAACATATAGACCAGTGAAACAGAATTGTGAGCCCAAAAGTGAACCCAAGCATATATAGCCAACTAATGTTTGACAAGCAGACCAATAATATGCAATGAGGAAAGGATATTCTCATCAATAAATGGTATTGAAAAAACTGGTTATTCACATGAAAAGAATGAAAACTGGACCCCTATTTAACATTATACACAAAAATTTACTCAAAATGGATGAAATATTTAAAGATAAGACCTGAAACTATAAAATTCCTAGAAAAAAATATAGGCAGGACGCTTCATGACATTGGCCACAGCCATGATTTGTTGTATATCATACTAAAAACTCAGGAAAAACAAAAACAAATGAACTACACTGAACCAAAAAGCTTCTGCACAACAAAGGAAACAATCAACAAAATGAAAACCCAGACTATGGATTGAGAGAACATACTCAAAAATCACATATCTGATAAAAGTTAGCAACCAAAATATATAAGAAAATCTCACAATCCAACAGCAAAAAAAAATAATCCATTTTATTTTAATGGACATCTGAGCACATTGGCTCACCCTGTAATCCCAGCAGTTTGGGAGGCCAAATAGGGAGGATTGCTTGATTCCAGGAGTTCAAAACCTTCCTAGGCAACATAGTGAGACCCCGTATCTACAAAAGAAAAAAAAAATAGCTAAGCATAGTGGCATTTACCCGTAATCCCAGCTACTGCAGAGGCTCAAGTGGTAGGATCGCTTGAGCCGGAGAGATTGAGGCTACAGTGAGACATTATCGCACTATTGCACTCCAGCCTGGATGACAAAGCAAGACCCTGTCTCAAGCAAACAAATGAATAAATAAACAAAGGGCACAAGATCTGAATAATCACTTCTCCAAAAAAGAAATAAGAAGCCAACAGGTATATGAAAAAGTGCTCAGCATCGCTAATCATCAGGAAAATGTATATCAAAACCACAACAACATAATACCCCACATCTGTTATGATAGCTATTATTGAAAAGACACAAAATAACAAGTGTTGGTTAGGGTGTAGAGAAAAGAGAACCCTTGCACACTGTTGGTGGGAATATATAAATGTTTATTAAAAATTAAAAATAGAATTGCCATGTGACACAGTGATCTCTCTCTTGAGTATATACTCATTGGAAATGAAATCAGCCCTTCATACAAATATCTGGGCTCTCATTTTCACTGAAGCATTATTCACAATACCAAAGATATGGAAACAACCTAAGTGTCCATGGATGGATAAATGAATTCTAAACTTTGGTACTATTCCGCCTTTAAGAAGGAAGTCCTGCCATTTTCATGGCAATATAGATGAACCTGGAGGACATTATGCTGAGTGAAATAAACCAGACACAGAAATAAAAATATTTGATTATCCCACTTAACATATTGAATCTTAAAATAAAAAGTCAAATACATAGAAATTGAGAGTAGACAGTAGTTACCAGGGGTAGGGGTTGGAGAGAAATCTGGAGTCATATGTCAGGGTACAAAGTTGCAATTATGTAGGATAAATAAGTCTAGAGATATAACCTATGCCATGATAGCTATGGATAATAGTATTATATAACATACTGGAAATTTACAAAGAGAAATTTCAGGCATTCTTGTTACAAAAAAAAGATTAAATAAAGATCTACCTATGTAAGGAGATAGATATATTAATTTACTTGACTATAGTAATCACTTCACTATGCTTATATATATCAAAACATCATTTATACCTTAAATATTTACAATTTTAAAATTAAGGAAGTAACAATTCAAAAAAACAAGGCACAGTTATCATTGGGAGACAAAGGTATGCTTTTTAATTGATTCTGATCTCATACAAGCAAAATGGGAAGTTAAATTTTGATTTTGAACCTGTTTTCTGTTTTAAGTTGCATTCCATTTTGTTTATATTTGAATGAATGCATTGCTTTGTTTTATTCTGAGTAATTATTATAAGATAGAGAGTAGAAAAACAATAAAAAATAACAATGTAACTTAAGAGTATTTGAAAAGAAACAAAATCAACAAACTTGCTAGACTAAAAAGAGACAGAAGGCTCGAGTAAATAAAATTATTAATGAAAAAGGAGACATTATAACTGATACTACAGAAATACAAAGGATCACAAGAGACTACTATAAACAATTATGCCAACAAATTGGATAAGCTAGAAAAGTGGATAAATTTCAAGAGACATATAGCCTTTTATTCTTTCATGATTCAGCCTTGAACAGACCAGTAATGAGTAAGGAGATTGAATCAATAATCAAAAACTTTCCAACAAAGAAAAGCCCAGGCCCTGATGGCTTTAGTGCTGTATTCAACAAAAAACTTAAATAATATTTAATAACAGTTCTTCTCAATGTCTTTCAAAAAATTAAACAGGAAGGAACACTTCCAAACTCATTTTAGGAGGCCAGTATTACCCTGAATCCAAAGCCAGACAAGGACACTACAAGAAAATAAAATTACAGGTGAGCATAGATGCAAAAATCTTCCACAAAACACCAGCAAACCTAATTAGGTAGCACAGTAAAAGAACCATTCATCATGACCAAGTGGGCTATATCCCTGGGATGCAAAAATGGTTTAACATACTCATATCAATAAACGTGATACACCACATTAGTGTAATAAAAGCTACATCATATAATCATCTCAATAGACATAGAAAAAGCATTTAACAAAATTCAACATATTTCATGATAAAAGCTATCAACATATTATGTATAGGAAAAACTGAACTCAACATAATAAAGGCCATATATGAAAAGACCACAGCTAACATTGTACTCAATGTTGAAAAGCTGAAAGCTTTTTCTCTAAAATCAGGAACAAGACAAGGATAACCTCTCTTACCACTTCTATTCAACATAGTACTGGAAGTCCTAGACAGAGTGATTAGGCAAGAAAAAGAAAAAAATGGCATTCAAATTGGAAAGGAAGACATAGACTTGTCTCTGTTTACAGATGACATGATCTTACATATAGAAAACACTAAAGGCTGTATCAAAAAGCTGTTAAAAATAATAAACCAATTCAATAAGATTGCAGAAAGTCAACAGGCAAAACTCATTAGCATTTCTATACAATAAAAATGAACTATATGAAAAGAATTTAAGAAAACAATTCCATTTACAATCCTACCACAAAAATACTTAGGAGTAAGTTTAACCAAAGAGATAAAAGACCTGTATACCAAAAATTATAAAACATTGATAAAATAAATTGAAGGAGGAAGCCAAGCAAGATGAGCAAATTGCCCTCCAGCAATTGCCCACACACACAGAGGAATATCAAATTGAACATCTATCCGTGCAAGAAATTAGCTTCATACAAACTAAAAAAAAAAAAAAAAAAAAATTCAGGTGAGAGATTACAGTACTTGATTTTAGCATAACAAGAAAGAACACATTGAAGAGGGTTAGAAGAACAGTCTCACATTACCCCTCCCTCATTCTCAGGAGGCCCAGCACAGACAGAGACTCCTTCCACTTGGGGGAAAGAGAAGGAAGAAAGTGGTGGATTTTGCATCATTTCCCAGAGTATTCTCCCTTAAGTGCATCAGGGCTGAGTATCTGAGAGGCTGCAAGTCACAACATAACTAGGCTTAGGGTGCCCTCTAGTGCTGAAATCGCTGGAGTGACCACAGGCTTAGTTAACATATAACAGTCTCCTTTGACTTTTGGAAAGCCCTCTGAAAAAGGACCAGTACAAACAAAACCAAACTGTCGAGACTGGAAAAAAATGCCTAATTCTTCAATGTCCAGACAGCAACAACATTCAAAAGCACCAAGAACATCCAGGATAAAATGACCTCACCAAAGGAACTAAAGAAGGCATCAGCAGAAAACCCTGGAGTAATGGTGTGCACCCTCTAACACAAGAAGAAATTCAGAAATCTATCACAGAAATTTAACAAAGAGATTAAAATAATTTTTTTAAATATGGAACTGAAAAATTCAATTGACAAACTGAAAAATACAACAGAATGTCTCAATAACGAATTGATCAAGGAGAAGAAAGAATTAGTGACCTAAAAGACAAGCTATCTGAAAAAAATACAGTCAGAGGAAAAAAAGCAGAGGAATGAAAAAGAATAAAGTACACCTACAAGATCTAGAAATTAGCCTCAAAAGGGAATATCTAAGAGTTATTGGCCTCAAAAAAAGATATAGAGAGAGATCAGGGTAGAAAATTAATTCAAAGAAATAATTTTAAAAAAATAACTTTCCAAACAAAGAGAAAGATATAAATACACAGGTAAATGAAGGTCAAAGAACAACAAGAAATTTTCACCCAAATAAGACTACCTCAAAGCCTCTCTTTCTTTATTCAACGAATATTTATTGAGTGCTCAACTTGAGCCAGATACTGCTTTTAGACCAGGGAATCAGTAATTAACAGACACAAATAATTGCCTTTGTGAAGCTCATATTCTAGTGGAAATACACTAGAATTAATCAACAAGTAAAATATATATATATATCAGATAATGATAAATACTATGAAAAAGAATAATGCAGGAGACAGGGGATAGAAACATGCCAAAATGGGTTTTGTCATTTTAAATAAGGTTCTCAGGGAAGATTTCAGGTAGTAGGGAATAATTGAACAAAGACCTGAGAGAAGTAAGGGAGAGAGTCATGTGACTATCTAGAGAAAAAACAGTCCAGGTAAAAGGATAATTGAGTGAAAAATGCCTGGGGGGTAGTATCATTGAAGTGTTTGAGAAACAGCAAACAGGTTGAGAGGTTGGGAGATAGATAGGTAAAGAGGAGGGCTGCAGTGGAGTGAATAAGCGAGGAGTAATAGGAGATTGAGTGAAGGAGTAGACAATGACTTTTGTTTCTCTTCCTGTCCCAAATTTTCTATGAATTCCTCTCATCTGTGGAATCTGAAGTAGAAGGATTCTGGGAAATGAAGTTCTGGGCTTCCCATTCCTCAAAAGGGTAACTGCAGGTGGTGGCCCCACTTTAATTCTCAAAGATTAAGAAAAAAATTAAAAATCCTAAAATCAGCAACAGAAAAGAAGCAAATAACATATAAAGGAACACTGATACATCTCCCAGCAAACTTCCCAGTGGAAACCTTACAGGCCAAGAAAACATGGAACAACGTATTCAAAGGGCTGAAGAAAAAATAACTTCCAACTGAGACTATTATACTCAGAAAAGAAATTCTCCAAACATAAAGAACAACGATTTTCTCACACAAACAAAAGTTGGGGAAATTTATTACAAACAGACCTGTCTTACAAGAAATGCTAAAAGTTCTTTAATCCAAAGGAAAATGATGCTACTAACATGCCACAGGAAATCATCTGAAGGTATAAAACTCATTGATAAAAGTAAGTACACAGACAAATTCAGAATACTTTATTACTGTAATTGTGGTTATAAACCACACATATCTTTAGTATGAAGACTAAAAGATGAATGCCTCAAAATCATAATAATTAGAACAATTTGTTAACAGATAGACGATATAAAAGATATAAGTAAAGACAACAAAAGTCTAAAAGGTAAGGGGGGATAAAGTTAAAGTATAGAATTTTTTTCTTTACACACAAAAAAGAAATTTCTTTTTTCTTTGTGATCAGAGTTATGTTTTTACTAGTTTAAAATAACATACTATAACTATAAGATGTTATTTGCAAGCCTCTTACTAACCACAAAGCAAAAATCTATAATAGATATGCTAAAAATAAAAAGCATCAGCACAGGGAGTACTCTGCAAGTTAGACTGCATATTAGGCCATGAAACAAGTCTTGACAAATTCAAAAAAATTGAAATCATATAAAATATCCATTCTGACCAAAATAGAAAAAAAAACTAGAAATCAATAATAAGACAAACTTTGGAAACCATACAAATACTTGGAAATTACACAACATGCTTCTGAACAACAAATAAGTCAATAAAGAATTTAAGAAGGAAGTTTAAAAATGTCTGGAAATAAATAAAAGTGGAAACACAATATACCAAAACCTATGAGACACAGCAAAGGCAGTACTAAAAGGGAAGTTTATAGCAATAAATACCTAGATAAGAAACGTAGACAAACTTCAAATAACCTAATGATGAATTAGACAATAAAAAACAAATCAAACCCAACATTAGTAGGAGGCAAGAAATAATAAAGATCAGAACAGAAATAAATGAAATTGAGACCAAAAAATACAGAAGATCAATGAAATGAAAAGTTGGTTTATTGAAAAGATAGACTGAAAAACCTTTAGCTAGACTAAGAAAATAAGAGAGAAGAGCTAAATAAATAAAATCAGAGATGAAAAAGGAGACATTACAACTGATACCAAAGAAATTCAAAGGATTATTAGAGACTATTATGAGAAACTACATGCCAATAATTTGAAAAACCTAGAAGAAATGGATAAATTCTGACACATACAACCTACCAATATTGAGCCATGAAGAAATAGAAAACCTGAACAGACCAACAATGAGTAACAAGATCGAAGCAGTAATAAAAAGTTTCCCATCAAAGAAAAGCCCAGAATCAGATGGCTTCACTGCTAAATTCTACCAATTGTTTAAAGAATAGACAACAATTATATTCAAACTATTCCAAAAAATTGAAGAGCAGGGAATACTTCTAAACTCATTCTATGAGACTGGCATTGCCTTGATACTAAAGCCAGATGAAGACACAAAAATAAACAAATGAACCAAAAACCTCTATAGGCCAATGTCTATGATAACCATAGATGCAAAATCCTCAACAAAATACTGGCAAACCAATTTCAACAACACATTAAAAAGATCATTCACCATTACTAAGTGGGATTCACAAATTAATGAAGGTGATACATCACATTACTAGGATCAATGACCAAAACCATATGATGATTTTAATAGATGACAAAAAAGTATTTAACAAAATTCAGCACCTCTTTATGATAAAAACTCTCAACAAATTAGTTATGAAAGGGAAATACTTTAAAATAATAAAGGCCATATGTGACAAATATGACCCTAGACCATATGACCCAAACCCATAGCATCATACTGAATGGGAAAAATCTAAAAGCCTTTTCTCTTACATCTGGAATAAGCCAAGGATGCTCACTTTCACCACTTCTATTCAACAATATACTAGAAGTCCTAACCAGAGCAATTAGACAAAATAAACAAACAAACGGTACCCAAACTGGAAAGGAAGAAGTCAAATTGTCCTGGTTTGCAGATTACATAATCTTATATTTAGAAAAACCTAAATACTATACCAAAAAAAAACTCTTAGAACTGGTCAAAAACTTCAGTAAAGTTGCAGGATACAAAACAAACAAGTGAGAATCAAGAGCATTTCTATATTCCAGCAGTGAACAATCTGAAAAAGAAATTAAGAAAGCAATACCATCTTTAATAGCTACCAAAAAAAAATGTCTGGGAATAAACTTAACGAAAGAAGTGAAATATCTCTACAGTGAAAACTATAAAACACTGATTAGAGAAATTGCAGAGAACACTAAAAAAACAGGAAAAATGTCCTATGTTCATGAATTAATATACTGTTACAATGTCCATACTATCCAGTGATCTACAGATTCAATGCAATCCCTATCAAAACAGTAATGAGATTCCTAACAGAAGTAGAAAAAACAATCCTCAAATTTGAATAGAACCACAAAAGCCTCCAAATAACCAAAGCAACCCTGAGCAAAAAGAACAAAGCTGAAAGCATCACATCACCTGACTTCAAAATATACTACAAAGTTATATCCAGACATAAATTTATCCACAAATCAAAATAGCATGAAACTCATAAAAACAAATACATAGACCAAAGAAACAGAATTGAAAGTCTAGAAATAAATTCCTGGGCAAGATGGCAGAATAGTAACAGCTCTGGTCTGCAGCTCCCAGCAAGACCAACGCAGAAGGTGGGTGATTTCTGCATTTCCAACTGAGGTACACGCCTCATTTTATTGGGACTGGTTAGAAAGTGGCTGCAGCCCACGGAGGGTGAGCCAAAGCAGGGTGGAACGTCTCCTCACTTGGGAAGTGCAAGGGGTCGGGGAACTCCCTCCCCTAGCCAAAAGAAGCCATGAGGGACTGTGCCTTGAGGAATGGTGCATTCCAGCCCAGATACTATGTTTTTCCCACAGCCTTCGCAACCTGCAGACCAGGACATTCGCTCGGGTGCCTACACAACCAGGGCCCTGGGTTTCAAGCACAAAACTGGGCGGCCATTTGGGCAGACACCAAGCTAGCTGCAGGAGTTTTTTTTTTCATAACCCAGTGGCCCCTGGAATGCCAGTGAGAGAGAACTGTTCATTCCCCTGGAAACGGGGCTGAAGCCAGGGAGCTGAGTAGTCTTGCTCAGCGGATCCCACCCCCACAGAGCCCAGCAAACTAAGATCCACTGGCTTGAAATTCTCACAGCCAGCACAGCAGTCTGAAGTCAACCTGGGATGCTCGAGCTTTGTGGGGGGAGGGGCAGCCACCATTACTGAGGCTTGAGTAGGTGGTTTTCCCCTCAAAGTGTAAACAAAGCCACCAGAAAGTTTGGACTGGGCAGAGCCCACCACAGTGCCACAAAGCAACTGTAGCCAGACGGCTTCTTTAGATTCCTCCTCTCTGCACAGGGCATCTCTGAAAGAAAAGCAGCAGCCCCAGTCAGGGGCTTATAGATAAAACTCCCATCTCCCTGAGACAGAGCACCTGGGGGAAGGGGCAGCTGTGGGCACAGCTTTAAAAGATTTAAACATTCCTGCCTGCCAGCTCTGAAAAGAGCAGCAGATCTCCCAGCACAGTGTTCAAGTTCTGCTTAGGGACAGACTGCCTCCTCAAGTGGGTCCCTGACTCCCATGCCTCCTGACAGGAAGACACCTCCCAGCAGGGGTCCACAGACACCGCACACAGGAGAGCTCCGGCTGGCATCTGGTGGGTGTCCCTCTGGGATGAAGCTTCCAGAGAAAGGAGGAGACAGCAACCTTTGCTGTTCTGCAGCTTCCGCTCCAGACAAACAGGGTCTGGAGTGGAGCTCCAGCAAACTCCAGCAGACCTGTAGCAGAGGGGCCTGACTGCTAGAAGGAAGACCAACAAACAGAAAGGAATAGTATCAACATCAACAAAAAGGAAGAACACACAAAAACTTCATCTGAAGGCTACCAACATCAAAGACCAAAGGCAGACAAATCCACAAAGATGAGGAAAAAACAGTGCAAAAAAGGCTGAAAATTCCAAAAACCAGAATGTCTCCTTTCCTCCAAAGGTTCACAACTCCACATCAGCAATGAAACAAAACTGGATGGAGAATGAGTTTGACAAGTTGACAGAAGTAGACTTCAGAAAGTGGGTAATAACAAACTCCTCCAAGCTAAAGGAGCATGTTCTAACCCAATGCAAGGAAGCTAAGAACACTGATAAAAAGTTACAGGAACTGCTAGCTGGAATAACCAGTTTAGAGAAGAAAATAAATGACCTGATGGAGCTGAACAACACAGCACGTGAACTTCGTGAAGCATACACAAGTATCAATAGTCGAATCCATCAAGCAGAAGAAAGGATATCAGAATTTGAAGATCAACTCAATGAGATAAAGTGAGAAGACAAGATTAGAGAAAAAAGAATGAAAAGGAACAATTAAAGCCTCCAACAAATGCGGGACTATGTGAAAAAACCAAACCTACATTTGATTGGTGTACCTGAAATTGATGGGGAGAATGGAACCAAGTTGGAAAACACTCTTCAGGATATTATCCAGGAGAACTTCCCCAACCTAGCAAGAGAGGCCAACATTGAGAGGAAATACAGAGAACACCACAAAGATACTCCTCAAGAAGAGCAACCCCAAGACACATAATCATCAGATTCACCAAGGTGGAAATGAAAGAAAAAATGTTAAGGTCAGCCAGAGAGAAAGGTTGGGCTACCCACAAAGAGAAGCCAACAGACTAACAGTGGATCTCTCTGCAGAAACACTACAAGCCAGAAGAGAGTGGGGGCCAATATTCAACATTCTTAAAGAAAAGAATTTTCAATCCAGAATTTCATAGCAAGCCAAACTAAGCTTTATAAGTGAAGGAGAAATAAAATCCTTTACAGACAAGCAAATGCTGACAGATTTTGTCAGCACCAGGCCTGCTTTACAAGAGCTCCTGAAGGAATCACTAGATATGGAAAGAAAAAACCGATACCAGCCACTGCAAAAACATACCAAAATGTAAAGACACTCCACACAATTGCATGGAAATTGAACAACCTGCTCCTGAATGACTACTGGGTAAATCACAAACTTAAGGCAGAAATAAGTAAGTTAATTGAAACCAATGAGAACAAAGACACAACGTACCAGAATCTCCGGGACACAGCTAAAGCAATGCTTAGAGGGAAATTTATAGCACTAATGCCCACAGCAGACAGTGAGAAAGATCCAAAAATCAACACCTTAACATCACAATTAAAAGAACTAGAGAAGCAAGAGTAAACAAATTCAAAAGATAGCAGAAGACAAGAAATAACTAATATCAGAGCAGAACTGAAGGAGAAAGAGACACAACAAACCCTTCAAAAAAATCGATGAATCCAGGAGCTGGGAAAAGATCAACAAAATATATAGACCACTAGCCAGACTAATAAAGGAAACAGAGAAGAATCAAATAGACACAATAAAAAAATGATAAAGGAGATATCACCATTGATCCCACAGAAATACAAACTAACATCAGAGGATACTATAAACACCTCTACACAAATAAACTAGAAAATCTAGAAGAAATGGATAAATTCCTGGACACATATACCCTCCCAAGACTAAACCTGGAAGAATTCGAATCCCTGAATAGACCAATAACAAGTTCTGAAATTTAGGCAGTAATTAATAGCCTACCAACCAAAAAAAGCCCAGGACCAAAAGGATTCAGAGCCAACTTCTACCAGAGGTACAAAGGGTTGCTGGTACCATTTCTTCTAAACTATTCCAAACAATAGAAAAAAGAACACCTCCTTAACTCATTTTAACAGCCCTGCATCATCCTGATACCAAAACCTGTCAGAGACACAACAAAAAAAAGAAAATCTCAGGCCAAATTTCAGGAACATTGATGCAAAAAATCCTCAATAAAATAGTGGCAAACTGAATCCAGCAGCACATTAAAAAGCTTATCCAACATGATCAAGTTGGCTTCATCCCTGAGATGCAAGGCTGGTTCAATATATGCAAATCAATAAATGTAATCCCTCACATAAACAGAACCAATGACAAAAATGACAAGATTATCTCAATAGATGCGGCAAAGGCCTTTAATAAAATTTAACACCCATTCATGCTAAAAACACTCCATAAACTAGCTATTGATGGAATGTATCCCAAAATAATAAGAGATATTTATGACAAACCCACAGCCAGTATAATCCTCATATGATTTTTACTTCCAGCAAAAGCTAGAAGCATTCCATTTGCAAACTGGCTCAAGACAAGGATGCCCTCTCTCATCACTCCTATTCAACATAGTTAGAAGTTCTGGCCAGGGCAATCAGACAAGACAAAGAAATAAAGTGTATTCAAATGGGAAGAGAGGAAGTCAAGTTATCTCTGTTGGCAGATGACATGATTGTATGTTTAGAAAACGCCATCGTCTCTGCCCAAAAACTCCTTAAGCTGATAAGCAATGTCAGCAAAGTCTCAGAATACAAAATCAACATGCAAAAATCACAAGCATTCCTATACACCAATAATAGACAAGCAGAGAGCCAAATCATGAGTGAATTCCCATTTGCAATTACTACAAAGAGAATAAAATATTTAGGAAGGACCTCTTCAAAGAGAACTACAAACCACTGCTCAAGGAAATAAGACAGGACACAAACAAATGGAAAAACATTCCATGCTCATGGATAGGAAGAATCAATATTGTGAAAGTGGCTCTACTGCCCAAAGTAATTTACAGATTCAATGCTATCCCCATCAAGCTATTATTGACTTTCTTCACAGAATTAGAAAAAACTACTTTAAACTTCACATGAAACCAAAAAAGAGCCCATATAGCCAAGAAAATCCTAAGCAAATAGAACAAAGCTGCAGGCATCATGCTACCTGACTTCAAACTATACAACAAGGCAACAGTAACCAAAACAGCTTGGTACTGGTACCAAAACAGATGTATAGACCAATGGAACAGAACAGAGGCCTCAGAAATAACACCACACATCTACAACCATCTGATCTTTGACAAACCTGACAAAAACAAGCAATGGGGAAAGGATTCCCTATTTAATAAATGGTGTTGTGAAAACTGGCTAGGTATATGCAGAAAACAGAAACTGGACCCCTTCCTTATACCTTATACAAAAATTAACTCAAGATGGATTAAAGATTTAAACACAAGACCTAAAACCATAAAAACCCTAGAAGAAAACCTAGGCAATACCATTCAGGACATTGGCATGGGCAAAGACTTCATGACTAAACCACCAAAAGCAAGGTCAACAAAAGCCAAAATTGATAAATGGGATCTAAGTAAACTAAAGAGCTTCTGCACAGCAAAAGAAAGTGTCATCAGAGTGAACAGGCAACCTATAGAATGGGAGAAAATTTTTGCAATCTATCCATCTGACAAAGGTCTAATATCCAGAATCTACAAGGAACTTAAACAAATTTACAAGAAAACAACAAACGACCTCATAAAAAAGTGGGCAAAGGATATGAACAGACACTTCTCTAAAGAAGACATTAATGCAGCCAACATATGAAAAAAAGCTCATCATCACTGATCATTAGAGAAATGTAAATCAAAACCACAATGAGATACCCTCTCATGCCAATTAGAGTGGCGCTCATTAAAATGTCTGGAAACAACAGATGCTGGAGAGGATGTAGAGAAATAGGAATGTTTTTACACAGCTGGTGGGAGTGTAAATTACTTCAACCATTGTGGAAGACAGTGTGGTGATTCCTCAAGGATCTAGTACCAGAAATACCATTTGACCCAGAAATCCCGTTACGGGGTATATACCCAAAGGATTATAAATATTTCTACTATAAAGACACATACACACGTATGTTTATTGCAGCATTATTCACAATAGCAAAGACTTGGAACCAACCCAAATGCCTATCAATGATAGACTGGATAAAGAAAATGTGGCACATATATGCCATGGAATACTATGCAGCCCTAAAAAAGGATGAGTTCATGTCCTTTTTAGGGACATGGATGAAGATGGAAACCATCATTCTCAGCAAACTAACACAGGAACAGAAAACTAAACACCACATGTTCTCACTCATAAATGGGAGTTGAATAATGAGAACATATAGCCACAGGAGGGGAACATCACACACCGGGGCCTGTCGGGGAGTGGGGAGCAAGGGGAGGGATAGCATTAGGAGAAACACCTAATGTAGATGATGGGATGATGGGTGCAGCAAACCACCATGGCATACATAAACAAACCTGCACATTCTATACATGTATCCCAGAACTTAAAGTATAATAATAATAATTATTTTAAAAAAAGAAGTTAAAAAATGTCTAGAAATATATCCACACATTTATAGATCAGCAAAGGTGCCAACAATACACAATAGTGAAAAGACAGTCTCCTCAGTAAATTGTGTCGGAAAAACTAGATGTCCACAGGCAGAAGAATAAAATTGGATTCTTATTTCACATTATGTACAACATACACTCAAAATGAATTAAAGACTTAAAACACAAGATCTAAAATTGTAGAACTACTATAAGAAAACATAGTTGATAAAGCTTCTTGACATTGGACTTGGGACTAATTGATTTTTTGATATGACCCCAAAAGCACAGGCAATTTTTTAAAAAAAACAAATACAGACTAATAAAATTACATCTTTTATTTTTATTCTAAAAATCTTTTGCACAGCAAAGGAAACAATCCACAGAATGAAGAGACAACCTGCCAAGTAAGAGGAAATACTTTCAAATTATACAGATGATAAGGGGTTAATATCCTAAACATATATAAATGACACACATAACGTAATAACAACAAAGCAACCCAATTAAAATTGGGCAAATAATCTGAATAGACATTTTTCAAAAAACTACAAATGGACAACACGTATATGAAAAAAATGCCCAACATCAGTAATCATCAGTGAAATTCAGATTAAGTCACGGTGAGATATCACCTCACACCTGTTAGAAAGACAAAAGATGACAAGTATTGGCAAGGATGTGAAGAAAAGTGAACCCTAATCCACTGTTTGTGGGAAAGTAAATTGGAATAGCCAATGTGAAATACAGCATGGAGGTTCCTCAAAAAATTCAAGTAGAACTACTATTTGTTCCAGCAATTCCACCTCTGGGTATATATCTGACGGAAATAAAATCACTACATGTAGTAATAATGTATTGTATACTTGAAAATTGCTAAGAAACTAGATCTTAAATATTCTCACCACAAAAAACATGATAACTATGTGAGACAATGAATATGTTAACAAGCTTGACTTTATCATTTCACAATATATGTGCTCTTTTGGTTACCCTGTCTATAAAATATCTTTTTTTATCCCCTTTTCTTTCAGCCTACGTGTGTCCTTAAGGCTTAAGTGAATCGTGTGGACAACATATTGTTGGATCTTCTTTTTATTATTATTATTCACTTAGTCCATTTTGTGTTGCTATAAAGGAATATCTGAGGCTGGGTAATTTATAAAAAAAAAAAAGGTTTATTTGGCTCACAATACTGGATGTCTACAAAATGCAAGATGAGGCATCTGTATCTAGTGAAGGCCTCAGGCTGCTTCCACTCATGGTAAGAGGTGAAGGGGAACTGGCATATGCAGAGATCACACAGAGAGGGGTGAAGTGTCAGGTTCTTTTTAACAACCAGCTCTCTTGGGAACTAATACAGTGAGAACTCACTCACTCCCAAGGGAGGACCTTGATATACCAATGAGAGATCTGCTGCCATGACCCAAACACCTCCCATTAGGCCTTGCCTCCCAACAACTGGGATTAAATTTCAACATGAGGTTTGGTAGTGACAAACATCCACATCATAGCATCCATTTTGCCACATTTGTGTCTTCTTTGTTTTAATTGACAGATTAAAAAATAAAGCTAGTTAACATATTTATCACCTCTCATACTTATCACTTTTGCAGTGAGAACATTTATTCTCTTAGCAATCCTCAAGTATACAAAACATTTATTAACTGTAGTCATCATGATGTACAATAGATCTCCAGAAACTATTCCTTCTAACTGAAACTTTGTAAACTTTGATATACATCCCCTCAATGCCTGGTAACCACCACTCTGCTTTAGACTAACAAAAGCTGAGGGAATTTCATCATCAACTTTAACATTTTAAGTTTCTACATGTAAGTGACATCGTGTATTATTTGTCTTTCTATGCCTGGCTTATTTCACTTAACATAATGTCCTCCAGGTTCATCTATGTTGTCACAAATGCAGTATTTTATTCTTTTTTAAGGCTTAATGGTATTCCACTGTGTATATATACCACATTTTTGTTATACAGTCATCTGTTGATGGCCATAAGTTGATTCCATATTTGGCTATTGTTAGTAATGTTATAATATAATGACCATGAAAGTTCAGATATCTTTTCAATATACTGGCTTCATTTTCTTTGGATCTATACCCAGTAGTAGAATTGCCTGATTATATGATAGTTCTATTAACTCTGTTCTTTCAATTGGAAAAATAATCCATCTGCATTTAAAGTAACTATTGATAGGGAAGGACTTATTATTGCCGTTTGTTTTTTCTGACTGTTTTATAGTTCCTTTGTACCTTTTTTCTCTCTTGCTGTCTTCCTTTGTGATTTGTTGCTTGTTTATTTGTTTTTAGTGGTATGCTTTTATTCCTTCTCTTTATCTTTTGTGCATTTACTAGAGGTTTTTTTCTTTGGGTGGTTACTAGAGGTTATCATGAGCCTTACATAAAATATCTGTAGTTATAGCATTCTATTTTAAGCTGAAAACACTTCAAACACATACAAAAACCCTATACTTTCATTGTTCCCCTCCCCTGACACATTTTATGCTATTGATGTCACACTTTACATCTTTTTATATTGTGTATTCACTAACAAATTCTTGTAGCTATAGTTATTGTAATACTTTTGTCTTTTAGCTTTTACACTAGAGTTAAAAGTGATTTGTACATCCCTATTGTAGTTTTAGAGTATCTGAATTTGACTATATATTCTAAGACTCACCTTTACCAGTGAGTCTTAGACTTTCATATGTTTTCATGTCATGACTTAGCATCCTTTTGTTTCAACTCAAAGAACTCCCTTAGCATTTCTCGTAAAGTAGGTGATGATGAAATTCCCTCAGCTTTTGTTAGTCTAGAAATGTCTTTATCTCTCTTTCATTTGTGAAGGACAGCTTTGCTGGGCACAGTATTATTGTTTGGTAGGTTTTTCTTCTTTTAGCACTTCATCCTCGTTTGCAAGGTTTCTGCTGAAAAGTCTACTGAGACTTTTGAGAGTTCCCTAGTATCTCTTTTCTCTTGTTGCTTTCAAGATTCTCTGTCTGATTTTCACAGTTTGATTATAATATGTCTTAGAGTATTTTAAGGTTTTTAGGATTTTTTTGAACACGTGAATCTGGAAGTCCATATCCCTTCCAATATTTGGAACGTTTACAGCCAGTATTTTTTAAAATAAGACATCTATCTCTCTCTGTTCCTTCTGAAAATCCCGTAATTCATATGCTCATTTGCTTGATGGTGCTTTCTTTACTCTTTTGCGTTCTTCACTCTTTTAGATTCTTTTTTCTTTTTGTTTCTCTAATTGACTAATATAAAATGAACTGTCTTTGAGTTAGCCAACTCTTTCAATTCTTTTCTTGAAGCTTTCTACTGAATTTTTCAGTTCTGTCATTATTCAGATGGTCCTCAACTTATGACAGTTTGACTTACGATTTTTTTTTTTTTTTTTTTTACTTTATGATGGTGCAAAAGTGATAGGCATTCAGTAGAAAGTGGTACAATACCCTCTCACAATGCTGGGCAGTAGCAGCAAGCCATAGCTCCCATTTAGCCACATGATCATGAGGGGAAACAACCAATACCCCTACAGTGCACTGTGTTGCCAAATGATTTTTCCCAACCATAGACTAATGCCCTTTAGGGCAACTGTAGGCACAGTTAAGATAGGTTAGGCTAATTTATGACATTTCATAGATTAGGTGTATTGGATGCATTTTTGACTTATTGTATTTTCAATTTACAATGGGTTTATCATGACATAACCCCATTGTATATCAGGAAGCATCTGTATTCTTCAGCTCCAGTACTTCCACTTGGCTCTTTTTTATTATTTTGATTTCTATTAAATTTTTCATTTTGTTCATGCACTGTTTCCTTGATTTTTTTAGTTTTATATCTTTGTTCTCTTGCATCCCATAGAATTTCTTTGAGATTATTTTGAATTCTTTTTCAGGCAATTCATAGATCTCTATTTCTGGGGTCAGTTGCTAAAGCTTTACTATTTTCCTTTAGTGGTTCACATTTGCCTGTTTCTTCATTATTTGTGTAGCCTTGCATTGGTGTCTGTGCATTTAAAGGAGCAAATACCTATTCCTGTCTTTATACACGGTTTCAGCAGCTGAAGATCTTCTCCTGTTGGGTCGCTGGGCTGATAGGATTGCCAGAATCATGGTAAATAGGGGTTGGAGCTGGGTCACGTGACTGCTGCTGGGTTCACAGTTACCAGGGGCTCAAGCAGGCATGGATCCTATGCAGTCGCTGGGTAGACTGAATTGCCTTCAGGACCTTGGTCAGTAGGGCTGGTGCAAAGATGTAGGTCTGCTTCAGGGTTTGCAAATGGCAGGCCTGTTACAAGGTATGCAGATGGGTGTGGCTTCCTCCAGGTATGCCTGGGAGAACTTCCATTGAGTGACTGGGTGAGTCCTTTGGGAGGTGGTGCTAGTCCCATACCATGGCTGACAGGGGCTGGAACTCAGTAACAGGGATGGTTCAGCATCCACAGCTAAGACCAATGTCTCCAGGCCCGCCTCTGGGGACATGGACTTGTGTGACTCCCTCCAAGTCTAGGGTAGGCAGAACTGCTCTCAGGCTGCAGCTGAGAGGTGCTGGGGTTGAGTTGCAAGGCCATGTCAGGATCTGCAGTGAGATCCAGGTCAAATGGCCCTGCCTACAAGGCATAGATAGGTATGTCTCCCACCAGGTCCCTGAGTGGGCAGAACTGCTTTCAGACCCAGCTAAGAGGGGTTAGAGCCAAATTACAGGACAATTTCAGGGTCTACGGCTGAGACTAAGGTTGATAGGCCTGTCACCTAAGTCATGAAAATGGTCATGACACCTCCCAGATATCTTGGCAGATGGCTCTGGAGGCAGGACCAAGGCTAAATGGAGCTGTATCTGAGTCTGCAGTGGGATGGGTATATTTTTGGGTATGGGTTCTAGATCCAGATCTGGACTCAGGTCTGTCCTCTCAAAATGGCTCTCCTAGATGTTGGGCTCCACCAAGATTTCACAACCTCCTACCTAAATCCCAAAGCTCACCCAAAGGCACTTTTATCCATAGATAGCTGTTTAATTGTTGATGCTGAGGGAATATGATCAGAAGACCACCTACTCTACCCTATTGTTGACCATCACTCCCTCTGATGTTGTTTTGGTAACAATCAGCACTGCAGGCACAGAGCCACCCACTGCCCACCACTTACCATCTAATGGGCCACCTAAAGAATCACAGTCAGCAAACAAACTGTGTCACTAACTCTCTGGGGCCTCGTTTGTGATTCTTTAGAAACCCAGACTACCTTCACACCACAGTGCCGTGTATTCTTCACTGACAGACTTGGAATTATCACTAACCACTCAGATATTTTTTAGCTCTCACTCATCCCCCAACACACACACACACACACACACACACACACACACACACACACAGAGAGAGAGAGAGAGAGAGAGAGAGAGAGAGAATGAATCAGAGACAGAGAAAGTTAATAAGGCTCTGCCACCTACTAGGCATTAACCAATACCTTATCTCTCATTTCCATGGTTTCATTTTATTCCCTTTAAGGATCTTTTCCCCATAAGCTTCCTAAGTTCATGCCCTGCTTCTTCATATTTCTCCCTTGTTGACTTCAAAACAAAAGCCACCAACTTCCTGCTGGGAAAGGGAGGTGGAGAGGAGCAGGAATAGGATTAAGGGAAGGCTGTTCTTCACCACTCCCGAGAGCATGAAAGCACCCTGACCTTGCCCATTCACTTTCTAGGCAGGACTCAGTGGCTTTATCTGTACACAATGACAGAGGTTAATTAATTAACTGCCTCTGGCCTGGTTGCCCTAGCAACTGGCTTTGATTCATAACTAAATTCTAGCAAGGGATATTTCTCAGAGATTTTGTTGACTTACACTAGAAGAGAAATTGGATAAGAATTTAAAACAGAAAATTAACAGGTTGTAAGAGAAGCTTTTTCCATTCATTAAAATCTTTGAATTTCTATCTTATAAGTGTGGTTATGTCCTTATTACTCAAGGTCACAGTAAAAAAGTTTCTGGTTACATGATGTTTTATCAGACTAAAGAAACAAACATCCACAGGCATTTAAATCAATCTAAAACAGCTCCCATTCCTACCCTCACCCCAACAGAGCTCTGGAAAACCAATATGAACTAAACCAGGGGATCTGGTGTGGGAATAACAATGCATTCATAATTCCCACTGGCCGAGCTCAGCCCTGGCCATCAGCGCATTGATACACATTGCAACCAACCAGCCCCAATTCTCTCCTTTATGGAAATCACTCTGTGCCACCGTGGAAACTGTACCTTTTCCAGCCCATTAATTTCTCTGTATTTAAGAGTAACAGCATTTCCATCTCTTAGATTAGATTTTGTTCATTAAATCCGCATCTCACTTCCCAACCTGCCAAATTTTCATCAGTAGAGATCTGGGATTCAGACAACACAACCCATTAAGCATAACATCTTGGAATTTACAATTTTGTTTTACAAAACCCTCCACAGACAGTCTATCTTACATATATTAGCCTTGTAAAAGATTAAATATAAATGGATGCTTTCTAAAGCATTTTAAAGGTATTACTGTTTGCTTAACACTTCAGATACAATTTCCATTTTGAAAAATACTCTTAATCATACATAATATGCAAAGACTGGAAATCTCAAATTCTTGTTTGTTTGCTTTTAATGATAAGTATTTAATGTAACTATTTGTCAACCTGCTCTTTCAAAAGCTTTTCTTTAAAAGAAAAAACTAGTGAGGGACTGGGGATGAAACATGATGGTTTGGGAGCATGATGTTAGAAGACTTAAAGTAGAAAATTTTGATGATCAAATTGTATTATGCCAGAAAAGAGGAGTTAAGTGGGAAAGCCCGAACTCTTGGAGGGAAACAATACAGCCCCCTTCTCAATTTTGTTTGCTTGGGTGTGACCTCCATGATCAAAGGAAGGCAGAGCATAGAGACAACGTTAAACAGTTCCAGGGGACAGCCTGACAACATTAAGTCTTATTGGTCAGCCCTCAGACTTCTTTCTTCTAAGCAAAGGGACATCACCTACTGAAGTACTGGGCCAGTGGGACCATGCAGGACTGATCGCGTCTGCCGATGCCAGAAGTAGGAAAGCCCCATCAATGTGAGAGGAGCAGCAAAGGCCTAAGAATAAAAAGTTCTGCCCCAAGAGCTGAAAAGACAATCCAGAGGTAGGGTGCTGGAGAAAAGTCACATGCCTACATACCTTGATCCAAATAAGGAAGATTTTAATTATGGGAAGAAGCAGCTTTAGCGGTTTTACAAATAATCTTTCAGTCTCAGGAAACTAAAACAGGGCTGTCCTCTGAGGAAAGCCATATCCTGGTTTAAATATTTGGGACTTACATTCTAATGCAAAAGCTAATCATGTCAAAGATGAAAAAATTCATATACAATTTCTCACGTTTCCTGATCAGGCTGTTCTAGAATATGATTAACACTGTGATCACAATAAAAATGTTTTATTTAGTGGATAATTGTATGTACTGGTATCTACCATTTCTAAATGTCTCCTTTTATTACCCTTGTTCAAGAAAGTCCTAATATTTAAGTGATTTACTGATCACTTAAAATGCCAGCCTCGCCATTAGAAGGTACATTCACTATACGTTGCTTAATTTTATAGTACATTATTTCTTTATAAACAGACACATTACTGTAGAACATTAATTAAACCTTTTCCCCATTATGCACTACATTTTGAAGACAACAGTGTAACCAAGTGTTGCCTTGACAGATATGCCTGTGACTCCATTTCTTGGCTCACGAAGGAAGCAGATTCCCCAAGAAGTAGTGCTACTGGGACTCCAGGATTAGGCAACAGACAGCTACGATTTGTGAAAGACGTACTTAATGAATAATGCATGGCAGATGTGCTTCAACAACCCAATTTGCTGAACTATTTAGCATCAATAACCTAGCTATAATGGAAACAGAAAGCCTTTTAGAGGTAGATTATGAGAAGAGTTTTAATAAAATGATATCACTCCAATCATGTGCATAACATTTGCATTTAGTAGAAGCTGATGTTTAGATTGGTATAAAAAGAAAACTTTTGCAGCCACCTTTTTGTAAAGCCCTCACTCAGAAATACATTTACATATGGGTGCTGTGTGAGGAGGATCAGCCATTAGGGAAGGATTTGAAGAAACACTGAGCAAGTTCTTCTCCCTGAAAATCACACAGACTAAAAAGGCCAAACTCTGATTTCAGAAAATCCTTCTGGTTGAAAAATAATTCTAATGAGCACAAAACTACAAGCAAATTTCCTATTTGCTTTGAGACTGAATGGCAAGTATTACATAAAAATTCCTATGGCATAACATATTTTCTAACATTAATGGAAAAGGGCAAGAGTGGTGTCATAAAACTAATCTTCAGTAAATCATTTGCTAAATGCATTTGAATTACCTATTTCATATTTCCCTGCTGACCCCCTGCTCTCCAAAATCAATATGCAAGAAAAAAGTTGCCCTAAGATGCCCTAGAAACCATTAAAATGCTATGTGTGAGCTATCCAATTAGCAATATTTAAATGAAAATTTATAATTTAGTACCTTCCCATTGATAAGAATGAGAAAGTTACACCCATGTCAACTTTTCCAGGGCTAATAACATATGTAAAAAATAAAACTAAATTTGACAAGAACAGGATTTTACTGTTGCATCAGTAGGGTTTATTGAGTGACCAGAGGTGAGTTCAACATTCAATATTAGTAGTTACATAATGACAGGAGAAATTTCCTAGGGCAAAGGACTGGTCTGGATCTTATACTCATAAAGAATGGCCAAAGCCAATCTTCCAAGAGGAACACAATAAAATTCCCCCCAAACCCATCCTTGTATCTCTTGAAGCCTTGAAATCTATATCTTTGAAGCCTAAGAGTTCACTGAGCCAGAGACTGGACTTAGGGATCCCAACTTCTTATCATAGTAACTTAACTGCTTGGTCAGATGGGAGCAATTAAGGCCTTAGAGAAAGTCATTATAAATGCAAGACATAGGCTCCTGCTGAGAAGGGATCTGATAAATATTAAGTAGCTACTACATTCTAGGCCTTGTGCTAAGTGATCCATGCACTGTCAACAATGATTTGAAAAGGTGAATATTGAAATTGACAAAATAAAATGAAGGTAAAATAAATTGAAGAACCAAAGTATGTATTTTTGCAATGCAACTTTGGAGAAAAGAAAGATAAATTGAAACAAAATAATATAGGGAGGGGCCCTACTGGAACTACACTGTCTATCTTGGAGAAGGTGCTGAGTGAGCAGGTGGACAGATTCCAGTACATCATGGCATGTCCCTTGTTAGACACTTTTATAGCATCTAATACCTTCCTTCCTGGCACTTATCCAGGTTTATAACCATACACATTTTTATATGATTATTTGATTCTCTTTTTCACTCAGCTATAAGCTCCATGAGGGCAGGAACTGCATCTGTGTTCATCTCCTCTGGTTTCCTAACACCAAACACAATTCCTGACACCTAAGAGGTGCTTAGTAATTATTTATTGGTGACAGAAGAAAAGGATAAAGGGAAAAAGGCAAGAGGCCAGGAGCATGGTGAAACTATGAATGTGCATCCTAAGTCTCAGATGGCCTGGGAACTGGGGTGGGGTTAGCCAGCCCAGCAATCCCTGCCCATTTCCTGCCCTTTCCTGAGGCAGAGAAGGATAAACTGGTTATAAGGAGGGCTGACAACACGTCTGCTCCACTTGCCCTGAAAATCCATTTGCGTGGCCACCCTTGAGGCTGCTCTGGATAAGCCAGAATCTCCCTAATAGGATTTCTTCTAGCGTTTGTCCTAGTTTTATCTGAGATAAAATCAGAGAGCAGGCAGGATCTGAGAAAACATTAATAATTTGCATTGATGTAAAACTCTGACCACGCTTATGTAAGTTTTATCTGCCCAAGCAAGGGAACTACAAACTACTTGGTCAAGTTAGTGGTGTGGTGCTTTCCCCCAGTCAGCAGTTCCGTGTTAACACAGATGTTTGTGCATCACCAACTTCACTGTACAATGGTTTCACTACTGCCATAGAATTTCTTTCTGCCACGTTGCCTTTCCTCTTCTCTTATTTCCTATGGAGTCTGCTGTGAGCTAACTTCCTCTAGCCTCACTTGTAACTCTTCCTGGGCTGTCCCCTAGTTTATACCACTCCCGCTGTGATGTTAGCACCTGCTGCTGGGAGAGGGGGTGATTTTAAATATGCTGACTGGCATACAAGGCTCAACAAGCCACCAAGGCTGCCATATCTGCACCATGTCAATCCTGCTTATGTGCTCAAAGGATTCCTAGAGCAGGCTAGTTACAGTCCAAAAGCTGAAATCCTGTGTTTACAACAGACTGAAAGGAATGTCCTAGTCACACTCTGGCATCAGTTTCCCCTGAGCTCTCTCTCTCTCGTCCAGTTTAGAGGGCCAATTGCAAAGCTGCTGCCAGTGGCTTCCCTGCCAGGGTGGCTAAGCAGCATGACAGTTTAGATACTCCAAAAAGCCCACGCCACTGGCACAAAGACAATCTTTCTGGGAAACAAAGAGCAAGAGACTGCAAAAATGCTGGCAGCTGACACCCATGGTCCTTCACATATCTACTGATTGCAGAGCAGATGGGGCTTAAAAAGGAAGAATGCATGCTGGAAAGTCTATCTGCTCCATCTTTTAAAGTAAAAATAAAACCTGTTTGTGTCAAGCAGACACTGAGTACTGACCCCACAGAATTCTAGCATCTAGCTCCCTCACTCACCAATACAATTTGCAAGTAGATTACTAGGAATTAAGAGACCAATTTCAAACTGAACTCCCATTCCAGAAGCATTGGTTTGGGTAGACAGAAAAGAGAACTGCAGATATAACCACAAAAAAGGGTAATGTTTCTCCTTTATCAAAGCCTTGGGTATTTTCATCAAAAAGACCACTGCGTGGGAGAACTCTCAGGTATGATTCAGGTGGAGACCCTCCTCAGCACTGGAGGCAGAGCTGCCTGGAGAACATATGGACTGTAAATATGCCCTGGTACATCTGATGTGTGGCCTTGTGTTTGCTCCATGTAGTTCCAAGAGGTAGGACTAGTGCCAAAGGGCAGAAACTACAAAAGAACAGATTTGGGTTTAATATAAGCAGGAACTAAAGAGCATCCTAGACACAGTGTTGTCACCTGCTAGTGGCAATGAGTTCTCTGCCAGTGGATGCCCAGTCCCTTCTCGCAGATAAGTGAGGAATCGCGACTCTTGCAATGGACTAAATGTTTGTGTCCCCAAAAAATTCCCAGCCTCCAGAACTGTGAGAAATAAATGGCTGCTGTTTAAGCCACCTCGTCTATGGTATTTTGTTATAGCAGCCTGAACCAAGACAGCTCTTGAAGTCTAAAGAGGCTAGATAGAGTGCAAACATACCCTTCTGGCATTTCCCCCAAAGGAAATACATCCAGAGGCAAAACCTTAACAGGAACCATAATTAGAAAGTTTATCAAATTGTCCCAAAGAGTCATCGATCTGAAAGAGAAGATAAACAAATGCACCCTAAAGAAACAGACATAGAAGAGAGAAACCCTGTTTTAAAACAAAGAAAAGAAGAAATTGATTTTAAAGTAAAGGATGAGAAGCAAAGCCTTAAGAAGCTCCTGAGGTGACCAGTGGACAGAGACAGCTATGGTGCCTAGAGATTTTAGGGCCAAATTTGAGTGCATAGCCAGGAGATTTCAAATCTAGACTGGAACAACTTTCTGCTAGGATATTACAGAAGGTGCTCAAGCTTTGGATGAGTGGTTGGACTACATCAGGACTTAGGGGTTGGGACTGCTAAACTCTCAAATTACACATCGTATTTTGTGAGTATGTGTCGATGTACATTTTCTGGAGAGAGTTGACAGCTTTTTATCAGATTCTAAAAATGTACATAGCACTGTTTTAGAAAAACTCCAGAGCATCTTCAAATTCAATCTGCACGTTTAATGTCAAATATTTGGAGATGATTCACTTTTTTACCTGACATTATATGATGACAGTTTAAAGATGATAACCAGTATTAATCCTTGCTTTTTCTGGGCCTGAGAGTAAAAGAATAAATTTTCCTTCTACTGAATAATTACACTTGAGGTGATACTGGGTTTTGTAGTCATCTTATGGAGCCCTGGGAATGCAAACATACCACAGTGTCTGAATAATATGCCCAGTCTAAGGAGGGAGATGCATACAGTATCTATAGTGTCTATTTGCCCTTCGCCTCTCCAACCTCCCTTCCCTCTTCTGGCAACTGCCTTAATGTTTGCTTAAGGATGTACCCCCTCCCATTCTCAATTAATATGATCTGGGCAGGGCCAATCGTCAGTTCTGGGGGTGAACCTCTTTCAGTCAGAGTATTACCTTTCCTGGCCACAATGATCAGTGTAAGGCAGGCTGGTAACCTAATTCAGTCTGGGCCTGGTGGCTGTCAGGGCATTTTCTGGGAATACTGGGACAAAGACTCTAACTTTTTTTGTCCTGGATTTAAATCTCTGAGTTGCTGACAGGCACCTATTAACTATATGAAGTCCCAAAATAGAGCCAACATTGAAGAAGCAGATCCAATAAATGAGTATCAAGAACCCAGCTCCTGGTTGTGTAGTTTTAGCCATGAATTCAGGCACAGTTGAGGCTGTTTCACATATGACTCATATGTACCAATAAACTCTCTCTTTTAAACAGCATAAGCCAGTTTAGGTTGGGTTTTCAGTCACTTGCAACCAAAAGAGTCCTGACTAAAGTAGTAGTTGAAAATGCAGCACTATAGTTTGACAGTTACCTTTTAGAGTCCCCATAAAATAAACCTCTGTCAATTAATACGACTTCCCCTATGCACACCTAAATGTGCACCTTTCTTCATAGAAAGGGTCCTTTTATCTGCTTTCCCCTCCCCTATATCTTTGTTTCCTCTTCGCTCTTTTAAAGTACTCCAAGATAACATAAATTCGCTTGAGGACTCATATTTCCATTTAAAACATGCTCTGAAATGCAATCAGCCCTTGAAATCATTTCACAGAAACCTTAACAAGGCAAAGCAGCAAAAGGAATGTAAAATGTAATATGGCCATGGTTTTTGAACAGGGGGTATTAAGGCCTAATGAGGAAACAGAACTCCTTCCAGTTTCATTTATCCTAAGAAACTAAAATCAGTGTAAAAGGTAATGTCACTCTTTTCACAGAAATAAATTAATTTTTTCATGGAGCAAAAAAAAAAAAAAAATGGGCTTTAGAGCCTGAGACTTAATCTTCTGTTTGTAATTTGTGAAAATATAATTCAAATGGCAATTAGCAAGTGACTAGAAACCAAACCTTGATCCCAGAAGACTTGAAGGCAATTGATAGCAGAGACAGCAATAAAACAGGCAAATTAACACTTTGCCTAATATGTTCAATGAGCTTGTGAGTACTTGGCAAACAACTATTTAGCACAGTCCTTTCTATAATTATTTACACCACATACAACATTATGGTGGTAAGCCAGATACACATAGTTACACCTAATTTGAAATTAGACAATCAATCAATAAAAGTACTTGCCTAATAGGAAAAGTTTTATTGTGAAGTTTTTATTTCAATTGAAAAAGCAGCAAAAGAAGCTCAGAATTGATTACACAGAATTCTGCATATTATAAAATTTAAAATAAGAGTGATTACTCAATAAAGTAGCTGTAAACACCAAAAAATTTTTAGACAACCTTTTCAACATGTCATTAGCTCAAACAGTTCACAAGAAAGCAAATCTAAGTAAACCTCTACATATCTAACAATTTGCCTCAGTTGGAATATTTTCCCAGACTGACTTATTTACTGTCTTTCTAGAAGTAAATGAAAACATATCACTGGAACGGGTTCTCTGATTTTCTCAGGTTTATCTAGAGGCACTTATTCAGATGAAATAAGAGTTCATTCATCCCAGTAAATTAAACCCAAACTTACACGGTTTTCTAAATTTCTTTAGTTCTAGAAGTTTTCTTTTATGCTACATTTAATTACAGAACTTTTCAATCATAAAATTATCCCACCATCACTTTAAAAAGACCAGTTCAGAGGAACACTGGTCAAACCCAATGGCTCAAAGCTTTAAAAAATTGACAGATTGTGATATTAGATTTTGCAATATCTTCTCTTTCCCCACTTCCTGTGAATTCTGATGCATTCAAGTTGATTTCAAACTAATTTAGTCTTAAGACATCTTTATGACCGCTGTTGGGATACTCGAACAGCCATACCTTCTGATAAGGAGAGCAACACATACACAGAGACTCTACTTCCATAGAAGTGCATTGAGCTATATTGTTCTTGGAGCCAAGTTCTACCTGATTGAAGGCTCAGGGCCCTTCGAGTCAGCTGAGTCTGACATACGTAACAAACCTGCACATTGGGCACATGTACCCTAGAACTTAAAGTATAATTTAAAAAAATACAATGGCTGGAAGCAATCATTTCAAGTCTTTAAAAGATACCCAATTGTGGTCAGACTAAGTACAAAGGCTTATGAAATATTAGACAAAAACACAAGCCATTCTTCATATAGCTTACAAATTTATAGCCTATAAAAGAATATAAACTAACCACTTGAAAATTGATGTGGCAATGGAAATGGGATATTGGGGAAAGGCAATGCAAAAGCATTCCCAAAACACTGTAAGCACTTAAAGTAAAAAATCCGCTAATATACAAAAATAATATTTTATAAACAAGTTTTCATACATAAAATAAAAGGAAAATACCAAAGGAAAGTAAATTTGGAGGCTAAAACACAGTTCCAATAAAATTATTTCATTTTTAACTACATACATTCCTTAAGTAGTTTTTTCCATGTAATGATACTCAAAACCATCTTTTCTAGAAAATAGTAACAGCTAATTAAAGCTACCAAGTCACACATGTGGAGCATAAATTATTAATGAGCTTAAGAGTTGATAGTAAGATAACATAAAAGGCAGCTTAGAGCTGTAAAATACTATAGAAATAGGAGAATCAAGGGAGGGAAAACTAGCCCTCTTGAAGAAGAGAAATAGTCTCTATAATTGTGTCTCAAATATTCATAAAGCAAGAAAACTAGAGACTCCTGGTAAACCCAACAACAAGCCATAAAAGTTCCATTAATGAACGTTATTGATGCAGTTAACTACTAGATAGAGTAATTGCTGTATCATCAACACAAGAGATACAGGTTTCACTTTAGATTGGTATTAAACATTTAAAATGTATGTTAAAAGGACTAATATTTTAAGCATCTTAAAATGGTAACTAGCAGGTGAACCAAAATATCAAGGCCAGCTCTCAGTCACAAGTACTTAACCCCAAAATTCCCATCTGGAACCTCCTTTAGAACACCAGTGCACCCCACAAAAAAAATCTACCGTTACTAGCACAGAAAGAGATATGCAAGAGCCAAGCATGCAGTAAAACAGGACAATTTGGAACCAACGGGCAAAAACAGCTGTCTTTCATCACTGCCCACCTTACAGAAAGTTCTCATTTGTATGGATTTGTCAGCAGTTCCCATTCATCAACTCAGCAGTGCAGAAGAAGCCACATTCATCACCCAGGTTCTGACATGTACCGTTTCCAAGTTTTCAACCATAATGTGCTTCTGTGGCTCTCTTAGTTGAAAAACTTTGAGAAAATTAAAATCGTTAACTATATTTAGAAACTTCTAACAGGTCATTCATAAAGATAATAGCAGAAAAAAAGCAAAGTCTAATGCTATTGTATGCCCATGCTTCAATTCAGTCAGCCAGTCTTCTTGGAGAATCTTTTTTTCCAGATGTTGAGTTCAGTAAGTTGCTACCCACTATAGCCCTATTTTTACCCCACCCGTTCTGTGAGCGTTAAGATAAGGGATACAACTTTTTCCTTTGTGTGTGTGTTTGTGTTTAACTTCTCTAATTAATGAAGGTCTTCAGGTTCTACAATCTAAGAAAACTCAGGTATCCTTGAAAACCAAAGCAATTATTTTCTGCCCATATAGAAAAATACTATTTAACTCAATTGTAAAACAGTAAAAACATTTAATTAGTGCTTCCTACGTGTCAGACACTGTATTAACAGGAGATACAATAATGACAACACAGAAAACTCTAATCACAGATAATTCCAAAAGTTTTCTTTGTCTGAAGTAGCAACCTAAACACAAATGAATTTTCTTTTCCAGATCTATGAATGTTGGTGGGAGTTCTTATCTTCCCTTGACTCATCCAATTCCAGTACAGAGTTTCATAGTCTGTGGCATAACTAAAAAACAAAAGAAGGAAAGCCAAGCAACAAGATTCCACAGATCACTACCCATCATCTCTCCCTGGAAACATCTTATCTTGAACTTTATCCACTGGAGATAATATTGTATTGGAGAAGGACCAGCCAGCCTGAGGCAAAACTCCCAAAATCATGGGGTTTATTTTCAGAGCTCTATACACTTCTCCTTTCAGCTTCTCTTTTTTGCCACAGTAGTGGTTGGCTTCATACCAGCATATAGCACAATATCTGGCCCAGAAGAAGTACTCGATAAATATTGATGGCATCAACTAATTGATTAATTAATTGGTTGATTATATTCCTGGATTCCTTGGCCACCATCAGCCAAGTTCTATAACATCGTTGTAACGAGGTCCCTGTCCTTGAGAGTCTTATCACAGCTAGTCATCTAAGAAAGTAATCTCAGATGCAATTAAAATGCTAACAGCAAGGAGTAGGTACTCAAACTTGAATATCCCAGTATAGGTAAATCATATCAACAACTATTTATCTGAGAGCTTCTATAAGTACAATGAATCCCCAGGATTAAAATTTCAGACATTATCAAAAGCTGAGGCCAGGAAAATGTCTCAGATCATATAACATCTGCCCCTAATCAATGTGGCCATGCTCAGAGCCAAGGCCTATAACCTCTGCTGGAGAAAGGGAGAGGAGGGAATGGAATGCATCCCAGTGAGCCAATCTTTAGTTTTATTTATTTTCTATGTTCCTCATTACTACAAAATGAATCTGAGATAGATTGTGCCAAAATCATTTAAAAATATATCATGAGACCAACCCAAGAACAGTGAAAATACGGTAGTTCTCTTATTATTAGCACATATGCTATTTACATAGAGTGTACATAGAGGCACACTACTATACTGGTTAGCAGCATAGACTCTGGAAGTCTTACTAGTTGTGGCCTTGGACAAGTTGTTTAGCCAGTGTGACTCAGTTTTCTCACCTTGTAGACAATAAAACACCATCCTCATAGAGTTGTGATGAGAAAGAACTATGCCTGGCACAAAAAGAACACTTTATAAGAAACAACTTCTATAATTTGTAGAAGTTGGTTGATATAAGTTCAAATATTCGTCAACAAACAGGAATTTTACAAGGAAATGGCCTTCTCAGCACCCCTAAAATATACTGCAAAGTAAATCAATCTCTCTACCCAAGGATGATACTTAAAATGCTGTCCTACCAACTGGTAAACAGCCTCTGCCTCACATATTTGTCTAGCACCTCCCTTCAATCCTCTCTCCAAGAGCTCTCCGGGTATCCCCACAGTCCAGCATCAAAGGACTGATTGCTAACACTGGCCCAGCCAGAAGCCTCCAAGATCTTACTCCAGGGCTACAGCCAGTGTGCCAGACCAGCATCTACCATTTGTTATGGGTAGAATTGGATCTCCCAAAAACAATAAGTCAAAGCCCTAACCCCCAGTACCTCAGAATATAAACTTATTTGGAAACAGGGTTTCTACAGAGAAAATTTTGTTAAAATGGGGTCATTCATGTGAGCCCTAACCTAACATGACTCGTATCCTTATAAAAAAGGAGAATTCGGACGCAGAGACAGGTCAGCACACAGGTAGAACACCATGAGAAGATGAAGACAGATATCAGGATGATACATCTACAAGCCAAGAAATGCCAAAGATTGCCAGCAAACCACAAGAAACTAGGCAAGAGGCCTGGAACAGAGTCTCTCTCACAGCTTCAGCAGGAACCTACCCTACTGACACCTTGATCTTGGGCATCAAGCATCCATCACTGGGAGACAATAAATTTCAGTTCTTTAAAACATCTGTTCAATGGTACTTTGTTATCAACAAACCAATACAATACCTTTCTTTTTTTTTTTGAGACAGAGTTTTGCTCTTGTCACTCAGACTGGAGTGAAATGGCACAATCTCATCTCACTGCAACCTCCGCCTCCCAGGTTCATGTGATTCTTCTGCCTCAGCCTCCCAAGTAGCTGGGATTACAAGCATGCACCACTACACCCAGCTAATTTTTGTATTTTTAGTAGAGACAGGGTTTCATCTCATTGGCCAGGCTGGTCTTAAACTCCTGACCTCAAGTGATCCACCTGCCTCAGCCTCCCAAAATGCTGGGATTATAGGCGTGAGCCACCATGCCCGGCCCCAGTACAACACTTCTGAACTGCACTTCTCCATGAGGTGGTGTCTACCTCCCTGGCTTTCCATAAAACATAAGCATAATTTACTCAAATCTTGGAAAGATAAAAGCAAGATTGTTCTTTAGCCCAGTGAGTACATTCTCACAACCCAATCAGAGAGTCCACAGCCTTAAGGAACTAGGGGGTTTTGATAACCAATGGACTCTCAAATCCTGGAACAGGTTAAATTTTCATGTTTCTGAATAGAAGCCAGGTTTCACTATCAAAGATTACTTGCAGCCCTACCTGCTCTTTAACCCTGGACAACAGCCTATATGATACCTGAAAGACATGAGCAAGTCTCCTGGGAAACCCAGAAAACTGAATAAGGTTAAAGTACACATTCCTGTGAAATTGTTTTACCAAGCATGCTTGCAAGAAAATAAAAACAATGGCTGCTTCTGAAACTCCCAAGCATATATCTGACTTGGAGTTATATTGTACCTGCTAGCCACTCCCAGGCACAAACACCTGTTTGTACAAGATTTTAGTAACATTCTCATTCTTCATCTTAAAACCTCACTATGTAAATTAAGAATACTTACAGTAGAGACTCAGGCTATCACGAATTGATCTGATATACCTGTACTTAGGTTTTCTCCCTTTTTATAGGCAAACAAAAGAGAAAAAGAGAGCCATAGTCAATCAGGAGAGGGACTGAAACTAGACTCTAACTAGATTTTCTGTCAAACCATTCAAACCATTCAATCATTATTAAATACCAGTTATGTGCTAAGGATACAGAATCTGAGAGTGGTAAGGAGGGGTGAGGAGTGGGGATAAGAATTAAGGTAGAGAGAGTTAGTATGGCAAGAATACTTGTAGTGGCAGTAGAAGAGAGTAAAAGACCCACAAAGGAGATGCCCCTTGAGCTGGACCTTTGAAAATAAGTCACTGTTCATTAAGTCAACATAGAAGCCAGGAAGGCAGAGAAAGGAAAGTCATTCCCATCAGAACAGTAGAGAAAAAAACCACAAAGCATAGAGTGGGGTGTCCAGGGTTGGAAATATCTGGAGGAGGGCAGGCTGCATCTTGGATATTAGATGTTTGGGGCTTTATTTGACAGGCGGTGGAGAGCTACTGAAGGGTTTGTATGGGATTTGATCAGTTGTGTGTTTCAGAAAACTTACCTAGTTGACAATGTTCAAAATAAACTAGCACTGGGGATAGGCTGGATGCTGAGAGACTTATTAAAAGGTTATTTCAAGATGTAAGGTAAATGCACCTGACAGCAATAACTTAAGCGTACTCAGAATAATCCTATATGGCAGATGCCCCTGAATGTGTGTTCCAAGCTAGGGAATCCAGAAGTGGCCTACCTGGAGATCCGTTCCCTGTCTATGAGGAACATCTGAGCCCCTGTCCTGTCTCATGGAGCACAGGCTGTGCAGGGGATTGAGGCCCTAAGTTTTGAGTTAAATGAAGGTTGCCAGGTGGAGGTCATTAAGGAGAGGGTGTTAAGTGAAACTGCTGTCTAAACTGCATGCTGTTTGCAAGTGGTTGTGGTTTTCCTGCCCAGCCCACTGCACCTGGACTCTCTTTCTTGTATGTAAGCCCCTAATAAAACCCCATGTCTCATTTGATGGTTCTGGGTCTCTGTTCTTCGGCCTTTTGAACCAGGTGCCTTCCCTACTGAGGTTCATAAGGGTTCAGCACAACACATGAGCTCGGGAGAAATCAGAGGTAGAAAATGATGAGTCATTTCAGAGGTCAGTTGACCAATTTTGGTGGCCAGTTGAACAAAGAGAAGGAAAGCAAGGCCAAAGATGACTCTGAAGCTCTGAGGTTTCTAAAAGACAGGAAAGGATGCTATTAACCGGAAAAATAAACCCAGAGAGAGTTTGGAAGCCTTGTGAACTTCCAGATTGTCTCTCATCACTTCTTACTGACACTAACAGGATCATAAAGTTGTGTGGAATGAACATAAAACTTTGTGATTAAAAAAACACAAAAAACATAAAACTTTGTGTATTCATTAATTTAAAGTAAAGAAAATAAACTTTTTCTTCAGATGTCCAGTACTAACAACACACACATTTCAACTAGTTCCCTGGAAAGCAACTATATTTAACCTAATTGTAGGTTAATTATTGTGACTTTGTGACTAATTGTGACTTTGAAAGACAATTATCAAATGGGAGAAACCCCAAATATTTCTTCTTGTAAATTAGTAAAGGTCTATATTAGCAAAGGTAACAACAGACCAAAAATGCTATTGATTTTAATAATTCAAGATTTATATTTTAACACAAAGAGGTGCAATATAACTCTAAGCTAGATTTATGCCTGGATGTGGGTGGGTATTCATTCAATCAATGGGAGGACACAAGAGGAGATTCAGAAATAAAGGTTATTCCTATCCTCAAAAATTATCTGCTCTTATTTACCATGGGTTTGAACAAAATACAGGATATACATTGGTTTGTGTTCAGTACTGCTTGTAAAAAGCATAGCAAGGGCTCTGTAAGACCAGTCATTAATAATATAGACTTGATCCTTAAATCTTTCCATTCTACACACTATCTTTAGGCCATCTCTTCTACACAATTGTTGTCTTATGAGTCCAAATACCACCCTCTCTCCTGGGTTCCAGATCTTCCTCACCTGGGTACAATGCCTCTCTGCTCAAACTGAACACAACCAAAACTGAAGTCAAATATTTTGTTACCCCAAATCTGCTGGTACCTTCTTTTGTATTTTCTATCTTGGTTAACAGAATAACTGTCCACTTAGGCTCCCTAAGACTGAAAGTTGAGAGTCATCCAGGATAACTCATCCTAAAGACCTGGATCAGCCTCCATATTCATTCTTTTAGCTAAGTCAGCCATCTCCCCTTCCATCCACATTGTCACTGCCTTGTTTTAGAATCCCATTGTTCTTGTGTGAACAACTACAATATCCTTTTAGTTTTCCCCCTACCTCCAGTGTCAATTTTCCATAGAGTGATTCTTCTAAAGCATAAATTTCTAAACTACCACCATATTCATTGGCTAAATATGTGTCAAGAGCTTCTTCTTGCCTTCAGGATAAATTCAAACACCTTCTGTAGTAAGAAAAGTAATAGCCTTCCAAAGACGTGCGTGTCCTGGTCTCCAGTACTAGTAACACAGCCATAAGCTAAAGAATACAGCCAGGCTCTAGAAGCTGAAAAAATGCAAGGAACAGATTCTCCCCTGGAGCATCCAAAAGGAATATAATTCTGCCAACCCTTAATTTTAGCCCCCATAAGACCCATTTCAGACATGTGACCTCTTGAGCTGTAAAATAATAAATTTGTATTGTTTTAAGCTACCAAGTCTATGATAATTTGTTACAAAGGCAAAAGAAAGCTAAAACTCCTTTGTCTGGCATACAGAGCCGTTGTATGTGTCTGTACGGGCCCTACCTACCAGTGAAGCCATACCTCCCAAGTGCCAAATCATATATTAATTTTCTCACGTTTCTATGCCTGTTGATGCAGGACTTTTCTATCTTCTCTACTAATTTTTCAAGATTCTACTAAAGCATGATCTCTTTTGAGAAAACTTCCCGGTCTTTGAGATGGAGTCACATGTCCCATGCTCTGCATCCTTCAATTCTTCTATATCTAACTCTGCTTTGCACTTAGCACAGTCTACCAGGTAGCCTGCTTTGTCTGTATCCTCTAGTAGACCATGAGCTATCTGAGAGCAGACACTCTATGATAATTCATCTCTGCACCCCAGTAGCTAACACAATGCATAACCCATAAAGCCAAATTGAATTCAATTAATAGTAAGAAGAAAAATAGGACAGTAGACCAAAGGGAAGCAAGGTTAAAAAAAAAAAGTGGGTTTCAAGATGATGAGAAACCTTAATTTATTGCAGATAAATGGCAAAAGAGCCAAGGAAGGAAGAGGGAATAAATATGCAAATGAAAAAAGAAAGAGAAATTTATTTTAGTACTCTGAAAGTAGTCCAAATAAATGAGATCACTGGCAAAAATGGAGGAACTATCCTTGAAAAGGAGGAAAGTTTTTTCCTTTAAGTAAGAAAAAAAGCAAAGATTTAATGTAATTAAAAGTTAATATTCAGATAGGAAAAGGAAAGGTATATATTTTCACAGGGTTAAGGACTTAATTTTATTGTAAGGCATTACATTTATGTAGTTTCCCTATATTATCTTTCTTCAAAATCTTGCAGCATAATTTTCATAATATGTCAAATAACTATTAGGTCTTAAGACATTTTTAGCGTAGCAGATTCTTTTCCAAGTCACAAAGACATTGCAGTATTCCTAGGTGCTTCCTTCCACAAAAGAAACTACAGTTTATTTCTAACCAGTTCAAGTTCTGCTAACATAGCCCCTAGCAAATCTCTCCCAGGCTGAAGTCAAAACAGTTTCTGTCCCTTGATCTCTAGGCCACAGCACCTCAACTACATTCTCTTAAATGTATTTTTCACAAACAAAACACACAGACGTTTACTCGAAAATTCCATCCCTACTGATGACAGTGCTGATGAGATGACATCAAAATGCTGCACAAATAAAGGAATATTGAGAAGTCTACATAGCCACCTGCCACCAAGGAAAGCAACACGAGGGCACATCTCTGACGCTGCACTCACCAAGCCATTTTTGGAGTCAAAAAAAAAAAAACTTCTCACATTAACAGATTGTGAAGCCAAAACAACACAGCTCTCCTGGCAAGAAACATACTATGAAAGCTCAAGCAGAAGAATTTCTGGCGCCAATATTCCAAAGACAGCTGTTCTCTGTTACAAACGACCCACCACCACAGCACTCCTCTAGGGGGAACTGCTGCTGAGTCAGCAGCTTTGGGTTTTTGGGGTTGGTTTTTATCCGCATCGCTTTCTCCAATGGTATTTAGGAAAGGTTCGTTCTTAGCCAAAGGGGTCAGACTCTTAAAACCAATAAAAAAGCATGGTCAGGTCGCAGGCACGGGACTAAGATGCCCAGATTCTCAATCAGAGCTTCCATTTCCCATATAGCATGGGTCTAAGCATATGGTCTCGTCCCTGTAAGGAGAAACTCATTATCATCTCATCTTTTTGCCTAGTTTTCAGTGTCCTATATAGCTGGCTGCCACCATATTTGACATGTCCATTTGTAATACTCCATTTCAGGCAGGTTTTATACCATTTCTATGACTTTTTTAAAAAGATCATCTCACCTAATTCAAAAACAAATAAAATAAAACCAAAAGGACCACATCTCATTATCACATTCATATATTCAATTAATATTCTTTAAGCCGCTTCTGTATGAAGGCACTGGGCCTTCCCACAAAGGAAGCCAAAGGCATGAGGAGGTAAACACCACTGCTCACTGGATGTCATTCAGTTCATCAGTAACAATTTTTTCCTAAGTGGCTACTCTGTTTCCAGCATCACAGCGTTGCAGAGGATTTATAAGACAGAGGCCCTACTCCCACAGACTTAACATAGCAGTTTGAAAGCCAAAACACATACAAATCAAATAACTAGAGAAAGTCGTAAGAGACAAAGGAAAGAGCTTCTTCTAAGGCAGATAAGAGTCAACAAAAAGGGGTACTTAAATGTGGGCTAAATCAGACAAAATTTAGGACATTCAGAAAAGCTGTCATCTGAGCTGAGTGTACTTTCTAGTGGAGTTGGGTTTGGGATCGCATCACAGGAAAAGCAAACACTTGAGCTGGGTGCTGAGTTGAGAATTTGCACAGCATTTTTAAGACTGCCCAGAATATTTCCCAATTTGATCAAAGAAATGGTTGAAAATACTCCCTTCATGCATACAAAGTACAGAAAATATCCTAGGTTGGGGTTAGGGGGAGAGTGCAAAGGGAATTATGTGAAAAACTACTCCTGGAGCAATATTACTTTCCCTTAAGGGAGGAAACACTAACGCTCTCAACTCTCGCCTCATTCTATTATTAAAAAAAAAAAAAAACACAGAAGTGCTTTGGACTTACTCTCTCTCTTATGAAAAAAAATGCTCTTTACATTGGTATTTACAAATTACATTATATGTGGAAATGACAATACTAATAAGACATGATGGCTTGTGTTGAATTGGACCAAAGAGAGACACCAGAGATCAATGAAGGCACAAGATTCCATGCCTCAGATTCTTCAAGTCTCATTTTTATGATTTCACAAAACACAGCATAGGAATATTACATAACATTCATAATTCACAGAATAAAAGCATTCCTGTCAAAGGCTAGTAGATGTCAAAAAGTACTATAACTGCTAAACTTTCAGTCATGTGCGTTGAATTTATATTTCCAACATTAAGAAATAGTTTGGAAATAAACAAATCAAGCATTAACATCAACAACAAAGAATAAGAGAAAGCAGGACTTGTAATATTAAAATGGTGTCTTAGTAGCTAAAAGAAGTTTCAGTCTTAAATCATAACACTTTACTAACCCAGTGAGAAAGTGGGAGAGAGAACATTGAAGATAAAGTTAATGGTTCTAACATTTTATCAAAACAAGAACTACTCTTCTCCTTGGAGATGTTTTTTTCTTCCTTTCAGATCATTTTGGTGACCTTTTATTACTCTTCTAGCTTGATCTTTAGTAACCTGGAAATAGTGAATGAGCAGTTCTCAAGGCAAATATAAGAGCAAAAACAATCTGCATTCTAGCAGTGAGCTGCTGGAAAACCCAAGTTATCTTATTCAAGGGTTGGATGCAAAATACTAAAAACAAATCTGCAGCAAAAAGAGATTGGCATTTTGTTGTTGTTGTTAAATAAAGAGGGAGTTTGGCAAGACTTGCTACGTTTTTAAAAGAAAAAAGAATTGCACTGTTTAGCCGAAAGTATTTTGTATATAGGAAATGCTCAAAAAAATAGTAAAGAATTAATTATTTTAACTTATTTTAACTGTGAAAATTTCAAATTCAAAAAACCTTAATCAGCTTAGCCTTGCCTATACAATGAAGACAGGTCTTTTTATTTTTTTCCAGCTTTATTGAGGTATAACGGACAAATTAAAATTGTATATATTTAGGATATACAACATGGTGTTTTGATATATGTATACATTGTGAGATGAGTAACACAATTAAGCTAATTAGCATAACCCTCACTTCACATAGTTACCATTTTTTTGTATGATAAGAGGGAATTTTACCTGTCTTCATACTTTTCCTCACCACCACTCACCTCTACTTTCAACCAAATCTGCCAGGCAATCATCTTCCACTCAGTAAGCAGGAACTCCTTATTATACAATTACTTTCTATTGCTTTTGTGCTATAAACAAACACAAAATTTCAATCAAAAAAAGGTAACATTTGGCCTAGATTATTTTTCATGTTCTTCCACTTGGCAGAAATCTATGAAAAGCAGATGGAGAAATAGTGGTGACTCAAAACAAAAAACAACACACTTACAGTCTTTTTATAAAAATCGGAACAGTTCTGCATGCAAATATTTAATCTGTCTTGGTAGACACAATGAATATTCAATAGGCACAGTCAAGAAAAAGACAAATTTGATATAGAAGACTATCAAGTGATATCTGTTACCAAGCAATCTATATTTTGAATACCTGAAACTTTCCCAGTCTCTAAGTAACACATTTTTGGAAAATAAAACTCACAGAGTGTTTTTAGATTACACGCACACTTATATTCCTCCTTGATGGATCTAAAAGGTGAAAATAGGGCTGTGATAGTTCACAGAATTTCTCAATCTGTCTAGAAAGAGCAATAAATATCTACTAAATTTTGATTTTTTTTCTAGTGAAGTACTATTACACTGAGGCCCTTCTACAAAATTAAATCTTCTTAAAAATTTTTGAAAATAATTATAATTGCTTACAATGTTTACCAAAGGCTCATGTCAGCTCCCAAAATTTAGAATATAGCATTTAAAAAAAATTTTATCGAGAACCTAGCTCATCGTCATTACCACTATTATTATTTAAATGAAACAAAGATACTAAAAAATTGCAGGATACAAAAAACATTTCACATAAAATAAAATAATATTTGGGAAAGATCTGTATTACTTAAACATGCGAGGCATGGTAGCAAAATAAATATCAAAGAAAAGCAGAGCTGTTTATTTCAGTTAACTTCTGGACTTCTTGCTGATTGAATATAATATTTCTTTGTTAGCAGGAGATTCACTAAAAACAGCATGGCTTTAGAAGAGAGCACTAAAGCCAAAAACCTATTTACTTCATGGTATTGAGAAACTTCATATTATTTCATAATAAGTACATCTTCTTTGACTTTTTTAATAGTTTTTTTTAAAGTTTTAATATTTGGAACCCACAGACGCATGCACACACACACATACACACACACACAGAGATTTTATTCATACATAGTCATGAACTGTGAAGGGACTGAGGTTTTAACCTCTTGCAAGCTAACAAGTGAGCCTGCCATAGCTTCACAGATGATGGCAGAAGAGATTAGCCTCCTAGGTGAGAGAAAAAGAACTTTATTACTCGCAACAGCAGGCATAAGCTTCACATTTACACCGGTTCCCCTTGCCCCTCGAAGCCCATGGGGGTAATCTCAAGAAGCCCAGGTGGATGCTGAGCACACAGTGGGTTTGCTTCACAGCCACAGAACACAGGAACACCAAGCTAAAGGAAACCCCGTCTTTTACAATGGGCAGCAAACAAACCTGCCCACCTTCAACCCTGAGGGAAATATGATTTGTATTATACTAGCAGTAAATAAACCTACCCTTGGTCCAGAGAAGGCCAGACTCTATCTCTGTCTTCCAAGGCTGTTCACTATAAAAACATCCTTGAAGGATCATCTGCAACAAAAAGCTGTCAGTGCTTCTGCTCACAAGAGTGCAGAGAAATACAAGAGACCCATGAAGAGCTGTCTCCCAATACATTGATATTACCTGTAACCTATATATATTGTTTGTGACCTATAAGTCACAGTTTCCTTGGAAAGCCTCCTATCTCTTTAAATATTCTCTTTTAATAGAACTCCAAGGCCCTATCTATCTCTACTGTGAAAACGTCTTTGTTCTCCCAGGGCCCGGCCTTCCTTAATAATTCTGAGAACCCTAGAGGCCTGGTCAAGGCAAAAGCCAATTCTGATTGCTCTCACATCCTTCCTGGATGTGAAACTGCTGGATGAGTCCATGCAAGGTACTGTGGATTACCTTGTATATAGCTTTATATTGCTGCCACAACAAATCACTTCAAATGGATCAGCTTAAACCCATACTCACTTATCACCTTATTGTTTCTATGGGCCAGAAGTCTGGGCAGCAAATAGCTCAGTTGGATTCCCTGAGTCTCAGAAGGCCAAAATCAAGGTGTCAGCAGAGCTGAGTTCCTTATTGGATGCCCTGGAAAAGAATCCACTCCCAAGCTCATTCAGGATGTTGGCAGAACTCCACATGGTCCTTCCATCTTCAAGCTGGCAATGGTATGTCAAGTCCTTCTGACACATCACATCTCTCTGACTTCCTCTTCTTTTCTGCTCTCTGTTGTCAAAGGTTTATATAATTCCACTGGATCCATTCAAATAATCCAAGAGAATCTCTCTATTTTAAGGTCAATAAATTAGCAAACTTAATTATATCTGTAAAGGTCCTTTTGCCATGTAAGGTAACATACTCATAGTCCCAGGGATTAGGGTGTGGGATCTTCTTGGGGGACCATAAATTCATCTACCACACCCTGCTATGCAAAGTGTGGTCCTCTGACCAGCCGTATTCACATCACCTGGGAATTTGTTAGAAATTTGGAATTCCAGAATTCACCCCATATTCAATGAATTAAAATCTGCATTTTAACAAGCTCTCCAGATGATTGATATCCACATTAAAGTCTAACAAGTACTGAATATCTATAGATATGTATCATCCAACGGTGTTGCCACTCAACAAGTTAGAGACAGTCAAAATGTTGGTAGAAAGAAAAGATCCCTCCATTTATCCCTGCTAATGCCAATGCGCCAATGTCTCTACTTGACAACACCTAGAGAGCTGGAGTTGGGGCTAAGATACCTGCTTTGATCATTGCCACCTGCTGCTGGTCTAGATCTTGCCCAGGTAGCAAAGATTCCTTAGGCTGCGGAAGGAGGACATTTCTTCCCTGAGGGTTATAATCTTTCATTTCAAACACACACAGCCAATGTCCTCAGACTGTGTTCACTGTAAGGTGGATTGGTAAGAAAAAAGCTTCACATTCTTATTCTCATCTTATACCTGAAACCATTCCTCCTCAACACCCAATGACCTGGTGGCAATCCCAGGTGCTACTTCAGACCTGCCTTGCTATATAGGGAATTTTCCCTTAGGAGCTGGTACTTTCTTGCAGCTGAACTTCGCTGGGGCTACTTCCATCCATCAAAGATATTTTAGAAATCTGAATATCAAAAAAGATATCCTTAGTCCCTGTCATGGCTGATTTTTGGTGTCAGCTTGAATTAAGGGATACCCAGATAGGCAGTAAAGTATTATTTATTCTCAATCATTGTATTGATGATTCAATATGAATCAATGCGTCAATAGGCATTGGGCCCATCCCTCTTCCGCTGAAAGGGAAACTTAGGTAGTTTGGCATTTGATTAGTATGATTGGGTGGCCTCAGGAATTTCTATGGGGGTGTTTCCAGAGGAGACTGGCATGTGAGTCAGTGAACTGAGTGGGGAAATTCCACCCTCAAAGTGGGCAGGCATCATTCAATAGGCTGGGGCCCAAGTGGAACAAAAAGGCAGAGGGAGGGCAGATTCTTGCTCTGTCGTTAACTGAGCTGGGACACTCTTCCTTTTCTGCCCTTAAATGCCAGAAATCTGAGCTTTCTGGCTTTTTTTGGACTACAGGCCTCACACCAGCAGTTCCCAGGCTTTGGACTGAGTTACACCATCAGCTTCGTTGGTTCTATGGCCACCTATCATGGAACTTCTCAGTCTCCATAATCAAGTGAGCCAATTTCCCCTTCTATCTCTCTCTCTCTCTCTCTCTCTCTCTCTCTCTCTCTCCCTCCCCCCCCACCCCACCCCCGCCCCTCAGGCAGATAGATTAGATTAGATAGATAGATAGATAGATAGATAGATAGATAGATAGATAGATAGATATAGATATAGATATTCTATCAGTTTTGTCTCCCCGGAAAGCTCTAACTAAAATAGTCCGTATGCAGTTTTCTAATACAAAATCTGATTCCAATAAATCCAGGACTCTTTCATAACATGTAATTTCATCACACTTACTCATTAGACAATGGGAACAGAAACTAAATTACAGTTTGGAGTCAAGGCTCCAGGTCACTTTCAATTGGAATAAAAATTAGTTTGTTTAATATTATAACATTACTCTTTAAAATACAGAGAACTAGAAGTTGCATTTAAATTAAGACAGAGAATAATAAAAGGCACCATTAATTTGCTCAAACCTGAATTTTACAAAGTATTTCCAAATCATTTCTAATATGATCTTTATACTAGCTATGTAAGGTAAATAAATATATTATTATCCGCATTATATGGATTTGAAAATGAGACACAAATAAGGCTATTTTCTTTGATTAAGGCAACCAATATTTAATAGAAGCAGGACCAGAAGGGCTTCTGACTCCCAGATTCACATCATATAACTTATGATGTATTCTTTAGTACAGAATGTACCTAATTTATAAATTCAGATTTTTAAAGAAACATCATTTCTTAAAGCAAGACGTATTTTTCAAACCTCAGGCTAGAATACAAGAGGAAGGGAGCGGTATTGAGAGGAAAACTATATCTAAGAAATAAATAAGGTAGTTACCCTTCCACATATCTTGAATGCTATGTAAGTTCATGCATTTTCTTGCATAATATAAAATATTCTCCAGAGCATATGAATCTTTAAAACATTCCATGGCTTAAAGTATGTTGCAGTAGAGAAAAAACTATTAGTCTGCTACATTCCACTGTGAGACATGTAAAATTACATTGTTGGTATAGACATGAATTGTAGAGAGTACCTTTACTGGAAAGTCATGAAATACCATTAACCTTTTAGTGGAAAGTGGTTGATATAGCCAAATAAAACAAATTTTAAGCCCATGTAGAGGGGATACTGACTGTATGCATCCTTTCAGGTGAATGTTATTAATTAAGCATTAAAGTATATTAAATAATTTAGAAGTAAATACTCTATAAGGCTATTTTAAAATGTTTCCCGAACAGTTCAAATTGTATATCTCAAGATTCCTTAGCTTTACTCAGTAATTACTCTTTGGAATGAGAGGAAAGCAAATACTCCTAACAATCTGCTAGGATGAAAACAAAGAAAAGAAACTCAGTCATTAATAACAGAGCTTTCTGCAAATGAACCATCAACCACTAAAAGTCATCCCATAGGTTGTCATCTGGGCAACCACCCCTCATCCGTATCCCACTGCTTTTCTGTAAGAACAGAAATATTATCCTGTCTCTTTCCATCCTGGCGATGTTCTTTTACTCAGTGTGTGTGGTTCAATGGGCAGGCAATGTTTCCACTCACAATTTAATTCCATGTCTCCAAATTTAAGATAAAGCCACCAAAACAGTAATCATGCCCTGCTATTTGAAATTGGCTTGCATATTTCATGTAAAATGCTATTTTATAGTTGTGATGGAACATAAAAGATTACCTGGATTGTCTTCAGAGAAGTGAGGAAATCTAAACTACGTATATCACCAATTATGTATTTTCTACTTGAATATTTCCAGGGAGATGTTCCCTAGAATTCTCAGCTAAATACCAGTTACCATTTGTTGACCAGATACAAGGTGAAATGAACAGTACTAGGCACTAAATTGGGTGGTTTACTTATATCTTCTCAAGCTTATAATAAGAATGCAAGAATGATATTCCAAGGCCATAGAGAAAGTAAATGGCAGATCAGTATCCTAACCAGCCCTATATGCTCTCAAAGTCTTGCTATCCAACCAAAATCTTCTCTATATTTTCTTCATTCAATAAATATTCAATTTATGTATCAGTTATAAAGGCACCATATTACTGTGTCATTGAATTTTTTAATCTGCCCCTCCTGGAACTGCAAATCACTGACTTCCCCAATTACATTATTGGTATAGTTTGGATGTTTTCCCCAACCAAATCTCGTGTTGAATTGTAATTCCTAATGTTGGAGATGGGGCCTTGTGGGAGGTGACTGGATCATGGGGGCGGATTTCTCATGAATGGTTTATTTAGTACCATCTCCTTACTGCCCTTTCGATAGTAAGTTCCCATGAGATCTGGTTGTTTAAGAGTGTATGGTACCTCCCCACTCTTTTGCTCCTGCTCTGCCCATGTGATATTTCTGCTCCCCCTTCACCTTCTTCCATGACTGTAAGTTTCCTGAGGCCTCCCCAGAAGCCAAGCAGATGCCAGCATCATGCTTCCTGTACAGGCTGCAGAACCATGAGCCAATTAAAACTCTTTTCTTTATAAATTACCCAGTCTCAGGTATTTATTTCTTAATAGCAATGCACAAATGGACTAATACAATTATCTTTCTTCATTTGCTATGCCAAATAATGTGCCTAGACAAGCCCTTTATTTATTTAACGAACATTTATTCCACATCTACTATAGGACCATTTCTGGTCAGCAATATGCCAAATCATTAATTCCATCCATACTCAAGTAACCTTACTCTAAGCAAAACTAATGAGGATCTGCAGTTATACTTTCACAAGAGAAAATAATCATCCAAGTATACTTTAAGTTTTTTCCAGAGCCTATTTGTTCCAACCAACCTCCCCAAGTGCACAGACTTGCTTCTTGCCTGCTACTCAGGGAATTAAGTATATGTCCGTGTACTTTTCTGTCAGTTTTGCAATTTTGTTTATGGCTCCTCCTCCATACCTACAATGTATTCCTAGGATATTGTATTAATTCTACGCCTACAATACTTCTCCTTCCCCTTTTTGGTAAAAACAGATTCTAAAGAAGGGTCTGAATATAAAGATAACGTTCTAGCTTATATGATTAATTCCTCATAACTATGGATTTGGTAATGATCATTCAGTCTTTAGACTATTTGTCAAAATCGCTTTCCCAGGAATAACGACTCTTGATCAAAGGTAACTAGAAATTACATAACTGGTTCTACACCAATGAGCTCTTGCCATACAGAATTCTATAAATGGGAGACTAATGGAGACAGTGATGGAAAAGTAAGTTGGCACTAAGTGTAGAAGATCTTTAATGGCCAGCTGAGGAGGCATACTATTTTTTTTTCTATAAGAAAGTTTTTTGACAAGTTTTGCTTTTTAAAAAAGGAGGGGAATTCTGGTCATTATTTGTAGCAGAGATTGGTCAGAGGAAGGAATAAGGACAAAGCCATTTGAAAAGCTGTTGCAATAATCTCAGCAGTCAGTAATAAGGGCTGAAATAAAGTGGTGGAGATGGCAATTCAAAGGAATAGAAATTGGAGACATCTCCAAGAAATAATTAACAAGATCCCATTTCTTTATTTATTCAACAGACATTTATTGAGAACTACCCCATACCAAGCATTGTGCCAGAGCTGGAGTTACAGTGTTGAATACAGTAGATATGATCTGTAATCTCATTCTGACAAAGGAATAAATAAGTTTACAAGCAACTTTTAAAAACATTTACAAATTGTGAATGAAACAAGATACTGAGAAAAGATCACCTGGAAGAGTGATGAGATGGTCAGGGCAATGGGTAAATTGTACAGAGAAAGCCAAAAGATGGAGTCAAAATTCCCACTAAGGAGTCAAGCCTGGATAGCTGAACAGATGGAGGCATCAACAGAAACAAAGATGAGCCAATTTGAGAGAGGACCTGACAGATAGTGATCTACCCTCAGATGTATTAAATCAGAGACACTTGTAGAAATGTTCGACAAATAATTGGAAATGTTGGCCTACTTTTAGAGAAAAGTCAGGATTTTGGATACAAATCAGAGTGTCTACCACTTAAAGACATGAAATTATATTTCTTCATCAAGCAGAGAGAAAGGGACCATGAGCAGAACACTAAAGAATGTGCAATCTGGTGGGGTAAGAGCAAAAGAAGACAATGAAGGAAAGGAAGCCATAAAAGAGGGAGAAAGGGTTAGTTGAGATGGTCCTCTGCCACATACTGAGAAAAAAGATATCAATAATGAACATCAACAATTGTACATTTTTACAGTGTTCAAGGGCAATGAGATAAGAAAAATATTTTTGAGTCATTGATAGAAGGTATTGAGAAATATTGAGGGAGCATTTTCTGTAAAATTATGGGTGGGCCAGTTCACAGAGAGGAAGCACGGCTCAATTCATAGATAGGAAGCCCCAGATTCTCTGGAACACTCCCAATTATAGTTTATTTTATCCCATTACACACCATATGTGTTTTGGTTCTCCACTTGAAACTGTGGTAACCTAATGGTAAATAGATGGAAACAATGCTGTTAAAGCTTTCAAGATGCTTGTCAAGGGAAGGAAAGTGAGCAATAAGTACTTATAACTTGAAGGGGAATCAAAAGAAGGCATTTTTTGGAGTAGAGCGTCCTGTGCACAACTGCAAGCAGTATGGAAGTGAGCAGCTGTCAAAAGCAGGAGAATGAAGATTTGACAAACAAAAAGAGATTTATTAATGGCACTTGGTTCCAGAAAAAGGCAGAAGTTGGGATCAATGGAACAAGATGGAAAAAGGTGAGGCACTTCTTTTAAATAGTAGTAAGTAAACAATAGATAAATATGGAGACATTCTTGAGAAGAGAGGAGTAAAGTAGAGTAGGGAGTGATGCTAGAATATAAAGTCAGTAAAATATAAGCTCCAGGAGATCAGAAGTATTTGATTATTCTGTGTGACTAGTTTTTAATAAATATCAGCAGAATAAATTCTGTGCAGTCAGCCCTACCAGGTAAAGAAGGAAGTGTGCTGATCTCAAGGTAAGGAGCTGGCAAGGATGTTGCAGGAGTCATGCAGAGGCCTAAAGAAGGGGACTTGGGAAAGCTCAGCGGTATGTGATGCAGAGTCAAAATGAGGCAGATAAGATAATGCTAGATGATGTTCCTCATAAGTGAGGGCTCAGCTGAGATTATTGCAACAATCTGTTCTTTAACTCCTGCAACTCTTTACTCAAACACCACATTCTCAGTGAGGCCTTCCCTGGTCATTCTATCAATACCTAAAACTGCAACTCCTTCTCCACCAGCCTCACCTCTTATTGCTGTTCCCTGCCTTATTCTCCTTCTCAGTACTCACCACTCTCTGTCATGCTATAGGTTTCACTTTGTTGTATTGCTGTCTGCCTCCCGCTACTAGAATTTAAACTACGGCAGGCATCTATTGTTTGTTTGTTCACTACTCCCTGTCTGCAGTGCCTAGAACAAGGCACCTTCAATGCAGGGCTGCCTCTGCATGAGATTGAGACACCAAAGTTAAATGACTTTCTTCAATAACAGTGAGTCATTTGTACAAAGAAGCAGAAGGGAAAAAATAGATGATGGAGGAGGTCCAGAGTGAACAGTGGGTGAAATCCAAGAGAGAGAGATCCTAGAATGCTAACAGCTAGAAAAACGTGAGGTAATTGGGACTCAGTGAGGTGAAATGATAATGCATAGCATGACTGCCATCCTGCCAATGGCAGCCACGAATACCACCTCCCTCTTACGCTGGCTGGGGCAGGAGGTGGAGAGGTGGGGGGTGTTGAGCTACATGCTCTGTGTAAACAATGTTGCCTGGCACATAGTCAAGTGTTGAGTAATTGTTAGCTGGTGTGAGGGGTTTTTTTAAATATATTTTTCACATTGCTCTGGCCCAGAGCCACTGAGGCTAAGGGAACTTCATCACTCCTAAATCCATTTCACACTACTAGCTAGTCAGGGTATGGGCCTAAAGATGAGAGGAAAATCCTCATCTCCTCACTGGTGGGAAAGTATCAAGCACAGACATGTTGCCGTCTGGAAAACCTAGATTTGTCAAGATAGAATTAAGTCATCTAACTTTGGCTGAGCAATGCCATCCTGATCAATATCTTTCCTACAAGTGATGGAACATTGCCGTGCTCTTTTGTGCCATGCCACTGCAGATGCATTCCAATAGCAGCCAAAGCTAACCCCAAGATCTTGTTGGGCCCACTTAGCCTTTCTCCATATCATGTTTATGTTATTGTATTATTGGCCTATAACCGAAGCCATGCTCTTTTGCCCCTTTAGAATAATCTCATCTTGGCAGGAGAAGAAATAGAATTATTTTTTCCAATTTAAAGATCATTTTAAGTATCAATCTGACAACCCAACTCCATATGCATTGGCTTCAAATATAGAGTATGTATCATCGTCCTTATCATCCACTGAACTGTTTGAGTGAATTAAGAGAAGAGGTGCTACAGATGGGAAAGCCAAGCATCAGCAAGGCTAAATCATTAGTCCAGGGTCCTATAACTTGTAAATGATGTGAGCCATATCACTGTGACCCCAAAGCCAAACACTGCCCGGATTTAAGATAGATGACTTCACTGGAGTTTTTCATTTCTGATTCCTCAGAAAGAGATTATGGCACAACAAGTTCCCAGAAAGTGATTAAACACATTTTCTTCAAAAATCTAAGAGAAATTTTTTCCAGGTTTATGAACAATATCTAATGTCATTTTACTTCTGCATTCAAATTTTGAAATGTCTTATTTGTTAGTTAAAATAAAATATATTTCTGCACTAAATATGTCTGACCAGGAGTTAATCCTCTTCAGGTAAGGACTGTGTTTTCAGCAGATGTTTAAGAAAAAAACACGAATCATCTTGAAGCTGTTTAATTCTGGGGTTTTTGGCATATATTTTAAGCTGTGTATGTGTGTGATGTGACTTTGAAAAGCAGCTATAGAAAGAAGCTATGACATGGTTGTTGGAAGTTGTTCTCTTTCACACAGACACATACACACACACACACACACACACAAATCATGTTTCTTCATTCCACAGATGTGACATATTTTGATCTACATAAATGGAACTGAATTGAAAAAAAAGAAGGACATCGTGATATAGAAACTGCCTTTTGTCCTACCTGAGAATTTTATCATAAAAATGCAAAACTTATCATCATCATCATTTGTTAGCCATTCATAACGTACAAGATTCTGGGCATTGCAGACTGTTATAAAAATGTAAGAATATAGTCTTCTATTTTAAAAAGACTAAAGGAAAACAAATTAAAATATGCAGGAATCAATGCATGCATTTCCATCCATGCAATTTTTCTTTAGTCTCCCAAGAAACAGTTTTATGAACTATTTCTGAGTGGCAGATTCCCACCTATAGTCGTTATCTTTTGCTACATAACAAATTGCCCTCAAACTTAGTGGCTTAAAACAACACACATTTATTATCTCAGTTGTATGGGGCAGGGATTCAGAAGCACCTTAGCTGGGTGGTTCTGGCTCAGGATCTTTCATGAAGTTACAAACAAGTTGCTGGCAGGGACTGCAGTCAGCCAGCGTTCACTGGAGCGGGAGCATCCACTTCTGAGCTTACTCATGTGTGTGTTGGCAGAAGCTTCACCTTTCACTAGCTGTTGGCTAAAGGCCTCAGTTCTTTGCCACCTGGGCCTCTCCATAAGGCTGCTTGGGTATCCTAAGGACATGGCAGTTGTCTTCCCCCAAGGTGGGTAAACAGACAGTGAGTAAAACAGAGAGAATAAGGAAAAAACTACAATGTCTTTTACAGCCCACACTCACGGGAAGGGGAATTAGGTTCCACATTTTGAAGAGAGGAGTATCAGAGAATTTGTGGGCATCTTTCAAAACCACCACACCTCCTAAGCACATTTCTCTGCTCTTTCCCTAGTTCTTTCTCAGAACTCTGTAAAGCATTGGACTTACAGGACAATCATAATCACAGTTATACCTAAATGCACTTATTTCAGTATCTACTATGTGTCAGGTACCATTCAACACACATAAATGAAACAAAAAAGTCCTTGCTCTTATAAATATAGTAAGAGATTGACAGTAAACTGATAAATATAATATGGTTGTGATAACTGCTATGTAAAAAAACAGACTAAGAAGTTAGAAAAGTGTGAGTGCTTAAATAGCTGAAAATACTTCATATCAGCGTATCACATATTATGTGGATACACTGCTTCTCAGCCTTGAGAATTCAAATGACCTTAATCTGCAAAAACCATTATCTTTGTCCTTGACCACATGCTTTTTCTTCTTCCCTAACATTTATGCAAAACCCAGCAGCAAGACTTGCTTCTGTGTTCTTTCTCAGCTTTGCCAGGACTTCACTGTATATGCCAAGTCTTAAAAAATAACCAGAAATCATCTGTCAGCTCCTCTTCAAACAGCCATTTCTTTTTTCTTTTGTGGCTGGCTCTCTTCCATGAAAACTTGGCATGTAGTGCCTCCCCTTCTGGAAAATCGCATGTTGTCCTGAAGCAAGGATCTACGGTCTTACCTGCTCTCTACCTGAGTCATATCAGAAACCAAACCCTCTCCACTCCCAGGAATCGGAAAACCATTCTTTCTGTTGGTAGTTGCCACCTTGGCTCTCAGTGCCCCACTACCAGTTTATCTATCTTGGCCCATCATAACAGGAGCATCAGTTTCCACAACCCAACCAGGACTCCAACATCTGTCTAAAAAATGTATAATAAAAACAACACACAAACCCCCCAAACACCAAATAATACAAATCGTCTTCACATCATATAATCGGGAGTTGTCAGGTTTTTACCTGTTTCTGGTACGTATCACTATTTGCACTTCTCACAATTCTTGTATTTGCTAAACCATGAGTTTAGGGAAGATTCCAATTGGGAGAAAACTAATTACTTTTAATTGTTGATTTTAAATATTGTGCTATAATTGAAATTTTATTTCCAAATAAAGGTTAATTTTCTAAAAAGACCACAACCTCTCGCCTATGTTTTATTTATTCAGTTATCTTCCTCATTCCGTCTATGCCCTAGATGTTTATTTACTTATTTAATAGTGCCCAAGTGATGGGGTGTTGGTGTAGTATATTTAGAAAATCAACTAGGTCTCTCTCTTATCTGCCATATTACTCCAGATGGAAATACACATTGGCATATCACATAAGCTACCTTGGTTACCTTCTGTTCACAGTTGCTATGCCAGTGAAGAATATGAAAATTGGAACTTTCCAACCAATGGCAGACAATATAATTGAGTTAGAGTGTTCCAAGTTTTCTGAATGGCATTGGGTTGCACTTTGCCATTTTACTTTTTAAAACTCTGGCTTGAATTTGCCATACTAATGTTTTTACATGAAAAAGGTATCTGTCACACACCTTACAGTGTAAAGAAAGGTTACATTTCCTAGAGCCCTCACCAATTTTTCCTCTTTTTCCAATTAAGTATATCATAATCCTATAATATGTTGTACTAGACTAGTTATAAAGGCTATCATGTTGCTGAAAATAGTATAGTATCCAGTAGATAATAGAAATAAGTCCACTGACATATGCCAACACTGTATTCTGGTTTAACTACTGACTAGAGGAAATGTAATAATGGAATCACCACATGAATCCCCAACATCTCTACACAGAGCACTCTCCCATGTTTTTACAATGCCACATAGATACACACATACAGAGGACAAATAAAGTACAGCTCATTCAAGCACTAATCTTTTAGGAGTACAAAAACATCACTGGAATAAATTTAAATAGTGTAGCAATTATCTCACATTTTCACATACAACTCACTATACAATTGATGAAATGGAAACTGACCTTATTCCCGCCCAAATAATGCCCTAAGTGAAATTTTTTTCAATAAAGTAAATCAGAAACAAACAACTTCTCATCAATAACAACTTGACCTTCATCGAGTATTTTTGCAGCATGCGTATGCAAAACTCATGGTGCAACCACAGCCACAGGAGCAACCTGAGACTTGCCAGCCAATGGTTACTTCAAACCAATGTTGTCAAATAGCTGAACTCTGAGGAAACACAGAATGACACAGTAGTTTCCTGGAAACACCTCACTTGTTTTATTATTCAAATTTTATTCTAATACATTGTCTTGTTTGAAAAATTACCCCCCAGAAAAACTCTGAAAGGCCTGTAATCCCAGCACTTCGGGAGGCCGAGGTGGGCAGATGACCTGAGGTCAGGAGATCAAGACCAGCCTGGCAAACATGGTGAAACCCCATCTCTACTAAAAATACAAAAATTAGCCAGGCGTGGTGGCACACACCTGTAATTCCAGCTACTTGGGAGGCTGAGGCAAGAGAATTGCTTGAACCTGGGAGGCAGAGGTTGCTGTGAGCCAAGGTCGTGCCATTGCTCTCCAGCCTGGGAAACAGAGTGAGACTCTGTCTCAAAAAAAAAAACAAAAAAAATTGAAGAGAACTACAGAAAAAAGAAATTTAACTTTCTAACAATAAATTCAGAAAAATAATCATTTTTAAACATTTTCAATGATGGGAATTGTATTAGTCAGGGTTCCCTAGAAGGACAGAACTAATAGGATATATATAGATATAGATACACACACACACATATACATACTATATATGTGTGTATATATACACACACACATAAACATATATACATACTATATATGTGTATATATGTACACACATATATACATATATACATACTATATATGTGTGTACATATATACACATATATACATACTATATGTAGATATACATACTATATATTATATATACATATATAATATGTGTATATATACTAATATAATATGTGTATATATACATATATACTAATATAATATGTATATTTACACACACACATATATAAAGGGGAGTTTATTAAGTATTAACTTACATGATCACAAGGTCCCACAATAGGCTGTCTGCAAGCTTGAGGAGGAAGGAGAGCCAGTCCGAGTCTCAAAACTGAAGAACTTGGAGTCAGGTGTGTGAGGGCAGGAAGCGTCCGCACAGGAGAAAGATGTAGGCTGGGAGCCTAGGCCTATCTCTCCTCTTCACGTTTTTCTGCATGCTTTATATTCACTGGCAGCTTATTAGATTGTGTCCACAAGATTAAGAGTGGGTCTGCCTTCCCCAGCCCACTGACTCAAATGTTAATCTCCTTTGGCAATACCCTCACAGACACACCAGGATCAATACTTCGCATCCTTCAATCCACTCAAGTTGACACTCAGTATTAACCATCCCAGGAATATTTTGAAAGCTATTAATGTACTTTTTCTTCTGCCTTTGAGTATGAGACCATCGCTTTAATTGGCATTTGCCTAGAGCCAAAAAAGGATTTTTCACAGAAAGAATGCAAAGAGAAAGAATGAAGTACTATCCAACTTCTAACCTGCAAAATAAAATTGTGCAGCAAGAAATAACCCTGTGTGTCAGGCTTTCATTTTAAGAGAATAAAAGCTCCAAGAAAACAGGTATTTTTTTGTTCACTGCTGCATCCCTTATCAACAGAGCCTGGTACATAGTAGACATCTAATATATACTTAGTGAGTGAAGGAATGAATGAGAGGGAGTTGTATAAATGTTTTTGTCTCCTCCTCTAGCATATCAGAAATCAAGTCCAGAGTTTCCAATTCAGACTGGAGTTGCCAAACTCACAGAATTCTCCTATGGGGTAGAAAATACAACGTTTTGTTATAATGAAGGCATGTCACTTGTTCTGTTAAAGCAAGAGAATGCAATGCTGGAGGACAGGTGAGAGGTTCCACCATAACCTCCCCCGTGGAGACTGTGGAAGAAGAGAAAAGATGGAGCAAGACACCTAGAAGCATGTGCCCTGGTTTCTGTGCATTAGACAGGTAGAGATACACTGAAGGCAGAAGAAAAAGACTTGCCTTATTTTCTGTTTAGAACTCCTGAAAAAGATCATCCTTTGTGACCACCCCCAGTCCTTACCACATGGGCTTCCCAGTCAAATCCACAAGGAGAATCTCTGCTGCTTGGAGCCCCTGACCTCAAGGAGGGCCAGTCCTTTCAAGCACTTTCACCTGATTAAATCAGGCCCATTCAGGATAATCTTTATTTTGATTTACTCAAAATCAACTCATTTGGAACCTTGATTATATCTGCAAAATAACTTCACCTTTGCCATATAATGTAACTTACTCATGGGAGTGACATCCCATCACCTTTGCCACATTCTATTGGTTAGAAGCAATTCACAGGTCTCACCCCAACTCAAGGAGAGGGGATTACACAAAGGTGTGAACACTAGTATATTAGGTCATTCTAGGATCTGGTCTCCACGCTGGGCTCTAACCAGCAGAGAGGAAAGAGCAAACTGAGTTATGCAGAACAAATAATAACCAGGATGATCATGCTGACCGTCATCCCAGAGACCACAGAGCCATAAGACACCCCACACACACGCACACACCATATGGTCGTGCTTCATGTTCTTCTCCTCAAACACCCAGACACAGTCTCAAAAGGATACAAGGAAGGGGAAACAGACTCAAAATCTCAGAGACTGATCATTTTTACCTCTAGAGATTAAGGTTTACCTAAACAAACTTGAAATCATGAGGGCAGACAGAATTGAAAAAGTGTCAAATAGAATCAACAGTACATTTTTTAAATTGTTAAAAAGTGGAGGATCATGAGAGGGGCCAGTTTAATTAGAAATAAAATAAAGGACACACATTTTTATCCACATGTCCCCAAAAGATATGTAATTAAAAATCAGTTTGACCTGCTGTACATATTTTTATAGAAATTCTGTAACTAAACTCATGAAAGAGATGTTTATTCATGGTGAATATGATTAAGGTTATCCACTTATAAATTATTGAAAACTGTAAAATAAGACAATTTTGAGTAAATTGAAAATGTTGTATAATTGTAAATACAAATAATAACCTTCTTAGGTTGATCATAAAGAACATGGCATATTTTTGCTAAGAGAAAGTTGAGTTTTCTTTGTCCCTACTAAAGATGTGTTGAGTAAATAATGTCCATTTAAATGCTTGTCAAAGGGTAGGCCAGTCCTGGGCATCAATGTGCTTCAATCTAGCCTTTCACCCACTGCATGAAGATGCAACTCACAAAAGAAGTCCCTGTCAGTCATTTCTTAGAATGTAAAGTATATTTTACTACATTAACTACTCTATTAGCCACTAATTACATGTTAGACACTACGCCAAGTGCTTTGTATATATAAAACCTCAGCAAATTATTGAAACACTATAAGAATATGTAATAATGCCCATCTTATGGATGAGAGAACTAAGGCATTAAAAGGTTAAGTAATTTGCCCTTTGTCACACAATGAGTAGAGATCCTGTAAGGATTTAAACTCAGATCCACATGGCTCCAAAATCCATGATTGAAATACGTATACTGTATCTGTCAGACTGGTCTACAAAAGCCTATTAAACCCAAAATGTAGCTGAACATAGCATTGTCATTGTACCTATAGCTTTTAAAAATAGTAAAATGGGAAAAGAGATTCCAAGTTTCACCTTGAGACAGACACACTCATCTCTTCCACCCCTGCAGGGGATAAGGGCAGAGGTTTTCTCAGCCCATCCATGGTTTCCTAGCTCTAGGACAGGAGACTCCTCTAGCTTCACGTCTGTGCTGGTTGTTGTTCCCACAAGCTGAGGCAGGACTAATGATGGACGCTTTCAAGGCTCTGAGTGGGCAACACTGGGGGTTCACAGTCTCCTGCCACATTAAAGCCCCAGGACATGACTACATCTGAGATGGTCCCTACCACCTTCTTACTGTCCCTCCTCAGGCTTCATGGATTGACCTGACTCCTTCCTTTCCACTGCCACTGTTTCTTGCTTCCAGTCAGGGTTTTACTATTCTCTAACCTTCTGCAATATAGAAGTTGTTCTCTAGTGTTCTGAATTTCAACCTTCTTATCAGACAAAAAGCAAATCAGAAGTTCCCCATTCATCCCACCCTTCCCATAAAATGTGGAAGCTCACATTTGCATATAATTTTCAGTGGCCAGGCTGAGAGATTCAGGTAAAAGGGAGGTGAATATAACCAGTTGCTATGACAACAGCAAGACATAAAATGGCATAGCAACTCATAGGACAAGCTTTTAAAATTACATAAATGTGAATTATACAAAAAGTCATTCAAAATTACATATAAGAAAATGACTGGCCAATTGAAAGAAGCATACCACACAAATAAACCACCTTGAATTAGGCAATTAAAGAGATATATATAATTCTAACCCTCAAGGGACTGTGAGAAAGAGGGGAAATTACAATTCTGCTGTCTCTGTAATATTACTTGTCAACCATAGTGATCCAGCTTCATTCACGTTAAAATTTTTCATGTCTACCACAAAGCTGAGAATTAAGTCACAACTACATTACAAGGCCAGCAAGAATGAAACGGAAGTGTTTGCCTTCACCATTTGATGCCGTTGGCCATTCTCCCTCTCTTTCTTAAAATTTTCTCTCTTGGTTTCCTGACACAGCATTCATTTACAACCTTCCCTCCTCTCAGATTGTTCCTTTCTTTCTCCATCTGGTCTTCACCAGGTTTTGTAGATGGTTCTCATCCCTTTGGTATTTAACCACATGTCCTCGATTAATACCTCCTGTCTGGTGGCTCCCAAATCTATACCTTCACTCCCAAACCTTTGGCCATGCAGATCCCATGTTCCAGTTTCATGAACAGATCTCCATCTCCACTTGCATCTCCAAAGGCATCTCAGAGTCAGCACTCCTATATTCAAGGTGAAAGACTATTTCTCCTCTTTTCTGGATTCCCTAATGAGGTTAATGGCACCAACATCTTCCAGGAATTCAGGCAAAAACTATTTTAGTCATTGTCATCTCTTTTTCTCTCACATCCAGGCACTAAGCCCTGTTAATTTGACCTCTGTAATAGCTATAGGGTCCATCTGCTCCAGTACAAACCAGATGGGCACCAACAAGTCTAGAACTGCCCATTACCCCCTCATCAAACTGCAGGAATGGGCTCCCAAAAGCTCTCCCTGATTTCAGGCCTTCCTTATTCCATTATTGCCCATACAATCCTGACCATAAGAATTACATCAGTTTGTGTTGTTTTTAAAATACAAGTTTCTAGGCCTTGCCTCAGACCTACTATAACAGAGGAACTTGGGAACTTATATTTTTCTAAGTATTCCCAGATGATTCCTGTAATCAGTACTACCAGATTGACTTAATTTAGAGCCCTTAGGCAAAATTTTTCATGGCCCCCATTGCTGGCAAAATCAAGTCCCAGTACCTGCTTAACATTTAAGGCCCTCCACAATCTAGTTAACACACATCCTTCCAGTCATCTTCCCCATTGTTACTTATCCATACCTTATGTCCAAAATACACTATTTGTCATTTCCAGAACTTCTACATTTCCCACCCCTCCCCCATCGTGGGAAAATTTTTGTACACGTGTATGCTTAGTCTGGACCACCCTATACCAATATCTCTCTGTATTCAAGTCCCATCCATCTTTCAAAGTTAACTGTCATTATATTTATGACCATTTTTGCCACACCACCATCTGTCGCTGCATTTATTAATGCATCTGTGCTACATCTATTGATGCATCTATTGCTGTGGTTGTTATATTGCTATTTCTTTATGTGTATGTCTGCCTCTCCTCTGTGATATGAAGCTCCCTGGGGAAGACGACTATGCTGCTATCCATCTTTGTATTCTTGGAGGGCTCATAATAAGCAGCACACAGTTGGTGCTCAAAAATATTTGGATGAAGAAGGGAAATAGAAACAAAATCAGAATCGACTGCTTGGAGCAAATAGGCCTGCCCATTATTCCCTCTACTCGTGTTATATTTTTCAGCTTCCTGGCATGACTCATATCATCACCATTGCCTGAATGCCCTCCTTTTTCTCTCCCTTTGCTAGTCAAGTTCTACATAGTCTTTGAGACAGGGTCTCACAAAATATGGGCCAGCTGCTACTTGAATCAGAAATTCCTGGGTTGTTTGTCAAACTGCAGATTCCCAGGTTTCTCCCAGACATGAATTACAATCTCCGGGAGATGGAGCCTAAGAATCTGCATTTTTGACCAGGACTCTCAAGCAGTTCTTTTGCATAAAGATGTAGAGACCATCTGTTTCTAAACCTGGCTCAAACCCCACTCCTCTTAGAAATCCAACAATGTGGGTCCTTTTTATAGACTTAATGCTGCTGCTTTGTGACCTTGTTTACTTTTGTCTTATGTTTTTATTTCATTTTGTAAGCTATCAAATAATTATAATCTGTGTGAGTTGTGGAAACAAAATAGTATTATATATAAAATGTCATATAACACATACAGATTAATAACTATGAGTATGTCCTAGGATCAACCTGCCACCATTCACATCCCTGCTCTAGCACTTACTTACTGGCTACGTGACTTTAGACTATTTAACTCCTCCACACCTCCACTGTTCCGCTAAAGCTTAGAAGCATGTACATCATAGGGCTGTTGTGAGGATTGCATGAGATAATTCATAGAAGGTACAAGCAGAGTACCCTTAGAAGTACTAGTTATTATTACTGCTGTATGAGTATCACTGTCCAAAAAGTTCTTTGATTCTAGTTGGGCAAATACAACACAAAACTTAAAAAAAGACTAACCATAAACTCTTTAGGGTTCTTTTTCTTTTCCCTCTGTTTCCCTCATAGTACAGAGTTGCCTTGTACATGAAATAGTGAACAAAAAGTATTAGACACATAGGAAGGAGCCCCAAATTTAGAAAGATCCAATACTGAACCATCATACAAAACTCTAATATTCAAGGCCTTACTCCTAGAAGCACAGTTTACCCTAAGTTTCTAGATCTAAATCATATGAAACAATCACTATCTAACCTACAACAAAGGTCAAGAACTGAGACTCTATCTTTGGAGATTCTACCAGCCAATCTCATAGTAGGTCGTGTCACTGTCTGTATAGAAGAGTAGTAACTTCTCAGCTTGCGATTTCCATACTAACGTATTTTGACCAATGCATGTTTTCAGAGGTCTAGACCCTATCCCTCTCCCCATTCATTGCCTTCTTTTTCTCTCATCATCTTTCCTATTATTCTACTGCAGAGAATGTTCCAAGAGATATGTTCTCTTAAAGATTTGAGTGACTTCTTTATGACCTTTTATGAAACAGCTTAGTGGGGTTTACCTCTTCCCAATACAGTTTTTGGTCTTCTTATGGAAAGATGAAAGAAAGTAAATTTCATCACACTCTTCAATTCAGAATATTATTTCTTCATTAATTTCAGCATTTATTTTAGATACAGAGGGGCACATGTGTAGGATTGTTTCATGGGTGTATTGAACCCAGAAAATAAGCATAGTACCCAATAGGTAGCTTTTCAACTCAATGCCTCCTGCTTCTCCCCTTAATTGGGACTTAAGCCTCCATAACTTCCTATAATCATTTGTCATGGTTCTTTTTTCATCTAAAACATGATTTCTGCTTTCAGTTTCTTTGTTTAGCCATTGCTTTAGATCACAGCTTATGCACTGACAACAATTTTACAGGGACCAGGGCTTGTGTATAACACTGAAAAATGCTCCTCCCTACAAGGCTCTATATTTTAATTTTTTTAATTAAATAAATGAAAAATAAAGTAACAGGCAACCAAAAACTAAGATGATAGGATTGTCTTGTAATTCATTTCCAAAGGCTATATATTTGCTTTTCATTTATCTAAACAGCAAATGTTCTTTTCAGTGAGCTATGTTTTAAATCTTTCTATCCTTATAACAGCTTTACTGAGATATAATTCACATATAATAAAATTCATCCTTCTAGTATACAATTCAATGTTTTTAATATATTCACAGTTGTGCAAAGAACGTCACTATGTAATTTTAGAACATTTTCTTTTAGAAAAAGAAATCCTATACCATTTAGTAGTCACTTCCCATCCCTTCCTCCAAGCCTCAGAAACCACTAATCTAATTTTTGTCTGTATGGATTTGCCTATTCTGGACATTTCATACAAATGAAAATATACATATGTGGTCTTTGCGACTAGTTTTTTTTCACTTAGCATATTTTCAAGGTTCATCCATGCAGCATATACCAGCACTTCGTTCCTGTTTATTGTTGAATGTTTCATTTTATGGATTTGGCACATTTTGTTTATCTATTCACCAGTTGATAGACATTTAAGTAGTTTCCCTTTTGGCTACCATGAATACTGCTGCCATGAACTTGTGTCTGCAAGTTTTTGTATGGTTGTATGTTTGCATTCCGTTTGCATACGTGAATAGGAGTGGAAATTCTGGGTCATATGATAACTTTAACATTTTGAGGAACTGCAAAACTGTTTGACAAAGTGGGCACACGAAGTTTACAGTCCCACCAGCAATAAAGGTTCTATAATAATTTCTCTATATCTTCACCAATGCTTGTTATTTTCCTTTTTTTAAATTAGAACCATCCTAGTGGATGTAAAGTGTTATCTCCTGTGGCTTTGATTGCTTACGCTTATCAGCCATTTGTCTACCATCGTTGGAGAAATGTCTATTCAAATCTTTGCCTGTATTTTAATTAGAGTACTTCTCTTTTTATTGTTGAGTTGTAAGAGTTCTTTATACATTTTAAATATAAGTTTTTAATCAGATATATTATTTGCAAATATTTTGTATAATTCTGTGGGTTGTATTTTCACTTTCTTTATGATATTCTTGAAGCAGAAAAGCTTTTCATTTTTATAAAATCCAATTTAACTATTTTGTCATTTTTTGTATCTAAGAAACCATTACCTAATTCACAGTCATAAAGCTTTACCCCTGTTTTCTCTTAAGAGTTTTATACACTTAGCTATGTCTAAGCCTATGATTCATTGTGAGTTCATTTTTGTCTATATTATTAGTTACGGGTCCAGCCTCATTGTTGTGCTTATGAATACTCATTAAATTTTTTCACACTCTTGTCAAAAATCAATTCACCATAAATGGAAAGGTGAATTTCTGGACCTCAATCCGATTCCATTGATCTATATGTCTGTCCTTATCCCAGTATCACACTGCCTTGATTACTGTAGCTCTGTAATATGTTTTTAAGTAGGGACGTATGGGTCATCCCAATTTGCTCTTCTTTCAACATTATTTTGGCTATTCTAGGTGCCTTGCATTTCTGTATCACTTTTAGGATAAGCTTACCAATTTCTGCAATGAAGGTAGCTAGGTTTTGAAAGGGATTACATTGAACCTGTAGCTCAATTAGAGAATTTTTTTTTTTTTGAGACAGAGTCTCACCCTGTGGCCCAGGCTGGAGTGCAGTGGCATGATTTCGGCTCACTGCAACCTCCACATCCCAGGTTCAAGCGATTCTCCTGCCTCAGCCTCCCAAGTAGCTGGGATTACAGGCACCCACCACCACACCCAGCAAATTTTTTTTTTTTTTCAGTAGAGATGGGGTTTCACCATGTTGGCCAATCTGGTCTCAAACTCGTGACCTCAGGTGATCCACCTGCCTCGGCCTCCCAAAGTGCTGGGATTACAGGTGTGAGCCACTGCACCCAGCCAGAGTAGTATTTTTATCATAAAAATGTTAAGTCTTCTAATCAATGAACATGGTATATCATTCCCTTTGTCTTCAAGTTATTTTAATGATGTTCTGTGGTTTTGTGTGATCAGGTATTGCATTTCTTTTGTTAAATTTACAACTAAGAATTTTATTCTTTTATTCTGGTCCAATTTTTTTTTTCTTTTTCAACTTTTATTTTAGATTCATGGAGTACATGTGCAGGTTTGGTATCTGGGTATACTGCCTGGCCCTAGGCTTTGAGGTATGAATGATCTCGTCACTCAGGTACTGAGCATAATACCCAACAGTTATTTTTACAACCCTTGCCCCCCTCCCTCTTTCCCCCTTCTAATAGTTCCTAATGTCTATTGTTCCCTTCTTTATGTTCATGAGTACATGATGTTTAGCTCCCACTTATAAATGAGTACCTGGAGTATTTGGCTTTCTGTTCCTGCATTAATTCCTCCAGTTGCATCCTTGTTGCTGCAAAAGACATGATTTCATTCTTTTTTATGACTGCATAGGATTCCATGGTGGATAGGTACCACAGTTTCTTTATCCAATCCACTGTTCTTGGGCTCCTTGGTTGATTACGTGTCTTTGCTATTGTGAATAGTACTGCAATAAACATGCACACATGTGTGTCTTTTTGATATAATTATGTGTTTTCTTTTGGAAATCTACCCAGTATTGGGGTTGCTAGCTTAAACAAGAGTTCTGTTTTTAGTTCTTTGAGAAATCTCCAAACTGCTTTCCACAGTGGCTGAACTAAATTACATTCTCACCAACAGTGCATAAGCACTCCCTTTTCTCTGCAGCCTCACCAGCATCTGTTGCTTTTTGACTTTTTAATAATAGCCATTCTGACTGGTGTGAGATGGTATCTTATTACAGTTTTGATTTGCATTTCACTGATGATTACTGATGATGAGCATTTTTTCATATGTTTGTTGGCCACTCGTATGTTTTCTTTTGAGAAGTGTCTATTCAGGTTATTTGTTTTTTGCTTAATTGTTTACATTCCTTATAGAGTCTGGGTATTAAACCTTTGTCAGACACAAATATTGTGAATGTTTTCTCTCATTCTGTGGGTTATCTATTTACTCTATTGATAGTTTCTTTTGCTGTGCAAAAGTTTAGTTTAATTAGGTCCCACTTGTCAAGTTTTGTTTTTGTTGTAATTGCTTTTGAGGACTTAGTCATAAATTCTTTCTCAAAGGTCATGTCCAGAATGGTGTTTCCAAGGTTTTCTTCTAGGATTTTTATAACTTGAGGTCTTACATTTAAATCTTTAATCCATCTTAAGTTGACTTTAGTATATGGTGAAACATAAGAGTCCAGTTTCAGTCTTCTGCATATAGCTAGCCAGCAATCCCAACACTATTCATTGAATAGGGAGTCCTTTCCTCATTGCTTATGTTTGTCAACTGTGTCAAGGATTAGAGGATTATAGGTATGAGGCTTTATTTCTGGGTCCTCCATTCTGTTTCATGGGCCTTTGTGTCTGTTTCTGTACCAGTACCATCCTGTTTTGATTACTGTGTACTTACAGTAGAGTTTGAAGTTGGGTAATGTGATGCCTACAGCTTTATTCTTTTTGCTTTGAATTTCTTTGGCTATTTGGGCTCTTTAAGGTTTATGTAAATATTATAATAGTTTTTTTCCAATTCTGTGAAAAATGACATTGGTAGTTTGATAGGAATAGCACTGAATCTGTAGATTGCTTTGGGCAGCATGGCTATTTTAATGATATTGATTCTTCCAATCCATGAGTATGTAATGTTTTTCCATTTGCTTGTGTCATCTGTGATTTCTTTTAGCAATGTTTTCTAGTTCTCCTTGTAGAGATCTTTCACTTCCTTGGTTAGATGTAGTCCTAGGTATTTTTGTGTGTGTGGCTTTTGTAAATGGGATTGCTTTCCTGATTTGTCTCTCAGCTTGAATATCATTGGTATATACACATGCTACTGATTTTCATACATTGGTTTTGTATCCTGAAACTTTGCTGAAGTGGTTTATCAGTTGCAGGAGTCTTTTAGTGGAGTCTTTAGGGTTTTCAAAGTATAGAATTACATCATCCACAAAAAGAGATAGTTTGACTTCTTTTCCTATTTGGATGCTTTTTATTTCTTTCTCTTGCCTGATTGTTCTGACTAGCCCTTTCATTACTATGTTAAATAGGAGTAGTAAGAATGGGTATCCTTGTTTTCTTCCAGTTCTCAAGGGGAATGCTTCGAGTTTTTGCCTACTCAGTATGATGCTGGCTGTAGATTTGTCAAACATGGCTCTCATTACTTTGAGGTATGTTCCTTCTAAGCCTAGTTTGTTGAAGGTTTTTATCATGAAAGAATGTTAGATTTTACCAATAATTTTTCCATGTCTATTGAGATGATCACATGGTTTTTGTTTTTAATTCTGCTTATGTGCTGAATCACATTTATTGATTTGCATATGTTGAACCAGACTTGCACCCCAGAAATGAAGCCTACTTGTTGATGATGAATTAACTTTTTGATGTGCTGTTGAAAACAGTTTGCCAGTATTTTGTTGAGAAATTTTGTATCTATGTTTGTCAGTGATATTGGCTTGTAGTTTTCTTTTTTAGTGTGTCTTTGCCAGGCTTTGGTATCAGGGTGATGCTGGCTTTACAGAATGGGTTAGAGAGGAGGCTCTCTTCCTCAATTTTTTGAAATAGTTTCAGTAGAATTAGTACCAGCTTTTCTTTGTATGTGTGGTAAAATTCACCTGTAAATCTATCTGGTCTGGGGCTTTTTTTGATTGGTAGGACGGTGAGTCAATTAAACCTCCTTCCTTCATAAATTACCCAGTCTCAGGTATTTCTTCATAGCAGTGTGAGAAGAGACTAATACAGTAGTCTGTAGAGAGTACTGCAGAGAGTAGGGTGCTGCTATAAAGATACCTGAAAATGTGGAAGCGACTTTGGAACTGGGTAACAGGCAGAGATTGAAACAGTTTGGTGGGCTCAGAAGACAGGAAGATATGGGAAAGTTTGGAACTCCTAGAGACTTGTTGAATGACTTTGACCAAAATGCTGATAGTGATATGGACAATTAAGTCCAGGCTGAGGTGGTCTCAGACGGAGAAGAGGAACTTGCTGGGAATTGGAGTAACGGTGATTCTTGCTATGCTTTAGCAAAGAAACTGGTGGCGTTTTTGCCCCTGCCCTAGAGATCTGTGGAACTTCCTACTCGAGAAAGATGGTTTAGGGTATCTGGTGGAAGAAATTTCTGACCAGCAAAGCATTCAAGAGGAAGCAGAGCACAAAAGATTGGAAAATTTGCAGCCTGATGATGCAATAGAAAAGAAAAACACATTTTCTGGGGAGAAATTCAAGCCAGCTGCAGAACAAGGAGCCAAATGTTAATCACCAAGACAATGGGGAGAATATCTCCAGGTCTTGTCAGAGACCTTCAGAGCAGCCCCTCCCAACACAGGCCCAGAGGCCTAGGAGGGAAAACTCATTTTGTGGGCCAGGCCCAGGGCCTCCCTGGTCTATACAGCCTCAGGACATGGTGCCCTGCATCCCAGCTGATTCAGCTCCAGCCCTGGCTAAAAGGGGCCAATGTACAGGTCAGGTCATTGCTTCAGAGGGTGCAAGTTCCAAGCCTTGGTGGCTTTCATGTAATATTAGGCTTGTGGGTGCACAGAAGTCAAGAATTCAGGTTTGGGAACCTCTGCCTACATTTCAGAGGATGTATAGAAATACTCTGGATGACCAGGCAGAAGTGTACTGCAGGGGAGGAGCCCTCATGGAGAACCTATGCTAGTGCAGAAGGGAAATGTAGGATTGAAGCTCCCACAGGGGCATTGCCTAGTGGAGCTATGAGAAAATGGCCACCATCCTCCACACCCCAGAATGTTAAGTCCACTGACAGCCTGTACCGTGCACCTGGAAAAGCCACAGGCACTCAATACCAGCCCATGAAAGCATCCTGGAGGGGGTTGTACCCTGCAAAACCACAGGGGCAGAGCTGCCCAAAGTCATGGGAGCCCACCTCTTGCATCAGTTTGTCCTGGATGTGATACATGGAGTCAAAGGAAATTATTTTGGAGCTTTAATTACTGCCTCATTGGATTTTGGACTTGCCTGGGGCCTGTAGCCCCTTTCTTTTGGCCAGTTTCTCCCATTTGGAATGAGTGTATTTACCAAATGCCTGTACCTCCATTGTATCTAGGAAGTAACTAACTTGTTTTTTATTTTACAGGCTCATAGGTGGAAGGGACTTGCCTTGTCTCAGGTGAGACTTTGGACTTGGACTTTTGGGCTAATGCTGGAATGAGTTAAGACTTTGTGGGATGATGGAAAGGCATGACTGTGTTTCAAAATGTGAGGACATGAGATTTGGGAGGGGTCGGGGTGGAATGATATAGTTTGGCTGTGTCCCCACCCAAATCTCAGCTTGAATTGTAGTTGCCATAATCCTCACATGTCATAGGAGGGACCAGGGGGGAGGTAATTGAATCGTGGAGGCAGTTACCCCAGTGCTTCTGTTCTCATGATACTGAGTGAGTTCTAACAAAATCTGATGGTTTTTAAAGGGACTTCCCCCTTCATTTGGCACTCATTCTTCTCTCTTCTGCCACCATGTGAAGAAAGCTGTGTGTTCTTCCCTTTCCACCATGATTGTAAGTTTCCTGAGGCCTCCCTAGTCATGTGGAACTGTGAGTCAATTAAACCTCCTTCCTTTATAAATTACCCATTCTTGGGTATTTCTTCATAGCAGCATGACAATCAACTGATACAGTAGGCTTTTAAATTACTGATTCCATTTTGGAACTTGATATTGGTCTGTTTAGTGTCTCAATTTTTTACTGATTCAATCTTAGGAGATTATGTATTTCCAGGAGTTTATTCATTTTTTCTAGATTTTCTAATTTGTATACATAGAGATGTTCATAATAGTCTCTCAGGATCTTTTGTATTTCTGTGAGATCAGTTCTGATGTCACCTTTGTTGTTTCTGGTTGTGTTAATTTGGATCTTCTTTTTCTCTTTCTTAATTTAGCTAGCAGTCTATCGATCATGTTTATCCTTTCAAAGAGCTTTTATTTCACTGATTTTTAATATGAATTTTTGGGTCTCAATTTTATTGAAGTCCAGTCTGATTTTACTTATTTCTTTTCTCCTGCTATCTTTGCAGTTGGTTTGTTCTTGGTTTTTTAATTCCTCTAGATGTGATGTTACAACAAAAATTTGAGACCTTTCTAACTTTTCGAGGTAGGAATTTAGCCCTATAAACTTTCCTCTGAACACTGCTTTTGCTGCATCCAGGAGATTTTGATATGTTTTGTCTCTGTTTTTATTTATTTCAAAGAATTTTTTTATTTCTACCTTGATTCCATTGTTTACTCAAAAGTCATTCAGAAGCAAGTTGTTTAATTTCCACATAACTGTGTAGTTTTGAGAGATCTTTTTGGTATTGATTTCTATTTTCATTCCACTGTGGTTCAAGAGTAGGGGTGGTATGATTTTGATTTTTTTTTTAATTTATTGAGACTTACTCTATGACTAAGCATGCAGTCAATCTTGGAGTACATTCCATTTGCAGATGAGAAAAATGTATATTCTGTGATAGATAAGTGGAGTATTCTGTAGATGTCTATAAGGTCCAATTTATAAAGTGTCAAATTTAAGTCCAGAATTTCCATATTAGTTTTCTGCCTCAATGATCTGACTAATACTGTCAGAGGGGTGTTGAAGTTTCCCACTATTACTGTATGGTTCTCTAAGACTTTTCATAGGTATAGAATTACTTGTTTTATGAATTTCACTGCTCCAATGTTGGCTGCATACATATTTAGGATAGCTATGTTTTCTTATTGAATTGAATCCTTTATCATTATATAATGCCCTTCTTTGTCCACTTTGACTTTTTTGGTTTAAAGTCTGTTTCATCTGATATAATATTTGCGACCTCTGCTTTTTGTTGTTGTTGTTTTCTGTTTGCATGATAGATCTTTCTTCAACCTTTCGTTTTGAGCCTATGGGTTTCATTACAAGTGAGTTGGGTCTCTTGAAGACAGCACACAGATGAGTCTTATTTTTTAATCCAATTTGCCCCTCTGCCTTTTAAGCGGGGTATTTAGACCACTTACATTTAAGGTTAATATTGATACACAAAATTTTATTTTATTTTTATTTATTTTTTTATTTTTTTTTGAGACAGAGTTTCACCCTTGTCACCCAGGCTGGAGTGCAATGGCATGATCTCAGCTTACCGCAACCTCCACCTCCCAGATTCAAGTGATTCTCCTGCCTCAGCCTCCCAAGTAGCTGGGATTACAGGCATGCACTCCCACAGCCAGCAAATTTTTGTATTTTCAGTAGGGACAAGGTTTCACCATGTTGGCCAATCTGGTCTCAAACTCCTGACCTCAGGTGATCCACCCACCTTGGCCTCCCGAATTGCTGGGATTACAGGCATGAGCTACCATGCCTCTCCAATATGTAAGATTTTAATCCTACTGTGAAGTTGTTAGCTGTTTGCCTTGTACTTTCTATTGTGTTTTGTTTTATAGCCTGCAGGATATCTGCTCTAGTGTGTTTTTGCGATAGCAGGTATTGTTCTATTGTTTCCATGTTTAGAACTCCTTTAAGGGTCTCTTTTAAGGCCAGTCTAGTGGTAATGAATTCTTTTAGCACTTGTTTGTCTGGAAAAGTTTATTTCTCCTTCATTTTTGAAGCTTAGTTTGGTGGGATATGGAATTCTTGGTTGAAATTCTCTTTTAAGAATGCTGAAAATAGGCCCCCGATATCTCCAGGCTTGTTAAGGTTTCTGCCAAGAAGTCCACTGTCAGCCTTATCAGGTTCCCTTTGTGTGTCATTTTCCCTTCTTCTCTAGCTACCTATGAGACTTTTTCTTTAGCATTGACCTTGGAAGTCTGGTGATATATGCCTTGGTGATGTTCACTTTGTATAGTATCTCACAGGTATTCTCCAGGTTTCTTTTATCTGGATGTCTACCTCTCTAGCAAGATTAGAGTAGTATTCTTAAATTAGTTCCTCCAGCATATTTTCCAGTTTGTTTGCTTTTTCCTTTTTTTTTTTTTTTCCTTTTCTCTGAGGAATGCCAGTAATTCTTAGATTTGGTTGCTTTACATAATCCTATATTTCTCAAAAATTTTGCTCATTTTTAAAAATTCTTTTTTCTCAATTTTTGTCAGATTGGATTCATTTAAAAGACTGGTCTTCAAGCTCAGAAGTCCTTTCTTCTGTTTAGTCCAGTCTAATGATAAACCTTTTAATTGTATTTTGAAATTTCTTAAGTGAGTTTTTCAATTCCAAAAGCTCTATCGATTTCAAGATGTTTATCTCTTCCTTTATTTCCTGGATTGCTTTAGAAATTTCTTTGTGAATGTTCAACCTTGTCTTAGAACTCAGTGAACTTCCTTTAAATTCATGCTTTGAATTATTTATCTGTCATTTCTGAGTTTCCATTTTGGTTAAGGACTACTTCTGAAGAACTAATGCAGTCCTTTGGTAGTATCACTTCATTCAGATTTTTCATAATGCCAGAATTGTTGTGCTGTTCCCTTCTCATCTACAGACTCTGGCACTTCTAATTGTTGTAATTATTTTCATGTGGGTAGGATTTTTTCTTTTTCTTTCTTTCTCTATAATGTCTTCTTTTTTCTTTCCCTTTCCTTTTTCCCCCCTCCCTAGGGAGAGTGTGACTGTAGAGAATGCTGGATAGGATCTTTTGGCTTTGCTTCTATAGCCCTATGCACTTCTTTCAGCAGGTTTTATATCGGGCTGCACAGTTTTCCCTACAAGCCCGTAGATGGCACTTATAGGTAAGAGCCAGCTGCAGTCAACATTCCTGGGTATATACCTGATCCTCGTTTACTGGCAGAAGCTATCTATTGCCTCAGGCATGGGCTGATTCATGAAATTCACAGTAGTCTGAGCTCCCTACTCACTCCTGGAGCAGGGTAGGTTGGTGGGGGCAGGGCATGAAGGGCAGGGCCAGACCAGCTAGGTCTGCCTGAAAGTCCTCTTATGGCAAACGCAGGCACCAGTTACAAGGGGCAGTCCAATGGTTGGCCACCAAGCACCCAGAGGTGTCCCTAGGTGTGGAACTGGGAAACCTCTTTGGCTACAAATTCTCTGCATGGGGAAGTGGGGCAGCCTAACCTCCTAATATAGGCGAGTGGGTGCTCTCGATGCCTGGAAATCTGCCTGTGCATGGAGAGGGTCCCCCTGCACCAGGATCTCTGCAGAGGAAGGGTGGGGTGGCTCAGGCTGCTGAAGTAGGCAATTAGGTACTCAGAATGCCTGGATATCTTCCTGGGCAGGGAGCAAAAAGAGCCCCACTGCACCAAGATCTATGTCTGGGAAGGTTGAAGCAGCTCAGGCTGCTAAACTAGGTGAATGCATGCTCCTAATACCTGGAGAACTGCCTGAGTATGGAGCAGAGAGAGTATTGCTGCACCACAATATACGTCCAGGAAAGGTAGAGTGGCTCAGGCTGCTGGTACAGGCAAGTAGTTTCTCCAAATGCCTGGATTTCTGCTTGAGAGGAAAGCACAGAGGGCCCTGCTACACCTCGATCTCAGGGGATCACAGTGGGGCACCAACCAATGACACATGCAGGCTATTTCCAGGGCTCCAAGCTGGCTCTGGCTGCAAGTTTTGCCAACCACAAGAAACTATAGCTGTAGCAGTTCTCCTCCCACCCCAGGCTTGCAACTGGGCAGAGCACAATTCCAGCACCTCCTGCTGAAGTGCTTTCCACAGTTCTGGCTGTAAAGGCCCCTACCCCACTCCAGAGCAGCCACTCCAATACCTAGTCCAAAACTAAAATGCCTAAGCAGCACGCTGCTGTGTTGCTGAAGGATGGCTAACTTTGTATGTGCCTGGATTAAAAATAGCATCCTGCTCTCAGTCCCAAGTCTGGGAAAATGTCTGCAGCTTTTCCCAGTGTCTTTTCCTCACAGTGTCTCCAAGCCTCTCTCCAAGTTAACTCTAGGGCTTAGAGAAACAAATGTACTCTCCCTATACCTGGGTTGCTCAAAGCCCCAGTGAAAAAGGGAGTCACAGAGGGAGGCTCTCTCCCTCTCTCACCCATTGGGTCTTCACTCACTTTTATCAGCCAGACGCCATCATGGGGCTGTTTGCTGGTATTCTCCTCTCCAGATTCTGGGGTGTGCTTCACAGTTCCGTAGATACCCATTTTCCTTCTTGAATTAAATCTCATAGATTTTATCTTTATGTACTATCATGCTATTTCTAAGTGGCTGAAGCATACTAAAAGCCTCTAATCTGGCCGGGAGCGGTGGCTCACGCCTATAATCCCAGCACTCTGGGAGGCCAAGGTGGGCGGATTACCTGAGGTCAGGAGTTTGAGACCAGCCTGGCCAACATGGTAAAACCCCGTCTCTACCAAAAATACAAAAATTAGCTGGGTTTGATGGCCTGTAATCCCAGCTACTCAGGAGGCTGAGGCAGGAGAATTGCTTGAGCCTGGGAGGTGGAGGTTGCAGTAAGCCAAGATCAAGCTACTGCACTTCAGCCTGGACGACAGAGCAAGACTCTGTCAAAAAAAAAGGCTTTAATCTGCCATCTTGGAAAAAAGCTTTTTATTTCTTTTTACTATTGTTAATGGAATTGTTTTCTCAATTTCATTTTTGAGTTGTTCATTGCTAGTGATTGTATAGAAATACAACTCATTTGTGCATATTGTCTTATATCCTGTAAACTTGTTGAACACTTTATTAGTCTGAAATTTTTTGTGTATGCATTCCTAAGGATTTTCTAAAAGGAAGATTGTGTCATCTATGTCATCTATGAATAGAGATAGTTTTACTTCTCCCTTTTCAATCTTGATGTCTTTTATTTATTTTACTTACCTAGTTGTCCTGACAAGAACTTCCAGAACAATGTGGCATCAAAGTGATGAGTGGAGATCCTTCAGTTGTTCCTGATCTTAGGAGGAAATCTCTCAGTCTTTCACCATTAATAATGATATTATCTGTGGGTTTTTCATAGATTCCCTTTATAAGGCTGAGATTATTTCCTTCTATTCCTAGATTTAACAGTGTTTTTAACCATAAAAAGGTGTTGAATTTTTCAAATGTGTTTTCTGTATCTACTGAGATATAGAGTGGGTTTTGTCCTTTATTCTATTAATATACATGACATTGATTGAGTTTTATATGTTGAACAGCCTTGCAGTCCTTGGATAAATCCCATTTGGTCCTGGTATGTTATCCTTTCTGTGTGTTGTTGGCTTTCATTTGCTAGTATTTTGTTGAGGATTTTTACATCTATACTCATAAAAGATATTGATTGGTGGTTTCTTTTCTTGTCATGTCTTTGTCTCATTTTGATATCAGGGTAACACTGGCCTCATAGAATGGGTTGAGAAGTAATCCTCTTCTATTATTTTGAAGAGTTTGGGAAAGACAGGTATTAATTTTTTTAACATTTGTAGACATCACCATTGAAAACTTACTGAGATATGTTTTATGGCCAAACATATGATCTGTCCTGGAAATTTTTCTTGTACACTTGGGAAGAATTTCTATTCTGCTGTTTTGGGGGTAGAGTGTCCTATATATGTCTTTCGGGTCTAGTTGGTTTATAGTCTTGTTCAAATTTTCCTAAGGGACAATTTCTATTGACTTCTTTTTCCTTGTATATGGGCCACAGTTTCCTATTTCTTGTGTGTCTCATAATTTTTTGTTGAAAACTGGACATTTTAAATAATATAATGTGGCAGTTCTGGAAATAAGATTCACCCCCTCCCTGTGGTATTTTAGTTTTGCTGTTTGGTGCTGTTTGTTGTTGTTGCTATTGCTGTTTGTTTAGTGACTTTCTTGACCTAATTGTGTAAAGTCTGTATTCTTTATCATGTGCAGCCATGAGGTCCCTGCATGTTTAGCTTAGTGGTCAGCTAATGATTGAAAAGAAATTTCCCTCTTCCACCACAGGAGGACACAGTGAGAAAGCACCATCTATGAACAAGGAAGCAGGCCCTAACCAGACAGATGCTGAATCAATCTGTTGGTATCTTGATGTTAGACTTCCCAGCCTCCAGAACTGTGAGAAGAAATATTGGTCAACTCATTTTAGAGGAAACTTAGTAATATAAGCATCAGTGATATAAAAGGGAATATAGTGGGATCTGGCAAGATGGCCGAATAGGAACAGCTGTGGTCAGCAGCTCCCAGTGAGACCAACGCAGAAGGCGGGTGATTTCTGCATTTCCAACTGAGGTACCCTGTTTATCTCATTGGGACTGACTTGGCAGTGGGTGCAGCCCATGGAGGGCAAGCAGAGCAGGGTGGGGTGTCCCCTAACCCAGGAAGTGCAAGGAGCCGGGTGGGGGGGCCTCCCTTTCCCAGCCAAGGGAAGCCATGAGGGACTGTGCTATCCAGCCCAGATACTATGCTTCTCCCACAGTTTTTGCAACCCACAGACCAGGAGATTCCCTCGTGGTGGTGCCTATACCACCAGGGCCCTGGGTTTCAAGCCCAAAACTGGGCAGCTGTTCAGACAGACACCAAGCTAGCCACAGGAATGTTTTGGTTTTTTTTGTTTTGTTTTGTTTTCTGTTTTTTGTTTTTCATACCCCAGTGGCACCTGGATCCCCAGCAAGACAGAACCATTCATTTCCCTGGAAAGGGGGCTGAAGCCAGGAAGCCAAGTGATCTCACACAGCGGGTCCCACTTCCACAGAGCCCAGCAAGCTAAAAACCACCGGCTTGAAATTCTCGCTGCCGGCACAGCAGTCTGGAGTCGACCTGGGACGATCAAACTTGGCAGGGGGAAGAGGTGTCCACCATTATTGAGGCTTGAGTAGGCGGCTTTCCCCTGACCATGCTAGGGACTGGGCGGAACTCAACACAGCACAGCAAAGTGACTGTGGCCAGACTGCCTCTCTAGATTCCTCTTCACTGGGCAGGGCATCTCTGAAAGTTAGGTAGCAGCCCCAGTCAGGGGCTTATAAATAAAACTCCCACTGCCCTGGGACAGATCACCTGGGAGAAGGGGCAGCTGTGGGCACAGCTTCAGTGGACTTGAACATTCCTGCCTGCCGGCTCTGAAGACAGTGGCGGATGTTGACAAGAAGGGTTCTCCCAGCACAGCGCTCAAGCTCTGCTAAGGGACAAGCTGCCTCCTCCAGTGGGTCCCTGACCCCTGTTCCTCCTGATTGGGAGAGACCTCTCAACAGGGGTTGACAAACACCTCATACAGAAGAGCCCCTGCTGGCATCAGGCCTGTGCCCCTCTGGGACAAAGCTTCCAGAGGAAGAAGCAAGCAGCAATCTTTGCTGTTCTGCAGCCTCCGCTGGTGATACCCAGGCAAACAGGGCCTGGAGTGGACCTCCAGCCAACTGTAGCAAACCTGCAGAAGAGGGGCCTGTTAGAAGAAAAACTAACAAACAGAAAGCAATAACATCAACATCAACAAAAAAGGACTCCCACACACAGAAACCCCAACCAAAGGTCATCAACCTCAAATATCAAAGGCAGATGAATCCACAAAGATGAGGAAAACCCAGCGCAAAAATGCTGAAAATTCCAAAAACCAGAATGCCTCTTCTCCTCCACATGATCACAACTCCTCTCCAGCAAGGGCACAAAACTGGACAGAGAATGAGTTTGACGAATAGACAGAAGTAGGCTTCAGAAAGTGGGTAATAACAAACTCCTCTGAGCTCAAGGAGCATGTTCTAACCCAATGCAAGGAAGCTAAGAACCTCGACAAATGGTTACAGGAACTGCTAACTAGAATAACCAGTTTAGAGGAGAATATAAATGACCTGATGGAGCTGAAAAACACAGCACAAGAACTTCGTGAAGCACACACAAGTATCAATACCCAAATGAATGAAGCGGAAGAAAGGATATCTCTGAATCAAATAAAGTGTGAAGACAAGATAAGAGAAAAAAGAATGACGAGGAACAAACAAAGCCTCCACGAAATATGTGAAGACACCAAACCTACGATTCATTGGTGTACCTGAAAAGTGATGGCGAGAATGAAACCAAGTTCTTAGAAACCAACAAGAATGGCCAGGCGCAGTGGCTCACGCCTGTAATCCCAGCACTTTGGAGGCCAAGGCAGGTGGATCACAAGGTCAGGAGATTGAGACCATCCTGGCCAACTTGGTGAAACCCGGTCTCTGCTAAAAATGCAAAAATTAGCTGGGCATGGTGGCGCGTGCCTATAGTCCAGCTACTCAGGAGGCTGAGGCAGGAGAATGGCTTGAACCCAGGGGGCAGAGGTTGCAGTGAGCCAAGATCATGCCACTGCACTCCAACCTGGGCAACAGAGCAAGACTCCATCTCAAAAAAAAAAAAAAGAAAGAAAAAAGAAACAAACGAGAACAAAGAGACAACATACCAGAATCTCTGGGACACAACTAAAGCAGTGTTTAAAGAGAAATATATAGCACTAAATGCCCACATCAGAAAGTGTGAAAGATCTAAAGTTGACATCCTAACATCACAATTAAAAGAACTAGAGAAGCAAGAAGAAACAAATTCAAAAGCTAGCAGATGACAAGAAATAACTAAGATCACAGCAGAACTGAAGGAGATAGGGACGTGAAAAATGCTTCAAAAAAATCAGCGAATCTAGGAGCTGGTTTTTTGAAAAGATTAACAAAATAGATAGACCACTAGCCAGACTAACAAAGAAGAAAAGAGAGAAGAATCAAATGGACACAATAAAAAAAAATAAAGGGAATATCACCACTGATCCTACAGAAAGACAAACTACTATCAGAGAATACTATAAACACCTCTATGTAAATAAACTAGAAAATCTTCAAGAAATGGATAAATTCCTGGACAAATACACCCTCCCAAGACTAAACCAGAAAGAAGTCGAATGCCTGAATAGACCAATAACAAGTTCTGAAATTGATACAGTAATAAATTGCTTACCAACCAAAAAAGCCCAGGACCAGATGGATCACAGCCAAATTCTACCAGAGGTACAAAGAGGAGCTGGTACCATTCCTTCTGAAACTATTCCAAACAGTAGAAAAAGAGGGACTTCTCCCTAACTCATTTTATGAGGCCAGCATCATCGTAATTCCAAAACCTGGCAGAGACACAACAAAAAAAGAAAATTTCAGGCCAATATCCCTGATGAACATCGATGCAAAAATCCTCAATAAAATACTGGCAAACCGAATCCAGCAGCACATCAACAAGCTTATCCACAGTGATCAAGTTGGCTTTATCCCTGGGATGCAAGGCTGGTTCAATATATGCAAATCAATAAATGTAATCCATCACATAAACAGAACCAATGACAAAAACGACATGATTATCTCAATAGATGCAGAAAAGACCATCAATAAAATTCAACACCCTTCATGCTAAAAGCTCTCGATAAACTCGGTATTGAGGGAACATATCTCAAAATAATAAGAGCTATTTATGACAAACTCATAGCCAATATCATACTGAATGGGCAAAAGCTGGAAGCATTCCCTTTAAAAACCATCACAAGACAAGGATGCCCTCTCTCACAACTCCTATTCAACATAGCATTGGAAGTTCTGACCAGTGTAATCAGGCAAGAGAAGGAGATAAAGGGTATTCAAATAGGAAGAGAGGAAGTCAAATTGTCTTTGTTTGCAGATGACATGATTGTATATTTAGAAAACCCCACCGTCTCAGCACAAAAACTCCTTAAGCTAATAAGCAACTTCAGCAAAGTCTCAGGATACAAAATCAATATGCAAAAACTACAAGCATTCCTATACACCAATAATAGACAAGCAGAGAGCCAAATCATGAGTGAACACTCATTCACAATTGCTACAAAGAGAATAAAATATCTAGGAATACAACTTACAAGGGACGTGAAAGACCTCTTCAAGAACTACAAACCACTGCTTAAGGAAATGAGAGAGGACACAAACAAATGGAAAAACATTCCATGCTCATAGATAGGAAGAATCAATATTGTGAAAATGGCCATACTGCCCAAAGTAATTTATAGATTCAATGCTATTCCCATCAAACTATCATTGACTTTCTTCACAGAACTAGAAAAAACTACTTTAAATTTCATATCGAACCAAAAAAGAGCCCATATAGCCAAGACAATCCTAAACAAAAAGAACAAAGCTGGAGGCATCACACTACCTGACTTCAAACTATACTACAAGGCTACAGTAGCCAAAACAGCATGATACTACTACCAAAACAGATATATAGACCAATGGAACAGAATAGAGGCCTCAGAAATAACACCACACATTTACAACCATCTGATCTTTGACAAACCTGACAAAAACAAGCAATGGGGAAAGGATTCCCTATTTAATAAATGGTGCTAGGAAAACTGGCTACCCACATGCAGAAAACAGAAACTGGACCCTTTGGTTAGGCCTTATACAAAAATTAATTCGAGATGAATTCAAGACTTAAACATAAGACTTAAAACCATAAAAACCCTAGGAGAAAACCTAGGCAATACCATTCAGGACATAGGCATGGGCAAAGACTTCATGACTAAGGCTTGAACACAGTTGGATACTTCTGCTTTCCTGAACTGAAAGCTGCAGGACAAGATAGTGGTCAGTCCAAGACTCAGACCAATGGGTCTTAAGATGAGGAGCAGGATTATCTTGCACATGTCCATCATAAGAAATTCAGAAAACACAGAAAAAAGCCAAGAAGAAAACATAAACTACCAAATTACTTGTCAAGAGATACTCAGCATTTATAGTTTGGCGGATATTTTTCTAGCATTTCCAAAACAAAATCATACTAAGATACTATTTATTGATTTGTTCTTAATAAAATACTATAGATACTTTTTATATTAGCAAATATTGATCTATAATTATATAATTATTTAATGGCTACATAATATTCTATGTTATGGTTTTATGATTACTTATTTAGCCAGTCAACTATTGGCCAGAATAGTTAAAATTGACACTGCTCCTTGAACTATGGAGTCTGAATTCTTTCAAAGATATGCTTTGGGCTGATTACCTATCTGGTATAATTTACTGTATTTTTCTATTGCAGAATTTATTAAGTTATACAAAATTTGTTTAATAAAAATACTTCTACTGTATAATACAATCTCTGGAGAAAATATGTTTTAAATAATACTCTAAGTTACCCTAAAAGCAAAGCTTGATTTAAAAACTGGATGTGGAAGGCTGGTTATAATATAAACAACCAAAAAACCTATTAAAAAGACCACAATAAATCAGTTGAGAAATAGAAATCCTAGTTGTAGCAACTACTTACATCCATAACCCGAGCCTTCATCGTAGAATGGAAGTTATCTTTTTTAACTGCCTGCTTACACACTAAGAACTGGGAGGAAAATTGAAAACACACAAACATCCACATAAAAACACATGCACCAAAACAAACACACAAAGCAAATTACAGATGCCTACCCAATTACATTTCCTAGTGGGACTGAAAAGTAATCAACTCTAATCAGATAATTAAGAACATAGGATGTAAACCATGCCAAATTTGTCTTGATCTCAGATCCAGTTCCTTTTAAAGTGCAGACATGATTACTGCCTCATTTACATATTATGACTCATCTTCTGACTGTACATAAGCCCTCAAAAACAGGGTGATTACTCCACTAAAGTTGGAGCACATGCAGTGTTAAAGGCAGCACAGATACCTGATCCTTCTACATAGATTAATTCTTTAAAACAATATTTGCCTCAAACAAACAACAAAGTAATTTTGAGCTTTTATTTGCCTAACTTTTGTTATACATAACACCTTAGCCATGGCAATCCTACTGCCCATATTTTCAAAATATGTCTGATTTTAAATGTTCACTGCTGCATACCTTGTCTTCTTTTTTAGGCTGAAAAATACAGCCTTCCTAATGATAAGGAACATAAAAGAGAGTCCCATTGCTGGCAAGGAACCCTCATGGGAAGACCAGAAACACACAGCTAAACAGGATAAGCTGGTAGAGAAGTAAAATGTACATAATAGAGTACCCAGAAGCTCAGAGGAGTGATAATCATCCTAGCTTCTTTGTAATCCAAGGCTTTATAACATATACGTAAATTAGAACTCAGAGCTGTACATCTAAGTATGTTAATAACTTTAAATAGATTTGAAGATTGAAAAGCACACCTGTAGTGTTAATGAAACAGAAATAATCTGAAACAGTGCTCTCCAAACATTTTAATCACATGCTCCCTCAGTAAAAAATATTTGATCACTCACCCCCAATACCTGTATATTTATTTGTTTATAAATATATCCTTGTACTGTTGTCCTTAGCTACTATTATTTGGCACAATATATACTTTTGATGAGCTTAATCATTAACAACTGTGGATTAGTCGTGTATTTTTTAAAGTCTTCTTAATGGCAATCGTTTTGTGATTGTTTTGTGATGTGATTGATAAAGAATTTTTAAATTAGGCCCTGCCTTTTTTTGCGGGGAGGCAAGATGGCCAACTAGATGCAGCTAGGAGGAACATCTGCCACCAAGGGATGGCGACTTCAGGAAGACTGATACACTCTGAGCAGATCTTCAGAGAGAAGGTATTGAGAGCAGACTAAGGAAGGATGCAGATGCTGGGCTGAAGCGGGAGGAAGCTGGGAACCCTGCACGGGACTACCATGCACCAGGACTCATTCCTGGCCCCCAGTGACTCCTGGGAAAGGAATGAGTTGAGCATGCCAGGAGTGACTTACTCTTGACACAGACCTCTGGAATCCTGGCAGCAGGAGATCCCAAGACCCCTAAGGACACTTGAGCTGTCAGGGAAAACTGGATAGAGAGGTAGTAGGTACAGAACTCCAGCTGATGCGGAGCCTAGAGAGTTTGGTACAGGAGCATCTGTAATGGAGCACAGCCAGGGACACCCATCCCAAGGCTTGCCTTACTCTTTTAGGAGATTTCAGCCTTAGGGGAACTGTCAAACCTGAAAAGAACAGGGCAATCTTGCCCATGAGATGGGGCTGGTACGACCTGAGCAACCCCATCTGCTGGCCTCTCGTGGGGTGCCAACCTGGTGGTGCCTGTTTGCTGTAAAGCCCGGGATGCCCAGCTGGGATGCCTCCTGGGGACCTGCATCATTGCTCCCGCGCTGGCAGACTGTACCTGACTGTTGGAGAACTCCAGCAGAGCAGCCCCTTCCAATGCACACCAGCCCATCTACACCCTCCCCTCACCATAGCCCCTCCATGCCACTTTGCCAGCATGCACTTGCCCATGGCCACCACCCACATTGCTTTGCAAGCATGCGTGCACATGGATGGAACACACCTCCCATTCCCCACTGGCACACAAATGAACACGTACCCCACTATGCCACAGCTGCCAGTGTGAGCGCATCCCACATCACCACAACCCATCATCACTATCAATGCAAACACACACAAGGAGACCAGTGGCCCTGCCCACTGCCTGGGCAGCCATTGCCGCCAGCACAATCACATGCATGGAAGATGCCAGCCCTACACCTACCAGCACCCCATGGCAGGACCCACACCTCTGCCAGCATGAATGCATGCACAGAAGATAGCAGCCTCACCCCCTACCACAAGTGCCACACTGCCACTGCCACCAATGCAAACATATTTATGGAGGCTGGCACAACTGTGCCTGCCAGTGCCCAGCCTCAGCTGATGAGTGTGCACCTCACCATGCTGCCGCTGCTGCTGGAACACACAAACCATCATGGATCCTGTTGCCACCACACAGTGAAGCACCTTGGCTGACACCACACATCAGAATGTTGTTACCAGAGGTCCAGAAACACCACAACAACCCCAGTGCAGAAGGTTCCTAACTTCTAGGGGCCAGAGAAAAAAAGCTGGGAGCCTGAAACCAGCCCTCCAGAGATACAGACTGCAGCCCAGGAGTCCTTAGCTGAGCCTTGGCCCACTAAAATCTTCCAGAAACAAAACTACAATCAAACCCCCAAGGACATGAAAGAGGATGAAATTTTTTAAAAATCCAAAGGACAGCAACTTCAAAGACTGAAGGAACATCAGCCCACAAAGATGAGAAAGAACCAGTGCAATAACTCTGGCAATTCAAAAAGCCAGAGTGCCTTCTTACCTCCAAACGACCACATTAGTTCCCCAGGAATAGTTCTTAGCCAGTATGAAATGGCTGAAATGACAGAAATAGAATTCAGAATATGGATAAGAATGAAGATCACTGAGATTCAGGAGGAAGTCAAAACCCAATCCAAGGATTCTAAGAAATTTGATAAAATGATACAGAAGATGAAAGATGAAAATGGCCATTTAAAGAAAGAACAAAACATACCTCATAGAGCTAAAAACTCATTTCAAAAATTTCAGAATACAATCACAAGAATAACAGCAGAATTGACCAAGCTGAGGAAAGAATCTCAGAGCTCGAAGACTCTCTCCAAAATAACTGTGAGACAAAAGTGAAGAAAAAACAATGAATGAACAAAACCTCTAAGAAATATGAGATTATGTAAAGAGACCAAAGCTATGACTTCCTGGCATCCCAGAGAGAGAGAAAGAGAAAGCAAGCAACTTGGAAAACATATTTCAGGATATCATCCATAAAAGTTGTCCCAACTGTGCTAGAGAGGCCAAAATGCAAATCCAGGAAACACAGAGGACCCCCGTGAAATACAACACAAGAAGACCATCCCCAATTCACATAGTCATCAGATTCTCCAAGGTCAAAATGAAAGAAAAAAATGTTAAAGGCAACTAGAGAGAAGAGGCAGGTCACCTACAAAGGGAACCCCCTCACGCTAATAGCAGACTTTTCAGCAGAAATCTACAAGCCACAAGAGATTGGGTGCCTATATTCAGCATTCCTAAAGAAAGGAATTTGCAACCATGAATTTCATATCCAGCCAAACTAAGCCTCCTCAACAAAGGAGAAATAAGGTCCTTTTCAGACAAGCAAATGTTAAGGGAATTCATTACCACCAAATGTGCCTTAAATGAGTTTTTTAAGGAAGTGCTAAACATGAAAAGGAGAGACCACTACTGGCCAGCACAAAAACACACTTAAGTGCAAAGAAGACCAGTGATACTCTAAAGCAACAACAGAAACAAGTCTGTGTAGCAACCTGCTAACAAACAGAGGCTCAAATCTGCATATATCAATACTTACCTTGAAAGGAAATGAGCTAAATGCCCCAATTAAAAGGCAGAGAGTGGTAAGTTGGATGAGGAAGCAAGACCCAACAGTATGATGTCTTCAAGAGACCCATCTCACATGCAATGACACCCATAGGCTCAAAGTAAAGGGGTGGAGAAAAATCTACTAAGCAAATGGAAAACAGAGAAAGCAGGGATTGCTATTCTATTTTCAGACAAAAGACACTTTAAACCAACAAAGATCAAAAAAGACAAAGAAGGACATTATATAATGGTAAAGGTTCAATTCAACAAGAAGACCTAACTATGCTAAATATATATGGAGCCAACACAGGAGCACCCAGATTAATAAAGCAAGTTCTTAGAGGCCTATGAAGAGGCTTGGACAACCACACAATAATAGTGGGAGAATACAACACTACACTGACAGTATTAGATCATCAAGGCATAAAACTAACAAAGATATTTGGGACATGAACTTGACACTTGACCAGAGGACCTAATAGACACCTACACAGCTATTTACTCAAAAGCAACAGAATATACATTCTTCTCATTTGTACATGGCACATATTCTATTCTTGTCATTTTCACACGGCACATACTCTAAAATCAACCACACAATTGGACATAAAACAATCATCAGAAAATTAAAAAAAAAAAAAAAGAAATCATGCCAAGCACACTCTCAGACCACAGGGCGATAAAGTAGAAATCAAAGCTAAGAAAATCGCTCAAAACCATACAGTTACATAGAAATTCAACAACCTGCTCCCAAATGACTTCTGGGTAAATAATGAAATTAAGGCACAAAACAAGAAATTATTTTAAAATAATGAGAGCAAACATAGGAAACACCAGAATCTTTGGGACACAACTAAAGCAGAGTTAAGAGGGAAGTTTATAGCACTAAACACCAACGTCAAAAAGTTATAAAGATCTGGCCAGGCATGGTGGCTCACACCTATAATCCTAGCACTTTGGGAGACAGAGGCAGGTAGATCTCCTGATTTGAGACCAGCCTGGGTAACATGGCAAAACCCCATATCTACCAAAAGTACAAAAAATTAGCCAGGCACGGTGGACTGTACCTGTGGTCCCAGCTACTCGGGAAGCTGAGGTGAGAGGATCTCTTGAGCCTGGGAGGTGGAGGTTGCAGTGAGCCAAGATTGCACCACTGCAATCTTGTGACAGAGTGGGGCCCCATCTCAAAAAAAAAAAAAAAATTATAAAGATCTAAAAGCAATCACCTGAACTAACAACTAGAGAAACAGGAGCAAACCAACCCCAAAGCTAGCAGAAGACAAATAACCAAAATCAGAGCTGAACTGAAGAAAATTCAACTGCCAAAAATCATAAAAAATTAACAAATCCACAAGTTGGTGTTTTGAAAGAATTAATAAGATAGATAGACCACTAGCTTAAACTAATAAATTAAAAAAGAGAGATACCCAAATACAATCAGAAATTACTAGGAAGGGACATTATCACCGATGCCACAGAAATACAAAACACCCTCAGAGACTACTGAGACACCTCTATGCACACAAGTTAGAAAACCTAGAAGAAATGGACAAATTCCTGGCAACATACAACCTCCCAAGACTGAACCAGGAAGAAGTTCAAACCTTGAACAGACCAAAAGTGAGGTCCTAAATTAAATCAGTAATTAAAAAGCCTACTAACCAGAAAAAGCCCAGGACCAGACAGATTTATAGCCAAATACTACCAGAGGTACAGAGAAGAGTTGGTGCCATTCCTACTGGAACTATTCCAAAAAATTGAGGAAGGGGGACTCCTCCCTAACTCATTCTATGAGTCTAGCATCATCCTGATACCAAAACCTGGCAGAGAGACACACACACAAAAAGGCCAATATCCTTAATGAACACTGATGCAAAATCCTCAAGAAAATAGTAGCATACTGAATCCAGCAGCACATCAAAAAGCAAATCCACCATAATTAAGTAGGCTTTATTGGTTCAAGGTTGGTTCAACATATCCAAGTCAATAAATGTCATCTACCACATAAACATAACTAAAAACAAAAACCACATGATTATCTCAAGAAATGCAGAAAAAGATTTTGATAAAATTCAACATTGCTTCATGTTTTAAAAAAAAAACCCTCAACAAAATCAGCATTGAATGAACATACTTCAAAAGAATAACAGCCATCTATGAGAATTTCACAGTGAACACAATACCGAATGGGCAAAAGCTGGAAGGATTCCCCCTTCATAACCAGAACAAAACAGAGATGCCCTCTCTCACCACTCCTATTCAACATAGGAGTCCTAGCCAGAGCAGTCAGGCAAGGGAAAGAAATAAAAGGCATCCAATTAGGAAGAAAGGATGTCAAAATGTCTCTATTTGTAGATGATATGATTCTACAGCTAGAAAACTCCACAGTTTCTGCACAAAACCTCCTTTATTTGATAAACCACTTCAGCAAAGTTTCAGGATACAAAATCAATGTACAAAAATCAATAGCATTCCTATACACCAACAACATCCAACCTGAGAGCCAAATCAAGAACACAATCCCATTCACAGTAACCACAAAAAAGAATAAAATACCTAGAAATACAATTAACCAGGGAGGTAAAAGATCTCTACAACAATAATTACAAAATACTGTTTAAAGAAATCATAGATGATACAAACAAATGGAAAAACATTCCATGCTCATGATTAGGAATAATCAGCAATTTTTAATGGCCATACTGTCCAAAGCAATTAACAGGTTCAATCCTATTCCTATCAAACTACCACTGACATTCTTCACAGAATTAGAAAAGAAAACTATTTTTAAATTCATATGGAATCAAAAAAAATAGCCCAAATAGCCAAGGCAATCCTAAGCAAAAAGAACAAACCTGGAAGCATCACATTACCTGACCTCAAAATATACTATAAGGCTATAGTAACCAAAATAGCATGGTACTGGTACAAAAATATAGACCAATGAAACAGAATAGAGAGCCCAGAAATACAGCCACACACCTACGACCAACTGATCTTCAACAAAGTTGGCAAAAACAAGCATTGGGGAAAAGGATCCCTATTCGATAAATGGTGCTAGGATAACTGGCTATCCAAATGAAGAAGATTGAAGCTGGGCCCCTTTCTTACACGATGTAAAAAATCAACTCGAGATGGATTAAAGACTTAAATGTAAAATCTAAAACTATAAAAATCCTGAAAAATAACCTGGAAATACCATTCTGAATATAGGCACTGGCGAAGATTTCATGACAAAGATGCCAAAAACAATTGCAACAAAAACAAAAATTGACAAGTGGGACCTAATTAAACTTAAGAGCTTCTGCCTTGAAAAAGAAGCTATCAACAGACTAAACAGACAACCTACAAAATGGGAGAAAATATTTTTGCAAACTATGCATTTGACAAAGACCTAATATCCAGAATCTATAAGAAGCTTAAACAAATTAACAACCAAGAAAGAAACAACCACATATAAAAGTGGGCAAAGGACATGAACAGTCACTTCAAAAGGAGACATACACATGTCCAACAGGCACATGGAGAAAATGCCCAACATCACTAATCATTAGAGAAATGCAAATCAAAATCACAGTGAGATACCATCTCACATTAGACAGAATAACTATTATTAAAAATTCAAAAATAACAAATGTTGGCGAGATTGTGGAGAAAAAGAAATGCTTATACACTGTAGGAATGTAAATTAGTTCAGCTATTGTGGAAAGCAGTGCAGTGGTTTCTCAAAGAACTTAAAACAGAACTACCATTTGAACCAGTAGTCCCATTACTGGGTATATATCCAAAGGAATATAAATTGTTCTACCATAAAGACACCTGCACATATGTCCATTGCAGCACTATTCACAATAGCAAAGATATTAAATGAACCTAAATCCCATCAATGGTAGACTGAATAAAGAAAATGTGGCACATATACACCATGAAATATTACACAGCCTTAAAAAAGAATTAGAGCACGTCCTTTGCAGCAACATGGATGGAGCTGGATGCCGTTATCCTAAGCAAATTAATACAGGAACAGAAAACCAAACACTGCATGTTCTCACTTATAAGTGGAAGCTAAACACTGAGTAAATATGGACACAAAAAATAAAACAACAGACACTGTGGCCTCATTGATGCTGGAGGGTGAAAGGAGGGTGAGGATTGAAAAATTACCTATTGGGTACTATGCTTATTACCTGGTGATAAAATAATCTGTATATCAAATCCCTGCAACATGCAATTTGCCTATATAACAAAGCTGCACATGTACCCCGAACCTAAAATAAAAGTTAAAAAGGAAAGAAAAAGGAAAGGAAAGGAAAGGAAAGGAAAGGAAAGGAAAGGAAAGGAAAGGAAAGGAAAGGAAAGGAAAGGAAAGGAAAGGAAAGGAAATTAGGACTAGGGGCCATGCATGGTGGCTCATGCCTGTAATCCCAGCACTTTAGGAGACCAAGGCAGGCAGATCACCTGAGGTCAGGAGTTTGAGACCAGCCTGGCCAAGATGGTGAAACCCCGTCTCTACTAAAAATACAAAAATTAGCCAGCCATGGTGTTGGCTGCCTGTAATCCCAGCTACTCAGGAGGCTGAGGCAGGAGAATTGCTTGAACCGTGGAAATGGAGGTTGCAGTGAGCCAAGATTGTGCCATTGCACTCCAGCCCGGGCAACAAGAGTGAAACTCCATCTCAGTAAGAAAAAAATTATGACTAGGACTGTCCTAATTCCATTTCCTGTAGTTCTTCTGCATTATTAGTTTCTCCCAAAGCCAAAATTCTTTGGCTAGAATCTTTTTAAACCACTTGTTAATTTTGTGATAGTTGTCGTTTAAATCTAGATTACAATCTATAGATCCACCCAATCAGGTGCATATGTACTGCAAAATATTGCAACATGTTGAGCCCCTACATCATTCATCTCATTTATTTTTTGACATATGACATGTGACATGTATACTAAGCTAAATGCTAGTACCAATCTGCATATTAAATATTAGTAAAGCTTAATTAATTCCCATATATAAGACACTAATTAATTTTAATTAATATTGAGTTCTATATAAGAAAGTCCAGGTCACAAGATTACTTCAGACCAAAACAACAAGACAAAAGCACGCAAGTACATAAGAAACAACTTCCACATAAGTTCAGTCAAAAGGGCTCATCTAATCTTTATACTTTCCAGAAACAACTCCATAGAACATATAGTAATAAACCATGGTATTGTCCTCTGTTACACCTCAGTATTTCTTCATTACTTTCTATCCTTCCCATTGGTTCCATCTTCTTTCCAAACAATGAATATTTATGAAATTCATTTCTCAGCTGACAAAATCCCGACTTAGTACACATTGGGACACTCTCCAAGTTCATAGACTCTCCATTGAGCTCTCCACCAACCTATCCATTAAGCCCTTGGTCATCTGTTCTAATACAAGGACCCTGTCTAAAGTAATCACCTATCACCAGGCAAATTGAGATCCATCGAACTCCTCTGAATTTTCTCATTTTCCTCAGTCCCTCATATTCTTCAGTTGACATCTCAGTCAGGATACCTCAATTGCTTAAACACATTCAAAAAGACATAGAAAGCCACTCAACCTTACCTTCACATCCCTTTCCAGTGCCCTAAGGGCATCACCACATGCAGCTGGTGTCAGAAAGAATCATTTATTGCACATCACGGTGTGCACACATTATGAATCAGAGTGCTGCAGATGCCTGCAGTCACCACCTGAAATAGCTAAACCTGCACTTCAGTCACTGTCATTTCTAGTACGTGCTAGGAAACCTTGACTGTCTCCATCATGGCCTCACTTCAGTCAAGGCTTCTGGACTTCCCGAGGAGCCCCCACCAAAAAATAAAAAAAAAGTATGGCTAAATAAAGCAAAACTCCACCAAAAAGTATAACTGACTCATAATGTGTCTTAAAAATGTTTAACCTTGTATAGGTGAAAATACCAGCATAAAACAAATACCATCATACTCTAAATTTTAAATATGCTGGATACTGCTTTTTTCCCACAAGAAACAAACAAAATAATAATAATTTTTAAAGCCCACCTAATATGGAATTTGAAGTCATTACAATAATTTCAAGGTGTTGCTGTTTGGAGAAGTCTTTCTGGGGATTTACTTTAAAAAAAAATCTGAGTACTGTACAAAGTGGGGCAAATCTATTTCCAGACCAGACTCAAGGAAAGAAGTGACTCTTCTAACCAATGAAGATGTATAATGGTCCCTCTCAGTCCCTCAGCATAGAAAACTTTTATGTTCCACAAAGGGAACAAAGACCCTGGAGAGAATTACAGACACCACATGCTGAACCCCAGTGAGCCATTTTCATTAACAAGTAAAACAGTTAGTGCATTCCATAGCCTATTTGTGAGAAGTAAAAATATTATTCAGGAATCAATCAATTAATAAGTGATTCATTTGTGTTTAAGGACAGTCGAGAACAAAAAGAAAATTATGGAACTATAGCAATAAGGGCCCTGCAGCCAGAGGTGGACAGCAGGACAGATGGCCCAGGACACAAAGAAGATACAATGAAAAGGACCTGAACAACATAATAGAAATTGTCTCATTACTATATTGTAACTATATTATTAGTTACTATATTCTTACTATACTTGCAACTATATTGCTATGGATTTGCATTGCCACTTTATGAAGTAAGAACTTGAAATTTGTTTCAAAAACACCACCTACCCTTATACTGTGTCATTTATAAATGTAAGTAGTAAAGTGTTTAGAGATCACATTAATTCAGTCAATCTCTACAAAGTTTTTATTATCTGATTCAAAGAACCCTTGCAGAGATCATGATCCATAGAGTTTTACTTTGGATGAGCCCTGCCTAACTATTATTTCTCAAGGACAGGAAATCCCAGTTAAGGAGAACCCTTAATGAATACTCTTAGCTAAATTAGTTAAATTTTGTCTGAATGTGTCACAACTTACACTTATAAAAATAATTTTCATCAAATAAACTGTACATGTAAATAAAAAACCAACATGGAAATAAACACTTAAAATTAACAGTTTAATACCATAAAGGGTATTTTTAAGTCTTTTGACACTGTTTTAATGTGTTGGTGATATATGACAGACCTATTATGTCTATATCCATTTTCTGTAAAGGCCTGAATGCTAATAAAATATGTGCTATCCCTAAAGAGTAACTATCCTCCACCCCCAGGAAGTTGCATTAAAAAAATTGTTTCAGATGTTATAAATTATGTATTACTCACCTTGATTTCAGTGAAACTGATCATGGTTGCTTCACTTGAAATAAAAACAGCTTTAAAAATTTGGGATCAGAGCCATTTTCTTTCAGAGGAAATAAAAAGAAACAAAGCAGATATTGATTCTCTATTACCTACTGTAGGTCTTTATTCATCTAAACTAGGGAATACCCATCAGGACTTGCTGCTAGGGCATCAGGATGGTGAGTATGAGGTTTTTGGATCCGGACGTACGCCCTCTTCTGGGATTCTCTTCTTCTCTGAGGCTTTACTTACACATCATTCTCCACTACACTCAGCTACAGGAATGCTAATGTTCTTTATCCTGCCTGCATCAAACTGTAACAGAAAGCTTCAGAAAAATAAAACTTTCTCATTTTGATAGAAAGGATAAAACCAGCCTGGACCCATTTAAATTATTAAGGCCAGTCATAAAATTTGGGTAAATATATGGAAAGATATTTTCCATATATATATATAGTAACTATAACTATATATATATAGTTATATATAGTTAGCTACACTAGTTAGCACTGTATACTAAACGCCATACCAAAACATGCACAAGGTAGTGTATGCTGTAACACATTATGCTAAAGTAAGGTGCATGAGTACCAGAAATCATTCCCAAAGAAATTTAAATTACCAAGCCTTTACACTAACATATATAGACAATTTGAAAGATATATCATCAAATCCCTACTGTCTTCTGAAATAGCTTTAAAGCCTGTGTATGATTCAGGGCTCTTTTGGTTGCAAGAGAAAAAAAAGATTCAAATCTGGTTAGCTAGACCAGCTCATGAAATTCAGGGAAATCATCCAACCAACTAGTAAGATAAGTAAAATATGCAGAGCTATAGCCAACCAGAACAGCTTGAGCTTGACTACTTCCTCCATTCATTCTCTCTCTCTCTCTCTCTCTCTCTCTCTCTCTCTCTCTCTCCACCTTATGACTTTCTATGATGTCCACCACCAGAGAGAGACCACCTCACCAGTTCTCAATTTAAAAATTGAAAAATCCCAGGAAGGACTAAATGGCCAAGTCCAGGTCAGGAGGACAACTCTAGGCAGGGATTTTGAAAGTACATCACAGCTAATATGTGATTCTGGCCTGAAAGAAAAGAGGAGTTTCAAGAGGAAGAGAGAGTGATGAGAAGACTAAAAATCACATGTTCACTACAATATCATTCCATTGTGCAGTTAAGATCAAAAGAGGTTTTGGGAGTTTAGTTGTTTGAGAAATTTCCAAGCTGCTTTCCACAGTGGCTAAACTAATTTTTACAGTCCCACGAACAATGTATAATTATTTGCTTTTACCCACAGCCTTACCAGCATCTGTTGTTTTTTGTCTTTTTAATTATAGCCATGCTGACTGATGTGTGATGGTGTCTGGAGGTTTTGATTTCCATTTTTGCAATGATTAATGAGGTAGAGCAGTTTTTCATGTTTGTTGGCCATTTACATGTCTTCTTTTGAGAAGTGTATGTTCATGTCCTTTGCCAATTCTTTAATAGGGTTATTCATTTTTGTTTGCTGAGTTGTTTTAAGTTCCCTATAGATTCTGGATATTAGGCCTTTGTCAAATGCATGCTTCGCAAATATTTTCTTCTATTCTATGGGTTGTCTGTTTACTCTGTTGATTGTTTCTTTTGCTGTGCAAAAGCTTTTTAGTTTAATTGGGTCCCACTTGTCAATTTTTGTTTCTGTTGCAATTGCTTTCGAGGACTTAGTCTTGAATTCTTTGCCAAGACCCCTGTCAGAATGGTATTTCCTATGTTTTCTTCAAGGAATTTTATAGTTTGAGATCTTGCACTTAAATCTTTAGCCCATCTTGAGTTAATTTTTGTATGTTGTGAAAGGTAAGGGTCTAGTTGCATTCTTCTGCAAATGGCTAGCCAGTTATCCCAGCACTATTTATTGAATAGGAGTCCTTTCCCATTGTTTATTTTTGTCAACTTTGTGAATGATATTTTTAACAGTGTTTATTCTATTTTCACCTACTTGAAATTATAATTCCTGCTTTGCTTGGGGTATTAGAAAAATTGCTTTTTCAAGGAGAAAAAAAGAATAAAAAAGTACTTCCAGAAACAGACATGATTTATTCATTTTAAGTGAAGCATCAGAAAGAGAAAAGCATACTTAAAATACACAGTTTTTAAAAGTAAATATTTTTCTACATGGAATCTTATTGTAAGGCAAAATGTGTGAAAAGATGCTCTAAAGTCCAGTCAACTAGCCCACAAATCAGTGGGTTCATCTGCTTGCTTGAGTTATTCTCTTTGTCATACTTGCTCTCTTACTTTCTTCTGAGGGTGGCTACATGGATATACATATACAAGTAAACTCTCTGCAACTAGAAACCCTTGATACATTCTTTATTACTATAATAATAATATTCAGGGAGTACATTAGGACAGGTAAAATCTCCTCATTCACTTGTTAAGTATACCTGTATTGATTTTTCTGTAACTATACTTTTAATAATTCATTACATATGTTTCCCCATGTATGTTTTATAGAATTGATTCTACATCACTACTCATATCTAGATGGTAATAGAGACATTCTCCCCCAAACTCACTTAACACTGCATAGATCTTCAAAGCAGATATAAGCTTCAAAGCTTTAAAATGTATATAGACACGTGTATGTGTATGTGCATGTGTGTGTAACTTAGAATACTGTGTCTTTGAAGTAGTCATTTTAGAAGTTTGTAGCATGCCAGAAAATTTTACTGTTATTGAAGGAAACTTTTCTGTGAGATCATTTTTATCCCCTCAAGAGCTAGGTTCTACTTATCCACCAACACCTCAACCCACAAAAAGCTGCTATAGGGCTCCCTATCTACCCAGGCATATGGAACACAATGGCCTAATGAACCCTGACAGGTGTCATTGATTTTAACATATCTAAATACCCAGGTGGCATTTATTTTCTTTAACCTTCAGTGACCACTTGGCTTGCAAGATCCCTCTTCAGCTGTCTCTTCCCACTGTGACAACCTAGATTGGTAGCGAGTCAGGGACTCAACAAGAAAAGCCAGTAAACCTGAAGCACTGGCCATGCCTCACCTGGGCACCACTCAGAAGACATGGACGTAAGATTCCTCAGGGAAACAGCCCACCTAGCCAAAACAGTACCCGCAAAGTTAGAAACCATTCAAACGGATTCTCATGTGTGTCCTAGGAGAGGCCAAAGAGACCTGTAAAAAAGTCTCTTTTGTATCATTTGGGACTCAGAAGTCACAATGGCCATGGTCCTTCCTGATGACCTCATGCTTGCAACAGTCACAGAAAGGAGACAACTTGATTATTTCCTGGATTTTCATCTCCTGAAGATCAAAAAAGCAGCCCTTGTAAGAGACAGCAATTAATAGCGAACAAGGGTGACGTTTTTTGAACATAGAGTGAAAATGCTAACATTATTGATAAGCCTAATCAGAAATTGCTGGACACAAACACAAAGCCTGATGACACTCAGATAGTTTCAGTCTGATTTATTTATCTCATGTAATGCCTCCCATGCCAGGCAAAGCCAGTCCAGGATTGTATGCAATGTCAAAAACTGATAGTGTAATGAATCTGAGTACAAACTCCTTGAAAACAGAAGCCAAAGCATTTCTTTCTTAATTTTATGAATGGTATACAGCATCCACAGTGTCCAAATATATAAAATAACAACATGGAGGTAACAAATAACTGGAAAACTGGGCTTTTTCTCTGGATGTTCTTAAATTAAGTCAATTCTCTGGACTGTTTCATTAAGAAAAAAATATGTCAAATATGTTCAAAATAGATCACTAGTACAGATGCAGCAAAGGCAAAAACAGTAGGATCTGTTGAATAAATTTGAAGTGTCCCAATAGGGATTTCACATTTTTAGGGGAAAGTAGAGACGATGAAATAGATATTGCAAATAACTATCTTTTTTTAAATCTAAGCAATGGGGTGGGTGAGGACAGTATTTATTATCAAATGCCAAAACCATTCCTGCAAGGCTTGTTGGACAAGAATGTAGTCACACTGGAAGGAAGAAATGTTTCAAGGACAAACCTCCAAATCTTGTATCTCACTTACATATCAATTACATAGCTTTTAGACTTGTGTGTACAGAGATCCCTCGACAAGTGGGCACTATCACTGCACCAAGGGCAAATTTTACCCACAGTCAGTGTTAAGGAGACTGCCAATTACAGATCTTTCTCAAGTACCCTTCTGACCCCAGAGAAATTAGCAACTGAGCAGGGAGGTGCAGGATGAGGAGACCGATGACCCTACCAGCTTAGTAATGACACATATTGGAAGGAAAAACGATGAGGTTGCAGTATGAACAATGCAAAAAGTTTTTAAATAAAGGTTTTTAACGTTTAATATAAGGGAGCTAAAAAGCTTTGACGTTCAATTTCAGTTCAAAGTGATACTTATTGACAGTACTGTCCAATAGAAATATAATGCAAGCCACATATGAAATTTAAATTTTCTGGAAGCCACATTAAAAATAAAAAAAGGTTAATTTTAATAGTACATTTTATTTAACCCAATATATCCAACTTACAATTTCAACATGTAGTAAATAGAAAAACTTATTAATGAGATATTTTACTTTTTTTTTTTACTAAGTCTTTGAACTTTAGCATATATTTCATCCTTGTAGCACATCTCAGTTTGGACTAGTCACATTTCAAGTGATCAGTGGCCATGCATAGCTAGTGGCTACTGTATTAGACATTATAGCTCTATAGGCACCCCAAGAATATTCATTCATTCATTTGATTAATATATAAGAATCACCTACTCTGTTTCAGACACTCTGTAAGGCACTAAGCATATGTCAGTGAAAAGAATTACTACATCTTTGCTCTTATAGAGCTTGGAATTTGGCATCTTGGCAAAAACAAAGATATTAAGCAAACAATTATGTGAATGTTTATAATAAAGTGTGATAAAGGAAATATACAAAGTGCTGCAACATATACTACTATATGCCTACCAGGAAGAGAGAAAGAGATCAAGAAGACATTCATGAAGGAAGGGACACCTAATCTGAGATTGGAAGGATGGGTAAAGATTTATCAAGCTTGGAGGCTGGGAGAGGGGTGGGATCAGGGAAATAAGTGGTCCAAGTAGCCTTTGAGTGGAGAGCAACCTGATGAGGATGAGGGACTGATAGAAAGCCCATGAGCTGACAGCATGATAGGTAAAGAGGAGAGTAGCAAAAAATGAGATTAAAGAGGTAGGCAGGAATCAGAGTTCAACAAAGATTTGAGCTTTTATCAAAAGAGCAAATGGCCGCTTGAGGAGAATGTTAGAGGGAGGTTTGACATGATCAGATTGCATATTAAGAGGATAAATCTAGCTGCTGAATGGAAAATATATTTGAGGTTATACAGAGTAAATGTTTAGAGCCCAATTACAAGGCTACAGCAGCCCAGGGGAAAGATGGTGGTGGTTCAACATATCTGGGAGATAGACTGAATAGGATGTGGACTCTATACCAATGATTCAGTAGGATGTGAGTAGTAAGAAAAGGAGTTGTCAAGAATGCCACTAGGTTTCTGATATCAGCCATAAGATAAATGGTGGGGCCATTTGATGAACTGGAGATAAAATAGAGGAGTAAGAAGAATATGAGTTCCATTTTGAACACGTTCATTTTGAGATATCTGCAATACATCCAAGAGGGAATGTCATTAAGACAGAGATGTGGCCCTGGAAGTCAGAAGAGAGGTTGGAGCTAAAATTTTAGCATTATCATTGGCAGAAAGCAGTTAACTGAAGCCACAGAAAAAGATGAAATCACCTAAGGTCCAAATTTCAAGTGAAAAGAGAGGGCATAGGGCTGAGTCCTGAGAGTCTCCATCAGATAAAGACTGAGTAGTGAAGAAGGGCCCTGATATGTTTTGCTGTGTCCCCACCTAAATATCATCTTGAATTGTAGCTGCCATAATTCCTATGTGTCGTGGGAGGGGTAGGTGGGAGGTAATTGAATCATGGGGGCAGTTACCCCCATGCTGCTCTTCTCATGATAGTAAGTGACTTCTCATGAGATCTGATGGTTTTATACAAGGGAAATTTCCCTCTTTGCTCAGCACTACTTCTTCCTGCCATCATGTGAAGAAGGACATGTTTGCCTCCCCTTCCACCATAATTGTAAGTTTCCTTAGGCCTCTTCAGCTATGCAGAACTGTGAGTCAATTAAACCTCTTTCCTTTATAAATTACCCAGTCTTGAGCAGTTCTTTATAGCAGCATGAGAATGGACTAACATAGTAAGTTGGTACCGTTTAGTGGGGTGCTGCTGTACAGATACTTGAAAGTGTGGAAGCAGCTTTGAAACTGGGTAACAGGCAGAGGTTGGAACAGTTTGGAAGGCTCAGAACAAGATAGGAAGATGTGGGAAAGTTTGGAACTTCCTAGAGACTTGTTAAATGGCTTCAACCAAAATGCTGATAGTGATATGGACAATGAAGTCCAGATTGAAGTGGACTCAGATGGAGATGTGGAATTTATTGGGAACTGGAATAAAGTTTACTCTTGCTATGTGTTAGCAAGCAGACTGGTGGCATTTTGCCCCTGCTCTAAAGACCTGTGGAACTTTAGGGTATCTGGCAGAAGAAATTTATAAATGGCAAAGTGTTCAAGAGGTGACTTGGGTGCTGTTAAAAGCATTCAGTTTCGTGTATTCACAAAGATATGTTTTGGAATTTAAACGTACGTTTAAAAGGAAAGCAGAGTATACAATTTTGGAAAATTTGCAGCCTGATGATGCATAGAAAAGTAAAACACATTTTCTGAGGAGAAATTCAAGCTGGCTGCAGAAACTTGTGTAAGTAAGGGGCAGCCAAATGTTAATTGGCAAGACAGTGGGGAGAAATGTCTCCAGGGAATGTCAGAGGTCTTCACAGCAGGCCCTCCCATCACAGGCCCAGAGGCCTTAGAAAAAAAATGGTTTCATGGGCTGGGCCCAGGGCCTTGCTGCATTTGGCAGTCTCAGGACTTGGTACCCTGTGTTCCAGCCATGGCTAAAAAAGGCCAATGTATGGCTCAGGCCATTGCCTCAGAAGGTGCAAGCCTCAAGCCTTGGTGGCTTACACAGGGTTTGGGGCCTGCAGGTGCATAGAAGTCAAGAATTGAGGTTTGGGAACCTCCACCTAGATTTCAGGGGATGTATGAAAATGCCTGGAGGTCCAGGCAGAAGTTTGCTGCAGGGGTGGAGCCCTCATGGAGAACCTCTGGTAAGACAGTGAAGGCAAATGTGGGGTCAGAGGCCCCACAAGGGCACTGCCTAGTGGAGCCATAAAAAGAGGGCCATCTTCCTCCAGACTCTAGAATGGTAGATCCACCAACAGCTTGCACCATGCACCTGGAAAAGCCACAGACACTCAATACCAGCACTTGAAGGCAGTGAGGAGGGGGGCTATACCTTACAATGCCAGAGGGGTAGAGTTTCACAAGGCCTTTGGAGCCCAACTCTTACATCAACATGACCTGGATGTGAGACACGGAGTCAAAGGAGATCATTTTAGAGCTTTAAGATTTGACTGCCCTGCTGGATTTTGGACTTGCATGGGGCCTATAGCCCCTTCATTTTGGCTAATTTCTCCCATTTAGAATGGGTATATTTACCCAATGCCTGTACCCCCATTGTATCTAGGAAATAACTAACTTGCTTTTGATGTTACAGGCCGATATGGCTTGGCTGTGTCCTCACCCAAATCTCACCTTGAATTGTAGTTGCCATAACCCCCACATGTCATGGGAGGGACCCAGAGGGAGACAATTGAATCATGGGTGTGGTTACCTCCATGCTGTTCTTGTGATAGTGAGTGAGTTCTCATGAGATCTGATGGTTTTATAAAGGGCTTTTCCCCTTTTACTCATTCTTCTTCTCCCTTCTGCCAGGTGAAGAAAGGTGTGTTTGCTTCCCCTTCTGCCATGATTTATTGTAAGTTTCCTGAGGCCACAACAGCCATGCTGAACTGTGAGTCAATTAAACCTCTTTCCTTTACAAATTACCCAGTTTCAGGTATGTCCTTATAGTAGCATGAGAATGGACTAATATAGCAAATTGTTGTGATAGAGTGGGGTACTGCTATTAAGATACCCAAAAATGTGGAAACAACTTTGGAACTGGGTAACAGGCAGAGATTGGAACAGTTTGGAGGGTTCAGAAGAAGATAGGAAAATGTGGGAAAGTTTGGAACTTCTTAGAGACTTGTTGCATGGCTTTCACCAAAATGCTGATAGTGATTTGGGCAATAAAGTCCAGGCTGAGGTAGTCTCAGATGGAGATGAGGAACTCGTTGGGAACTGGAGTAAAGGTCACTCTTGCTATGCAAAGAGACTGGAAGCATTTTGCCCCTGCCCTAGAGATCTGTGGAACTTTGAACTTGAGAGAGATTATTTAGGGTATCTGGAGGAGGAATTTCTAAGTGACAAAGCATTCAAGAGGAAGCACACATAAAAATTTGGAAAATTTGCAGCCTGACGATGTCATAGAAAAGAAAAACCCATTTTCTGGGGAAAAATTCAAGTCTGCTCAGAAATTTGCATAAGTAAAAAGGAGCTGAATGTTAGTCATCAAGACAATGGGGAAAATGTCTCCAGGGCATGTTGCAGACCTTCACAGCAGCCACTGTCATCACAGGCCTGGAGGCCTAGGAGGAAAAACTGGTTTCTTGGACTAGGCCCAGGACCCCTCCACTGTGTGCAGCCTAGGAACATGGTGCCCTGCATCACAGCCATCCCAGCCATGGCTAAAAGGGGCCAAGGTACTGCATGGGCCATGGCTTCAGAGGGCGCAAGCCCCAGGCCTTGGCAGCTGCCACGTGGTGTTGAGCTTGTGGGTGCACAGAAGTCAAGAACTGAGGTTTGGAAACCTCTGCCTAGATATCAGACAATGTACGGAAACACCTCAATGTCCTGGCAGGGGTGTGCTTCAGGGGCAGAGCCCTCATGGAGAACCTCTGCTAGGACAGTATGAAAGGGAAATGTGGGTCAGAGCCCCAACACAGAGTCCCCACTGAGGCACTGCTATTGGAGCTGTGAGAAGACGGCCACAGTCCTCCAAACTCCAGAATGGGAGATTCACCTACAGCTTGCACCATACAACTGGCAAAGCCACAGGCACTCAACACCAGCTCATGAAAGCAGCTGGGAGTGGGGCTGTACCAGGCAAAGCCACAGGGACAGAGCTTCCCAAGGCCACAGTAGCTCACCTCTTGCATCAGCGTGATACAAGTTCACTCTCAAGTTCAAAGTTCCACAGATCTCTAGGGCAGAGGCAAAATGCTTCCAGTCTCTTTGCATAGCAAGAATGACCTTTACTCCAGTTCCCAACAAGTTCCTCAGCTCCATCTGAGACTACCTCAGCCTGGATGTGAGACATGGAGTCAAAGGAGATCATTTTGGAACTTTAAGGTTTAATGACCATTCTATTGGATTTCCAACTTGCATGGGAGCTGTAGCTCCCTTGTTTTTGCCAATTTCTCCAATTTGGAAAGGATGTATTTACCCAATGCCTATACCCCCATTGTATCTAAGGATTTTACAGGCTGATAGGTGGAAGAGACTTGCCTTGTCTCAGATGAGTCTTTGGACTTGGACTTTTGGGTTAATGCTGGAATGAGCTAAAACCTTGTGAGACTGTTGGAACGGCATGACTGTGTTATGAAATGTGAGGACATGAGATCTGGGAGCAGCCAGGGGCAGAACAATATGGTTTGACTGTGTCCCCACACAAATCTCATTTTGAATTGTAGTTGCCATAATCCCAACATGTGAGAGGAACCAGGTAGGAGGTAATTGAATCATGGGGGCGGTTACCTCCATGCTATTCTTGTGATAGTGAGTGAGTTCTCATGAGCTCTGATAGTTTTATAAGGAGCTTTTCCCTTTTATTCATTCTTCTCCCTGCCACCATGTGAAGAAGGACATGTTTTCTTCTTCTTCTGCCATGACTAAGTTTCCTGAGGCCTCCCCAGCCATGCCAAACTGTGAGTCAATTAAATTTTTTTCCTTTACAAATTACCCAGTCTTGGGTATGTCCTTATAGCAGCATGAGAACAGACTAATGCACAGGCTAATAGGCAGAATGGACTTGCCTTGTCTAAGATGAGACTTTGGACTTGGACATTTGGGTTAATGCTGAAATGAGTTAACACTTTGGGGGACTGTTGGGAAGGCATGATTGTGTTTTGAAAGGAGAGGACATGAGATTTGGGAGGGCCAGGGGTATAGTGATATGGTTTGGCTGTGTCTCCACCTAAATATCATCTTTAATTATAGTTTCCATAATCCCCACGTGTCATGGGAGGGACCAGGTGGGAGGTAATTGAATCATGAGGCAGTTACCCCCATGCTGCTGTTCTCATGATAGTGAGTGAGGCCTCATGAGATCTGATGGTTTTACAAGGGGCTTTTCCCTTTTTGCTTGGTACTTCTTCCTGCCATCATGTGAAGAAGGATATGTTTGCTTCCCCTTCTGCCATGATTGTAAGTTTTCTAAGTCCTCCCCAGCCATGCGGAACTGTAAGTCAATTAAACCTCTTTCCTTTATAAATTACCCAGTCTCAACCAGCTTTTTATCGCAGCATGAGAATGGACTAATAAAGGCCCCATAATGGCAGGGAAGTCACCAGGAAATCACAAGACAAAAATATACAGGGAAGCCAAGAATAGAGTTTTTTCAAATAAGAAGGAGTGAGTAGTGAATGTATGGAAATTTCATAAAAAGTCAAGTTAGATAAGAATTATCCATTAGACTTAGAAACAAGACAACTTTGTAAGAGCAGTTTCAATGAAGTGGTGGGCCCAATTGAATCAGGAAGTGAAGACAGTACATATCAACAAATCTGAAAATCTGGTTATGATAGGAAGACGAGAGTCTGGGAAGTAACCTCATCACCATTCTCCATTTTCCATTATCCTGCTTCCATCTGTCAATGTCTGACTCAATATAAAATCAGCACTGACACATGCATAGTTACAGCTACACATAAGAAGTCTGTCTGTAGCTAAAGCCAAGCAAACATAATACCCACAGCAGGGATGGAAACTAAATATCATGAGGTGATTGTCATCAAAAGATGACTCCTTTTTGAGGAAATCCCAAGTGAAAAAAGAATTGGCACTGGGGTCAGGAGATTTTCCTAAAACATCCTCCTGTTGCTAAGGAACTTGAAGTCTACACAACTGTACACACATAAGTCTACTCCTGGCCTGTGGCGATCTTTATTATTCCCTATTTTCCTACATTCAGAACCACTGAGGAGAAAAATATCCATGGGCAGGCCAGCGAGTTACAAATAATGGAGAAATAGACATGGAATAAAATTGAATCATCGAGTTTGTGAACCAAAGGCCAACCTGCCAACTCATTTCTAAGGTTTGTAGCAGGTTGTCTGTGGTCAGAAACTATATAGATAGTTTTTACGCATTTCAAAACCTCAAAAGACAGCGTGGCAGAGAAAAGAAGCTGGATCTCAGACCTGTCTGGATTTAAATCCTGGTATCCTTACCTACTGCAGATTGTCCTGGGCAAGTCACTTCCACAGGCTGAGCCTCAGTTTCTTCATCCAATAAAAGAGGTCTAAAAATATCTCCCTTATGGTTTAGTGGAGGAAATTAAATGAGATAATGTATAGAGTGCTCAATGGGCTGTCTGGCATGCAATAAATATTCATTTCTTCTGACTGGTCAAAATGCGCTTTGAATGTGCATTTAGTAGCATGAATAGGAGGTGTGTGCTAGTACTTAATACATCAGCAAAAAGAATCTAGGTGGAAATTAGAAGAAATGCAGTAAACAAACAATTTAATGTGTCAACATATTCTGAAGGAGTTAGAGAAATCCTGAAATTACACCAGTGGTTATTATCTGATGGATGGGTAAATAAAACAGACAGTCCATGACACTATCCTTTCAGTCTTTTTAGAAGAGAATGAGGTATGGTATCCTCTAAGGTAGTATCCTTCCCACACAAGGACATTTTGTCATTAATATCATTTTTAACACAAGAAGAACCAATGAGACTTTTTTACTTCTGCATGCCCAATTTCAGAACCACAGTTAAACAATTGTTTTTTAAAAGAGATTTAACATTATAGGAAATATTTTTCAAAATTTTATTTTATTCAATTATTTAGAGACTAATAGGCTTGCGTTCTGCTTCCTTATTCATTATCCTAGATTTTGAGCTACAGATCATTGCTCTAAATCTCACGATCAGCTGGACCACTCTGAAATAGAGCTCTTAGATATTTAAAGGAGGCATTTCCTAAGGCAATGCTCATCTCATCACATGTCTCCCCCAGCATACAAGATCAGTGATAGTCACTGGACTTATACAAGATTTTGAAATGCTTCCACATAGCCCTTCAGAAAGTATGTAAAATGCTATGAATAAGACATTGTCTCTGGGTTAAACGTTTAATCAAACCTAATGTACTTTTTAAGAGCAAATCAGTGATCACTTCAATATTCTTTACACATGACTTTTGAGTCCCCTTACAACTAAGTCAGCCTCAGTACCAAGAGTAGATAGAGATTTGATTTTCAAAGGGCCATTTTTGTCATAATCCATACCACTTAGAAACCTGAACGACAACACTCAAGAACAAATTCTTACACACTGAAGTCAAACTTTCCCATAGTCTGACCCATCTCATCTTCTACATCTCCCTTCCATAAACACTAAACCCTAATTGACTTTATCTACTAGCCATTTCCCAAACACACTGCTCATTCTTTCTCATCTTGCACTTTCCTGATAATGCCGTTGCCTTTGTCTAGACTGATTTCCTTCCATCTCCATCTATTTAGAGCTACATGCCCTTTCAAGGCCTGGTTCAAATGCCCCTTTCTGTTTGTTTTTTTTATTTTTTTCTTCAATTTTATTTTAAGTTCCAGGGTACATGTGCAGGATGTGCAGATTTGTTACATAGGTGAACATGTGCCATGGTGGTTTGTTGCACAAATCAACCCATCACCTGGGTATTAAGCCCAGCATCCATGAGCTATTCTTCCTGATGCTCTCCTTGCCCCCATGCACCCCCAACAGGCCTCATTGCGTGTTGTTCTCCATCATGTGTCCATTTGTTCTCATCGTTCACCTCCTGCTCATAAGTGAGAACATGCAGTGTTTGGTTTTTTGTTCCTGCATTAGTTTGCTGAGGATAATGGTTTCCACCTCCAACCACATCCCTGAAAAGGACATGATTTCATTCCTTTTTGTGGCTGCACGGTATTCCGTGGTATATATGTACCACATTTTCTTTATCGAGTCTATCCTTGATAGGCATTTGGGTTAATTTCATGTCTTTGCTATTTGTGAATAGTGCTGCAATGAACAAACGCATGCATGTGTATTTATAATGCAATGATTTATATTCCTTTGGGCATATACCCAGTAATGGGATTGGTGGGTCAAATGGTATTTCTGCCTCTAGATCTTTGAGGAATTGCCACACTGTCTTCCACAATGGTTGAACTAATTTACACTTCCACCAACAGTCTAAAAGTGTCCCTTATTCTCTGCAACCTTGTCAGCATCTGTTGTTTCTGAACTTTTTAATAATTGCCATTTTCACTGGCGTCAGATGGTATGTCATTGTGGTTTTGATTTGCATTTTTCTAACGATCAGTGATGTTAAGCTTTTTTTCATATGTTTGTTGGCCGCATGAATATCTTCTTTTGAGAAGTGTCTGTTCATGTCCTTTGCCCACTTTTTAATGGGGTTGTTTGGGTTTTTTTCTTGTAAATTTGTTTAAGTTCCTTATAGACTCTGGATATTAGAACTTTGTCAGATGAACAGATTGCAAAAATTTTCTCCCATTCTGTAGGTTTCCTGTTCACTCTGATGATAGTTTCTTTTGCTGCACAGAAGCTCTTTAGTTTAATTAGATCCCATTTGTCAATTTTTGCTTTTGTTGCAATAGCTTTGGAGTTTTTGTCATGAAATCTTTGCCCATGCTTATGTCCTGAATGGTAGTGTCTAGATTTTCTTCTAAGATGTTTATAGTTTAGGGTTTTACATTTAAGTCTTGAATCCATCTTGAGTTAATTTTTGTATAAGGTATAATTAAAGGATCCAGTTTCAGTTTTCTGCATATGGCTAACCTGTTCTCCCAGCACCATTTATTGAACAGAAAATCCTTTCCCCCGTTGCTTGTTTTTCTCAGATTTGTTGAAGATCAGATGGTTGTAGGTATGCAGTCTTATTTCCGAGTTCTCTAGTCTGTTCCATCGGTCTATGTGTCTGTTTTTGAACCACTACCATTCTGTTTTGGTTACTGTAGCCTTGTAATATAGTTTGAAGTCGGGAAGAGTGATGCCTCCAGCTTTGTTCTTTTTGCTTAGTTCTTGGCTATTTGGCAAATGCCCCCTTCTTTATGAAATTTCCATCATCAACCCAGCTAGAAATTAATTCTCTCTCCCCAGAACAGCCATAACACTCAGACTATACTCATCTGCTACTGCTTTGTACCTCCTGAGTTTAACTACACTTGTATGGAGGTATAATCCTTCTGTCTTACTGGTCTTTAAGTTTCTTGATGAAAGAGATGATGCTTAAATATTATAATAATTCTTTATAAATAATAAGTGCTCAATAAATAATAATCCTTGTTTTACAAAATCTTAGCAAGTGCTTCACATCACTAATCACATATGTAAAATCTCCACTTCTCATTTGCATAACACTCAAGGGTTGTGTGAAAGGATGGGCAAAGCGAAGCTTCTTTTAATCCGTTTCTAAGCTTCTTTGCACCACTTGCCACATTCTAGTTTTCCTTCTAGTCATCCTAATGTATTCATTATGGCATTCATTCTAAACCCACATGAGACCCTCAAATAAGTCAATCCTCCTTTGAAACTACACTTTATAATTAGGATTCATGATTGGAATGAACATTTGTATTTCAGCCTATAGGCTGGCCCCTTAAGTTTTGAAATTCTTATTATGACTATATAGTAAACATTTTCATCATGTGAGAAAACATCCTTTCTCCTACATAGCAGATATAGAAGTCACAGAGCACATTGCCTGACACCTACCATCTCATCAGAAAGACACAGTTCACTATTCAGATAGTGAGTGCTTTCTGTGACCCTAGCTAATGCGGAGCTCCTGAAAAGCCACCCACTAAGGATGGCAGGATTGTACTAGCTGGAAGACTGATATGGTTTATGATCATTCCTCAGTTTGAGCCTGTGTCACACTCCCACTGTACAAGATTTTTCTTCCTATCTGGGACATACATTCCTCCATTACTTTTGAAGTTTTCTAAAGAAAAACACTCTCCTCCTGCCTCTCTTTTTTTGGGGGTTGGGAGGGAGTTGATGCTTTTAAGAGAGGAGGGGACTCTGTACCCCTCCATGGAAGAATTAAAGCCCATCATATCTTTTTCTGGGATTTTTCTGACAGTTTACCCTTTGTCATATCAGAGACAGAGCCTAAGCTTCCTTGTGCAAAGGCAAAAGATATGCAGAGAGAGAGAGCCTGGGCCTCTACTAAGGAGCTTTTCTAAAAAAAAAACAACAACAACAAAAAAAATAGCTACTGCTATTGAACAGATTCTAGGGAAAGGTGGCCAACCCTGGAGAGTCAAAGTTCAGGAACAGCTGGTTGATTTTCAATTAAATTCCATGATTTATGAAATCTGTGTTTCCAATTTGAACAAAAATAAATGACAGATTAAAAAGAGTAGGTCCTTAAAAGGACATAAAATATTGACAGTATAAATAGCTGTCAGGTTCAAAATTTAATCATGAATTGAATCCAAGATGATTGTGTTTACACCAAAACAGTGTCCACATGGACATATTAGTAGCAGTCCTACTTGACGATTCCAAAGCAGTAAAGCCACATTGGGTGGAAGATGGACCTCTGCAGAGAAGGTAAATTGCACAGAGATGATCGTGTCCCTTCTTCCCTGTCATTCTTCCCGAAGAGAACCTCAAAGCAGTTCAATTTAAAATGTTGCAAAGCACCACTACCTCCTTTCAACTTTTAGCTGTTCTGTTATTCTTCACTGAATTGAAAAAGGGCAGAGTTGGGACAGGCTTTTATGCCCCACACCTCCAGAAGAATTCACAGAGCTTGACCAGAAAGCAGTGTTGCTGTCTAAATGATAAAGGGATAATTCTAATTTAATTTAAAAGGGTAAGCCGTTAGGGAACTGAACACCTCAGGACTTATCCATAAGAGCTAAGGCCTTTTATTACTAGATTGATATATCCCCATACCACCCAGATCAAAAGTAAGTAAAAGTCATTTCCACATAATAACTCTCTGGTAGCCTATGGATAATGAGTTTGTTATCTCCAGCCATCTCTCATTAGGAAGGGATTGGCCCCTTTACAAACACAGTACAGAGTGGCTAACTCTATATAAAGCTTTTATGAAGAAAGAGCTAGATACAATTTCCCAGTGCATCAAGGAAAGCAGATTCTAACCTCATCTGCGCTGACTGGGTTTGACAAATTTAACCTTGACACACTTCCATTTGTAAAGATGTAAAACAGAAATACCCTCAATAACAACTCATCTTCCACAGAGTCTTTGTCAGGATTAATGACTTTGGTGTGTATCGTAAGAAAAATATTCAAATAGAATCCACAGCTGTATTTTTCTGCTGTTCCAACTATAGCCATGGTAAAGCCTGGTAAAGACAATGATTCAGTAAGAAAAAGAAGGCAGAAGTTTGTTACCAGGGGTTGGCAATAATATTCTTATATGGTAGATGAGCTTTTAGTGTTGAGGTACCTGCTCATCTATCCTCATGGTACCAACAGCTCTGAGCTTTTCTAATCAGGAGAATCTCCCAATCCAGCAGTGCCACATGGACCATGTCAAGATGCCTCCCAAGAGAAGCATGTGAGGAGTCGGTGTTCTATGTCCACTTACCTGTGTCCTGTCCTAGAGTGTAGCTTTTAACTGCTTGTTTGTCAGTTTGGTAGTAAACAACACCAAAAGTAACAACAAACTTTAACATAGTCCAAGTTGTCATTCTCACCAATCTTCAAACCCAAACCAAACTTTGTCATAAGCCCTAGCTTGCTAAGTCAGGACAACTTGTACCACGTCACAGCCATGAGAACAACTTTGTCCTACACTGAGCACTGCCTAACATCAATGGTTCCCAACCCTGGCTACACATTAGAATCACCTGGGGAGCTCTTAAAATCCAGTTGCCTAGGCAGCATCCTGACTAAGTCAGATTTTCTGGGGTGTGTCACTGGTTTTCAGGTCTCGCTGGGTGATTCCAAGGTATATGCAAGGCTGAGAACCACAACTGTAGAGTATCTTTCCTTTCTACTATATGAGTTCAATACTAGGATGACCAGCTCATCCTTGTTTGTCTAGGACTGTCTCGGTTTCACCACTGAAAGACCCACATCCCAGGAACCTCTTCAGTCCAAGCAAACCAGGGCAGTTTGTTAGCCTAGTGCCGAACTGTTTTTTCAATAACTAGCTTTCAATCCTATTGTTGTTGTTCTTACACTTTCCATTAACAAACCATCACACACCAAAATCTGCTGTTTCTCACTTGTGCCATAAATGTTCTTTATTCTGCATCTCATTCCCTATCCAAAAGATTTGGGGATAAAATGTCTAAAATCCAAGAGATATTGACTCACGAGCAGATGAATTACCTGAAGAAGTTAAAAATGGATTTCAATAAACATTTATTAAAAGCCACTATGTGCCAAGCAGTTTCCAATGCTGTGTGTCAAAGATGAATAAAAAGACAAGCTTACATTCAGAATGTTCACAATCTGCTAGCATCGTAAAAGCCAAGAGAGAAAAAGGAGAGGACCAAGAGAAACAAAGAATATGAAGAGATGGATTAAAAATAAGCTAAGCAAATAAATTTGCAGATGTTATAAACTTTAACTTTGGAGGAAAATATAGTATAGATCTGCTGAAAATAAAAATGTTAATGCAGGAGAACAAACACAGGAGCCTCCCCACAGAATTTTTAGAGCATATTTCTTCATATATCACTTCAGAAAATGTTCCATTTCTAACATTTAAAACTCAGCGCAGATGAGCAGATTCAGAATGACTTAAAACTCCTAGAAATCCAAGGTCAATGACATTATAAATTCCAAGTACACCTGAGTTAAAGGCATATGTTTTATTGGTAATTGGCCTCCATTTTGGAATCTGTGCTCATTATACTATGAAAAACCCTCTCGTATAATACAGGTAACAAAAGCAAAAGGTAAGAATAGTGCTAGGCTGCTAGGTCAAGACACATTAAATAAAATATGAAAACAGTGAAGATAAAAGGTAATCTCAGAATTTTATAAGAAAATAAAATACAATCCACTCTTAAAATCAAACATCAAAAAAGAACTGGAAGTTTTCGTTTTCACTCAAGAACATTCTCAACCACCACACAGACTTGATCTCATCAGTTTTTAGCAGGTTTAAATATTTTATTTTATATTTCCCCAGAAAAAGTAATTATAGCCTTATTCTACCATTTTTATACCAAATCGGAAAGTTGCCTATAACAGCTCTCTCTTCTTTCCTATTTCCATTTCACTCCAGAAAAAAAAAAGGTATAAAACTAACTACCACATCAATCTTTAAAATATCTAAGAATATTTAAGTTCTATTTCTTTTTTTCTTACCAAGAAATTGATAAAAGAAAGACAAAGGGAAAAGTTTTTACTAATTTATATTACAACTCTAATGGCCAGTCACATCGGTTGTAGTTCCTACATGATTGCATCGTTTCTAAAATTAGCTCAGTTTAAATAGGAAGCATTTGTAGGTTAGAGTTCAAGGGATGTGCTGGAGCTGGCTTGCACCAGCTTGAAATGGCTGATTGTTGAATTTTATGAGCTGGTTATTTTATATTGGTGGCTTAAAACAGCTTTGGAAAGAGAATTTACACCACAGAAATTGGCAAGAGTTACTAGAAATCAGGGCTTTTGTTAATTGACAAACAATAATTGTATATATTTACAGGGTACAGTGGGATGTTTTGATAAACCTTTATATTTTGGAATGACTAAATCAGACTAATTAACATATCCATCGCCCCAAATACTTGTCATCTTTTCTGCAATAGATCTCAAAAACTAATTCCTCCTGTCTAACTGACATTTTGAATCCTTTTACCCCTATCTTCCTCTTTCCTGCCCCACCCCTCACCTTCGCCTCTGGTAACCACCATTCTACTCTCTATTTCTATGGGTTTGACTCTTTAGATTCCACATATAAGTGAAATCATGCACTATTTGTCCTTCTGTACCTTATTTCACTTAGCATAATGACCTCCAGGGTCATCCATGTTGTCACAAATGACACGATTGCCTTCTGTTTAATGGTTGAATACTATTTCACTGTATATATATACTACATTTTCTTTATCCATTAACCCATTATGGACAGTTAGGTTGATTTTTATATCTTGGCTATTGTGAATAAAGCTGCAAGGAACATGGGAGTGCAGATACCTCTTTGACTTACTGATTCCAATTCTATTGGACATATACACAGAACTGAGATTGCTGGATCATATGGTAGTTCTATTTTTGTTTTTTGAGGAAGCTTCATTGTTTTCCATAATGACTATACAAATTCATGTTTCCAAGAACAGTGTACAAGAGTTCCTTTTTCTCTACATCCTCACCAATACTTGTTAACTTTCATATTTTTATAGTAGCCATTCTAACAGGTGTGAGCTGAAAACCCATTATGATTTTGATCAGCATTTCCCTGATGATTAGTGATGTTGAGGATTTTTTCACATATTCATTGGACACTTGCAGGTGTTCTTTTGAGAAATACCTACTCAAGTATTTTGCCTATTTTTAAATTGGGTTATTTTCTTGCCATTGATTTGTTTGAGTTCCTTACACATTTTGGAAATTAATCAGATGTATGGTTTGAAAATTTTCACCCAATCTGTGGATTGTCTTTTCATTCTTGTTTCCTTTGCTGTGCAGAAGCTGGTTATTAATCATTTACCAGCACACCACTTGCTCTAGCTCATCACCCATCTTGAATGCGTTAAAAGAATCAGACACAATTTTTTTTAAAAAAGGTGAATTCTGGAGCAGAAAAATAAGAGTCTCCATGATAACCATCAGTGAAATGGGCAAATAAACAGAGAGAATGCAAAATTTTTCCTACCACAGTGATAGAATGTGAAGGAAAAAAGCTGCTCAGTTCAGGATCTCAGCTCAAAAACATCCACCTTTAAAGAGGAAAGGCACAAAGGCAGCCATAATGTGGAAAGAGGTTGACACTCTGGAGGCACCCAGAGAAATCATGGTGAGGGTGCAACAGACTCCTCGCACTTTCTATCTGCCCCATTTCCACATTACAGTGATGAAAGGGTGGGCTGGGAAACCCGCGTATGGGGTTCCTAAGAGGGACCTGACTCTTTTTTTATAAGATTTGCCCAGTTCCACCGGCCAGAATGTCTTTCCTTTCCACAGCCCCACAACGATGCCCTTCATGAAGTTTAAATACAAAATTCATCCCAAAGCCTTTCCTCTCTGTCATATCAAAGTCATAGCAAGAGGGAAAAAAATTCCTGTTTCCCATTCTGAAGGTGATGTTCAAAGTAAGAGATACTCTATTTTTGTCCATGCTTTGTAAGCATGGACAAAAATTTACTGTGAGTCCTTTCTGGTAGGTTTCTGTTTATGTTTTTATCCAAACACATTAGAACACTGGCTTCCTGTTTCTTTCCCAGAAATACGCCTTATGGGCCCAGTGCTTCCCTGCTAATCTCTCACATCCTGTTCTGTGACAGTCTAAAATGAAGGTGCAGCAGGTCAAACTGTCATTGATTTAGCAATGCTTCCCTTAGCTTGAAGAGGTGGAGAAATGTTTCCTGTCCCTTAAGAGGCATAAAGGTAGGAAATCAGGCTTTTCAAAAGGCAGTCACATTCTGTCCATGTGAATACTTTCCTTAGCCTGCTTGGGCTCTGACACCTGCACTGTTTACACACCTGGATGCACTTTGTAACCCCAATCGGGCTCTGACACCCCACATCAGGCCACCAGTGCCCACCTGCATGGATGCCCACCTAAACCTTCTCTAGCTCTGGCACTCTACACTGGGCTGCCTTCACAGGCTCTCCCTTCTCACTTCACTCAGGCTGGGAACGTTGTGTGTTCATGAGTTCACTTAAACTCTTCATATCTGAAATAGTTTATCTCATTCTCTTTTTTCCTATATAGAATGTTCTGTAAATGTTCCTATGTTCCATAGAAAGAAATTAAGGAAGGAGGAGGGGAAAGGAAGGAAGGCAGTAGGGAGGAAAGGAAAAGGGAAGAAGAAAAAAAAGGAAATATCCAGGGACATTTTTTTTTTAATGGAGTCTCACTCTGTTGCCAGGCTGGAGTGCAGTGTCATGATCTCGGCTCACTGCAACCTTCACCTCCTGGGTTCAAGCTATTCTCCTGCCTCAGCACCCTGAGTAGCTGGGATTACAGGCACCCGCCACCATGCCCAGTTGATTTTTTGTATTTTTAGTACAAATGAGGTTTCACCATGTTGGCCAGGCTGGTCTCAAACTCCTGACCTCAGATGATCAACCCCCGCCCCCCGGCCTCCCAAAGTGCTGGGATTACAGGCGTGAGCCACAGTGCCCAGCCCCAGGGGCATTTTCTAACCACACACCTCTGTATGTTCATAAAACTAAACCTTTTCCTTATACTGCTTTTTCATGTCCCTGGATTGCCAACATTATTCAGCTGTGGCAACACCCATCAACACTGCAGCCACACACCATTTGCAATTCCTCTGCATCTTAACAGTTTACTCTGCTCCCAAGATATTTTGCAGGAAAGAGAAAAAAGAAAAGGTTATAAAAATTTTTTGTTCTGCAGTAGCCCTGGGAATTTTTTAACATGAGGTGCATTCACACCATTAAGTGAGCAAACAAAAAAAAAGCCTTCATTTTATAAGAGCCATTTTAAAACTGCTTAAAGGAAAGTAAAAGCAAAAGCATCACAGAATTAGATGCCACTAAAAATATTTAATTAATTTGAGATGAGTAGTACATTGGGCTCCAACCACTTTCCTGCAATAACACTGGTAACCTGATACCAAAAGTGAGGAAGGAATACAGGAACTTACCCTCTCCCAGGGCAAGAGCACACCTAATCTGGGAATAGCAAAAGGAGATGCAGTACAGAAATTAGCTGGGACACAGAATTTATGAAAGAAAGAAGCCTTGCCGGAAGCCATCCACTTGTGCCTCACTATTAGAAATCATTGGTGCAAGGTAATATTTGGACAGGCGTAGACACTCATTTGTATTTGAAGGTAAGCAACGAGCAGCCAAAGGCTTAATTAACTTTGCTTTCAACTACTACTGTGATGTAATTAATTATTGCTATCCCTAAAACCATTATTTTTTTGTGGTTGATCTTTTATTGATGGGATCTTTCAAAGGATGAAACAGCAAGATTTTTTAACCCTTTGTGACTCATAAGGACTTTCAATCTCCCAAGTTGAAAATGCCAGCATCTAATATAATAGCCTTCCACAGGAGGTGCATAATTCCTTAGGAGTGTGCAAGATGATCCTTTGGAGTGCTGGAAAAAAATATTAGGGCATTTACATTTGTTTATATTTTAATCTATAAATAGAGAAAGAAACCAAGCTCTACTAATATCTAATGTACAGACCAGCTCTGGCACCCTCACTCAGTGCATGTGTCCAATAGCCAGGTAGTCAGACATCACTGATCTAGATGTACCCTATCACAGAGTGGGAGAAGCTGCCAGCCTGCCCTCTCTTTGTCTTTGGTTTTCAGCATTTGGCTCTACATCACAGTTTGCATGTGCCCAGCAAAGTGGATTCACAGATCATGTTACTTAATTTTAATCAAACTAATTCTCACCAAACGCTGCTATGGCTTTAAGATATTTCTGCAAAGAATCCAATGGATTAATAATGTAAATGCAAGTGAAAAAAATAAGAAGAGAGCAATGGCAAAGCTGACACTTCTACCTTCAGTACAAGCTCTTTGCCAGCTACACATTTAATCGGTTCCTTCAAGGTAAATTAGATGTTTTAACAATAAGCAACAAAGCAACTTCTTTTTAAAAGAAATTCATGCTATAGAAAGAGCATTGTGAAAATGAACGTTTGGAAATGTTTCCATCATTATATGATTTTGTTGAGGAAAACACTGTAAGTATACACTCTAAACACTCCCTCTCTGCTGTTTTTAAATCTTCCAAATGGAGAGTTTCAGTGGGTTTTGAATGCCTTTGTTAAAAACATTAAAATGCATTATCTTCAAATTAGTTTTGCAAGAACATCTGATTGAGATCACAGAAGATGGAAATTTGCTAGCCATATTTCAACAAAAACCATTGCAAGATGAATTCTAGATTGAAAATTGACTTACATGATTGTGAAGTCCGTAATGCACTCCTCCTACTTGGATGTTTTCAGAAATATGTTTCAACTATGATAATAATTGAAAACTAAGTCTCAAGATAAACTCGAGGTAGAAATACAACTTCTAATTGCTTCACTGCAAAATTTTAAACTAATCGTTTAAAAACAAATAAACCATATTAAAGTATATTGCTCTCCTTTAAAAATGGTACTAATACTTGGATGAGAACAAAAATATTTTATAACTATAAACAAATACAATAAAATATCATTTTAATGTGTTTATTTTATATTCATGACATCCTTTAAATTTATTTAAGTGTATGTTTTACAATAAGCATACATAGCTATTGTAGTACATTTATAGAAATGATAAATAAGCATATGTAGATTGTGGATAGAAAGTTCAAAAATATTTTACTGATAGAGGCACAAGATCTAAAAAGTGTTGTGATGACCATTGGTCTACAATGGCTTCCAGCCTGGTGAGAGTTTACTTCCAATACATGTACTGTGTACATCAGAGAGCTGAAGTTCCATCATGGTGCCTACTGTATACATCAGAGAGCTGAAGCTCCGTGTTAGGTAAGTTTGGGAGCAACAAAAACATATTCAAGGTAGTGCATCAGTAAAGCTTCGATTAAGAAAAACAAGATTTACTAAAATGTAGGCCATAAAATACGGGTTTTACATATATTAACTTCAGAATCATAACAGTATACCCACATTGGTTGCAGTACTCCACTTAAATAAGTTTAGAAATGCTGCATATGACTAAGAATGCTTTCAAATCAAAGGTTCCTAAAGCCATTAAACTGCCTTCCACCTTAGAGTAAAATCACGTTCACAGATGATGTCAAAACTTCTGATAAACAAAACACAACTTTCATCATTGACAAAATTTTTCCCTATATGTCAACTCATGCCGCTCCTATATTCAACACTTTCCAGCAGGCTTTTCATCTCAAAGTAGAATCCCAAATTTTTGGAGTTGCCTACAAGATCCTCTCTGATCTCACCCCTTCTACCTCTCTGGCCTCAGCTCCTTCTACCCTCCGTCACTGGGCTGCAGCTACACACCAGTCCCCTCACTCTTTCTTGAACATTCCAGGCCCATTCCCACCTCAGGCCACTCTTGCTGTTCCCCCAGCCTAGGAGATTATCCGTTCTCCTCCCCCACTGTCCTTGACTGCCACTTTAGCAGGAAAGCCTTTCCTGAACACCCTCCTGCAACCTCTATGTCTCTTTCATGATTCATTTTTCTCCTTAACTCCTGTCACCATCTCAAATTATATGTATTTAGGTTTTTTTTGTTTTTTTGCCACAAAGGAAGATTTTGTGTTTTATTCACTGTTGTATCTCCAGTACTTAGCACAGTGCCTGGCACATAGAATAGTAAACATCTTTTGAATAAATCTGCATCTTAAGCAGAAAACTGAAGAGCTGTTTCAAAATACTCAGAAGTAGAAACCATCTCCATCAACTTATTCAATATTTATTGTGAATTTACTATGTGAATTTACTATGTAATTTACTATGACCAGGCACCATTTTGGATTGTTTGAGAAAATGTAAAAATAAAACAAAACTCTCTTAAGAAGCTTAGGATTTGACATAAAATGCAAACAGATCATTGTAATATTCAGCAGGCTATGTTTGCTAAGCATTATTGAAGGGTTGCTGGCTTGGGAAGTGTCGGGAAGAGAGAACTCACTTCTATCTATTAGAGCGGGAAAGTCAGGGAAGTAGAATATCAGGAATGACTTCAGAGAAGAAAGTATTTGAATTAACTTTCAAAGGTAAACTTTTGTTTATAACTTTAAGTACACCGTGTATTATATAGTATGATTCATTTTTCTCTAAGATTATTTTCAATTTTCTCCACTCCCTAGTTCGCAGAAAGGTAAAGAAAATGAACTTATAAACATACTGGCTTTCAAGGAGCTTAGAGCTTCTTATCAATCCAGGAATTATTAGAATTTTAACAAAGCCTCTTGAATTCAGAAACAGAGAAACTTGGCCCACTGTAGCAAGGGGACATTGTCACATCAGAGGCGAGTAAGTGTGAGTTAGACGACCAGGATACACCCCAATCTGAATGGGGAAGGAAAATGTGTTTGATTAATTTTGACACCAATAGTTTCTTTTAGCAAATGCCACATTCTTGGCAGGTTTATGTTTCTTATTATGCCATTTTACCATTTAAAGAGGATAAAAGGGAAAAATTAAAGTCCCATGAGTCTCTATTAATCTTTTCTTCAAACATCACCTCAAGGATCAGGCATCAGATATGACATCTTTCAGGGTTTTCACCCTGAGTATTCAAGTCCTTTTATGCCAAATGCAAAGAAGAGACACCAATCCAGTATTACCAGATTTATATTCATTGGCATTTTTATCTCATCCTACTATTACATATCTGTGATCATAGCACCTGCTGATTCAGAAGCACCAAAAGACCAGGTTCAAGAGCTCTTGCAACTAGTTAGTTACTGAACTAAAATAGGTGTCTGGACAGCAGAGACTTGTGCTTAAAATAGGAGAGCAAAAATATCTTCCATGCCATTAGAAATGCATAACCTTCCAGCAACAATGTGACGGTGGCCAGTGGTCACTAGAAACCCCCCAACCTATAAGCACCTTGAGGTTATAACTGAAGTGTGTCCTTTATTTCTGACAGTTAATCCCAAACATGGCATCAAAAAGGGACTTCCCAGGAGCACTAATGGGGTCATTTTCTTTACAATGGTACAAGCAGTTATTTGATATGAGTAGGTTCTAAGAATAAAGAACTCTGGCATTATTTCCATATTGACTAAAGAGTATCAGACCCCACAAACAAATATTTTATTTATAAATAAAAGTGTGCAATGGTACATGAATACAAAAACAGTTAAAGGTAGGAAACTCTTCCCATTATAAATATCCACAGCTTTTAATTGAGTATAAAATAATATCTCCTGCTTGAATAATTTTGTAAGAAATTAGGATATGCAAGTCAATGAAGAAAAGTGTCTGGGAATAATGCTTGGATTATATGACAAGGATCCTTATTGGCAGTCATTAATGTCACTTATATCCCTGTCTTTTCAGAAGAAAAGAATGTCACTTATATCATTTTCAAAAGAAAAGGCAGGGATGGCTGCTATATAGACCATCACAAAGCTCAAAAGAAATTAATTTGGTTTGCCAATCCTTTTTGTAGCCAGGCTCATGTTTGTAATTTCTTGTTGATTCAGAAGCAATGAACAAATTTTTGCTCAGTTTAGGATGTCTTTTTTGGACAAATTCTGATTTCCAGAGCCAAGGAGTTAATTTTCAGATATTTCACATGACATTCTAGAGGTTAATTATTAAGCAGGTAGTGTGCATTTCATTTCCAGGAAGAGATGGACATCTACCCTGACAGTTCTCAGGGATAATGGAAGGCAGAAGAAAGATCTAATCTTCATTTCACTGTTGATGAAGTGAATATCCTGAATGGATATTCTGTGGCAGTCTAATGAGACAACACAGCATACAGCGGAAATTTGAAATATTCTGAGTCACTACAGAAGAGTAGATAGATTCAAACCTGCTTTTATTGTCTCATTTCCAAGAGCTTTTATACCATTTCTCCAAATATGAAAACGTTCCTTGTCTCTCTCCTACCACTCCTTTTTGCTTGTGTCAGTTACTCAATGCAAAACAATTCCAACCAGGAACAGTCATTCCAGCCCCAAACAATCATCTGAGTTTGGCTTTCTGTCCTCAAACAGCGTCCACACACACTTGATTCCACTCAAATACTCTTTATCCTCTTGCCACGTCATAGAAATGGCCTTGACACATCCCAAGGCACAGACCACAGCACGCAGTTCTCCAGTACATAAGTACATAAGAGACAGAGAACAACTCCAAGTGAGTTATTCAGTATCTCTTATATAACTCATTCCATTCTGAAAAGCAGACTTCAGCCACGGTTTAGAATCAAATTGCAACATAGCTCTAACAGAAGTAAGGTCTGTAGCCCAAGGAAATACCACAGTCACTTTTTATTGAAATCCTTTATTGGCTAGAGTCTAGATTCTCTTAGGTATAGGCTGATGTCTTTCGTGTCCTATGGCCTATGAACATTTGCCACTATCTTGATGGATCTGTTCCATGAGTAAACAAAAATTTCTCACCTTTACAATTGTCAATCCAAAAATTTTCATCAAGGCCCTCAAAAGCTTTTTGGAACTCCCAAAGTGTACCTAAAAAACACACTGCACTACTTATAATCTCAGATTTCTCTACACTTGCCTTAGAGCAAATTATTTCTCCTCATCACCCTCTCCCCTACCCTTTCCACAGGCAAAAGTCAAAAAGCTAGTTCATATTAAATTTTAAGATCTGTAAGAAAAAAACTCAGCAAGTTGCTGTTGGTTGAAGCAAAACAACATAAAAATCTTTCTCCATAAGTGAAGACACAGGGAAAGAAAGAAAACTTGAGCCCAGCAAAATAGTGCTCTCTTCACGCAATCAAGATTTCTGTTAAAAGTCTATTCTTTATAAGCAGTACATACCCATGGTTCTCACCTGATGCCAGAGAAGCTCAAGGTATTTTAGGTTTCCATCCTGAACATTTTCCTTAAGAAATGATACCTGCTGACCAGAGAAAAGAATTAGCTATTACTGAATAAATATTATTTTATGAACTTCAGGGCCTCAGGGGGACCATGATTTTACCAATGAGCTAGCTTTTTAAACAGGATGGATGAGTGCACGGGCACATTACAGACGCGATCCTATGGCCATTACCTGTCTGTGCATCTCCCTCTGAGACACCAGGTAGCAAAGTAAACTGCTCCCCTGTAAGATAAAGCCTTAAATGATGAAAATTCAATTCAAGTGTCCCAGTAAACTATATCCTATTTTCCCACCCCTGAAGACCAATAGCCTCCTCTTTCTTTTGCCTTTCTTTCTGAGTTACTTTTCTCTGTGCCTCTGCCTCTCGTTCTGTCTCCATCTGTGAGGAAAGAGGGCTCAGGGAATGAGGAAGAATTCTGTCTTTTGACTTCTGTCTCCTTCTCCTAGCCTCTCTCCCCCTGTTTCTACCTCTCAGCATCTCTTCCCCAAGTCTCTCTCCCTCTTTCCCCATCTCCTTCTCTCCCTGTCTCACTTTGGTATTTCAATTTGGGTTTTCTTGTTTTGCAGGAAACAGTACTGATTTTATACTCCTGGAAATGAGGGTATACAGCTGGGCAAGAACTTCTCTGGGAGTGAATCACTATTGTTCCCAGAGGTTTTATTTGTCTTCTTTACAAGTCTCCCTGCTGCCCACAAAAGTGCCAAGCTCTTGATCAATGGGATGGCGAAGTGTCACATTTTTCCCCTCTAAATGCAGAGTAAACCTTCACAGCCTTGCTCCACTGCACTGAAAAATGAAACTGTAACTACATGCTGGAAGGTCCTTAAACAATTCCTCTCTAGGCATAGCCCCTGAATGGCTTCTACATGGCTAAACAAGTGCCTCAGAGGAAGAATGTTTATCCTTATAAAATAATTTCCCATAAGAAAACTTTGGTTCCACAATTGTCTTTTCCAGGAATCCTAGTTACACCGTCAACATTAAAACCCACACCTGTCACATGAAGCAGATCAAAAGAAAAAGAAAAAGAAGCCCTTCCCATTGAGGACTCAGCCCTATGTACCTTCCTATTCCCCATAGCTAGCAAGTATAGGTGATAAATGCATATTGGTAATAATGAGACCTATGTTTTATGACCTAAAATCCTGCTAAAACTAGAGTCCTGACCCATCCTTTCTCTTCCCAGAATTTTATTCATTCTGAAAATAATAGAAGTTTTCTTACAAGTTTCAATAAGCCACGACTATCAATATTAAGAGCCTCACTCCACAATTATATTAATTCACACTTGTAGCTCCTGTTGCTCTATGCCAGATCCTGAAAAACTATGGCCCATGGGCCATATCCAGCCCACTTATGTAAGTTTTACTGGGACACAGCCATGCTCATTTGCTTACATAGTGTCGAAGCCTGCTTCACACTACAATGGCAGAGTTGAGCAGTTGCCACAGAGACAGACCCTTTGCAGAAACAATAGATATACCTGCTCTAAGCAACAGAAACACCTAATGATTATGCCAATAATTGCCATCACTCATTCAGTATTCCATGAGAAAGTGACACATACTTTTCCTGGATTATTGATTTGCCACAGCCTTATGAGTAAGTGCTGGGATTATAGGCGTGAGCCACAGCACCTGGCCTGAGTTAGGCACTTTTATTAACACTACGATAGACTGAATGTTTGTGTTCCCCCCTAAAACTCATGTTGAAATTTGAACCCCCAATATTATGGTATTAGGAGGTGGGGCCTTTGGGAGGTAATTAGGCCATGAGGGAGGAGCCTTCATGAATGGGATTAGTGCCCTTATAAAAGAGACCCTAGAGAGATCCCTGACCCATTTTGCCATGAGAAGACACAGTAAGAAAACAGCTGTCTATAAGCCAGGAAGCATGCCCATGCCAAACACTGAACCTGCTGGTACCTTGATCTTGGACTTCTCAGCCTCCAGAATTGTGAGAAGCAAATTTCTGTTGTTTATAAGCCACCCAGCCTATGATATTCTGTGACAGCAGCCTGAAAGAACTAAAAGAATTATCATTTTCAAAACGAAACCAGGTATCTTGTAAGAGGAGCAAGAAGTCAAACCCAGACAGTCTGGCTTGAGAGTCCATGCTGGTAATCACTACTCCAAACTGTCTCTAGATTTGGGGATGCTAATGCTCAGACAGGAAAGAAGTTGGGTAACAGTAGGACACAGTACAAAACAAAACAGTGAATGTATTTTTAAAAGCTGAAGAAAGTAAAACCAAATAATAAGAAAGGATTGGGAGCTATCAATATAAGAGCTGGGACAACAGTTTGTAAAATTTCACCCAAGTCAGACTTTTAAACAACTTTCATAGATTCTTTAGATGAAATTCAGGAGAGAGCAACTAGCTAGATACTGAATAAATGTTTGTTGAGTGGATGGTTGGATAGATGGATAAGCACTACGGTATCTCACAGAATCAAGCGAATGACCAAGAAGTGGGAAGAATTGGGACCAAGGTAAATCAAACTTCAATAGGAGAATTTAGAGGTCCTCTTTATAAATGACTATCATCAGCATGACTCAGCCTCAGGAACACTCAGTTTCTGGGTATTCCCATTCCAGATTTCAAACTCCAAGGAGACAAAATCTTACTGGGTCACCTTAGCCTAGATAAATATCCCTAGAGCAGTGGTTCTAAGCCCTAGCTGCACACTTGAATCCCCTGAGGCACTTTTAAAGAATACCAACTCCTGAGCCTCACCTAAGCTCAACTGAAACTGAATCTCTGGGGATAAAGACATGGGTGAACTTGGGACTCTATTCTGTGATTGAGGCAGGCAGCCATCTCATAAAGCCAACTGGAAACAAAGCAGAAACACAGAGCTAAAGCCCTCATGGAGTCTTTTCAGGTACAGGAGCTAATAAAATCATTCTTCTCTATGCTAATTTGTGTTGGGTCTTTTCTTACTCACAAAATGTAGCATCCTAACCAATAGAATCCTGATCTCCAAATGCCATGAAATCAGACCTAGTAAGTTAATGAACATATTCCGAGTATCTGCTCTATACTCAGACCTGTCCTGAGTGCTACAGGGGACATTAATAATTATTAGACTCCCTGTGTCCTCAATAACTCATAACTCTAACCTATGGAATCTAGAAGAAATAGAGCATGAGAGATCTGAACTGAGTTAGTATGCTAATAATACATATTTTTTGGTCTGGCTTCTTTTCTTAGAAGAAATGGATTTTCAAACAGTTTAGAATCTATGTTTGGGAGAAATTTTAAAGAATGGTTATCTTGGGCATTGGCTTATATTTTGGCCTCCGATATGGGAAGAAAACTAGTAATGCTTCTAGAACTATTTGTAGGACTGACTGAAAGGGCAATCAATGGAACTCATGAGATTCTCTACAGCTGCAAAGTCATGATTTCTGAAGCAAATCAAACTTTCTATGCAAAATCTTATCTCCTCAAGGAAAGCAGTGCAACCTGTAGTCAGGGGAAGGGAAGGGAGGGAGGAAGGAGGAACAAAGCACTGATTTCAAAAGAGAGCTGCTTACCAAACTCATCCAAATCTCCAGTGGCCACTTGCTTCTGATTGAACCACCTGATCTTTGTGAAGAGAAATAAATCTTCTCCTCAGTGCTTTGACTGTTAGTACCGTGGAGAGTTCTTCCAAGATGCAAAAAGAAAGGAATTTAAAGAATTAAGAGAATAAGCAACTGCTGGCTCTTCTCCTTCTGCTCTAGGGATTTAGGTTATTAGAAGACTTTCAACCTCCTTGGCTGAAGGAGCCTCATGGTACACACTAAAACTGCAACCATTTAGGGCTAAACTCAACGCTGTTCAGGCCTTGCACAGCCTCCCTAATACAATTCATCATGTAGTTTATGGAACAGTTGAATAGGGGGCCATAGGAATTGGAACCAGAGTTTATCACTGTGAAGATATTTGAAGAGTCTGCTCCACCATGTTAAGGGAGCCTGAACAAAACAAAACAAAGGGCAAATTATCATAAAATGTAAAAACAGGCAAATGGGTCGTGATGGTCATGGTGGTGATAAGTTGAAATTAAAATGTAATGCTGACTCATTTTCCTTTGGAATTCAGAAGTGATTGTCTTTTTAGCTTTTTTATCTGAAAGTATGTCAGAAACTAGCCATGGATGTTACTTGTTAGTAGTGTATTGTAGAATATTTGCTTTGATTGCAAAACAAATTCTTTCAGTCTCAAAGAACACAAGTACACAAATCCAAACAAGAAACACAAAGTTTTTGAAGAATAGCATCTTTTTGAAATAAAGTTCTCCTAAAGCAAGAATATTAGTGCTGCCAGTGGGATATTCATATCAGAAAGACAGACAACTGGTCAACTCCCTACCATTCCAAATGCGAAGACCCTGTAAAAAGATCATCAGCAACCTATTCAGCAAAGTGGAGAGCCATTTTTTTTTTCAAAAACTCTTTTTGTGTTTATAGCTGTATGGGCCATGCCTTAACACATTTCTTATATAACTAGCAAGAGAATTTCTGCTGCTTGGAAACCAGAGATTAAAATTAATATATTGGTTGATAACCACAACAGCCTCTCAGGTGTCGTCATTGAGAATTATTATTTTCAGCAGTTCATGGCTCATTTCTTTAAAATTAAAATTAGTGTTGTGGCACCCAAGGATAATTTTCCAGCTGTCTCTATGGAGAATAATATAAGCTTGGTGAGTTTAATGAATGGTAGTTTACTGCCATTCAGTGTCAATGCAGTGAGTGAGTTTGGATTTAACAGGAACTGGAATAACAGTCTTACCACTGTGTCTTCATTAATATGGAATCCTAATACAGCCATGATAGCTGATAAATTATGCCCAGCATCTCAATTACCTTATCAAAGAAAATTATTCCTAATGACCAAGGAGGGGATAAGGAAATGCAAAGAGAAATAGGGGCCAAATTAGTTGGGATGAAATTAGACCTTGTGCAGATTGGCAGATCAGATCTGAGCTAGTTAGTACGAAGATGTGAAGGTAGTGGAAAAACAAGAACAAATAGGAACTAGAACATGAAGGTCATGAAAGGCGACCAAGAAAGATGACAGTCCCTGAACTTCTCCAAACAAACAACCAAGATCTCACACCACCATTTATGTCGGGTTTGCAAACACACACGAGGAAGTGTGCACATAATCAGAGTGCTGGAACTGCTTTGGGACTTTGGGAAGACCCTACAAGTGAGGTTCCTGGTGCTATGCCCTAGACACCTTGTTCCTAAATTCTTCCCAGCCTTCCCCCACCTAACTCTGTAATGCAGAAGGACTAACTCTTGCAGGATCATTCCCATGTTCCCTCCTCAGCTGCCTTCCAGTTGGATTTGGCCAGCAGGAGCACTAATGAGACTGGAGGGAGGAAAGGAGAAGCCAGAGTATTTCTGCCGCTCTCTGTCTTGGGTAGCATCTCCAGCAGAAGCTATTTCTCCTCTACCCCAGCTCCCACTGAACGGACAACTATCAGTGACCCCAACCCATGGGCTCCAGTAACACCTCCTTCTTCCTTTGTTCCTGCAGACAGGGATGGTATAGCAACCTCTCACTGTTTCTAATCTCCAGAGTACCTACTGTCCTCTACATGACTACCCAGTTCTTGCCATCATAACCAGTTCCTTGCATTAAATTCACGTTGTTTTAAACACAGTAATTTCTGTTTTCCTGGTTGGACTTTGAGTGATACAGGAAATAAGAGATGGAGAGGCCACAACTGAAAGGCCTCAGGAGTCTGTATGACAGGCCCATTCACTCTCATACTGAATTCAGGAGTGGGGGGTAATTCATTACGAGAAAGTGCCTGCAGAGCCAGGCGCCCAGGTTTACGTAAATTCATTGCATGATTCTACTTCAAGTAGCCTAGAAATTGAGGGAAACAAGAAGCAATACCCTTCCCAGGCAGGCCCTTAGGAAAGAAAAAGCTGCAAAATCAAGGCACTTATTCTTCGCCTCCCCTCTGGAGGAGACTTGAGAAAACAATGGAGAGTTACCAGATGGACAGAAAGATAAGTGGGCAGCAAAACCTCTCCTCCCCATTCAAAGATGCATCACCAGGGTTTTCACACAATCTAAAAGAGATGAACCCAGGGTAGCACAGTCAAAACAGAAAGCAGAGATTTCCACCAACAGTGTGGACCTTTTAGCCAAGCAGCAAAAACCTAATCAAAAGAAAATACTAACTAAAGTTAACACTTCCTCTGTCTCCAAAGTCAAACAGGTGGGCAACCCTGGGCTGGGAGTGGCTCAGGAGCAAAGGCCATGTCCTACCAGCCTTGCAGGGGGTCAGGAAATGTTTGTGAAGGAAGCCCCTCTAGTTTCTTTCCCAGATGAGCCCCATGAATCATCAGAAGACTGAAATAATTCCATCTTTCTCACAGAAGAACTGAGGCAATGTAATGGGATCCAGATTGCACAACCCACTGGTGGTTGAAGAGAGACAAATAATAAGATTTATATATAAGCAAAGTCTCTGACATTAAGAATGAGTCCACTGGCATGCTGCTGCCTCTCAGGGATCATTACCATACTGCTTTCCGTAATCTCCTTAAAGTGAAATTAAAAGTCACCACTGCTCTTCATCTCCCTGCCTATTTACTCAATGGAATGAAATCATTCTTCCTTGTGCTGCAAATGAGCCGCCTACTTCGAAAATCCCTTAGACACTCCTGGCATTTTCTTGAAGAAAGGCCTCCTCCATCCACCCTTAATTAAACCAAGGTGACAGAAGAGGCTCCCCTACGGCCCTCTTCAGCATGTGCAGTGGTATCAAGTGCTTCACTCCTCTCACCTTTATTTCCTGTTAGGCTCCCAGCACACAGGCCAGTTGCGAGCCAGTTTGGCCATGCAGAAAATGCTCATGCTATACACTCGGGGAGCCTTTTCCCTGACTGTTTCAAAGAACATCTGCATTAGCATTCTATGCCTCTAGGGGACAGGGTGAGGGAGCTATGTTTGAGTTCTGGCAAGAGGAGTGAGAGTAAGGGAGCCCTCCCTTCTGTAAGCACTTGCCCATCCCTATGGAAAGCTTCTCCTGGGAGCCTCCAAGGCTTGGAGGCAGGCCATTTCTGCACACATCAGCCCCTGCAAGCATCTGACCAGATGGACTGTGAACCTGACCTCCAGGCCCAGTGCAAAGAGTTTCCAGCAGCAACTGCATTAGTGCCACCTTAGGCTTGAATAATTTTCTATCTCAGAAAATTTAAGAGTATTTGAAGAAGAAGCAATACCTTCTGAAATTAAGCCATTTAAAGGGGAGGTAGTAAAGTGCCAGATTACTTTGTTCATAGGCAGTCAAGGTAGCTAGCGTATGTAATTTAAGAATTCTAGGAGCAGTCCCAATCAGCTCCCACCCTCCTCCAAGAGGCAATTACAGAATACAAGCCAAGAATCACTTAGAGCCAAGAGACTTGAAATTGATTCTGAGATCCACCATATACTGAGTGACTAGAACGAATAACTTCTCTGTATTTTACTTTCTCATCTGTAAAATGGAAGTAGTGATTATAAAAGTACCACTTCAAGGCTATTGTGAGAATTGAACAGGTTAGCCTATATAAAGAGCTTATGGTCTTGGCCTAAGGAAAGCTTACTGTATTTAGTAGTCTGTTTCTTAAACAGCCAAATACTGATGTCCTGGTGACTGCAATTTTCAAGGATGAGAAATTTTGTTGTTACTGTTGTTCATTTGTTTGTTTTTAAGGCATCAATCCCTGTTCTACTGTTAGTACCCCCAGGAGGAGCCACATGTTGCGCACACTTTTCCTCATAGAAATAAGTTGGTAGGCAGTTTCTCCAAGTTTGGAGAATTATTAATGAGGCCTTGCCCTGTAACAGATGTCAGCACACCACACAATCTCCTGGCTCCCTTCACCACAGCACTTCTCAAACTTTATTGTGCTTTAAAAACTCACCTGGGGAAATCTTGTTATATTATGTATTAGGATTTTGTAACTCCAGGATGGGGCTTGAGGCTCTGAATTTCTAATGCATCCTCAAGTTGTGCTACTGCTGCTAACCCAAAGACCAATCTTTAAGTATCAAGATATCTGTATACACCAAATTCTAGTGCAATTTCACTCCCCACAGCCAGCACCTGTGTCTTTTTATCAGCAGGCTGCCCGCAGGCTGCAGGAACAGCTCTGCCATCACATACCCAAAGCTGGAAAGGATGAGAATTGATGCCCTTGGGAGCAGCTCTTAATGCTGGACGGTACTGGGTGTAAATACCTCAGTGACCTCTTGCCTGTTCTGGACAACACTGAAGTGTGATTGCTGCTATCTCAAAAGCTCTTCTGTGGAATTGAACTAAAGTTAGCTTCTGGGAGACTTTGCTTGCTTTTGTACACTTTCTTGGCTTCTTTCCCTTTCCTGTCCAACTTCCCCACTATTCTCATACCTTTTTTTTTCAAGAACACTTCTTAATAAATTCCAATGAATGGGCTGTGCATGGTGGATCACGCCTGTAATCCCAACATTTGGGGAGGCCAAGATGGGACAATCACTTGAGGTCAGGAGTTCAAAACCAACATGGCCAACATAGTGAAACCCCATCTCTACTAAAAATACAAAAAAAAAAAAAAAATTAGCCAGGGTGGTGGCACGCACCTGTAGTCCCAGCTACTCAGGAGGCTGAGGCAGAAGAATCACTTGAACCAGAAGGCAGAGGCTGCAGTGAGAGTTTGTGCCACTGCACTCCAGCCTGGGTGACAGAGCAAGACACTGCCTCAAAAAATATATATATAGTAAAATAAATTCCGATGAATGGTGTTTGTCATTCATTCATTCAAAAAAAATTCATTCATTCAACAAATTTTTATTATTCTCCCTGACTCCTATATGTGCCTGAATATGACACTGTGGTACAGGAACAAGTCTCAGTCCCTACCCCAAAGAGTCCTAAGCCCACAAAGACCAGAGCCTACACAGGTAGCACTTGGAGAGAGCAGAAGCCCATGCTGAAGTTGAAACTAACCCACCTGGGAAAACATGTTCAGCTCTAAACATGGTCATGCACTAGTGGCCTTTTCCAAACAGTGTCCCAAACAGAAGTGACAACACCAAAATTGATTAGCACGTCAGTTCTCTCTCTCCATCCTTTCCTCTCTCAGGAAGCTTGAATGGCAAGATGCCATGACAGTGGAGAACCCACAGCTGCCTACAGCCTGGTGGATCTGGAGCCAGGCTGGCTGAGCCCACTCTGGCTGCCTGAGCCGGCCTTGGCTGCCCCTCCTCATCAACAGCTTCCGCCTCTCAAGAAGTGCAGGTGCAAGCTGGTTTGCAGGGCACCAGCTTGATGCAGGAAGCAGCAGTGGGCCGGGAAAGCAGCTGCAGGGAAATTCATAGCTAGTCATGAGATGACACATGCCCCTCACTCCACCTTCCCTGCATCTCTGGAAGAATGGCTGATATTCCTGAGGCTCTCTCTCTTCAGAAGCCACTAAGTGGCTCTGCCAAGTGGGGAGTGCCAACAGCCAGGTGACTTCTCTCCCTGGAATACAAATAAGAAGTAACATTGGCCAAGTAGGCTGAAATCAGAATCACGCTGGAAAAAAAACTAGGAAAGTGCCCCAGGAACAGTCTATAGGCAGGGAGACCCGCTCTCCGTGTGTGACCATCTCAGTAATAAACAGGCATGAGAAAAGGTCAGCAAAGTGACCAAAGAAGAAAATCTCTCCAGGAGACTTCATCTCAAGAATCAGCAGGATAATGGATAAAATCATGAGCTAAAAACAGGGCCTTTAAAACCTGGATCAGAATTTTAATGCTGAAGCATCAACAGTTGTTAATCTCTCTTTGTGTCCCAGTCCCCAACAGGTAGACTGGGGGAATCGCACCCATCTCATGGGGTTGCTGTAAGGATCTAATGGTGCCAACGTTCAATACTTAGCACAGTGCTCATAAATGGGGTTCCTCCTGCGCCTCAAAGCCTCATCCACCTCCTCCACTTCCACGGCTCCACTTCTCTTCCCTTCTTTCAAGCAAAGTTGCCTCTCCCTTTCACTTATCTGCCTTCTTTTCAACATCCACTCCTGTCCTTGGTTTTCCCCACAGCATCACCTAAATGTGCATGTATTTGCTTTTATTTCCTCCAAGAGCCCCCAGAAGCCTACTTCTCCCACATAAAGCCAATGTGGCTCCTGGATCACATTCTCTGATCCTCTGAACTTCTGAGTCTCCTCAATCTCCCAGGGTAGTTCCTCAAACACCAGATAAATGTATTGTAACTAATCTGAACAAATGTGTCCCTAAATTATTTTTCATTGACAGAATGTATTTTAACCTAAACAAGACAAACCAACATCCCATTTGACTTCAACCATAGCTGCCGCTTGTGCCCACGCAAGTGCATTTCTAGGACCACTGGAGATAGTTTCTGTGTGTGACTCAGGAGAAGGTGTCATCAGGGCTGTGTGTTCTAAAAACACCCTTCCTCATTCACAGTGACATCCAAGCATGCTACTTTGCCTTAAGTAACTTGAAAACTTCTTCAACACTAAAATGGGAAGATCTTGACATAGTTTCCTAGAATTTAATGAGAAATCACTAAAAAAACTTATATATACATGTGAGAGTGTGTGTGTGTGTGTGTGTGTGTCAAAAGATAAAACGCTTCACAATTGTCCAGTAATAGTTGCAAAAATAAAAGATTATTTAATTTTTAGGAAGATTGCTTTACTATAAACATAGCTGAGGGTTTATATATTTTAATCACAATCACATGATAAACATTTGATTTATGTTTATCAGATAATCGAGAATAAAAGTTACAATCTCAGGAAAGACATTTAATAATTCTAAATGCTGAACATTTGAATAATAGTGACAAGGGACTGTAATAACAGTAAAACGTACCCAAGAAGAAAATTCAGAGGCTTCAAAACATCTTTATGGAAAAATAAATAAATAATAGAATAATAAAAAGCATCACAGCTTAAAAGATGAAGGAGGGGGCAAAGATTTTAAAAATTAATGAACTGGGGTCTTTTCTCCAGAAACATCATTTCTGTATCATTTAATCAGACTTGAGCTTTCTTAAATTGCCTTTGAAACAAGTTAATAAACAATGTGTGCTGTCCTAGTATGGCATTTTTTACAAGTAAAATGTACTCTGAGATTTGTCCTTCAGTAAACATAGGAGAAATACTAGTGGTTCCTGTTGGCCTTATTTGACGTCATCAGTGAAGGATAAATGGGGAAAAAGCTCTTCCTCAAAGACACAGGAAAACACCACCTGCTCCTTACTGTGTGACTGGACTGTCCACTTCTAGGCTGAGAGTCACTGGTAGGCACTAACTCCTTGTCTACAAAGATTTTTAATAAAGAAAAAACATGTAGGGCTGGACACAGTGGCTCACACCTATAATCCCAACACTTTGGGAGGTCAAGGCAGGGAGATCACTTAAGGCCAGGAGTTCGAGACCAGCCTGGGCAGCATAATGAGACACTGCCTCCACATAAAAAATTTAAATATCAGCCAGGTGTGGTGGCGCATGCCTATAGTCCCAGCTACTCAAGAGGCTGAGGCAGGAAGATTGCTTGAGCCCAGGCATTTGAGGCCATAGTGCACGATGATCAATCCTGTACATAGGCACTACATTCAGCCTGGGTGATAGAGTGAGACCTATCTCTAAAATATATATAAATAAATAAATATGTGGGCTGAGACAGGCTGTAGCTTAATTCACAAGTACTTATCAATACATTAAGAGGAATCAGAGCCCCAGAAGTGAGTGTACAAAAGATTGAGATGATTGTTCCTAGGGCAGAGAAGATAGAAAGGTTGTATTTGGAAAATGAGAAGGCTATTTTGGAGTACTAGGAATAGTTAAAGGGATCATCAGGAATGAAGGGGGGCCAGGTGTGGTGGCTCATGCCTGTAATCCCAGCACTTTGGGAGGCTGAGGCGGGTGGATCACTAGAGGTTAGGAGTTCAAGACCAGCCTGGCCAATATAGTGAAATCTCATCTCTACTAAAAATACAAAAATTAGCTGGGCCTGGTGGCACACGCCTGTAATCCCAGCTACTCAGGAGGCTGAGGCAGGAGAATCACTTGAACCCTGGAGGCAGAGGTTGCAGTGAGCCAAGATCACGCCATTGCACTCTAGCCTGGGCAACAGAGCGAGACTCTGTCTCAAAAAAAAGAAAAAAAAAGAATGAAGAGGAAGCAAAATAAGAAGGAAAAAAATGGGATAATGTGCAGGTTTGTTACATAGGTATATGTGTGCCATGATGTGTGCAAGTGCTGCACCTATTGACTCATCCTGTAAGTTCCCTCCCTTCACCCCCCCACCCCATAACAGGCCCTGGTGTGTGTTGTTCCCCTCTCTATGTCCATGTGTTCTCATTGTTCAGCTCCTACTTATGAGTGAGAACATGTGGTGTTTGGTTTTCTGTTCCTGTGTTAGTTTGCTGATGATGATGGCTTCCAGCTTCATCCATGTTCCTGCAAAGGACATGATCTCATTCCTTTTTATGGCTGCATTGTATTCCATGGTGTATATGTACCACATTTTCTCTATCCAGTCTATCATTGATGCGCATTTGGGTTGGTTCCAAATCTTTGCTATTGTAAATAGCGCTGCAATAAACATATTGTGTGCATGTGTCTTTATAGCAGAATAATTCATATTCCTTTGAGTATATACCCAGTAATGGGATTGCTGGGTCAAATGGCATTTCTGGTTATAGATCCTTGAGGAATTGCCACATTGTCTTCCAAAATGGTCGAACTAATTTACATTCCCACCAACAGTGTAAAAGTGTTCCTATTTCTCCACAGCCTCTCCAGCATCTATTGTTTCTTGACTTTTTAATAATTGCCATTCTGACCGGCATGAGATGGTATCTCATTGTGGTTTTGATTTGCATTTCTCTGATGATCAGGGATGTTGAGCTTTTTTTCATATATTTGTTGGCCATGTAAATGTCTTCTTTTAAGAAGTGTCTGTTCATATCGTTTGCCCACTTTTTGATGGGGTTGTTTGCTTTTTTCTTGTAAATATATTTAAGTTTCTTGTAAATTCTGGATATTAGACCTTTGTCACATGAGTAGATTGCAAAAATTTTCTCCCATTCTGTAGGTTGCCTGCTCACTCTGGTGATAGTTTCTTTTGTGAGCACCCTCATCTATTTTGCAATTTTACCAAAGGTAGGAATACCTCTACCAGGTATCTGGCTATGTCCTAATATACCAGATGGAGATTAACTGCCAATGAAACAACTTTGTTTTAAGTTAGGGATTCATGTCTCAGAGCCCACAGAGGAACAAGCCCTCTAGTTTTCAAATCCATGAGAATCTACCTTTTCCTCAGTATCAAGCTCAGTGGAAATCTTAAACTTCATGGAGTTAAACTTAAAATAACACTAAGATCAAAGTGTTTAGACATAAGCCAGCCAAAGAAAACCTCACCTATTCACCCACACTTAGATTCCCAGGTGCCATGTAAACAACTCTGTACTGCTGATACCCAACATAATACAAGAAAGGCTCAAATTTTCAGAGAAATAAATAATTATTCCACAGTTTGGGAAATGAACTTTGTTCGTGTCAAAACTGTTGTAGATTGTACACTTTTCTGTTTCTTGAAGACCTGAAAACACAGAGGGACTCAGGTATGAAATTGAGAGAGTAGATCACTGCGGAGTTTGTTGCAACTGTAGGTCTAGTTAAATGTTGGCTGGAAATGTGCACAAAATACCCCCCCAAAAAAAAAGATTTCTCAAAGGAATAGAGTGATGTGAAAGCTCACGGTCTATTCGTTGGAGAGTTTCCCTCAGATACAGAGCCCCTGATTGAAATTTCATTGCCCAGCAATTTCAGATTCTTCTATATTAAGCAGGCACCAAACCATTCCCACCAAGAGCTAAGATTCGTGAAATGTTCTAACAATTTTAAATTGCTCTCTTCCACTCATGAACTGACTTCCCAATCAACCTCCCATTCCAGAGCATATTAAGATGGCAGGAATTTTGTGAATATTAAATCACTGTGAATCATGCATGGTAATTTAAAACTATTACAGACTAATGTTTGATTGAGAAAAGTATTCTAATTGGAAAAATGATAGAAAAGTTAGTCTAGTTCAATGCTCCAGGACATATTGAAAGAAACTGTGGCTAAAAAGCATTACTCAATTACACAATAATTCTTGCCTCTGTGTCTACGTCCTTGTTGAGAGAGGAGAACCCACCCTTACCCCTCTTCATGGAGCATTAGGCAATCTGGAGAGGAAGTTACTGGGAGTGAACCCTGCTGAAAGAGAACATCCTGGAGGCAAGGATGGGCAACCCAGGTGGCTGAAGAATGGTAAGCAAAGGAAAGACTGAAAGGCAAGTGATAAAAAGACCAATCTTGGGAAGCATTTGTAACCACAGGAAGGGAGACAGAAGCAAGGACCTAACTAGGAATACACATAACTCAACAAAAGCCAGCAGGAATGAGAGCCAATCAATATGTCAAGTTGGAGATGGGTCAGAGGAAATGATTCAAAACTAAGCTCAGGAACCATACAAGTGCTACTTTCACATGGTCCATGTTGGGGGTAAGGAGGTGAGTTGGGTGGCTCACAGTACCAATGCAAGTTGGGTAATAACCCCCAGTGGCTTAGACCAAGGGATGCAACTCAGGATTGGCCCAGGATTGCACTCTCAAATTGTGTTTGTGTTCCTCTAATGTGTCAAAGTATATGCAAAATTCCAAGATAAACATGGCATGTAAAGTGTCAATTGTCCTAGGTGCATAACTTAAACGCTATTCTCATTTTAAAGCAATCCAGGATATACTATGCAGCAGAATCCAAAATTTGCACTAATTTCTAATAAAATAAGTGGCTTGGAAAACTGCGGTATTATCAGAAGACAGGTCTGTATTGGGCTCTGTCTTGAAGCTCCCTGGGGACACTAATTCTATTTTACCAAAAAGGGAACTTCACTCTAAGACTGGACAAATGTGTGAATACAGTTGGACCCACTGAGGTCACCTTTTCTCAAACAAACAAGACTCAAGTAAACAACGCCTAATCTCCCATGATCTATTTTCTGCCTTAGGCAGACGCACATGCCTCTTTTATTTGGATATGAATTGAAAACCAAAGTTTGGAAAGCAGATTCTGAAGCCCACAGAGCCTGGAGCTCATGATGCTCTCTGAGAGACTGTGTTTGCAAGCATGCCCCCTACACCCCATCAAGAGTCTCCAGCTTTAATGGTCTGTAGAAGTTGAATAGAATTGCCTAAGGGAAAATGCTATTCTTTTGCAACACAACACACAGCTCCTCATTCATTTGAGATTTACAATGTGTAATTATATAAAGATCTACAGCTAACACTGTGTGGAACTGCCAATTGTCACTTTGTGGATTTTGCTTAACCTGTGACGGTTATAGAGTTAAATCATTCTTGGCATAAAAAGGGTTAAATTCATGAAATAGTCACATGATGTTTACTAAGTTGTCTCTAGCAAATACTATGTAAGAAAATAACATGAAAATTATTTCCTCAGCTAGAAATTCAGATAAAAAGGGAGGTCTTCCACAAGAAGGAAGGGGAGGGGGGATTAACAAAGATGCTTCAGATTAATCCTTAAGAAAATGCCATCTCTTTCCAATCTCTAAGCTGATGGGGGTTGGGTGGAGACAAGAGACAGAAGGACAAACCAGAGCTGTGCCAGAAGAAAGCCAGTTTCTATTCTTGTTCTCCAAGTCAGTGAGAGCAGACACCTTAAAAGTCACACACCAAGAATCAAAACGTGACCACTTATATTTACCCAACCCAGGGACCCTAAGGAAGCTAAGTTCTATGTACCCAGTTTGGAGAAATATGAGATTTCCAAAGCTGCTCCCAGATTTCATGACCTGTTGAGGAGGCATATGAAGAGGAATTTTAGTTCAAACACTGCCTAGAGGAAATTATAGGCACTTTATAGTAACCCAAAAGGAGCATATGACCTAAGTCTGAGCAAAGGAAGTCTGAAGAACTATATCCTGTCTCAGAGATTCAAAGCTGCTAGAAGGAAACCTCAGAGTAGATCAGTTTCCCAGGCTCACTTTCCTGGTGAACCCATTTTCCTTAAGAGACTCGCCCTTGAAGAACTCAACAAGGAAAGTGCTGTGAGCTGTCCTCCACTGTGGTGCTGAAATATGAAGGCTGCTCACCAAGACACCAATATACCATTGAAGGAGATGGGAAACAATGAGGAGTAGCTGTTGTTAGAGTCCACATAGGTTTCCAAAAGGAGCTGTGATCACAGAGTGCCACCCCCACTCGCCTCTGAGCTGCTGTCGCTGAGAACAAGTGCCAAAAAATCAGCAGGCAGTCCCCTCGGCTGGGAGCTCCCACGGGCTGGATTGTCCCTGGAAGCAGTAGTTTCAGGCTAAGCAGAAAAGGAGAGGACATTTATTCCTGATGGATTTTTTCATCTCTCCCTGCCACAGCAATACAATGACATTATTGTAACATCCAAAAGGAAAATATCTTCTGATATGTTTATTGATGGGTCTTCTGATAAATTCACTAAAGGAAAAGGACAATTTTACATTAAATAATTCCACTGAGATTAGAGACCTCAAAACTTTGGGCAGGCTCTACTGTATCTTGAGTATATTAACTCAAGCTTCTGACTCCCTAGGGCCCAGAATGTGACACTGGAAAAGAACATTATACATAACAAGACGTGATCAATGGGCCATTGCTTTCCTAACTGCTCCAAACCTCATCTGTAAACAATGGGTAATAATATCCTCCTCATAGTAAGCTGTGGTGATTAAATTAAATTATTTTTAAGATATTGGACAAAAGTCCCTGTCATATTGGCTGGGCAATAGTAGATGCTTATTAATAGAGAACAGCATATGAAGAAACCAAGGGTCAGGGAAATGTGTAAATTGCCCTTCATATACATCTTTATTATAACATTTATTATGATATTTTTCAATTATAATGATCCAACTGTATGTCTCCTCTATGAAAACAAAATCATATTTATTCAAATTCCTTTGCCCTGCTCCTAACATTTTTTATTGCATGCTTAGTAAGTATGTTTTGAATTAAGTTTACTTGCATTTCCTACAATTAGACTTGAAGCATGATAAGAGGACAGCAGCCACACAATTATCTGGGCAGTCTCCAGTCTTCCTGCCTAATACTTAGAAATTTCAGTGAACTATAACAGCAGCTACCCCTCACCATCTCTCATTTCTTTAGACATCTCTTTGGCATTAGCAGACAGTCTGACACGTCTGGTCCACCGCACCCTCATATTGCATTACTACTGTCCACTTTCCATGCCTCAAGGCTAATCATAGAAAAATATTCCATTCTTTAGATGTGCTTTCTGTATTGCCCATAAGTCAAACAGCAGCAAAGGGAGGAAATAAAACAGAACAAGTGAGAAAGAAATGTATTTTTTTTCTGCTCTCACACTTGTGAGCACAGCTCCTGGACACTTCAGCTATAATTATTTTTTATTTCTGGACAAAACTAAAGTTTCACTGAAGGAACAATGTGATAACTTTCCTATAGATTTCCATATGTAGGATTTGAAGTTTTTTAATGTTTACTAATAAATTAGTAAAAAAAAAAAATCTATACTCCAAAGAGTATATCTGCTCTCCAAAGAGATCAGATGATGTTTCCTAAATACATTTACTAGCTTTAGCAAAAACTTAAGTCCTGCTAAGTTCTGGAATTGCTCATTATTTCAGATGTCCATTTTACAGTTCTGTATATCGCCTCTAAAGTGACCATCTCTAGACACTTCTTTCTTTTAATTCTGTTACCTACGTATAATTCCAGATTGGTAGAGAGGCTTGTAGAGATGGTACTAAATGAATTACCCAGACCAGAATGAACCCTCTTGCTATGCTCATATTTATTATCATATACACTTGCAGCTTCTAAGCCCCACACTTAAAATTGTTAATATGTAGGAGGTGTACAGCAACACAGACCATACAAGAGCTGAGTCATTAGTATGCATAACTAGAATTGAGAATAAAAACATGCACTATTTGATCTTGGACCTAGACATAGCTTCATAGTAAAAGGTAGGTATTTTTGGATCTTTGATGCAGATAATCAAAGGGAGAAAAAAAAAATCCTATGGTGTTTGATCAGGTCTCAAAAGGAAATTAACCATGGCTGTTCCATTAAACAACTTGGGGGTTCCAAACTCATTTTACAGAAATATATAGCCTATATTTGATGCTAATTTCAGATGCTGCTGTAAGTATCTGTGCTGTTATGACTAAGCCATTGCAGAAAAGAAAGGTGAAAAAGAAATGAGTCCCTACCACGGTTAAAAACTGAAAAAACATTGAGAAAGAGCTCCACCTACTGGAATGTTTTTCTACAACTGAAGACCTATAAAGTTACCCTCAAACTTTTCTAAAATAAAACTTCAATAGGGTCATAGGTCAGATAACAGGTAACATCCTTTGAAGTTGCTTAACCCTCTGATTTCAGGTTGCACTGAGAGGCAGAGAATTTTTCAAGAAAATCAAAGGAAATTTTTGTAATTAATTGACTTATTTCATCTACTGGTTCATAGATTGTATTATGGCAACCAGATCAATATTATATAGAAAAAAGAGGGGATTTTTAAATTGTATTTCTATGTGGCCAAGTAGAGCTAATAGCAGTAGTGTCTAGCATTTGTATAAGTCTTTAGTTCATAAAGCATTTATATGTATATATATATATCATTTAATAATATCTAGCAACCACATAGTTTCCACAATTAATATTCAGCATATCACACCAGTATTACACACTTAAAGCATTCATCCTGATTAGTGAGTGCCTATTCAGTGCCAGCTGTTAAGATATTTTTAATATTGCCCTTGACTTTATTGCATCCTGATTCACGTAAAACTGAATAGAAAAGGGAATATTTGAGTAATTTTCAATCAATAGATAAATATTTTCTTTAATCTATCCTCCCAATACCAACCCCTCACACATGGCCCCTAAATCAATGTTTGCGCTGGGGAGGGGAGGAGGGATTCTGCCCTCCAGTTCTAACCATGCTTCCCCTCGGAAATATCCTTCACAGGATTTACACACACACACATTTACTTTCAAATGGAAATATCCTTCACAGGATTTACATACACACACACACATTTACTTTCCCTAACTCTGAGGAAATCTCAACTCTTTCATTCAATTGGCTGCTGAACACTATTGTGTGTCAGTTACATTCTAGAAATACAAAGAAGATGATAAGGAAGACAGTAAAACTGGAGCCCTGTCCCAGTACCACATGCAAAGCCTGACGTGGACTCTAAGACCCATTACCTAAATGCAAAAGTCAAAGCTGCAAAGCTAGTAGAAGAAACTGTAGAATGTCTATGTGACCTAAGGATGAGAAATACTTCTTAAACAAAATACAAAAGCGCAAACCAAAAGGCAAAACATTGACTAATGAGTTTTCATCAAAGCTAAGCTTTTCAGTTCCACAAACGATATTACGGACAAAATTAACAGAGCACTGACAGAGTAGGAGAAGATATTTATAATGCTTTACCCATTTTATTTTTTTTTTAAGTGAAAGCAAGTTTATTAAGAAAGTGAAGGAATAAAAGAATGGCTACTCCATAGGCTGCTGGTTGCCCATTTTTATGGTTATTTCTTGATTAGATGCCAAATAAGGGGTAGATTATTCATAAGTTTTCCAGGAAAGGGGTGGGCAATTCCCAGAGCTAAGGATTTCTCCCCCTTTTTAGACCATATAGGGTAACTTCCTGATGTTACCATGGCATTTGTAAACTGTCATGGCGCTGGTGGGAGTGTAGCAGTCAGGACCACCAAAGGTCACTCTCATTGTCGTCTTGGTTTTGGAGGGTTTTAGCCCGGTTATTTGCTGCAAACTGTTTTATCAGCAAGGTCTTCATGACCTGTATCTCGTGCTGACCGCCTATCTCATCCTGTGACTTAGAACATCCAGCCTCCTGGTAATGCAGCCCAGTAGGTCTCAGCCTTATTTTACCCAGCCCCTATTTAAGATGGAGGCACTCTGGTTCAAATGCCTTCGACATTTCTCCCCTCCCTTTTATAAGAGAACCCTTAATCCTAAGTGTTGTAGGAAGATGAAGATCCATCTTCCGTAACTTCTTCAGGCTGAATAGGGGCGATGATATTCCTGCCTCAGTATGAGGGTTTCTTGTATTCGGGGCAGAGAGGGCTTAGTTATACAGCATCAGTATGCACTTTACCCATTTTAGAGTAATATCTACAATGTCTAAGAAATTCCTAAATCCAAAATAAAAAGACAGCAATCTCAAAGGAAAAATAGGTAAAGGATGACAAAATGCAATTTACAGTGAAGGAAACCCCAGAGGACTAACATGCTTATGAACAGACACTCAGATCCACAGTTATCAGTGAAATGAAAATTGAAACAACAATGAAATGTAACTTTACAATTAGACTGCCAAAATTTAGAAATCCGGAAAATGCTAAGGGTTGGCTGCAGTATGGGACTATAAAACCCAAAGGATAAAAAAGATAAATAAGACCATTACCGCAATAATGACTAATAATACCACAGAAATTAGAAGCATCTTTAAAAAAAAATTACAGTTTTGAGCACCTAGTCTGAGCCAGTCCCTGTCCTAATAGTCACCTGAACATGCATTATCTTCTTTATTCATGATAGTGACAGTTATTACGGTCCCCATTGTATAACCAGTATAAGAAAACTAAAGCATATAACAATTAAGGGCTCAATCACACAGCTACAAACCACTGGATGAACATTTAAACCAATGTCTTCTGACTTAGAGACCAAGGTTCTTTCAATACCACAGAGTCCTCTTGAGTTTTTCCCTACACCCAGCTGCCACCCCTAGAAACACTCTAGTAGGCCAAGGAAACAGAATTTGCTTTTAAAATTAAGTTAGTACAATTGTTTCTGAAGTACCTGCATAAGTTAACAGTAAAATCAACTCTTTTGTGTGAAAAAAAATTAATAATCTTTTCTGATTATGCAAAAATAGGACTCTACTCTGGGATACAGATTAAGGAATTTTGTGCTTTTCACTGGCAACCTCAAAAGAATGAGAGGGTGTGAAGTGCCCAGAATTTAAAGACAGCAGGAGAGGAAATTGGCATGGGGAAGAGAAGGGGTCCAGGACGATGGCAGAGTCCAAGCAAGGATTTGCAACAAAGAGTGGCTGTAGTGGGGAGTGATAGTGACATATTTACAAAGGAATATTGGAAACCAATATGAGGTGGTTTCCCATTCTATTCTGAGCTTGCCCTCCAGGATCCCCCAGTCTGTCATACATCACAGCCAGCCTCAGTAACCTTGCTCACCCTCTACACTCTCCCTCCAGATTTCCCACAAGGCCACAGTAGCATCAGGCAGGGCATGTGAGGCAATGGGGACACACATGTATTCAGTTGATTGTCTACACTGACCACAGCTGAGCCTGGAAGGATTGTTTTACCCTTTTTATACACAAAATCAATATTCTTTCCCTCATGATTGCATTTGTGTTGTGTGCTGCTCAAACCTCTCTGAAATTCTTTCCCTGACAGTACCTATGGATGGAGCTAGCTAAACTGTGGGATGCTGCTCCTCTAATTACTATTTCCTTTACTTACTTGGGGCTTTTCTTATAATGATTTCATTACCATAGAGGAAAGAGGAAGACCACGCAGCCAAGCCAACCCAAAGAAATGAGTGCTTCATTCAGTCTCACTAGATGCCCTGGTCCATTTGGTCCATTTGGCCCATTTGGCCTGGAGTAAGGGGAAAATCAGGGAAGCCCTCCTGGAGGAGGTGATGCCTAAACCCAATCTTGAAGGTTAACTAGTACTCAGCAGACGAAGAAAGGGGAGCAGAACATCCAGACAGAGGAAAGGAACAGAGGTACAGAAGGAGGAATGACAAGTGCATGTGTGAGGTAAAGGGAGTGTGGAGGGACTGAGCATGAAGAACAAGGCAGGGTTTGGTGGAATAAAGGACTGAAGAGAGCACTGAGCAGTGTGCACTATATTCTTAGATTGACGGGATGCAACTGAGGGGTGTCAAACTAAAGAATGGCAGGATCCGATTTGTGCTTTACCTAGCCTGACAAAATGATCACCTATTGAAAAGCCTAACAAAGAATTTCTCCTAATTTTTTAATCAATTGACACAAAATATTTATAAAGGTTTTTTAAAATAGAACATACTTAATCATTCCTTTCTCAAGTTATTAAGGATATCCCAGAAAAACTATGATGCAGACATCATATTAATTTCTGGAATATGACAACAGAAAGATAATTCTTATTCCAAAAGGCATAAATCTAATTTTTAAAGGACATGGGAGTAAAATTTCACATCAAGAAGATAAGGTCATGTGCAGAAACCCAGGAAGCCAGCACATGATATTGAAGATAGGTTACCAGGTTGCAGAAGGAAGTCCAGCTAGGCAGGCTAAGGAATGGCACCCAGGAGACCCAATAAGGAGTGGCAGGTCTCCAGAGGGTGTGGCTTCCACTGCCATGGAAACAACATAATGAATGAGCAGAGACATTAGCATCTCAAAAGGCTCTTTTTCCCTATAGTCTACATTTATAGGGATAAATATAAGGTCAAGGAACCCAGCTGCACAAACTATATCCTACACCTTACCTACACCTAAAAGAATCCCCTCAAAGTGGTTTTTATCCATGTTCCTCACATGGCATTACCAACCTTTTCTTCCTATCCTCCCATAAATCCTGGTATATAACCTTCTCTCAGTTGCATATGCTCAGTTGGGTATGTGGCTATTTCCACGGACATGCATGTGTGCACACAGGCATGCACACACATACATACACACACACACACACACACACACACACACACACACACACTCTCTCTCTCTCTCTCCAGCAACAATGTACCTGTCAAGCATGTTGCCATCACTTCCAAGTTTCCAAGTTCCTGTCGTACACTTGGCTCCCAACCCCGGTTATCATCAGAATCAATCAGGAGCCTCATGCTGGTCAATTTTTTAATGGTTAACCAACATGCAACCTTTCAGTAACATCAACTCAAACACAAGCTCGAATGGTGAAACTCTCCAGTGATATTTTCCTCTCTTATCCTGATGCAGCCAACATTTCTGTCATGAAAATGAATGCTTCCTCATTCTCTTTATCATATCTTAACATCACGAAGACAAGCAGGTGACATCTAGCTATAGTAAATATATAAAGTAAGGATATAGGGAGAGTAAATCAAGTGGGCAGTCCAGCCTTGGGGTGATCTGACAGCAGATATCCAGGCTCCTACACCACTGGAGTTGAGTTTGAGAAGCAGAGCTCCAACACTTGGAGAAAATTACAAAAAGAAAATAGAGCCCAAATAATTTATCGGTAAAAGTGCTAGACCAGTTTTTTGTTTGCTTGTTTTTTTGTTTTGTTTTGTTTCTTGAGACGGAGTTTTGCTCTTGTCCCCCAGGCTGGAGTGCAATGGCACAATTTCAACTCACTGCAACCTCCACCTCCTGGATTCAAGCAATTCTCCTGCCTCACCTCCTGAGTAGCTGGGATTAACCTGTCTTCAATATCATGTTCTAGCCTTCTGGGTTTCTGCAGATGATGTTATCTTCTTGATGTGAACCGCCACCACACCCAGCTAAGTTTTCTGTATTTTTAATAGAGACAGGGTTTCACCATGATGGCCAACCTGCTCTCGAACTCCTGACCTCAGGTGATCCACTCGCCTTGGCCTCCCAAAGTGCTAGGATTACAGGCATGAGCCACCGCACCTGGCCTAGACCAGTTACTAAAGCAGGAAATCAAGTGCAAGGAAATGAGACTGGAGACAGGAAATGAGACCCTCAGGTACCCAGTCAGAGCAAGTCTATCATCAAATCTGACTTCATGTTGCATCTCCGAATCTCCTTAAATGCCGCAGGACATGGTGCTAGAGTCAGCATAATATTACCTTCCCTGTAAGGAAAAGTCAGGTGGGCCTGCTGTGAGGATCAGAGACTTCAGAAGCAAAGAGGCAAACAAGAACCCACAATGAGAAAGAAGCTGATTAAACCAAAATAACTCGAAGTTCAAGTTCAGACAAATTAGGTCCCAGGCTACTGAACACATTTTCAGTTATGATCACAAACCACCATCAGAAATCTTGGAAGGTTCACAGTAAAGGCTTCAAGGAACAGAAGAGGTGGGCGAACATTGTTGCAAATTTTTGGACCATGAACACCAGTCCCTGGCAAAATTATAAAACACATTAAATAAACAGCTCATTATAAAAAAGAAAAGACACTGTGCTTAGGAACCTGCCTGAGTTCACTGAGAATAAGTCATGTAAAACTCATCTTTCTCTATTTTCAATGGCTACTAAATTGATGGTGCAGCAGAGATTATCAGCTGTTGTTCTGATTTCCACAATGAACTTGTCAAAATCTTTTATAAAATCCTCATAGAAAAGATGGAGAAATACACACCAATTAAATTTTTAACTATTGGACGAACGTCTACCTAGATAAAGGACTTTTGTAGTGCACCACAATAGTAGCATCCTTCACCCCACCTCTGATCTTGGCCACAGCTATGGGAGATATTCTGGGCGAGCTCATTTTTGCTGTGACAGCATCATACCCCAAGCTGGGGGTGTATATTGCGTCCTTCATTCTCTTTCTCAGGGACTTCTCTGAAGAAGAGAGAGCCCACTGGCCCTATTCACAAGCACACCCTGAAAGGGCAGAGATGTCAATGCCCCCAGGGAAAACACATAACAAACTAGAGATGGATACCAGTGGATATATGCAACACACATCCATCCTTCTGAACAACTCTGGGAGACCTTCAGTGTACCTCTCAGGAGGTCTCTCTAGAATTGAGCCCCAATGCCTATAAGAGTCTCAAATGGCTTTTTCTCCTTCCCTGCCTCTCTCTCCCCACCTCCGCACTCCTGCTTTCTGGGATCATCTTCCAGAAAAACATCTACACACAAATCCTTGAGTTGGCTACGTTTGTGGAGAACTACAGTAAGATAGTCACTAAGTTCTTGCCATTGTCCTAGAGACACTTCTAAAGATAGAAAGGGCATGCATGGTAAATTTGTGCATGACCAAAAATAGGATGAAATACCTGAGAATAATACCAAAAAATCATTCAGAAAGACATGGATAGGCTGGAAAGACAAGCTAAAACAAAAAGCATGCAATATTATATAAATAAATTGATCATTCTAGACCCAAGTGTAAAACATCAAGTACACAATTGCAGATGGAAGAGGCCTGGCTTAAAAGCTGTTTGTGTTTAAAAGGCTCTTGATACAGATGATCTCATGTGCTGTTAGAGGAAGTGTAAATTAGTCAACACTTTCTGGAGCTGCACATATTCTGATTTATCCAATCTGGAGCTGTGCATATTCTGACATAAGTTCCTGCCAGGAATTTGTTAAATAAGTATGCAAATGTGTATATACAAGCATATTCATCACAGCATTTATTATAGAAAAAGGAATGTTTAACAATTTAAATAACCATCAATAGAGAAATAGTTAAATAAACTATGGTACATCCACTCAATGGAATACTATAGATTAAGTATAATAAAGTTGTTTCATAACTGCTGGCATGGAAAAATATTTTATGATATAAAAATGTTGAAAAATCGGATTGCAAAGTAGTATGTCTGATATTATTCACTTTCATAAAACATACAAACAAATATATGTATATATAGGTATATACATTTTTAAAGTAGGAAGGATTTACCTAAGTGATTTTTTCTATTTTTTATCTATTTTTATAGAGTTTCTACAATAACAATATTCTATTTCTGTTATGAGAAACAGGTTCTTTTTTAAAGAAGAAGTCCCCTGGATTTTATTTGCCATCACAATATGAATCAATATGATACAAGTGATGCAAATGTAAATTTGGTAGAAGTAAAGTGTTTAATTCTATTAAGAGTTAATAGACAACCGGGAGCAATGGCTCATGCCTGTAATCGCAGCACTTTGGGAGGCTGTGGCGGGTGGATCCCTAGGTCAGGAGATCAAGACCATCCTGGCTAACACGGTGAAACCCCGTCTCTACTAAAAATACAAAAATTAGCCGGGCGTGGTGGCGGGCACCTGTAGTCCCAGCTACTCAGGAGGCTGAGGCAGGAGAATGATGAGGCAGAGCTTGCAGTGAGCCGCGATCACACCACTGCACTCCAGCCTGGGCGACAGAGCAAGACTCCATCTCAAAAAAAAAAAAAAAAAAGAGTTAATAGACGTATAGTGTTCAGGAGGACTTGGAAGGCACAGGTCATTGTCCAGACCACTGGTCCGACCACATCCAGACCCTTCTTTCCAGGCTGCATTCCAAGTATTGAGAGTAACATTGATAAACTAAAGCTCATCAGAGAAGTGTTCTCAGGAGCGTGAAGGGCCAAGAAACCTGTTGCTGACGAATGGGTGATGGGATGTTTATCCCTAACATCAGACATGCTGAAGTTAGTGTGAGAGTTAGCATCAATAACAAAAAGAGCTAATGTGTAGAAGAAAGATCTGGATCATTCTGAACAGCGTTGGAGGACCAGTGGGTGAAAGTATAAATAAATCAGATTTTTCACTTACAACAAAGGAGAAAGAAAACGAGAAAAGGGGATAGAAAGAAAAGAAGTAAAAGAACCTTCTAACAATTCAAACTGTTTGAAAACTGAATAGGCCAAAGTGATGAGTTAGTTCATCACTGAATATGTGCAAAATGCATATTCAGGTCCATCTTTCAGGAATAGTATTGTGGGGTCTTATACTGGGGATGGTCCCTAATGTTCCTTCCAATTCTAGGGTGTTATAAAAATTCACTCACCCCCTTATATCCTCCAATATGCAGTCTGCAAAACAGACGACAGGAAATAAATCAAATGCTTGGGTTCAATAGCGCATAGAACTAAGGATAACGTAATTCCCTTGAGTACAGCATGACTCATTCAGAGCATTCACATTTCTGTAGAATTTGGAGAAATTGTTATGAAAATGTTAAGTGTATAAGAGGTGAATGTCACTTAAAGTTAGAATTGTTTCTTGTTTCCATACTGCAGTAGTAACAGCTTCTTGTCTATGTTCCAGGCCTAGTTTATCAAAATGAAAGTTGGCTTGGGGATTTGTGTAACTGTACAGTCCTTCAACTGAGAAGACTCACAGTGGTAATCCTTTCATAAGAAGTTTTTCTCACACAAAAAGTTACCTCACTACAATAAATCTGTTTCATCTTTTCAAAATGAGTGGAACACTTACCTATGTCACACAAATATAAGGATGAACAATAATTTTAAAATTATATTACTTACCTAAATTATATATAAACTGTAATAAAGTGCATTTACTTAGCATAACACATACCATTACAAAATAGGAAATAACATAAAAAATAAGACATATTTGCCCATATGAATCACACTTCAGACCTTACGGTTGCTTCTTGTGAAAGTGTAACAGTGCCTCTTGAAAGTGAACACCATCTGCGTGGTGCAGCACCCCCTAGAGAAGTATGGTGTGGTCCTTTGTCAAGAAGAGCTCCCTGTGTTCCCTAAGTTCTTCTGAGCAGGGTTGGGAGGACAAGCATGGTGGAGAGGCTCAAGGTCAGAGTCCCATTTTCTCATCGCACAAAGGTCCCAGGCTAGAGAGGTAGCATGCTTGTTGAAGAAGACCACGGTCATTTCTTAGGGTGCTGATCCTCAAGAAGGGATGAAAGGTAATGTCAAAGTGAAGAGCAGAGCTGGTCATCAGATTGACAGCAATCTGAGGCAAAGTAAAAGTAGCCCACAAAGCTCTAGTTTCATCCAGGAAGCTCCTAGTCAAAGCTCAGACTCTCATGTGGAGGCCCCAGAGACAGGTCAGACTGAACTATTATTCCAAGTTTTGACTAATTAGCACTTACTGAGAGTTTAACACGGCAGCGACCCTGAATGTTCTTATGTATTCATTGAGTCCCCACAACTCTCCATTAGGCAGAAACTACTATCTTCCCATTTTGCACATTAGATGACTGAGATTTCAGTAACTTTCACAAGGCTAGGAGGTTAACTCAGGTCTTTCTGACACCACACTCTATATAAAATATCTCATGCAGGCTGGGTGCAGTGGCTCACGCATGTAATCCCAGAACTTTGGGAGGCCGAGGCAAGCGGATCACTTGAGGCCAGGAGTTCAAGACCAGCCTGGCCAACATAGTGAAACCCCGTCTCTACTAAAAATACAAAAATTAGCCAGGCATGGTGGCACACCTATAGTCCCAGCTACTCAGGAGACTGAGGCATGAGAATTGCTTGAACCTAGGTGATGGAGATTGCAGTGAGCCGAGGTCACACCACTGCACTCCAACCTGGGAAATAGAGCAAAACTCTGTCTCAAAAAATAAAAATAAATAAAATAAAAAATCTCATGCAAAAGGTGAATTGGTCCATGATGAAACAATCTCACTATTTCTGAGCTGGTTGTAGTTCAGGATTTGGATATTGTGAGTATATGAATTTGTACTATTGTTTCCAGTCAGGTTCCTCAGGCTCAGCCAGCTCCCTGAATGCTTCTTCCACATAACATAATTCTAAATGTTTAAAAGCTTAATCTATTTACAAACATCAATTGAGAACCTACTAGTACCGGATGCTATGCTGGATTCTGGGATACATAGGTAAGAACCAGACATGCACCCTGCCCTGAAGAGTCTCAGAACAGTCTAGCAGAGATAAGGTATATGCCAAGAATGAAATAAAAGTTTAAAAGGCACTGACAGAAAAAGAAAAGCTGGAAAAAGTAAGACTGTCTCCAAATCCAGGAATAAGGAAAAGGAGAGGAGAGAAGAGGACAAAAAAGGATAGGTTTGGGTACAAAGTTTCAGTTAGACAAAAGAAATAAGTTCTGCAGATCTACTGTACAGCATGGTGACCATAGTTAATAACAATGTACTGTGTACTTGAAAATTTCTGAGAGTAGATCTTAAAATGTTCTCACCACAAAGAAAGATAAGTATGTGAGGTAAGAGATGATTAATATGTTAATTTTCTTAATTTAATTATTTCACAGTATATACAGATATCTAAACATCACGTCGTATACCATAAATATATACAATTTTTGTCAATCTTACCATAATAAAACTAGAGAAAGATAAATAAATAAAATAAAATAAAAGCAATGGGCCCAATGCAAAGTAATAAATTGTAATCAAGTTTACTTGAGAGACATGCTGTTTACCCCGTGAGATCCTGAGAGAATATTTTGTCCAGACTACTCTTTGTTTCGTATTTTTTTACTTCTAGAAAACACTGTTTTTAGGTAAATAAATATGTAAATATTACTGTATATAAAAAGGCTTTAATGACTGAAGAAAATTGATTATAAAAAGCCTCTCAGAACTCAGACGAACTAGGCCACGTGCAGTGGTTCACATCTGTAATCCCAGCACTTTGGGAGGCCAAGGCAGGAGGATCACTTGAGCCCAGGAGTTCAAAGCCAGCCTGAGCAACACAGGAAGACCCCATTACTACAAAATAAATAAATAAATAAAACTTTTTGGAAATCTTTACTTTTCAAAATCTGGGCTGTTTAAGATCTGGCCCAAAGAAATCCTTGGAAATTTATTTCTCATGACTCTTACATACTTTGCATTTCAGCCAAAGCCCTTATTTTCTCTCAATATGCCTCAGATCATTCTATTTCCCCTGCCTGTTTTCATCCTTCTTTGTCTCTTCTCTTCTTCCCTTCTCCTTATTCCTGGATTTGGAGATAGTCTTACCTTTTTCAGCTTCTCTTTTTCTGTCAGTGCCTTTTAAACCTTTATTCCATTCTTTGTATATACCTTATCCCTACCAGACTTGCTAACTTTTTAATTAGTCAAGCATAGTGGCTGTGATCACACCACTGCATTCCAGCCTGAGCAACAGACCTCAAAAAAAAAAAAACTTCTGATAAACTAAACATAAAGAGAAGCTGAATGGCCTTTAAAATACACATTGGGGATGGTTCATGCCAGAGTCTCACTGAGTTCACCGTATGTTTTAAAATAGTTTGAAATATTAGCCCAACTAACTTTTGTTAGAAACCCAGTTGATCTCAGGAAAATAAACAGAAATATATTAATTTGACACAAAAGTGATGCTGTTAGAAGACAATCCCATCTGGTTCTTAAAAGGCAGCTCATTTTGACAATAAGTTTCACCTACATTAAGAACAGGCACAGGTTTACCCAGATCTGTATGCCCAAGGAAACATGGAAACCAGCACTGCAAGCTCATTGCCCAGAGAGGGGCATAATGAAGAGTGGCAGCATAGGTACATTCAATGCTGTATTCTAAAAGGAAATCAGAGTAAAAAGAGTTTTCCAATGTTGGTAATTTCCTATATGATGCTGCTTCTGGCTCTCTCTAGGAATGTTCTGTACAAGTAGTAGTCATATCCAAGTGCCTTAATTTAGTTGTTTGACTGAGACAGAAATCTGTCTTCACTGCAAAATAGAACTAGCCATTTATATATCCAACATTCACTGCTTTGGGGTTTCTCCAGGGCTTCTAGAGCTTTAGTGAGTCTTTTAAATACTATTGATGATAATCACTGAATTGGTCAACTGACTAATGAAGTTGATTTATTTATGTATTTATTCTGAAACTTCATTGAGTACCTACTATGGTTCAGGCACTGGATGCTGAGAATATAATGGTGAACAAGATAAATAATTCCCTCTCTCAAGGTTATATACAGCAGCGAAAATGACATTAGTGCCTGTTCTGTGCTGTGATATGTTAAAAACTGTGGGCGTAGTTAGTTGGGGAGATACAGGGACAAAGAAAGGAGAAGGAAGGAAGGAAGGAAGGAAGGAAGGGAGGGAGGGAGGGAGGGAGGGAGGGAGAGATGGAGGGGAGAGGAGGGGAGGGCAGGGGAGGGGAGGGGAGGGGAGGGGAGGAGAAGGGAAGGGAGGGAGGGGAGTGGAAAGGAGAGAAGGAGGAAGGAAGGGAGGGAGGGAGGAAAGAAGGAAGGGAGGGAAGGAAGGAAAGAGGGGAAGAGAGGGAAGGGAAGGGAAGGGAAGGGAGGGAAGGAGGGAACATACACAATGATATTGTCCCATCCTTAAGACTTTTTTTAACCTTGTTGGAGACACAAGACATAATATGAACAAAAGTGAAACATAACAGACTTGGAAACAAAAATTTTGGCTTCAAGAATATCATCAAAAAAATCACACATACACAAACACACACAAAGGTTTGAACTTTAGTATCATCTGAGTAATGTGTCAGCAGTTTTCCCTGTCAGCAAGGGAATTTGTCTGAAAAAGTCCTAATTAATGAGTCTTCCTTTGAAATCTGAGTTGAGATGCTAAAAGAGCTCTCCATGCTGGCACAAAGCAATTTATACACATTTGAGAAATGATTCTGTAAAGAAAACTTCAAGAACATCATTATATTTGGAGTGCACCTGCTGGGGAGCCAACTGTTGGACATTTTTAGATGCTACCTCAGCAGCCGATGAGGTTTGAATGTGTAATTATTGTATTTATATTCTTATACTCTGCCAAAGTTCATTGTAAAATAGTGTCATTTTCCATATAGTTTTTGACCTGTCCTTTAGACCCAGGTCCATCTGCTTTTCTAGTGTGATGACTTTAAGTTGGAGACTGTGAAGCACAGAGTCAAGAAGATAAATAGAAGTTGCATCTCCACTCCAAGGCAAAGTTCTTAAAAATGCAAAACTAATAACATGAGCTATTATGATATATCTATGCTAAGTGAAGCACAGAAAAGTGATGTGGAGAGAGGTTACCTCTTGACATCACAGTTGGGGCTAAAGCAGTTTTTTTCACAATGTAGTTATGGCTCATATCACACTCTTAAGTATAAAATAATAGACCAATTTTTTCTTGTCTTACAATGAATTTATTTAAACTGAGAACGCCTTCTGACCCTATTAGCAGAAGAGTCAACTTCAGTCATTAATGGAGCTTGCTACACACTCTCACTCTTGGGGTCATGGAGAGGTCTCGAGGTTTTGTGATGAAAAGAAGAGCACATTGGAGGAGACCCCTCTCATGTTCAGTCCACAGCAGTTACCACTGAGATGGCATGTTCCACGCCCATCTCCCTTGAAGTATGGCAGCTCTCTGCTTCCCAGTTTTGATTGGGGCACTCCCACTTTGTGGGAGGCTGAGAATTCTTGTCCTATGTCATCTTCCCTGCTGCTCCATGTCACCCTTTTCCCTGAGGTCTGGCCACCCATACTGGGTGCAGCTGAGAGCAGAGATCTGCGCTTAATACATCTTCCTTTCCTCTCTCCCCTAATTCCTGACCAGCATAATCCCCCACAAAGAACTCAGGCTTCCAAGGGGAAAAAATCCAGGAAGACAAATTGTTTAATTTTTTTTCAACCATCAACAAACCCTCCTTGATGGCAAATGAGCGTAAGAGCCCAGCAACCTGGAAGGAAATGATGAGCACAAAATCAAGGAAGAACTAAAACACAATCAATGTCTCAATACATCATCCTGCCACAGTCAAATAACATCATTTGAACTTCAGAAGAGCTAGAAATGGATACGTTCTAGTAATGTCAGGATTCGGGAATTGCTTCTCAGATTTTTTTTCCATTAGTCAATGCAAAATGGAACATGAATGTCGGAAGTGTGAAAGCAGCTCCTAGTTTCCTCGTGGGAATAGAGATAGAATAAACAAAAAGACATAACTCCCTTCTCTCATTCACACAGAAAAGCATTGCAATTAACACAGACCAGAGCAGGCCTGGAGCTATTTTTCCTATTCAACAGCATGCAATGTGTTTACATTTCATTAAGATCCATATTCACACTGGTGATGGCATGACACAAAGTCCAGGGCTACTTTGCCCCTGAAGTGGTACCCCAATGTGACTGCAGTTATTAGAGTGTTCAGGGATAGCCATCTGTGATTTCATACTAGAGATTAAGATCTTTGAGGAGAGAGAGATAGAAATAGCACCAACACTTATAAACTCAAATTAGTATGTATGCTTGCCAGATACAGCACAGAAAAAAAATAATTAATGACCATTTTAATGTGAATTATGGATGTGTGACCTAGGTCACACTCTGAGTACCTATCCTCCAGTTCTGAAACTTTTTTTGGTGGAAGAATGAAATAATATCAAAAATATGATCATTTGAAACTGGCTGAAGCAAAATGAGTGAGTTGGCTGTTGCCTGGTCTCTCCAGGTATTCAGCAACAACCTCCAGGGAAATTTTGTTTTGGCTGATATGCAAAGCTGATGGAGCCAAGGTCCTGTCTTCAAAACATGAGTGTAAGTGACATGCTGGAAGAACATTTGTGCAGTCTTCACGGACAAATTCATCTCAGTGGTTGGCATTCTTATTTGTGACTTAATGAATAATTGTTGAATGAATGGATGATTGTGTGAATGAGCAAGTAAATGAAAGGTTGCAAAGGCCCTCAGAATGAAAGGCGCTTTAGGGATTGCTTTTCACCAAAAGTAGAGTGAGAAAGAGAGAGAGTGCTGTGAGACAAGGATGAAGATGAAAACAAGGGCCAGATAACTCAGCATCTGGCATGCCATGGTAAGGAGATGGACTGTATTTTTGATGATATTGGAAGCTTCTGATGGATTTTTAGCAGCTCAATGACGTGATCTGTGCTTTAATTCTGAGTACTACATTTAGAATAAAATAGAATTGCAGTGGCGTATACAGGACAAGTATGGTGCTACACAATAGTCCAAGAGAAAGATGATGGAGGCTTGGACCAAAATGGGGTTGACAAAGGAAAAGACAAGCAGACAGGTCCAAGACATTTTGAAAAGAGGAGTCAAGGACAACTACCAGGTTTTTGCTTTAGTGACTAGAGGACAAGGAAACCATTTACCGGGATGGAGAGGACTGGATATGGCCAACTTAGAGAGGAAAATCATGGAGTCCAGTTTTGATGCTAAGTTTAAGAGGCAAGTGAGGCATGCAAAGGGAGATGTTGAGAAGGCAATTAGAGATGAGTCCTGCACCCAGCACAACTAACTAGAGATCAAAAGCTTGGAGTGATCAGCATAGACATGGTACTTAAAATCATAGAAAGGATCAGATTACCTAGGGAGAGAGCACAAGCATGAAGAGGGTCCAGGGTCCAGCCCTGAGGAACTCCAATAGGAAGGGGCTGGATAGAGCAGAAAGGCCAGGAAGGAAGAAAACCAACAGAGGATGGTGGTGTCACAGAAACCAAAAAAAAAAAAAAAAAAGGAGAGAGAGAGAGAATGTCACCAGAAAAAAGGCACAAATTGCTACATGGAGTCAAGGAAGAAGAAGATGAAAAATGTTTCACTGGATTCAGCAGGAGTCATTGACTTTGATGAGCAATTCTAGCAGAAACCAGATTGCAACACAGAGCACAGTGAGAAGTGATTACACTGTAGACTACTCTTTCAGGAAGTATATTTAACCTTCATTATTTCCATCAATTCTTTCACCTATTTAACCCTAAAATCAAACACTTCCGTATTTGCCATGAAAATTAACAAACCACTTACAATGAAATAGCTTCAGCCATTGAAAGAATAAGGTATCAGATGTGTGTATATATGGAAAGATGAAGGAACCAGATGTGTGTGTGTACCAGATGTATATATTAATATATAGACATGGAAAGATGAAAAAGATATATAGTTAAATGGAAAGAAATTGAGCATTGAAAAAGAGATAAAATAAAGAAAATACACATGTATGTTTAAAAAAACAATATGTTGAAGGAATACATAGCAAAGTAATAATTGTGATTATTTCTGAGGACGGGAGTGTGAAGCATTTTCATACTGTGTGTCATACAAATTTTATAGAGGTATAACTTATTTTTGTAATTAGAGAAAAATAAGTTTGTTTTTTTTAGGACCATTACAAAACGCCGTATCAAAAGAAAATGCCCTTAACCCACAGGAGCTCACATTTAATTGGTCTATAAGGTGTGGCCTAAAAGAGCTAACACATTCTAACTGCTCTGCAGAGGAAAAGACCATCCATCTTTACCAGAGAGCAGCCGACTTTTGGTTGGGACTCTTCATAAAACATCCTGTAAAAAAATCTTCTAAAAGTCAGTTATAAACTTCCAAACTTTCCAGCAAAGAAATATGCTTTAGTGCAAAGTAGAATCTGACTTGAGAAGTGCCACAGATGGAAGACTGTCTTCAAATACAAGTTTAAATTATCTTCCTTCTGTGTCTGCTTTAATGGCAAGCACTTGATAAGTTTCTTTTTTCTAATAAATTACCAATAAGTAATTTAAAAAATGCAATGTTTTTAAAAGCAAGTCAGACAATTTACAACTGATAAATCAAAAGATCTGAAACTATGGTAACATGGTCAAAGTCAATATTAGCCGTGTTTATACATCAAAAGTGTGGATCTAGCCAAATGAACAATGCTCCATAGGGAAAAATGTTTTATTGACCTCAAGGGCAACAGTTGGTTTCCAAGAAGGAAATTTCATTACTTTGTGTTATGTGTTCTACTACAGATCCTGCTTTGTTGTAAACTTGTCATTTTGAGTCTGAGTTCTGTATTTGTTGCTGAAATACAGGGGCAGTGAATCTACACGCTGAGAACCCAGAGTGGAAACTGGTTTCCTTTCATTTGTTCTGACTCAACATCCAATCAGCACCAGTGACCTACTGAACTGGCATGAGGGAACACACATGAAGAGGAAGATACTCAATTAGATCTGTGCCCTTCACAATCTTCAATTTGTCAGTCAAGCCACCCTCTAATTCATATCTATTCCTGGATACATAATTTTTCTGTTCCAGAACATATTGTCTGTTTTAGCTTTACAATCCAAAATAGAATTGGCTGGCTTTTGTTTTAACAATTTGCAAAGTGTCTCTAATTTGCTGCTACCCATTTTCACCTTTCTTTTTCCTACCAAACATCTGTTCACTTTACATTTTTTTCTGATCATTCTATCCTAACATTCTATTCTAACATATAATTTCCTGACACTCTCAAAAACAAACAAAAACCTCTTGGGAGCCATTCATTCAACTGTTCACATTCAAGGTTATTATAACTCAGTTTGGGAGAAATATAAAATACAATTTTATTAATAATTTAAATAGATTTCCAGCTCAAAATGTCCAACCCCCTAATTCTACAAATAAGAAAATTACTAAGCCCACTAATATCTGATGGCCTGATCAGAGCACATTAAGAAATGGCTCAGATCTATGACTACTACCTAAAAAAGCACTGGAGACTTTTTTACATGCATAGGTCGGTAATAACAATAGTAAAGGAAACATCACATTGGTTTTATATTACAATTATTTGGGACTATTTGTCTTCCCCAATAGATGGTAATACACTAGAGAGCAGAAACTATGATGTGTTCATTTTACTTATAGCAGCACATCTTGCACATAGGAATGCTTAATAAATATTTGCCGTCTTCAATGTGTTGAGTGGCTTTGTAGTTGACCTCCTGGTAACAAGATGGTTGCTGGGTAACTAGCATCACTTACAAACACAGCAATATCCAGCAGAAGAAGAACTGGTTCTTCTGGGTCACCTGAGTACATCTGAACCACTCACTTTTAAGGGGAATGGAGTCACTATGCCTGGTTTTATGAAGTCACCAGCAATATCTGTGTAACACTAATAACACTTTGTAACAACCTTGGAGCTTGCTTGTAGAGACCTATAAATAAAAATGCAAACTGCCAAGTTGTGTGTACTTTACAATTCAACTTTGTAAAATGTTTGCACATATGGCAAAAAAAAACTCTGAAATATATACCTATTAAAATATATTTGCTTGACAGGATAAAGGCTCCTTTTCTTCTGTTGTCAATTTCTTTCTTAATATTGTTGGATTGTTTTAGAACTTTTTTAAAAAATCAAGTGAACTTTAATATTCACATACATAGCCCAGTTTAACGAGACAATAGTCTTTGACCTCTGATCTTCCCCTTCAGGACTGACTACCCAAGAGATAGATGACCCTCCCCAGGGCAAATCTATTCCAGGAGCAACTGAGACAGATTCCCCAGGTGATGAGCATTGATAGCAGCTTCACTTTTCTTGACGATGTCCAATGAGAGTGCACTGAAGGTTGCTGAGATAAGTGGCAACACCTGCTATGTGTGGAAATTTGGGAAGGATGGTAGTGTTTGGGAGAGCTCTGAGTCATCCTCTGGCCCTTCTGTTGGCTCCTCAGAAGCTGACTTCAATGGATGATGGTGACATCCTGGAAGATGCCACAGCAACTGCACCCACAGTGTGGTGTGATGGAATGAGAAGGGAGGAGCCTGAACTACCCAGGGAGCAGGTCAAATCAGGAGATCATGCCTGCTGGGACACGTCATTGAGGGTGAACAAGCAAAGAAAAAGAGACCACCACAGTGAAATTTTACAGTATTGGCTGTTGGATGGTTTTCCAGGGTAGGAGGTTATATTGTGTGTTAGTTGTAAAAGTTTTTTTGTATAGGTTGTGGCCAGGAAGCTTGCAGTGAAAATAAAATGGCAGCCTACCAGTGCAGGACAGGACAGACATTTTCTAGGGCTTATGGATGGGGCTTGCTCCAGTGAGCACTCCTAAAGAGACAGGTGCCATATGCTTCGGAACAGCTCCATCCATTTTCCATTCTTAATCTCCTCCAACAGGCACAGCATACTGAGTACTGAATCTATTGAACTAGTTTACTTTGTAATAAACAAATATTTCCATTTTGACTTTCTAAGGTAAGAGATTTTTATATCATATATAAAAAATAAATCATAAGCATCAAATATCAAATAATCATTATAGATAGCAAGTAAAAATGTCCAGAAACACTCCATTGACCAAATAATCAAAGAAATGTTAATTAAAATAATACAGAATGTTTTTCATTCATTACACTAGAAAAAGTATTTAACAATATTAAGTTGAGGAGAAGGAGAAGTGAAACGAAAATGGATACTCTAGTGCCATGTAAATTAGAATCACCTTTTATAGAGAGTAATTTAGCATACAAACAAAATGATCATCTCATAGGAACCAGCAAATATATCACAGAAATCTAATTCAAGAAATAATCCAAAATGTAGAAAAATCTGTAGACCCAAAGATGTTTGTCATAGTGTTCTTTATATTAACCTAAATATAAAATAATTGGGGGCCATTAAACTAAATCATAAAATATAACATCAATCAACTATTGTGCCACCATTATCAACCCTAGTTAGGAAAACTGTGTTGAGGTAGAGAAAAAGTACAATTTAACCCATGCTTTAATTTTGAAACACAGAGAAAATGTATGCTTATCTTGTCTGCAATTAATTTGGTCATCCTGCTGAGCCCCCATTTGATATGGTTTGGTTCTGTGTCCCCAGCCAAATCTCATCTCAAACTGTAATCCCAACCTGTTGAGGGAGGGACTTGGTGGGAGGTGATTGGATCATGGAAGCAGTTTCTCCCATGCTGTTCTCATCATAGTGAGGGAGTTCTCATGAGATCTGATGGTTTAAAAGTGGCAGTTTCCCCTGCCTACTCTGTCTCTCCTGACACCATGTAAGATGTGCCATGCTTCCCCTTTGCCTTCCACCGTAATTGTAAGTTTCCTGAGGCCTACCTAGCCATGCAGAATGGTGAGTCAATTAAACCTCTTTTCTTTATAAGCTTCCCAGTCTCAGGCAGTTCTTGATAGCAGTGTGAAATGGGCTAATACAGAGAATTGGTACTGGCAGAGGAGGGTAATGCTATAAAGATAAACTGAAAATGTGGAATCAGCTTTGGAACTGGGTAATGGGCCAGAGGCTGGAACAGTTTGGAGGACTCAGAAAAAGACAAGAAGATGTGGGAAAGTTCGAAACTTCCTAGAAATTTGTTGAATGGTTTTGACCAAAATGCTGATAATGATATGAACAATGAAGTCCAGGCTAAGGTGGTCTCAGATGGAGATGAGGAACTTATTGGGAACTGGAGTAAAGGTCACTCTTGCTATGCTTTACAAAGAGACTGGTGGCATTTTGCCCCTGCCCTAGAGATCTGTGGAATATTGAACTTGAGAGAGATTATTTAGGGTATCTAGTGGAACAAATTTCTAAGCAGCAAACCATTCAAGAGGTCACCTGGCCAATTCAGAAAGCATTCAGTCATGTGTATTCACAAAGAGATTATCTGAAACTTGGAACTTTTATTTAAAAGGGAAGCAGAGCATAAAAGTTTTGAATATTTGCAGCCCGACCATGAGGTAGAAAAGTAAAACCCATTTTCTGGGGAGAAATTCAAGCTGGCTGCAGAAATTTGCATAAGTAACAAGGAGTTGAGTGTTAATCCCTAAGACAATGGGGAAAATGTCCCCAAGGCATTTCAGAGATCTTCACAGCAGCCCTTTCCATCAAAGGCCTGGAGGCCTAGGAGGCCTAGGAGGAGGCCCAGGGCTCTGCTGCTTTGTAGAGCCTTGAAACTTGATGCCCTGCATCCCAGCTGCTCTAGCCCCAGCCATGGCTAAAAGGGACCAAGGTACAGCTCCAGCCATTGCTTCAGAAGATGCAAGTCCCAAGTCTTGGTGGCTTCCATGTGGTGTTGGGCCTGTGGGTGCATGGAAGACAAGAGTTGAGGTTTGGGAACCTCCACTTAGATTTCAGGAATGTATGAAAATACCTGGATATCCAGGCAGAAGTCTGCTGCAGGGGTGGAGATGTGCCTAAACAGGAAAGAAGTCCAGAGGTTTCTGAGTTAGTTGATTTAGTGGCTCCTTAGTATAATCCTAGGTTCTTTTTATAAACTGGTTCTGCCATTAACAAGCACGAACCTGGACATGGTGCAAAAGAACCATCTCAACCATTGTCTTCTTAAAAGCAAGGGAAGACTTCCCACCTTCACAGCTTATTGGCAGATGAAGAATTAACCCTCAAACCACAGATAGAGCACCTCACCTGAATCATACAGAGAAGAAAAACACCCGGACACAATCAAGGTTCTGTTAGCAAAGAAGACCAGTGAAATAGGTATACAGTAAATAACGAGTAAACAACCAGCAAGTGTCTGATCTTCCAGTTTGGAGCTTGGCATTTATTGTATACCAACCTCACATTTTTGTGTGCCGTGGAAAGTTAGGCAAAAAATTTGGATACTCATTAAAGAAATGAAGGATGTTAAACATTTTTAAATTATAATTCTTGTTTTTTATATTTATAATGAAATGTTGAATGACAAAAACCAATTGAAAAAATATGCATTGACCACAACTAAAACTATGTTTTTAAATGCATTTTAATATAAGAAAGAAAACACACCAAAATAATAAAAGTGATTGTGATTAAGGTCTTGGGGACTATTGATGGTTTTTCTCCTAATTTCCGAGTCTTTTATAATATGCATAAATTCTTATATAATTTTTTAATTATAAAAATTCCAAACTCCATTCTATTTTGTGTTTTTCTTTTAAAATTCTCATTATTATTGTGCTCCAATTTTCTTTATTTTAACATCCTATAAGAGGAAATAACCTGCATAGCCTACCTGTGTTCATTTTACATATGAGGCACAAATACTCTTCATGAACAGGGTAATTAAACAAAATATTCCTCTGTCATAAATGCATGCTCAATGTAGCTAAACTTGCCTTTAAATGTACTCCCCTCATTAAATCTGAAGAGGTTATTTCTAGTATTTTTCCCACAACCACTGTAAAATTCTAATGGGCTCCATAATTATTTCCTATTTTTCAAGGCACTTTCAAATTTGTACATTAGTGACACTGAAACACTCAAGCTACTATTTTTGAGGTATTATTCACTCCTAAAGCACCTTTAAAAGGGAACTCTTAATTCTGCTCTTTTTATCTCCCAATTTCTTCAAGCCCAAGAGTTAGCTTGGCTTCCAGAGTAGTTATTTGGTTTGAAATATGCCAACTCCCATTTAAGCAGAAGCTGATTCTGAATATAATGTGTTCACCTGCCTTGCAGTCATTTCCCTACCACCCAACCTGCTGGCTCCACTGCTGATGCTGCTATCGCACGTCTTTTCCCTGTTGGTCTGTGGGTACTGCCAAAACGTTCAAATCAGTCTGTCACATGCTTTCTTCTGCTATATCCAGGCTTTATAATTTATTGTTATAGAAAACCAAGAGTAGAATTGTCACATAGTCCTTAGGTGTCACTTCACCAGCTAGAAACCTCTGTGGCCAGCAGCACCTCTGCTTGTGTTTTGCTTGTGACCACTGGTTTCATTCCGCCCACTTGGCCCAGCAGGCTGCACTCAGCTTGCACTACTGGCCCAAATCCCATGCATGCCAAGGGTGAGCCAGGTGCAGAGTGGTGAGGGGTGTGTGAGTGAGCACAGGGTCCAGCCACTGCTCACAGCCAGGCATGCTGGCTGTGGTGGGATGGGCAGCTCCAAGTGGCAGCACAGGTACTGGCTCTGTGAAACCCGGAAACTTGGAGACATCAGAAACTGCAAAGCCCTAAAGAGATTGTCACAGCCCTGGCTCAGGGAGACCCTGGGTCTGGACTCCCCAAAGGGCCACAGCTCTTTTCTTCTCATTGCCCACAACATGGTAAACAGGGAGCATGTTTTGGCCCTATTTGTGTTAAAACTCTTTCATTCCCACCTTTCAGTGGGTCCCAAGTTCTTGTCTTGCATCCAGGAAGAATGAGGTACACAAACAACTGGAGGGTGAGCAAGACAGAGAGGAGCTTCACTGGGTGACAAAACAGCTCTCAGGAGACCCAAAGTGGGTAGCTCCTTTCTGCAGGCAGGTCATCCCAGTGAGTATCCGGCTCTCAGTGCAGAGGAGACCTGTGGTGGGTAGCTCCTTCCCACAGCTGGTAGTCCCAATGTCTATGTGAGTCTTGCTGGGTCTGGAGTTTTTATGGGCTCAGAAGTGAGTAAATGCATGCTGATAGGTCCATGGGTGGCCATGGGCAGGCCTGAAGAAAGCACCATAAGTTCTCACTCTGGGTCACAGACTTCACCCAGAACTGACAGCCCTACCCCTAGACTTCAAGCAGTCCCTGTCTTGAAGGTGACGCTTCACCAGAAACCTGCCCTTTTCGACCCAGAAGCCTGTCTTCCTCCTGGCACCATCAACATGTCCTCCACAGCATCCAGGCTGTTTGTGCCTACAGGCCCAAACCAAGCCAAACTCAGCCCCTCCTCAGCTTCCATCTTGTGCTCATTGGCACCCAAAGTCCAGAGGGGGCCAAGATGGCAGGGGGCTGGTGTGTCAGCACAACCCCAAGCACATGCACACTTGGCCAGGTCTTGACAGTATCCTGGCTCAGCCACAAATTTGCTCTGCCCTAGAGTGAGCATTGGGAGCAGGGAGAGGCCAGGTAGTGGAAACAGGCATTTTCAAGCCTGCGGGGTCAAGGGGCTCCCTAGGCCCCCAAGAGCACAGGGATGCCCCGGTCCGTAGTCACAGCTGGGTGGCTGCAGCTGCCCCCAGGAGCATAAGGCTCCTGCCCCACTGACTTGGCAGGGGGTGGGCCTCCCACCTGTTCCAGCCCCTGCTGGCTCCATGGAATGCACAGCTCCAGCTGTGCCTCCCCTGCTGCAGCTGGCATCTTCACAGTGGCCACTCTAGACAGACTGCCACTGCCATCTGAATGATGACTAATGCATCTTTATTCTTGTCCTACTACTGTAGTAGTCCATTCAGGCTTCTATAACAAAATACCACAGACTGGATGGCTTATAAACAACAGAAATATATTTCTTAAAGTTCTAGAGGCTGGGAAGTCCAAGATAAAATTGCTGACAGATTTGGTGTCTGGTGAGGGCAGACTTTCTGGTTCATAAACAGAGCCTTCTAGCTGTGTCCTCACATGATACAAGAGGCAAGGCCGCTCTTTGAGAACTCTTATAAGATCATTAATCTCCATTATGAGGGTTCTGCCCTCATGACCTAATCATCTCCAAAAGGCCCACCTTCTAATACCATCATATTGGGGATTCAATTTCAACATATGGACATGGACATACAGACCCTAACAATTTTCATCTTTCTCTCTACAGTTCTAGAGTAGAAGAGCCTTGAAAGAGTTGGAATCCAATGTCTTCTATCTAACCTGGCATTTGCTAATTCCTCCATTAAAAAAAATCTTCATCACAAACTGAAATCTCTTTTCAATTCCTTTCTTTCTTTCCAATTAACCTTCCAGCCTAAGGCCCATTTTTTAAATAGCTCTTTTAATTTACCTCCTCTCCAGACCATATTTTTTGCAGTACTGTGTACTTATTGTTTTTCATTTCTCTTCAACCACATTGCCCTCTGCTTTTTTTCTTTCTTTTTTTTTTCTTTTCATTTAGACATCCCTACTATGAGTTTCTCCTCTAAGATTCTTAGTGGATCAATTTAAAAGTTGGAAGTTGTTTTTGGTTTCTTAAGTAGTCAGACTTGTTACTTAAGTAGTCAGACCTATTACTGTTAATACCATAAACCAGTAAATGTAAAACTGTTTTTACCATTTTAGACAAAAAAGTATTTTCATGTTAAATGCTTTCAAAGAACCAAAAGCCTACTCTTGTATAAAAGAAATAGAAGTATGCACAATTTCTCATAAATATGATCTTTTACCAAAAAAATTTAGGAAAGAAACATTCTTTTATCATATAATGCTTATTTCCTTGCCAGTACAGATAAAAAAAATTCCTTTTCCTGTTGAATGGGAAAAAATATGTGCAAACTATTCATCTGACAGGGGACTAATATCTAGAATATACAAGGAACTCAAACAACTCAACAGAAAAAAAATAATTTCATTAACAAGTAGGCAAAGAACATCAATAGACATTTCTCAAAAGAAGACATACAAATGGCCAACACATATATGAAAATATGCTCAACATGACTAATCATAAGAAAATGGCTATTATTAAAAAGACAAAAAAAGATATTGGCAAGGATGCAGAGAAAAGGAACTCTTTCTAGTGTAATTTCAACTTTTATTTCAGATTCAGCATGTACATGTGCAAGTTTGATACCTGGGTATATTGTGTGACACTGAGATTTGGAATATGAATGATCCCATCACCCAGATAGTGAGCATAGTAGCCAACACTTAGTTTTCAAACACTTTCCTTTCTCCCTCCCTTCATTCTATTAGCCCCCAGTGTCTATTGTTGACATCTTTATGTCCATGAGTTCCCAATGTTTAGCCCCCACTTATAAGTGAGAACATGCAGTATTTGGTTTTCTGTTCTTATATTAATTCACTTAGGATAACGACCTCCAGCTGCATTCATGTTCCTCAGTAACACTTATACACTGTTGGTGGGAATGTAGAGCCACTGTGGAAAACAGTATGGAGATTTCTCAAAAAACTAAAAACAGAATGACCATTCAATCCACCAATCCCACTGCTGGATATTTATCCAAGTGAAAAGAAATCAATATATCAAAGATATACCTGCACTCATATGTTTATTGCAGTACTATTCACAATAGCAAAGACATGGAATCAACCTAAGCGCCCATCAGTGGTGGATTGGATTTTTAAAATGTGGTACATATACACTATGGAATACCACACAGCCATAAAAAGCAATGAAATTGTGTCACTTGGAGCAACATGGATGAAGCTGGAGGTTATTGTCTTAAGTGAAATAAGCCAGGCACAAAAGACAAATATCACATGTTCACACTTACATATAGGAACTAAAAAAAAATTGCATACATCTAGGTAGAGAGTGGAAAAACAGATAATGCAGACTGAGAAGCGTGAGTACAAAGGAGGAGGAGAATGAAGAGAAGTGTGTTAAAGGGTGCAAACATATAGTAAGATAAAAGAATAAGTTAAATGTTTGATAGCAGAGTACAGTGACTATACTTTTAAAAATGCACTGTATTTGTGTGACAGACATCCTAAATATCCTCACTTAATTGTTACACATTAGATACATGTAAAAAATCTCATGTACACCATTAATTTGCACAAAGGAAAAAAATAAGAGAAGAAACCTATTATTACTGTTACATAACTGTGGGTTTAATAAAAGTTTAACAGAGGAGAAAAAAAGAAGAATTATTGCTCATGAATATTGTATGTACACACTAATTTGGAAAGTGCTAGAAAATATAAACACAAAACATCATATGCTACTGCTTGGGAACTTTTATCTGTGGAATGGAATTAATACTGAGCAGAAATTAAAATTCTAAAAGGGTGGTAGATTGTTTGTAAAACTGGCTGCACTAGTTCTCCTTCCTATCCATGCCCTCAGGTAGTCTCAATGCACACTGACTCTGGGCTTTGCCATTTGACTTGCTTTGAGCAATGGGGCAATAGCAAACATGATACAAGCAGAAACACAAAGTGCTTGCCTTTCCATGCTGCCTTTTAGGAACCTACAATCATCTCAATGTAAGAAACTCAAGCTAGCCCACAAATGATGACAGACACTTAGTCATCTCCATCACTCCATAGACATCTAGGCAACTCTCAGATATGTGAGTGAGTCCATCCTACACCCTTCAGCCCAGCTCAACAACCCAAATCAGAAAAACTACTCAACTTACCAAAGGATTGTGAAAAATAATAAATTTTTATTGTTTTAAGCCACCAGGTTTGTGGGTGTTTTGTGATAAAGAAAAATATAGCTGAGAAAGAAATTTGTTCTAACATTAGAGTGCTGATATAATGAAATCTAAAACAAGTAGCACTGACTCTAAGACCTGGTAGCAAGCAGAGCCTGGAGAAGAAGCAAAGAAAATTTTAGCCAAGTCTAAAAACTGTCAAATAAATAGTTAGCAGAGGCTGGAAACGCAATGAAGAACCTGCTTTAGCAGGCTGGAAAATGAATCTCACATTATGTAATAAAGAAATAATTGGCAAAACTATCACATACGGTAAACTAGGAAGATAGAATATCACCGAATGAAACTGCAGATGTTGGTAAGATGATTTGCAGGTAGAATACTGAGTGTCAATTGGCTTATTTTAGCTGATAATGATATGGTATGAGAAGAGATGGATGAGTTAGGAGAACTGTTTGGTTTCAAGCAGAATTTAGAGGTATATAGAGGAGCCAGAACATACTGGATGGGACAATAAAACAATAAAATTAGACAATGTCTCATTTCCAGTCCCTTAAGCCAGTAAAAGATCCTCAAAGTAATAAAACAGCCTCAAGAAAAAGATCAAATCAAGATGCCCCTGCAAGCCGATTTGTTAATACCTTGTAAGATTTAACGCAGTGATTAATGGGTCCTCTCAACTATACAAAGTGCTTGCATTAAAGTAATTGTTCCACAGCAGCCTGACATGGCTCCCAAAATAAAAGAGAGGCCTGTCTCAGAACTGTACATGGAACTTTCATTAAATGGAGTAGATCTGAAACAGATCCTTAGAGAAACCCACAGAGATTTCAGGAGAGTTGTGCTAATGAAAGTTATGTCAACTTGGACTATAATAGACTTGAGACACCTAAAAATAAAGAGAGGCCTCTGGGCTCCCAGCTTTCTATGAGAAACAGGCTGAGAAGTTTACTCAGCTGCAAATACTAGCCACTTTTACGGAAATCAAAGGCATTTTAGAAAGTGACACTAAGAGACATAAAGAACAATGGACTAGGAAGCCACTCCCGGGAAATAGAACCTAGCTCTGATCCCAAAGGCAATGCTCCGTGGCAGCATGTGTCTATTTAGATTTCAGAACTGCTGTGGACTAGTAAGTGCTATGTGATTCCTGTTATTTTCTTTTCCCTTTTGAACACAAATGTCCGTTGTTATTATCCTGGTCCTATTTTTTTTTTCTTTTTTGAGATGGAGTCTGACTCCGTCACCCAGGCTGGAGTGCAGTGGCGCGATCTCAGCTCACTGCAACCTCCGCCTCCCGGGTTCAAGCGATTCCTCTGCCTCAGCCTCCCAAGTAGCTGGGACTATAGGTGCCCACCACCACACCCAGCTAATTTTTGTATTTTTAGTAGAGACAGGATTTCACCATATTGGCCAGGCTGGTCTCAAACTGCTGACCTTGTGATCCACCCGCCTCGACCGCCCGAAGTGCTGGGATTACAGGCATGAGCCACCGTGCCTGGCCTCCTGGTCCTATCTTATCAGGGGGCCATATGAGTTGCCTTTTTAATTCCTAAGTCTTTGGATCACGAAGCTCTCCACCAAAGGAGCCTATCAACCCATCCCAGATCCTGAAACCTCTTCTGAAGCTTTTTCACTGAATCCCACCCTCACAATTCCTGCTTCCCAGCTTCAACCCTGACCCTTACTCCTGCCTGATCCTCCCAGCTCTCCATGGGCATTTAGAAGTTGCTATCTCAGCAGATGCCCCAATAGGCCTTAGACCTTTAGCCTCTGAACTTATTCCAAGCCCCCTGATTTGGCTTCCTATGTGACTCACGGTAACTCTACCCTTCTTCGACATGTGAATTCAATGCAACTAATGACTATCAAACATTTACTTTATGAAAGGCCTAGTGCCTGTGGTACAGCATATCAAGTAAGATTTCCTGCTCTCTAGAAGCTTAGGGACAAAGCCATGCATGTGCTATAGATGCTGTGGTGGATTATTTGCAAAGACGGCATCAACAATTCCTCCCATCCCTATAGGTATGCATCCTATGGAATGAGACCTTGTAGCTCCTCTTATCAAGCTCCTCCTTGTAGCTCCTCTTATTTTTCCACCCCTTAAATTTTGGCTGGCCTGTGAGTTACTTGGACCCATAGAATGCAACAGAAATGGCATTGCATGACATCCGAGCCGTGGCATCAAGAGGACTTACAGATTCTTCTCTCACCCTCTTAGACAGTGATGCTACCATGTGGGGAAGCTCAAGCTAGCCTGCTGGAGGACAAGTTCACATGCAACAGAGATGAGCCAGCCCAACTTAAGCCCCCCAGATAACTAAAGAGACATGGGTGACCCCAAGTGAGACCAGCAGACCACCTGTCTGATACTAGCCCCAACTGCTGACACAGAATCATGAGCAAATAAAACAATAGTTGTTTTAAACTATTAAATTTGGGGTGGTTTATTATACAGCAAGAGGTAACTATTACAGAAGCACAGAGGAAAAAGAGATTAACTGTGAGAACATTACTTATGCTTTTCACAGTTAATTGCATGATTTTAACAGGTTTTTATTGAGCCAAATGAGTTTTTTACTGATTAGGTCTCAGGCTGGATTACAAAGGGAAAGAATGGGGGCTGGAGAATCAACATTAAATAGACCAGTCCTGCCTGGGAGCTAGCCTGGGGTGGGGAGGGAGTGGTCACTTCCTCAAAGCTGCTTCTGATTTTCACCCTTCTAACCCCCAGTTCTGGACCCACAAATTATCAAGCTTCTCTCCATCTCACTCCCAGTTCTTACTCACACATTATTTTCAAGAACTAGCATATTAACAATGACTCCTATGACAGTGACAGCCAAGCAAAGAAGGGACAGGACTGGGGTGGAGGCTTCCTGCATAGAAGTATATCCATTTGATGTACATAAAAGACACCAGCATTATTTTAACCAGGTAATAAGACTTGGCATCAAAAAAAAAAATACTTATCTCACTCATTCCTTTACTTTCCAAATAAAGGTTTTTTTCTGCTCTCTGCTGAAATTTGTTTTCTGTCTTAAGCACACAAAAGGAACAGTATCTGCCATCTCCATCAAACAATATGAAATGAATACTTTAAAGTTCATGAAGCAAGAAAAAGTCATTATCCTAGTCTATTCTTGTCCCAGAGTTTCAAACAATAAGCCCATTCTGTCCAGAAGTGACAGAAGAACTACTATTGAAGATAATTAACACTAGAAATAGTCTATAAAGAATGTACAGGGTAACATAAAAACCCAGAAGAGGAGTCATGCCCCAAAATCTAGGAAGGGAGCAACATCGCTCTTTATAACTGTAAATAATGGTAACTGTGCCTTCCCAAGAAGTACTAGCCAGGATCTGGGGTCCATAAGTTTGGCATGAGCCATCCATAATTTTCCCAAAGAAAGGATAACATGCCCATAGAGTAAATTCTAGGCAAAGAGAAAATAAAGTACTAACTATAGGCAATTGCCTTCTGCCTTTCAAGGAAGTAGCTTTCTTGGGCTTGTCTGAGAAAGGTGCATAAACTGCGAAGTGAGCTGAGGTGGCCAGGGTAATGGAAAGATTCTGGATTTAGAGTGGGAATAAAAAAAGAATTGAGACAAGGCAAGTCCTGAGTTGGGAATATTTTGCATGTTGGAGGAATGTGAATCACTGACGGTCAGAAGGCAGGCTGTGGGTTGACTGCAATAATGAACATAAATTCTTTTTATCCCAGTGTGCATGCTCCTTTGCAACATCTCCTTAGAACAGAGATGTCTAATGGAGAATTTTTAAGCCATGTGAATCCTCTTTCCTGTCTCCTCTTAAAGCGTTCAGCAAACCTACCTTATTATGTGATGATTTGAGTATTATATTAGGGTTTTTTATGGAAATACATGCCTCAGAAAGGGTATGGGATAAAAGCAGAGGCTACTCAATTACATTGGGGTTGAATTAATTATGGTTTTATCCATAAATCCCTCTCTAGTCTCCTGTAACTCTGAATTAGTACCTAGGTCAGAAATAGGCCCCAGTTACCTGACCACTTCTTCCTTTGCTTCACTTCCTCTAGGCCTCCTGCAGCAGGGAAGTGCGGTGAGGCTCCTCTTCCTGGGCGTGGGCCCACCTTTCCCACTGCATGAGAGGTAGGAGTGAAAAAGAACAAAGCAGAGAAATTCAAATAGAAAGTGGACAGAGGAAAAAAGGAAGAACTTTAAACTTCTTCACACCTTTCTTTCTCCCATTTTTTTTTTTTTGATGCCACTTTCTAAAAGCCTAGCCTCCATATATACCTGGATCTTCTTAGAATTCTCTGTCCTGTTCCATTAGGTCTACTTCTCTGTTCTTACACAAGAACCTTGCTGTTTTTATTATTATAGCATTGTAATATGCTCTAACTTCTGATCAGGCAAACTCCCTCCAACTTTGCTCTTCTTTTCAAAGTTGATGTAGCTTTTCTTAAAATCTTATTCATTCCTCCATTCAAATTTATTTTTAATTGAATTTATATTCTACTCTATTTTTAAGTGTATTAAGCATTTTGTGTCCTTCTTCACAGAAGAGAATGTCCTGGGTAGAACAATATACACCAGCACATTGAAGTGGATAAATCAGAAACATGGAAGTTTAGATACCACCCAAAAAAAGAGCAATAAAATTACTTTTATGAACTTAAAATCTAATTCTAGAGCATGATGAGTCCACTGAGGTGCAGCTGCCCCATGAGATCCTTCCATGAACAGCTTCTCCCTTACCTTATTGTACTGCAGTTCCTAGCATTTTGAACAAAAAAACTCCTCAGGGTCTGAAGGAGAGCTTAGTGCCAGTCACCACAGGCCAGCTCCATGGTAGTGGCAATATTAAAAGACCTTATCTGAGCACCCTTTTAGATTTAATTATCCTCAGGGGAACCTCAGTCATAAATGGAAAATCCTGATTTACTTACTCTAAAACACTTTATTTTGTGTTAGTTGCATTTACTACTTTTACAGCAAATTTTCCTTCCTAGTTCTGCTATGCTTAAGGTAATTTGCATAGGTTTCTTTATCAGAAGATCTATGGGGAAAAGTGACCTGGGTTCAAACCTTAACTAAGAGTAGTATTTTCTTTTAGATTTTCAGATTCAACATGGTAGCTTGAGCCCACAGATTGACCTCTAAACCCCATTAGAAGGGCCAAGGAAATCTAAAAACTAAAATCTCTGTAGCAAAGCTGGAATACAGAGGAGGGTGCCAACAGAAAGTTAAAATGCAGCAGAATAGGATCAGATTGAAAAAAACCCCATCGATGTGGAAGAGGAAACTCCTTACACAGGCAATAAAGCCCCGGTGATGAGCAGTGAGTCAATTTCTCCAACAAATCCTGAGAGGGCATGGGAATCAAGTAGAACCCACAACAACCATTGGTTTCTCTGACAGAACATTTTTCTCCTCTCCTCTTTGGTCCCCGTTTTCCCTCCCTCAACTGTTATTAGTATTTATTCATTTGTTTGATTGTTCATTCAACAAATATTTGTTAAGCATCTCTTCTGAGCCAGGAAGTATTCTAAAGACTGAGGATACAGCAAGGAACAGGGAAGACAAGGTCCAAGCTCTCATGAAGAAAATATTCTAATGGAGAGACAAACAATAAAAATACCAGAAAACACCAGATGATGATAAATATTCTAAAAACACTAAGAGTAATTTGTTAAAGGTTTTCTGTCAGGCTTCCTTACATTAGTTAATCAGGAATGACCACTCTGAGGAGGTAATATTTAAACTAAATATCAGAGAGCAAAGGGAACAGCGTTCCGGGCAGAGGAAACAGGTAGTGCAAAGGCCCTGTGGCACAAACCCGCTTGGCATGTTTCCAGTCTCAGCTTAGACATCACTTCTTCCAGTGTATTTTCCCAGTCCAACCCACACACCCCCTGCCACACACACACACACCAGGCTGGATTCTGTGTTCTCAAAGCACCCTGTTCTTCCTTTACTCCAGTATTATCACACTCTGCTAAAATTGCTTACCAAATGCCCACAACACCCTGTGGAATTACTCTCTAAGGGCAGAGACTATGTTGTATTTTCAGCACCCGAGAATGTCTAGACACGGAAGAAATCTAATCAATATTGTCTAGCAAATGCATGTCTAGCAAATCAGTTCCTCTGAGTCCAAGTCTAGTTCTCTTTCCACTGTGAAACATCACCTCTCCAATAAGTGAGGACTACTGTTGAAGCAGAACTTCATTTTTATTATTTTATATTGACTTCTTCCATCTTGGAATTTCCACCTGTTCATACCTGGATAATAATTAAATTTCTGTTCTCCTTATTAGGCTCTTAAATATTGTTGGGAACAATGGAGAGAGATGTTGCCTAGTCTACTTTTATGTTTTAAATTTTCAAGAAATAACTTCCCTGGTTTTCTTAATATAATTTCCCCCTATCATCACCTCTGTAAACAGCAGCCAAAAATACCTCCATACACTTGTCTCTACCAACTAAATGACACATTTCCCTAATGCCTCCTTCTGCTGTTTCCCCTCCTTTGATAAAGCCCAATTTATGACTTCATTATCATGATTAGTTTGATTTTTGAATCCCTAGTCACTTTCCTCAGATAATCATGCTTTTATCATTCCACTCTGCTAGCAACTGCCTATATGTTGACTTTACCCTTGGTACACTAAATTCAAACTCATTCGCTCTGCAGTCCCCAGACCAAGTAATGCCACATTCAAACACAGCAACCAGAGTGCTCCCAGGTGCCTTCTGCAGTAAACACTGCAATCAAGTCATTTGATTTTACTTTCTCAGGTTCCTAGGCTCATAACTCTCTTCTGTATATACAAGAATCTAATAAAAGAAAGAAATTTGCAATGCCTACAGCATTACAGCATACTCAAAAACCTGAAAGAGCTGTTATCACTCCACAATCTCAGAGCTTGCACCGTCAATGCTTTCTGCAATCTCACGCACCTCCACAAACATTGTCTCATTTGCCATTCGTAGCATTTCATGGTGCATCTAAATGGTATTACTTGATCCCTATTTAAAAAATGAAAAAACTGTAAAAATCAGAGAAATTAAGAGAATGGTCAAATGTAGCTAGAATTTGGTGATATTTATTCATTTATTCAACAACATTCATTAGCACCTACTGTAAGCCAGACCCTAGTCTAGGTGTTGGAGATAATTTCATTGAACAAGGCAAATAACATCCCAATTCTCATAAAACTTACATTCTACTGGAGAGACAGAGTATAAAAAAGTAATCACTCATTCCATAAGGCATTTTCACAAAATACTAAGTGCTATTTTTAAATGTGTATACTATGATAGAGTGCCAGGACATGAGTTGGAAGTGGGTGCTACTTAAAATTAGACGGTCAGAAAGAACCTCTTTGAGGTGAGCTGAGACCTGGAGGAGCCAGTCATGCAAAGATATGAGAGAAAAGAGTTCCAGGCAGAGGGAAAACAAGTGCATGGCCTGGCCTGGAGGTGGGAAAGAGCTGAGTGTTTCAGGGACAGAACTAAGAGACTGCTTTTGAGGCTCAATCATTTGAGTCAAAATCTCTGTGATTCCCTAGGTCTTTTCTTCATGGTCACAAAATGTCTACGGAGGTTTCAACATCATGTCTACATTCATGACAGAAGGAATGCAGAAGGGCCAGTGCTAGCCACATCATTTCCTTTCAACAAAAAAATTTTAAAAGATTCTCAGAAAGTCTCTTGCAGAATTTTATTTGGTGTTATTGGCCTGAAGCAGTTCATAAACACTCCCCACCCACCCATCCAGCAGTGAATTAGGCAAGGAAAGTACTGTCATGACTGGCTTAGATTAGTATAGCTCCACTATCTGGGAATATTGGTACTCTGAAAAAAAATCAAAATTCCGTTGGCAAAAGAGGAGGAAATGACTATTAGGCGGCCATAATAGTGACTACCATGGTGGAAAGGAGAAGATGAATTCAGAGAGATATGGAGGTATCACATAATATTGGGCCTTGTAAAACTATGGTAAAGAGTTTCGATTTTTTTCTAAGTGCAATGTAAAATCATGAAAGAGGTAAGTAAAAGTGTGACATGGTCTGATTTGCATCTTTAAGAGTGTGGTTGCCATTTAGAAAATAAATTGTAGAAAGCAAGAATAGAAACACAGACTTTGATTACAAGACACTTGCAATGCTATAGGCAAGAGATGATGGTGGCTTACTAGGGTAGTAACAGTAAAGGTACAGAGAAGTGGTGGACTCAGAACATACCTTTTAAGTTATAACTGGAAGGACTTGCTGACATCATATGGGGGTTTCAGCAAGAAAGAAACAAACCAAAAGCTATGGTCTGATCCTCACAAATCCTTTATAATAGTATTTACAAAGACTGATAAACAGACTCAAAGAGAAAAATAATAACAATAAGAGCCATGCTTTGGATATGTTAAGCCTGTGAGGCTATTAGACATCCAAGTAGTTATCTCAGACCACAACTATAGTAGATGCTGTGATGTGCTGCTCAGTTTTCTCTTCAAGATCAAGGTAGTAATTCCCTCAGCTTCCAGGAGTGATTTGCAGATGACTCATAGCTGAGTTCCTACCTGGATATTGCCCTTGGCCCAAGGAAACTATTCTATCCAAGGTTACACATTCTCCTTGAGAGTGGTCCATATCCAATGGTTGGTTGATGCAGGCAAGCATTGGATTGGCTCCCTTGCTTCAGTTTGTAACTACTTTGAAGGGACATCCAGTGCCAGAGTTCCTCATGGGGATGGCTAAGGTTTTGCTGTGACTGTGTTGTCTCTTATCTTCTCACTCTGCCCAAACCTGCTTCCTTCATTTCTTCAAAAGTGTTCTTCCCAACATCATTCTCCAATGAACTTTGTGCATACCTGACCTGGGACACTTGATGTCCCAGGAGCAATGGAGAAAAACAGAACGTGAGGCTGGGAGCGGTGGCTCACGCCTGTAATCCCAGCACTTTGAGAAGCTGAGATGGGTGGATCACGAGATCAGGAGATCAAGATCATCCTGGCTAACACGGTGAAACCCCGTCTTTACTAAAAACACAAAAAATTAGCCAGTCACGTTTGCGGGCACCTGTAGTCCCAGCTACTTGGGAGGCTGAGGCAGGAGAATGGCCTGAACCCGGGAGGGGGAGTTTGCAGTGAGCCGAGATTGCACCACTGCACTCCAGCCTGGGTGACAGAACGAGACTCTGTCTCAAAAAAAAAAAAAACCAGAACCTGAAAATGAGACTTTTTAGCTGGCCCACCTGCTAACTGGCTGGCAATAAAGACCCCATCACTGGTGGTACATGCATTACTGAAGTCCCTGGTTTTTGGTAGGAGTTGGTTAAACTGTTTAAATTTTCACTGGTAGTAAACCAGGAGGAGACAGTGGCAGAAAGGAATGCACTCACAAGTCTACTATATCTCAGGCATTTGAGAAGTAGTAATTATGAGGGCAATGGAATCAGATGGCTATTGCTGAGTGCTATCAATGAGTAGAGAAAGACAGTGAAAAGCTGAGGGTAATTAATCACCAATTCCAGATGAATTATGAAAATCAAAGGGTCTAACTGATAACATATGAAAACGTTGTTATATACTGCAGCCAAAAAATAGAAAAGCTAGTAATTGGGTTCAGAAGTTAATTACAAGGTTAGAAGAGCTCAAGACAAGGTTGAATTCTCAACCTTGCAAGGTCTACTGTGCCAAGATGAGAGTTCTGGCTGGGGAGAGTCCTAAAACTTGGGATCTAGACATCTAGGCTGATGTACTTTAAAACCTTGAAACCCCAAATTCCCCTCCAGAGTGTCCTACTATCCCATGTTGAAGGTTAGAACTTCCCCATTTCTTGCAAATAAGGGAAGTAGAGAGGCCACTATCTTGCAGGACAATATGAACCCCACTCAGGATTCAACTCAGCACCTTCCTTCCTAGTCAGTAACTAAGATCAGTAATCAAGTCAAAATATAGCCCATCTATGCTGGGTGTGGTGGTTCACGCCTGTAATCCTAGCACTTTGGGAGGCTGAGGCAGGCCGATCTTTTGAGCTCAGGAGTTTGAAACCAGCCTGAGCAACATGGCAAAACCCCCTCTCTACAAAAAAAAATAAAAAAATTAGCCAGGTGCAGCAGCTCACACCTGTAGTCTCAGCTACTTGGGGGTGCTGAGACAAGAGGATCACTTGAGCCTGGGAGGCAGAAGTTGCAGAGTTGCAGTGAGCCAAGATCATCACACCACTGCACTCCAGAGCCTGGGTGACAAAGTGAGTTCCTAACTAAAATATATATGTGTATATATATATATTTTTTAATCCAGAAAATAATGGGCCTGTTATAGGAAAAGTCATCACTCCCTGAAGGAGCTACAGGACCTAGTCAACATTTACCAGCAGGGGCCAGGAGCAGATATATGGGGCTGGATCCAAAGGGAGCTTTATTGGAAGAGACTGGGGAATAGAACATAAACTGGTATAAAGGATATAGGATTTAACACCCTTTCAAGGATCCATGGATATGAGACAAACATGCTGAGCTAGCTCTTGGATGCTTAGAAAAACTGATGACTCACAGAAATGTTAGAATTGCCATGATAGATGATAGACAAATGGATCAAAAGACTCAAAGAAATGGACATGCTGGAGTGGATATACCATTAAGGCCAGGAAACTTGTCGGCCAAGTATATTCTGCTTGAGCACCAGAAGAATGCTCTATTTAAAACAGTAAGGAAAGCACTAAAAATGCTGGTGAGAAAAGAACCAGCATTGTGGAGAAGCTAAATGATGGCTGTCCTTCATAAGCCAGGGGTAGCAGAAAGATATACCATTACAGAATGTGGCTCCCTAATGGCATAGAGGATGATAGAATCCCCAAACAATCAAGGCCAGGAGGCACAGTTGATGCTTAATCAGAAGCAATGCAGGTGGCATAGTCAGAGTGAGATCCAGAGGAGCCTCATCTACGGAGAACAATGGAGATGGTTCACAGAATACAGAGTCCACAGGCACAAGATAGATAAGCAGCTAATAGGCATATTTGTTAATCTATGAAATCAGGGGAGAAAAGCAAGAATGAATCATCAAGAGGATGAGAGAAGCTACTCTAATAAGAACATTATGATCCCTATTCAGTTTCAATTTCTGGATCTGAGTCTGTTTTTCAAACCCAGAAACCAATTGACTGAAGGAGAGACTGGGTCTTCAGGAGGAAAGACCCTGAAACACCAAGGCAATTGTATATGATTATGTATATGATTACCCAAATCATTTGCCAAGTGGACCTATGATCATATATTAGGGTAACCATACATTGGAGAAAGGGAAATACCAGGACATTTTGAGTCTTGCTAAACATAGGCTCCAAGTCATATTGGCCACAATGAAATGTTGGATTGACCCCACTTCTATTCCAGGTCTACCTCATGATGCATATATTAGGTTCAAGAACCCACCTAGTGGTAATTTCCTCAGTCCTACCAAAATACAAACATAGGTCAGGTGCAGTGGCTCTCATCTGTAGTCCCAGCACTTTAGGAAGCTGAGGTGAGCCCAGGAGCTTGAGACCAGCCGGGAAATGTGGTAAAATCTGTCTCTATGAAGAAATACAAAAATTAGGGACATGATAGTATGCATCTGTAGTCCCTGCTACTTGGGAAGCTGAGGAAGGAGGATTGCTTGAGCCTGGGAGATCGAAGCTGCAGTGAGCTATGATAGCACCACTGTACACCAGCAGGGGTGATAAAGCAAGACCGTGTCTCAAAAATAATAATAATAATTGGCAGAATTCCCACACTGGTTTCTTGGACTCAGGGTTAAGTACTTCCATAATGTGGAAGGCCAAATGGGAGCCTCTGAGCACCCCAACTTAAACCAGCTGAATTTTATCTTGCTGGGGGAAAGTCTGTCTTTTGTTCTATTCAGGCCTTCAACTGATTGGTGAGGTGCACCCACATTATGGAGGGCAAGTGGATTACTCAAAGTCCACCCATTTAAATGTTAATCTCATCAAAAAACACGCTCACAAAAATATCCAGAAAGATGTTTGACCACACATCCAGGCACCATGGCCCACCCAAGTTAACATAGAAAATTCACCATCATGCCCTTCATGAAATTTGTACTTCCTGTCTCTGGAAACTTGACTCCTGCAGGTTCAGAAGAAAAACACATGTACCAGGGGACACAACAAAAAAGACATTAATCATTAGGCCACAGCTGCAACTCAGTTTCTTCAGGTTTCTTGTGCCAAAAGACTAGCAGGTAAGGAAAGGACATCATCCTGGCAGGGGTATTTGGCCCTGATCAGTGAAACAAGGTGAGGGGTGTCCTTAGACAAGAGGGACAGGGAAGGATATGTTTGACATCCAGGTAGTCCCCTGGGGTGTTTCGGTACTCTCTTGCCTAACTTTGATGGTAAATGAACAAGTACAGCTGCTCTAAGATATGAAGGGCATGGTGACCAGAGGTTCAGACCAGAGGTCTGGGTCACCCCACCTGGTAAACCACCTAGACCAGCAGAAGTGCTGGGAGTGAAGGGAACATAGAGGAAATGATGAGTACCATTTGCATCGCTGAGACCAGCTGCAGCAGTGGGGGACGCAGTTCACGTCACTAAACTTTCTCTTATAAGTTTCTCAAAAAAAAAAAGGGGGAACCAAAGAAAATCCTAGAAGAGCTATTCCTGGAAGGGATAAATTTATTATATCAAACAAGTGGACCCAAGGGCACAACAGGTGGAATTTGACGTGCTCTGGTGCACCATCTAGATATCCCCTCCTGAACCAAAGTGCTCACTTTTGTAGGTGACAAGCATTTTGGTTACTCACAGCAGAATATCCAAAAATCGATCTTAGCTGAAGGAGCTACTTGGCTTCCAGTTTACTCCTCCTTTCAGCTCCCATCTAATGACTGGTCAATGCAAAGACACAAAGGCCAAACCCCTGCCTCTACTAAGAATACTTCCAGTAGGGCATGGTGGCTCACGCCTGTAATCCCGCCCTTTGAGAAGCTGAGGTGGGAGGATCACTTGAGGCCAAGAGTTCAAGACCAGCCTGGGCATTATAGTGAAATCTCGTCTCTTAAAAAAAAGTAAAATTAAAAATTAGCTGGGTGTGGTGGTACACACCTATGGTCCCAGCTACTTGGGAAGCTGAGAAGGAAAGATCAATTGAGTCCAGGAGTTTGAGGCTACAATAAGCTATGATTGTACCACTGCACTCCAGCCTGGGCAACACAGCAAGACCCTGTCTCAAAAACAAACAAACAAACAAACTTCTGGAAGAGCTTTCTAGCTCCAGCACTGGGCTGAGGCTTTTGTTGTAATTACATAGTTCAACTTCTCCCTCTGCGCAAACCTGCTTTCTTCATTCCCTCATAGGAGTTATACCCAAGAGCACACCTTGATAAACTTTCTGCATGCAAATCTCCATTTCAAAGTTGTTTCTCGGATAACCTCCTCCCTCTTTCCTCTCTCGGGCCCCTTCTCCTTCTGCCCCTCAGGAAACACTGATTCACTTCTTAGGTACAAAGTTGCAAAATCTAACTTTTAAACATGAACAGTAAGGAATAAACTGTAGGAAGAAATGGCAATAGTGTTTGATTAAGTTAGACTAAAAAATGAAGAAAAGTTGCTATTGCATGCATTTTCCATGACTAAGTAAACAGCAAGCCTGTTAAAACCAGAGATGACCTAGTTACCACTGTGTGTATACATCCAAAAACAAGAAGCAGCCTCCTCTGTCATCCTTCTTTCTGGGGTAGAAAGAACTTTTAAACCCAAGAGAAAGTGGAGAGAATGCAAAGAAATTTCTAATTACATTTTTAAAAGCGGGAATTAAATAAGCACTCATTAACAGTTTATGGAGAAATTAGCTCAGAAGTTCTAGAAAAATATACCCCAAAAATGTTAACAATCGTTTACTCTGCATGCTAAGATTTAAAGTGACTTTATGCTATTTGTCTTCGTGCTTTTGAAAAATGTTTAAGACCACTATAGTCATAAAAGCCTCTTTAACCTAAATATCATTTGCATAAAACTGTTTACCTCTATTCATAAAATATACAGCATTTGATATAAAAGGCCTAGGAAATTATATACACACATATATTCATATGTCTTTGATGACTAAGATACCTTAAAATTCATCCTGAGCATTCTCTTCTCCCTCTCTAATTTGACCACATATCTTTTTTTTCTCTCTCTCTTTTTTGAGCTGGAGTTTGACTCTGTCACCCAGGTTGGAGTGCAGTGGCACAAACTCCACTCACTGCAACCTCCATCTCCAGGGTTCAAGCCAAACTCGTGCCTCAGCCTCCTGAGTAGCTGGGACCACAGGCTTGAGCCATTACACCAGGCTATTTTTGTACTTTTATTAGAGACAGGGTTTCACCGTGTTGCCCAAGATGGTCTTGAACTCCTGGCCTCAAGTGATCTGCCAAGGCCTCCCAAAGTGCTGGGATTACAGGCATGAGCCACCGCACCCGGTGACCACTATCCTTCTACCACAGTGGCTTTTATTCCTGCAGCTCTGGTTCACAACCGTCCCCACTCAGCCTCCAAAACAACTAACTCCTCTCTTCTTTAGTCCCACCGCCTTCACATCTACCATCCCCACAGCCATAGGTGACTTCCCTTCAGGGACTTCTCCAAGATCTCCCTGCCTTCCTCTCCAAGGTCACCCTCAACACTCTCTGGAGGGTGAACTGCTTACAGCTCCACATTGCAAAGCAGGCTGTTGCTCCCAAGTTTCAACAGTGAGTCTGCTTTGGGAGCCAAGTCAGGCAGATCACTTGAGGTCAGGAGTTCGAGACCAGCCGGGTCAACATAGTAAAACCCCATTTCTACTAAAAATACAAAAAAAAAATTAGCTGGGCATGGTGACTCCTGCCTGTCATCCCAGCTACTCAGGAGATTGAGGCAGGAGAATTGCTTGAACCCGGGAGAGGCAGAGGTTGCAGTGAGCCAAGATCTCTCCACTGCCCCCCAGCCTGGGGAACAGAGCAAGACTACGTCTCAAAAAAAAAAAAAAAGAACAAAGAACAAACAAAAAAAGAAAACAGTGAGTCTACTGATTTGTCAGTTTATTTAAGTTTGTATTCTGAAAAGGACTTAAGGTGGGCACTTTTTTTTTTATTATACTTTAAGTTCTGGGACACACGTGCAGAATGTACAGATTTATTACATAGGTGTATGTGACCCATGGTGGTTTACTGCACCCATAAACCCATTATCTACATTAGGTATTTCTCCTAATGCTATCCCTCCCCTTGCACCTCACACCCTGACAGGCCACGGTGTGTGACATTCCCCTCCCTGTGCCCATATGTTCTCATTATTCAGCTCCCACTTATGAGTGAGAACATGTGGTGTTTGGTTTTTGTTCTTGTGTCAGTTTGGTAAGAATGATGGTTTCCAGCTTCATCCATGTCCCTGCAAAGGACATGAAATTCTTTTTTTATGGCTGCATAGTATTCCATGGTGCATATGTGCCACATTTTCTTTATCCAGTCCAACGTTGATGGGCATTTGGTTTGGTTCCAAGTCTTTGCTATTGTGAACAGTGCCGCAATAAACATACATGTCCATGTGTCTTTAGAGTAGAATGATTTACAAACCTTTGGGTATATACCCAGTAATGGGATTGCTGGGTCAAATGGTATTTCAGGTTCTAGATCCTTGAGGAATCACCATACTGGCTTCCACATGGTTGAACTAATTTACACTCCCACCAACAGTGTAAAAGCGTTCCTATTTCTCCACATCCTCTCCAGCATTTGTGGTTTCCTGACTTTTAATGATCGCCATTCTAACTGGTGTGAGATGGTATCTCATTGTGGTTTTGATTTGCATTTCTCTAATGACCAGTGATGATGAGTTTTTAATCATATGTTTGTTGGCCATTTAAATGTCTTCTTTTGAAAAGTGTCTGTTCATATCCTTTGCCCACTTTTTGATGGGTTTTTTTTCTTTTTTTTCTTGTACATTTGTTTAAGTTCCTTGTAGGTTCTGGATATTAGCCCTTTGTCAGGTGGATAGATTGCAAAAATTTTCTCCCATTCTGTAGGTTGCCTGTTCACTCTGATGATAGTTATTTTGCTGTGCAGAAGTTCTTTAGTTTAATTAGGTCCCATTTGTCAATTTTGGCTTTTGTTGCAATTGCTTTTGGTGTTTTAGTCATGAAGTCTTTGCCCATGCCTATGTCCTGAATGGTATTTCCTAGGTTTACTTCAAGGGTTTTTATGGTTTTAGATCTTACGTTTAAATCTTTAATCCATCTTGAGTTGATTACTGTATAAGGTGTAAGGAAGGGGTCCAGTTTCAGTTTTCTGTATATGGCTAGCCAGTTTTCCCAACACCGTTTATTAAATAGGGAATCCTTTCCCCATTGCTTGTTTTTGTCAGGTTTATCAAAGATCAGATGGTTGTAGATGTGTGGTATTATTTCTGAGGCCTCTGTTCTGTTTCCATTGGTCTATATATCTGTTTTGTTACCAGTGCCATGCTGTTTTGGTTACTGTAGCCTTGTAGTATCATTTGAAGTCAGGTAGCATGATGCCTCCAGCTTTGTTCTTTTTGCTTAGGATTGTCTTGGCTATGTGGGCTCTTTTTTGGTTCCATGTGATATTTAAAGTAGTTTTTTCCAATTCTGCAAAGAAAGCCACAGGTAGCTTGACAGGAATAGCATTGAATCTACAAATTACTTTGGGCAGTATGGCCATTTCCATGATATTAATTCTTCCTATCCATAAGCATGGAATGTTTTTCCATTTGTTTGTGTCCTCTCTTATTTCCTTGAGCAGTGGTTTTAAGTTCTCCTTGAAGAGGTCCTTCACATCCCTTGTAAGTTGTATTCCTAAGTATTTTAATTTATTAGTAGCAATTGTGAATGGGAGTTCACTCACAATTTGGCTCTTTGTCTACTATTGGTGTATAGGAATGCTTGTGATTTTTGCACATTGATTTTGTATCCTGAGACTTTGCTGAAATTGCTTATCAGCTTAAGAAGATTTTGGGCTGAGATGATGGGGTTTTCTAAATACAAAATAATGTCATCTGCAAACAAAGATAATTTGACTTCCTCTTCCTATTTGAATACCCTCTATTTCTTTCTCTTGCCTGATTGCCCTGGCCGGAACTTCCAATACTATGTTGAATAGGAGTGGTGAGAGAGGGCATCCCTGTCTTGTGCCAGATTTCAAAGGGAATGTTTACAGGTTTTGCCTATTCAGTATGATATTGGCTGTGGGTTTGTCATAAATAGCTCTTATTATTTTGAGATATGTTGCATCAATACCTAGTTTATTGAGAGTTTTTAGAATGAAGGGGTGTTGAATTTTATCTAAGGCCTTTTCTGCATCTATTGAGATAATCATGTAGTTTTTGTCATTGGTGCTGTTTATGTGATGGATTATTTTATTGATTTGTGTATGTTTAACCAGCCTTGCATCTGAGGGATCAAGCCAACATGATCGTGGTGGATAAGATTTTTAATGTGCTGCTAGATTTGGTTTGCCAGTATTTTATTGAGGATTTTCACATGGATGTTTATCAGGGAAGTTGGCCTGAATTTTTTTGTTGTTGTTGTGTCTCTGCCAGGTTTTGGAATCAGGATAATGCTGGCCTCATAAAATGAGTTAAGGAGGAGTCTCTCTTTTTCTATTGTTTGGAACAGTTTCAAAAGGAATGGTACCAGCCTCCTCTCTGTACCTCTGGTAGAATTTGGCTGGGAATTCTTCTGCTCCTGGGCTTTTTTTCATTGGTAGGCTATTAATTACTGCCTCAATTTCAGAACTTGTTATTGGTCTATCATTTAGTCTTGGGAGGTTGTATGTGTCCAGGAATTCATCCTTTTCTTCTAGATTTTCTAGTTTATTCACGTACAGGTGTTTATAGTATTCTCTGATGGTAGTTTGTATTTCTGTGGGATCAGTGGTGACATTCCCTTTATCATTTTTTATTGAGCCTATTGATTATTCTCTCTTTTCTTCTTTATTAGTCTGGCTAGTGGTCTATTCATTTTGTTAATCTTTTCAAAAAAAAAACCAGTTCGTGGATTCATTGATATTTGGAAAGGTTTTTTGCATCTCTATCTCCTTCAGTTCTGCTCTGATCTTAGTTATTTCTTGTCTTCTGCTAGTTTTTGAATGTTTCCTCTTGTTTCTCTAGTTCTTTTAATTGTGATGTTAGGAGGTCGATTTTAGATCTTTCCTGCTTTCTCCTGTGGGCATTCAGTGCTGTAAATTTCCTTTTAAACACTGCTTTAGCTGTGTCCCACAGAATCTGGTATGTTGTGTCTTTGTTCTCATTGGTTTCAAATAACTTATTTATTTCTGCCTTAATTTCATTATTTACACAGTAGTCATTCAGGAGCAGGTTGTTCAGCTTCCATGTAGTTGTTAGTGAGCTACAGTGAGTTTCTTAATCCTGAGTTATAATTTGATTGCACTGTGGTCTTGAGAGACTGTTTGCTATGATTTCCTTTCTTTTGCATTTGCTGAGGAGTGTTTTACTTCCAATTATGTGGTCGATTTTAGAATAAGTGCAATGTGGTGCTAAGAAGAATGTATATTCTGTTGATTTGGGGTGGGGAGTTCTGTAGATGTCTATTAGGTTTGCTTGGTCCAGAGCTGAGTTCACGTCCTGAATATCCTCGTTAATTTTCTGTCTCGTTGATTTGTCTAATATTGACAGTGGGGTATTAAAGTCTCCCACTATTATTGTGTGGGAGTGTAAGTCTCTTTGCAGGTCTCAAAACTTGCTTTATGAATCTGGGTGCTCCTGTGTTGGATGCATATATATTTAGGATAGTTAGCTCTTCTTCTTGCACTGATCCCTTTACCATTATGCAATGCCCTTCTTTGTCTTTTTTGATCTTTGATGGTTTAAAGTCTGTTTTATCAGAGACTAGGATTGCAACCCCTGCTTTTTTTTGCTTTCCATTTGCTTGGTAAATCTTCCTCCATCCCTTTATTTTGAGCCTATGTGTGTCTTTGCACATGAGATAGGTCTCCTGAATACAGCACACTGATGGGTCTTGACTCTTTATCCAATTTGCTCGTCTGTGTCTTTTAACCGGGGCATTTAGCCTGTTTACATTTAAGGTTAATATTGTTATGTGTGAATTTGATCCTATATTTTGATCCTAAGCTTGTTATTTTGTCCCTTTGTTGATGCAGTTTCTTCATAGCATTGATGGTCTTTACATTTTGGTTTCTTTTTACAGTGGCTGGTACTGGTTGTTCCTTTCCATATTTAGTGCTTCCTTCAAGAGCTCTTGTAAGGCAGGCCTGGTGGTGACAAAATCTCTCAGCATTTGCTTGTCTGTGAAGGATTTTATTTCTCCTTCACGTTTGAAGCTTAGTTTAGTTGGATATGAAATTCTGGATGGAAAATCCTTTTCTTTAAGAATATTGAATATTGGCCCCCACTCTCTTCTGCCTTGTAGGGTTTCTGCAGGGAGATCTTCTGTTAGTCTGATGGACTTCCCTTTGTGGTAACCTGACCTTTCTCTCTGGCTACCCTTAACATTTTTTCCTTCATTTCAACCTTGGTGAATCTGATGATTATGTGTCTTGGGGCTGCTCTTCTCAAGGAGTATCTTTGTGGTGTTCTCTGTATTTCCTGAATTTGAATGTTGGCCTGTCTTTCTAGGTTGGGGGAGTTCTCCTGGATAATATCCTGCAGAGTGTTTTCCAACTTGGTTCCATTCTCCCTGTCACTTTCAGGTACACAAATCAAACGTAGGTTTGGTTTTTTCACATAGTCCTATATTTCTTGGAAGCTTTGGTCATTCCCTTTCATTCTTTTTTATCTAATCTTATCTTCATGCTTTATATCATTAAGTTGATCTTCAATCTCTGATATCCTTTCTTCCGCTTGATGGATTCAGCTATTGATACTTGTGTATGCTTCACGAAGTTCTCATGCTGTGTTTTTCAGCTCCATCAGGTCCATTTATCTTCTTCTCTAAACTGGTTATTCTAGTTAGCAATTCTGTTAGCCTTTTATCAAGGTTCTTAGCTTCCTTGCATTGTGTTACAACATGCTCCTTTAGCTTAGAGGAGTTTGTTATTACCTGCCTTCTGAAGTCTACTTCTGTCAGTTCATCAAACTCATTATCCATCCTGTTTTGTTCCCTTGCTGGCAAGGAGTTTTGGTCCTTTGGAGAAGAGGTATTCTGGTTTTTGGAATTTTCAGCCTTTTTGCACTGGTTTCTCCGCATCCTCGTGGATTTATCTACCTTTGGTCTTTGCTGTTGGTGACTTTCAGATGTTTTAGTTTTAAAACACTAAGTTTTAGTGTAGTCATCCTTTATGTTGATGTTGATGCTATTGCTTTCTGTTTGTTAGTTTTCCTTCTAACACTCAGGCCCCTCTTCTGCAGGTCTGCTGGAGTTTGCTGGAGGTCCACTCCAGACCCTGTTTGCCTGGGTATCACCAGCAGAGGTTGCAGAACAGCAAAGATTACTCCCTGCTCCTTCCTCTGGAAGCTTCATCCCAGAGGGGCATCTGCCAGATGCCAGCCAGAGCCCTCCTGTATAAAGTGTCTCCCTGTCAGGATGTACGGGGGGTCAAGAACCCACTTGAGGAGGCAGTCTGTCGCTTAGCAGAGCTCGAGCACTGTACTGGGAGATCTGCTGCTCTCTTCAGAGCCATCAGGCAGGGACATTTAAGTCTGCTGAAGCTCTGCCCACAGCCTCCCCTTCTTCCAAGTGCTCTGTCTCAGGGAAATGGGAGTTTTATCTATAAGCCCCTGACTGGGGCTAATGACTTTCTTTCAGAGATGCTCTGCCCAGAGAGGAGGAATCTCAGCACTTTTTTCTTCACAAATAATCAGAAAAATAATCAGGGATGATGAGGGTAGCACTGGTGAGGAAGAAGGAAGAAAGAAGGGGCTGGGAAGTGGAGCTCTGGGAAGTGAGAATGGTAAGAATAGAGTCCCCCATCCCACAGGCTTGCAGTCTTTTCAGGAAGATAGCTCTAAGTAGGAATTCATAACATAATGCAGTTAAACCTTAAGCTCGGTTGTCAGCTAAATGGAATTGTGACATAAATACAGCTTGTTTTAAATGCTCATCACCTTTTGCATTTCCTCACAACCACCAATTCATCTTGAAATTTCTCAGACTCTCCTCCACAGAACAGTACTGCTTTGGGAGTGGTTAGGGGTTTGCGAGAAGAGGGATCTGTTTTAAAGTGTGGGAAACATTGCTTACCACAGACATGCTCCTAGAAAGACACATAAACCTATTAAGAGCTCTGAAAAAATTATTTCCTTGTTCAATATGCAAAAGTATAGGTGAGCATAGCTAGCAATAAGTCTCAAAAGTCTTTAAAATATTTCTATTCCTTGAACCAGCAATTTCAAATACAAAACTTTATTAATAAAAAAGAATCATACACATGCACAATCTTGCTACAAGGATGTTTATCCCACTGTATCATGTATTTAATAGATTAAAAAGGAATTACATAAAAGCCCAATAGTAAGGGATTGGTTATATAAAGTATGGCATACCCATATAATGGAATATTATGCAGAAAATATAATGATATAGACAATTTAATGATGTGGGGAAATGTTCGCAAAATATTAAGAACTTACAACTGAATATGAAAGGATACTCTCTTTTTAAAATTAAATATTTTCCAAGAAGGAAAAGATCAGAATGGCTTATAACTGGAGTCTCAAACCCAAAAACCTCAGGGTGTAGGCAGATAAACTACGACAAGGAGTTTTCTTTCCTAGCGAGAGCAACTCCCATTCAGCTTTGAGCTCTGTGATGCTGGAATGCAGGCTACGTGATGCCTAGTGTCAATATTTCAGAAGATGCTAGAAACACTTGTGTTTGTGAGAAATCATTCCAGTTGTAAATGCTGGCATTGTAATTCAAAAAATGTAAATATTATACAGCCAAATAAAGCACATATTTAAACTACTGTTAGCAGCTCTGATTTATGCGGAATGTCAACACTGGTTATCTCTGAATATCAGGATTTTGGGTGATTTTTATTTCTTTCATTTTGTTTTTATTCTTTTCCATATTTTCTATAATGAAAAATAATTTTTAATAAAAAATACATTTTGTTTAAATTTTTAAGAGTTCAATTGTTACCTTACCATTACCACTGAAAATAGAAAAGGAAAGTTGTAATTTAAGAATTAAGGTTAGAAATAAAGAAAGCATAAAACAATCTGTATAGTGGCAGTAAGAAATATAACATTCACAGGAAGCTTAGAAAATTAATGCATTTCCTTCTCATCCTTGGAGCTACCTGAAAAAGAAAAATCTTCCCTGACATTTTTGCAAATTATTTGCTTTTATTCAAAACATTGGCAATATTACAAATATAAACAACCTAAGGTTATAGGAAATGGTGACAAAGTAATTTTTCTGTAAAAACATTCCATTAAAAAAAGGCATCTATCCAGGACACCATTTCCCAAACTAGGTTCCTTGGCAGATCCGTAGTCAAATGAGTTCGGACTTCACTGCATCAAGTATCTCCCACAAGAGTTCAGTGCATATTGACAAGACAAAGACAAGGCTCTGAAATGTCCTGCAGTTTAATTCTGTGTGCGCACAGACACACATGCACATGCACACTTGCACGTGCACACACACACACACACAAAATAAGGTGCCTTTGTTTAGCCAAAGAGTTTCAAACTGATTTGTCCACAGAACTCTTTTATGGAGCACCTATTACCATCCCATACATAGTAGTATTCTTCAGAACACAAATCCGAAAATATAGAGTAAAATATAGAGTCAAGAAGAGAAAATAATTTTTTTCCTTAGAAATGTATTCTGTGTGTTATACTAAAAATTGTTCTTTTATCTGAAGCTCAGATTTTAACTGGGCAACCTGTTTGGGGTTTTGTTTTTTGCTAAATCTGGCAACCCTACTGACAGGACAATACAGTAGGTGAACCTCAAACTGTTTGAAAATGGTGTTAAAGTAGTAGGGCCTTGTTGTGTCTCAGCAGAGTTGACAACTTCCACAAATGGTGCTGAGTCCTCCAGGATCTGAGGTTTGGTTACCAATTCCCAGGTGACAGTCCCCTTTCCAAGCACTGAGTCCCTCCTTACTCTAGGAGCTGTGGGACAAAAAGAGAAAACAGGAGTTCTCCGTTCCAAGATGGCCAAACAGCAACAGCTCTGGTCTACAGCTCCCAGCGTGATCAATGCAGAAGACGGGTGATTTCTGCATTTCCGACTAAGGTATCTGGTTCATCTAATCGGAACTGGTTGGACAGTGGGTGCAGCCCACGGAGGGTGAGATGAAACAGGGCGGGGTGCCGCCTCACCTGGGAAGCACAAGGGGTTGGGGGATTTCCCTTTCCTAGCCAAGGGAAGCCGTGACAGACGTACCTGGAAAATCCGGACATTCCGCCCAAATACTGTGCTTTTCTCAGTGTCTTAGCAACTGGCAGACCAGGAGATTCTCTCCCTTACCTGGCTTGGCAGTTCCCACGCCCAAGGAGCCTTGCTCACTGCTAGCACAGCAGTCTGAGATCGACCTGCAAGGCTGCAGCCTGGCAGGGGGAGGAGCATCCACCATTGCTGAGGCCTGAGTAGGTAAACAAAGTGGCAGGGAAGCTTGAACTGGGCTGAGCCCACCGCAGCTCCACAAGGCCCACTGCCTCTATAGACTCCACCTCTGTGGGAAGGGCATAGCTGAACAAAAGGCAGCAGACAACTTCTACAGACTAAAACGTCCCTGTCTGACAGCTCTGAAGAGGGCAGTCATTCTCCGAGCACGGTGTTTGAGCTCTGAGAACAGACAGACTGCCTCCTCAAGTGGGTCCCTGACCCCCATATAGCCTAACTGGAAGACACCTGCCAGTCGGGGCCGATAGACACCTCATATAGGCGGCTGCCCCTCTGGGACAAAGCTTCCAGAGGAAGGATCAGGCAGCAATATTTGCTGTTCTGCAGCCTCCGCTGGTGATACCCAGGTAAACTGGGTCTGGAGTGGACCTCCAGCAAGTTCCAACAGATCTGCAGCTGAGGGACCTGACTGTTAGAAGGAAAACTAACAAACAGAAAGGCATAGCATCAACATCAACAAAAAGGAAATCCACACCAAAACCTCATCTATAGGTCACCAACATCAAAGACCAAAGGTAGATAAAACCACAAAGATGGGGAGAAACCAGAGCAGAAAAGCTGAAAATTTTAAAAACCAGAGCGCCTCTTCTCCTCCAAAGGATCGCAGCTCCTCGCCAGCAAAGGAACAAAGCTGGACAAAGAATGACTTTGACAAGTTGACAGAAGTAGGCTTCAGAAGGTCAGTAATAACAAACTTCTCTGAGCTAAAGGAGCATGTTCTAACCCATCGCAAGGAAGCTAAAAACCTTCAAAAAAGGTTAGACGAATGGCTAACTAGAATAAACAGTGTAGAGAAGACCTTAAATGACCTGACAGAGCTGAAAACCATGCCATGAGAACTTTGTGATGCATGCACAAGCTTCAATAGCCAATTCAATCAAGTGGAAGAAAGAGTATCAGTGATTCAAGATCAAAGTAATGAAATAAAGTGAGAAGACAGGATTACAGAAAAAAGAGTAAAAAGAAAGAAACAAAGCCTCCAAGAAATGTGGGACTATGTGAAAAGATGAAATCTAGATTTGATTGGTGTACCTGAAAGTGATGGAGAGAATGGAACCAAGTGGAAAACACTCTTCAGGATATTATTCAGGAGAACTTCCCCAACCTAGCAAGACAGGCAAACATTCAAATTCAGGAAATGCAAAGAACACCACAAAGATACTCATCGAGAAGAGCAGCCCCAAGACACATAATCATCAGATTCACCAAGGTTGAAATGAAGGAAAAAATGTTAAGGGTAGCCAGAGAGAAAGGTCAGGTTACCCACAAACGGAAGCCCATCAGACTAACAGCAGATCTCTCTGCAGAAACCCTACAAGGCAGAAGAGAGTGGGGGCCAATATTCAACATTCTTAAAGAAAAGAATTTTCAACCCAGAATTTCATATCCAGCCAAACTAAGCTTCAAACGTGAAGGAGAAATAAAATCCTTCACAGGCAAGCAAATGCTGAGAAATTTTGTCACCACCAGGCCTACCTTACAAGAGCTCCTGAAAGGAAACACTACACGTGGAAAGGAACAACCAGTACCAGCCACTGCAAAAACATACCAAATTGTAAAGACCATCAACACTATGAAGAAACTGCATCAATTAATGGGCAAAATAACCAGCTAAAATCATAATGACAGGATCAAATTCACACATAACAATATTAACCTTAAATGTAAATGGGTTAAGTGCCCCAGTTAAAAGACACAGACTGGCAAATTGGATAAAAAGTCAAGACCTATCAGTGTGCTGTATTCAGGAGACCCATCTTACATGCAGAGACACACATAGGCTCAAAATAAAGGGATGGAGGAAGATCTACCAAGCAAATGGAAAGCAAAAAAAAAGCTAGGGTTGCAATCCTAGTATCTGATAAAACAGACTTTAAACCAACAAAGATCAAAAGAGACAAAGAAGGCCTTTACATAATGGTAAAGGGATCAATTCAACAAGAAGAGCTAACTATCCTAAACCTATATGCACCCAATACAGGAGCATGCAGATTCATAAAGCAACTCCTTAGAGACCTAAAAGGCAACTTAGATTCCCACACAATAATAATGGGAGACTTTAACACCCTACTGTCAATATTAGACAGATTGACAAGACAGAAGTTTAACAAGGATATCCCGGAATTGAACTCAGCTCTGCACCAAGCAGACCTAATAGACATTTACAGAACTCTCCACCCCAAATCAACAGAATATACATTCTTCTCAGCACCACATTGCACTTATTCTAAAACTGACCATATGATTGGAAGTAAAACACTCCTTAGCAAATGTAAAAGAACAGAAATTATAAGAAACTGTCTCTCAGACCACAGTGCAATCAAATTAGAACTCAGGATTAAGAAACTCACTGAAAACTACAAACTACATGGAAACAGAACAACCTGCTCTGGAATGACTGCTTGGTAAATAATGAAATAAAAGCAGAAATAAAGATATTCTTTTAAACCAATGAGAACTGAGACACAATGTACCAGAATCTCTGGGACACAGCTAAAGTAGTATGTAGAGGGAAATTTATAGCACCAAATACCCACAAGAGAAAGCAGGAAAGATCTAAAATTGACACCCTAATATCACAATTTAAAAAACTAGAGAAGCAAGAGCAAACAAATTCAAAAGCTAGCAGAAGGCAAGAAATAACTAAGATCAGAGCAGAATTGAAGGAAATAGAGACAGAAAAAACCCTTCAAAAAAATCAACGAGTCCAGGACCTGTTATTTTGAGATCAACAAAATTGATAGACCACTAGCAAGACTAATAAAGAAGAAAAGAGAGAAGAATCAAATAGATGCAATAAAAAATGATAAAGGGGATATCACCACTGATCCAACAGAAATACAAACTACCATCAGAGAATATTATAAACTCCTCTACACAAATAAACTAGAAAATCTAGAAGAAATGGTTAAGTTCCTGGACACATACACCCTCCCAAGACTAAACCAGGAAGAAGCTGAGTCTCTGAATAGACCAATAACAGGTTCTGAAATTGAGGCAATAATTAATAGCCTATCAACCAAAAAAAGTCCAGGACCAGACGGATTCATAGCCAAATTCTACCAGAGGTACAAAGAGGAGCTGGTATCGTTCCTTCTGAAACTGTTTCAATCAATGGAAAAAGAGGGAATCCTCCCTAACTCATTTTATGAGGCCAGCATCATCCTGATACCAAAGCCTGGCAGAGACATAACAAAAAAAAAAAGAATTTTAGACCAATATCCCTGAAGAACATCGATGCAAAAATCCTCAGTAAAATACTGGCAAACTGAATCCAGCAGCACATCAAAAAGCTTATCCACCACGATCAAGTGGGCTTCATCCCTGGGAGGCAAGGCTGGTTCAACATATGCAAATCAATAAATGTAATCCATCACATAAACAGCACCAACGACAAAAACCACATGATTATCTCAATAGATGCAGAAAAGGCCTTCAACAAAATTCAACAGCCTTCATACTAAAAACTGTCAATACACTAGGTATTGATGGAACATATCTCAAAATAATAAGAGCTATTTATGACAGACCCACAGCCAATATCATACTGAATGGGCAAAAATTGGAAGCATCCCCTTTGAAAACTGATACAAGACAAGGATGCCCTCTCTCACCACTCCTATTCAACATAGTGTTGAAAGTTCTGGCCAGGGCAATCAGGCAAGAGAAAGAAATAAAGGGTATTCGATTAGGAAAAGAGGAAGTCAAATTGTCCCTGTTTGCAGATGACATGATTGTATACTTAGAAAACCCCATCATCTCAGCCCAAAATCCCCTTAAGCTGATAAGCAACTTCAGCAAAGTCTCAGGATACAAAACCAATGTGCAAAAATCACAAGCACTCCTATACATCAATAACAGACAAACAGAAAGCCAAATCATGAGTGAACTCCCATTCACAATTGCTTCAAAGAGAATAAAATACCGAGGAATACAACTTACAAGAGATGTGAAGGACCTCTTCAGGGAGAACTAAAAACCACTGCCCAATGAAATAAAAAAGGACACAAACCAATAGAAGAACATTCCATGCTTATGGATAGGAAGAATCAATATCGTGAAAATGGCCATACTGCCCAAGGTAATTTATAGATTCAATGCCATTCCCACCAAGCTACCAATGACTTTCTTCACAGAATTGAAAAAAAACTACTTTAAAGTTCATATGGAACCAAAAAAGAGCCCACATAGCCAAGACAATCCTAAGCAAAAAGAACAAACCTGGAGGCATCAGGCTACCTGACTTCAAACTATACTACAAGGCTACAGTAACCAAAACAGCATGGCACTGGTAACAAAACAGATATACATAGACCATTGGAACACAACAGAGGCCTCAGAAATAACACCACACATCTACAACTATCTGATCTTTGACAAACCTGACAAAAACAAGAAATGGGGAAAGGATTCCCTATTTAATAAATGGTGCTGGGAAAACTGGTTAGCCATATGTAGAAAGCTGAGACTGGATCCCTTCCTTACACCTTATACAAAAATTAATTCAAGATGGATTAAAGATTTAAATGTAAGACCTAAAACCATAAAAACCCTAGAAGAAAACCTAGGCCATACCATTCAGGACACAGGCATGGGCAAGGACTTCATGTCTAAAACACCAAAAGCAATGGCAACAAAAGCCAAAATAGACAAATGGGATCTAATTAAACTAAAGAGCTTCTGCACAGCAAAAGAAATTACCATCGGAGTGAACAGGCAACCTACAGAATGGGAGAAAATTTTTGCAATCTACCCGTCTGACAAAGGGTTAATATCCAGAATCTACAATGAACTTAAACAAATTTGCAAGAAAAAAACAAACCCATCAAAAAGTGGGCAAAGGATATGAACAGTAACTTCTCAAAAGAAGACATTTATGCAGCCAACAGACACATGAGTAAATGCTCATCATCACTGGTCATCAGAGAAATGCAAATCAAAACCACAATGAGATACCATCTCACACCAGTTAGAATGGCGATCATTAAAAAGTCAGGAAACAACAGATGCTGGGGAGGATGTGGAGAAACAGGAACGCTTTACATTGTTGGTGGGAGTGTAAATTAGTTCAACCATTGTGGAAGACAGTGTGGTGATTCCTCAAGGATCTAGAACTAGAAATACCATTTGACCTAGCCATCCCATTGCTGGGTATATACCCAAAGGATTATAAATCATGCTACTGTAAAGACACATGCACACATATGTTTATTGTGGCACTATTCACAATAGCAAAGACTTGGAACCAACCCAAATGTCCATCAGTGATAGACTGGATTAAGAAAATGTGGCACATATACACCATGGAATACTATGCAGCCATAAAAAAGGATGAGTTCATGTCTTTTGCAGGGACATGGATGAAGCTGGAAATCATCATTCTCAGCAAACTATCACTAGGACAGAAAACCAAACACCGCATGTTCTTACTCATAGGTGGGAATTGAACTATGAGAACACTTGGACACAGGGCGGGGAACATCTCACACCAGGGCCTGTCAGCAGGTGGGGGACTGGGGGAGGGATAGCATTAGGAGAAATACTTAATGTAAATGACAATTTGATGGGGGCAGCAAACCAACATGGCACATGTATACCTATGTAACAAACCTACACATTTTGCACATGTACCCTAGAACTTAAAGTATAATACAAAAAATAAAGGGAGAGAAAATAAATATTCGATACACACTGGCATGACTGGCAATAGCTCAGGGGTTTCAAACAGGAGTTCACAACTCTTAGTGGGACGTGAATGCAGAACATGCCAGTATTGGGGGCAAGGTAGAATAAAATAGAATAGGTGGAAATGTGACACGGGGCAGACAATCAGTGTATCACCTGTATTTTGTCTCCTAAAACAAACTATGTGTGTACACTAGCTATCAATACTTCTTACTGTAGTCATGGTCTAAAATGTTGGAAAGCCACTGATATGATTTTGAGACTTACCTGGCATTATTGTGAAAACTGTGTTGGATCAACAGTGAGGATGTTAGTTTTACACTCACAGGTGAGGGTAAGCTTTGCTTTGTTCTGGAAATATTACCCTTCTGGAACCACTTTATCTCTTTTTGGATTCTGCAATCCCTGCAAACAGACGCCAATGCTTCAATTAAATCAGAGCTCCTAGTTTTGTTTCATTTTGCTATAATCACTTTCTGGAAGCACACTTTGGAATTCAACATTGTTGCATCTAATCTTAGGCAATAAATATAAGTGATCATGTGGGACCAAAAAAAATCCATTCTGTGTAATTGATCATCTGTAGTGGATTTACAAATTACATAGTCTCAACATTTTTTAAAGAAGGTTTCTGGTACTTAGAAACTCAAGGAACAAAACCGGCTCTCAAAACTCAGGAGATTAACCCAGTCATTCACAGTAAGGTATATCTCGAAAATCCACACATTAAAGGATCCCTTGAGGTCAGATTTTTTAGTCTAATAACAAAACGATACTGAGCTAAAAATCAGTGGGGGTCAGCCATAGGGCGAAAACGAAAGACTGCCTGAAATGGCTCTCCTTTTTCAACAATTTAACTTAGACCTCAGTTAGCAGGACTTCTACTCAGTGTCATGGTAAAAACTAAACTGCATCATTTTATTTTAAAAGAAAACTGTTGACACTCAATGTCAGTCCCAGACACTCTAGCTAAGCTTCAAAATGGAATGCCCTGAGTCAATTGTTTTAAAATACCTTCCAAAAACACATGATATTTGACTATTAGTTTCTTCATCCACTACACCTGCATCAAGACCCACCTAGGATGATTAGACAGTGACATCTCTTCATCCCTTCTCCTCCCCCCATCCTCCCCCTAAATCTCACACGAAACAGGGAAGCAGGGCAGACTAATCTGTTTGTGAGGTTTGTGCTTGCATGTGTCGATGTGCGCTATGGGATCTTAACATTGATTGCTATTTATTTTTATGTGTATTGGTTTGTCTGCAAAGGATAATATATCAAGTTGATATCTGACAGCTTCCTTCCAACTGAGACCTTGCAGCATGAATCCAGCCCAGCCCACTTTCCCTCCCAGCTAGACTCCAGCTGTTACTCCTCTGCCACTGAAAATTGGCAGCACCCTCCTCCCCACAGCAGATTTTGTGTGTGTGATTGATTGGGATTTTATTTGTGATTTTTCCTGTTCTTAACTTTTCCAAGAGATACACGATTCCCAGATGACTCTGCACTGGCTTGCAAAATTCAGAAAGTAGCCTCTGCAGGAGAACTCTGCCCCTTTGCTTTTGTTTGCTTGTTCACTTACTCTAAAGAAAATGAACTTCTGGTCAATAATCACTTGCTCCAAAAAGGGCACAGCCACTAAAGTACACCAAAAAATCTAAAAGACATTAAAAATATTTCAGGGCCAGAGAAAAACTACCTTTTTCAAGGATCCCAGCACATGCAGACAGGGAAAAGATAAGAACCCTACAGTCTTTGTCTGATAATAAGCTTAAGTGAAAGCAATTTCCCAACGCAGAGCTCTCTTCTGTGGTTTACCTCACAAAAAGCCTGTGGTGGGAATTTTTTTTTCCTTTGAATCATGTTCCCCTTCACATTCAGTTGATAAGAAGCCTTCTTTTGTGAGAGCCATTTGATGTTCAAAGGGCTCTGCAAAATGCATGTGGACAGCATTTGGAGAATTCTTAGAACACCAATCTAAATTTGGGTCTTAATAATGGGAAAGTTTTGTTAGCTATAAACAAACTTCAATGCCAAATTCTAAAGAGTAAGAACAGTTGTCATCAGCCTCTGAAGTCAAGGGTAGGTTAGAGTTCGACAGTTCACACATTTCCATCCCTCACCATTTAAATGTCAGAAACAGCCACTACTGGACAAAGGATACTGTCAGGCTGTCACAGGTAAATCCAATTCTCTGCTGGGCTGCTGTCCAGTCATAACACAATAGTGCAGAAGTATCCATTCTCCATTTTTCAGAAAATTCCTACAATTAAGACACTGCTCTGGGCTTCCCATAAGCATATGAAGCTCCAGGAGCACACAGGGGAAGATGCAATTAAGACATGCATCCTTTTCCCCAATTACTTCTTTGTAAGATTTTTTCCAGCAAAGGAACAGAAATTTAACCCCTAGGAAAAGTAGGCAGGAACTGAGTCAAAGAGAACAGACCAATTGCTGTTGTTTTCCATTCCCATCATTTGGTGAAACTCTAAAAACAAACCACTTTTGGTATGGGTCTTATTTGGGGTTATTCTTTTCACTTTCCAGGAGATTCCTTATTTCTCAGTCAAGAAGAAGGAATCTCAATTGTCTTGCAAAAATTCAGAATGTGAACTCTAGAGAGAGCTGCCTCTTTGCTTTTTTTGTTGGTTTTTTTGTTTTGTTGTTTTGTTTTTGTTTGCTAATTCTAAGGAAAATGAATTTCTGGTAAAAACTACTTGTCCCTGAGAGAACACAGCCACTAAAATACAATGAAAAAGCTTTACAATAACACTCACCAGTTGACCATTTGATTCCCCTGTTCTGATTTACCTTAGCCTCTAGTTAACCATAATAATAAAACTAACCAAATGAATTGGGCACTTACTAGATGCATCTTACTGTTTCACAAAACTCCATTTAATCCATATGGATTCTCCCTCAACTGGGGGTAGGGGAGTGCAAGACTAGTCCCACCAAAACATAAGTTGTGCAATGAGTTAACACAGAAGCTGCTGGCTGGGTGCGGTGGCTCACGCCTCTAATCCCAGCACTCTGGGAGGCCGAAGCAGGCAGATCACCTGAGGTTGGGAGTTCGAGACCAGCCTGACCAACATGGAGAAACCCTGTCTCTACTAAAAATACAAAATTAGCGGGGCATGGTGGTGCATGCCTGTACTCCCAGCTACTCGCGAGGTTGAGGTAGGAGAATCACTTGAACCTGGGAGGTAGAGATTGCAGTGAGCCTAGATCGTGCCATTGCACTCCAGCCTGGGCAACAAGAGCAAAACTCCGTCTCAAAAAAAAAAAAAACACACACACACACACACACAGAAGCTTCTACTAGCTCTATATTTTCACTACACCTAAACCTACCTCCCAAACCCTCCCGACACCACTCCTGAGTCACAGACCCATACATCCAACTCAACTTAGATATCCTAAAAGCACTACGAGCTCAGTGTCTCCAAAACTTAATTTGTCTTTTTTACCAACCTTCTCTTCCTCCTGTTTTCTCTACAGTGGTAGTAAATGGCATCAACATCCACCCAGAACCTAAGCCAGAAACCATTCTAGACTCCAATCATTCTAAACTCTTCCTTTCCCCTCAACCCCCATATCCACGTCCACTGACCAAGACAGCCTTCACATTCCCCTCAGCTTGACAAAACTTTAGACAGGCTTCTTGACCCTAGGCCCTGATCTCCCTTTTCTTAGAGCATTTACTTTGGGAAATATGTAAATTCTTTCTCTGTCCTTTTGAGATGTGTGTAAATGTTTTTAGAAGGCTTTTGCCAGTTTTTCAACGTAGGCCTGTTTTTCTCAAGGACTTGAGAGCCATCTCTTTGAAATGTAAATGTCAAGGAAGATAGTCCCAGGCTCTGTGGGAGGGTAGGAGCCTAACTTCAGCCAGCACCTTGCTCTAAGTTGTAAAACTATCTCCTGTCAGAAAGATAAGAGAAAGTTGACTTTTCCTTTGGGTAAAGCCATTTAGCAAACACAAACCACCTCTGTTCTCCCTCTCAATCCAGCTGTTACAAATCTTCCCACCCTCCTTTTCAGTGGAGTTGAGTTCAGAGTTCTGTTCTCTCTCCCCATGACAATATCCTTGAAAAAAGTCTGTTGTCTTGTCTGTTTAACTTTGGCACAATTTTTGCTATGACACCAGCCATCCCAACTCCTTGACACCTGTCAAGTGTTGTTTTTTTTTTTTCCTCTCTCATTCCAGGGCCAAATCTTTAATTTAAGTTGCTGTCTCACTCATCTGGATGACTACAATCATTTCCTAATCAGCTTCCCTGATTTCAATCTTCCTCCCTTCCAATCCCTTCCCTATACTGCTGTAGCCAAAATGGTTCAAACACCAATGTTTAGTTCACATACTCCCCCTACTTAGAAACCTTCAAAGCTTCCCCATAGTTCCTATGATGGTGAGACCACACACATCCAGGTTACCCCGAGATAGTCCTAATTTACACATGTTGTGCCAGGTTAATTATCAGCTTCCTTTTACTCTAAAAATGTCCCAGTTAGAAGATAATAACACCCTAGTGTAGTGTCTAAGGACTAACCTCCCACATCATCTAACATTGCTCTTCTACACACACCATACTTCAAACACAACAAACTGCTTATGGCAATGGACCTCAACCCTGGCTGCAAATTAAAATCATCTGGAAAGTTTTGTAAATGCATCTATGATCCAGCTCAATACCAGACTAATTAAATCTGACTTTCCAGGGGTGGGCATTAAGCATTGATATATATATATTTTTTTTTTGAGATGGACTCTCACTCACTCTGTCACCCAGGCTGGAGTGCAGTGGCACCATCTCAGCTCACTGCAACCTCTGCTCCCGGGGTTCAAGCAATTCTCCTTCCTCGGCTTCTCAAGTAGCTGGGATTACAAGCATGTGCCACCACGCCTGGATGATTTTTGTATTTTCAATAGAGACAGAGTTTCACCATGTTGGCCAGGCTGGTCTCAAACTCCTGACCTCAAGCGATTCGCCCACCTCAGCCTCCCAAAGTGCTGGGATTATTAGTGTGAGCCACCACCCCCAGCCTGACAGATTTTTTTTATAAGTTTCCCAGATGACTCTCATGTGAAACCCAACTATAATAATAACTGCTGACATGTGGTTGCCAGGTCAATCATCTGTGAAGCTTTCTCTGCTCTTTCACAGTAGCCTGTACATGCCTTTATTACAGAACTAAAACTGAATTACCATCATTTATTTACACGTCCATCAATAGCTAAGTTCTGTTGATTCTGTGTTCAATCTGTCTTTTGAGTCTGTATCTCCTTCTCATTTTCCTTCACTAGTTCATCATCACCTTTCACCCAGGTGGCTGCATAAGCTCCCTATTGGTTTTTCTGCTTCTAATCCTCCCCACCCAAATTGTTCCCAGTTATCTTCTGTAAAACCAGTTGAATGGTATCATTCCATTATTCAAGTTTGTGATGGTTCATCACCTACTATAGGATAATGTCCAAAGTCTACGGTGTAGAATTCAAAAACCTTCCCAAGAGATCCCAACATGCCCTAGATTCCCCTCACTTCTAACACCACCCACCTTGGTCCCAAAGGGTGACTCATTCATCTTTGATCAAGCCACCATGCTTCTACGTGAAATGCCTTATTCTCATTTTCCATCAGGCAAACTCCTTATTTTTAAAAGTTCCACTGAAGTATTGCTCCTGCAAAGCTGTCCCCAGCCAAGAATTAACTGCTTCCTCCTCTCTCCCACATTTTCCCACTTTAAATAGCTATAGATCATTCATCACTATTTGGTTTGCATTATGTAAATGCCTGCCTCTGTCACTGGATGTGAACATCTCTAGGGCAAAGGTCAGTAATACTAGTAACTATCACCCTCACTAAGTGATTGCTGAAGTCATTTCAGAAAACATTTTTAAATCCCTAGCTGATAAATTGAAGATAAGTATCTTTAATCATTTCTGTCTCTTCATCCATTGAAGAAAGTGGCAGTGAAAATAACTTAGATCTCCAAGTCCCAACATTATAAGAATTGGAGAGCTCAAAGGAATCTTTGGAAACTAGGTCCAATATACATTTTGCTGGCCAAAAAAAAAAAAAGGCTCTTTCCAGAATAAAATACTTCCAAACATAAAATCTATTAGGCTATTGCCATCTAGCTTTTAAATTTTGATTTTGAGTTTAAATCATGTTCAATGAAAGGTCACTTATTGATAGAAAAGACAAAGCCAAGTGATTTCTCACAAGATCTTAAGAGTGTTTAAGGATGGTTTCTCATTTCTAACCTTTATGGTATAGTTTCTAAGCCTCTGCTTTTATGCTAACAGCAACATAAGCTGCAAATTTGAGAGTGATAAACACTTTTGTCCCGTCAAAAGACTGATATTGCTCTAGAAAATCTGCTAGATCCCTAATTCTGGGTTAGTAATGGCTTATTTCTATAAAAGTAATATCAAATGACAAGGTCTCCCAGAAACTTCCAGGAATTACTTCTACTATTTTACCAAATATCAACATGGAATCTGCCTCTGCATTTTGGGTAAATGCAGTCTTAGAAGAAATGCATTGGGGTGGGATTTAGAATATTTTTTTCTGAAATATCTGGAACACATACTCTTCTCTGAAAAATCTCAAATTCAAAAATGCTAATAAATGCCTTGTGCTACAGATGAAAATCTCTTACTAGTTCCTTAAATGATCTGTCTTCTATAAACAGATTGTTACTTGGACCAAATGTGTGTGGATCTCTTCCCTCTTGGGCAATATAATGAGGTGGCATCCACTGAATTAGAACTTATGCCAGCAAATATTTTTTAATAATTGTGTATTTATTTTACTGTATCTTATTTATATATATATTTATTTAGTTATATTTATATATATTTTTATATAAATATTTGTATATATTTATATATAAATATTTATATATATTTATATATAAATATTTATATATATATATAAATATAGGTATATTATATATATTTATATATTATATATATACCTATATACCTATATATAGGTGTATATATATATATACCTATATATGTGTGTGTATATATATATACCTATATATATGTGTGTGTATATGTATACCTATATATGTGTATATATATACCCATATATGTGTATATATATACCTATATATGTGTATATATATACCTATATATATGAATATATATATACCCCCATATATATATATGAATATATATATACCCAATATAATCCACCCACAAATATTGTGGCTTAGAATGAGATAATAGTTGTTATGGCTGCAGTAAACCATCTTATTCAGGTTGAATAAAGCACTGCACCCTGGCATAGGCGTGAGTGTTTCAGATCTTCAGTAACTGAATTTCTTAACTGTCTGGAAGCATTGCTAATAATAAACAATGGCCTAGACCTCTAACAAGCCTGCTCATATGGCATATTCCGCAAACATCACTATGCTCCTCCTAGGCATGTATAAGCATATGTAATTTTATCAGAAAAGGCAACAAATTGTCCTTGGTCCTTTCTGATCATGTGCGCATGTGAGTGACACTGTCAGTACTAAGTCAAAGCAAAATTAAAAAATAATACTATTGAAGTAAAACCTCCTCTGTGTCTTAAACTAGGTAACATTAAACCTACTATTCCCTTATTATTGACTGCCCCCAAAATTTCATTCTTCTCAAGGAACTAATTTTTAGTTTTGCATTTTATAAATCAATGACATTTATAATATTTAAAATGTTATATGTAATTTTAATGATTATAGTATTTACAATTTGATACTCTATAATTATAGCATTTATAATTTGATATTTTTCTTTGAACTTTATTTAATAACAGCATGGGGCTTTTAAATTTTAGTATTGCAGTTATCTTCTATTTGTGATAAGAAACTGGTTTTTACTGGTAGTAATAATATAACATTTCCTTTTAAAATGAATTTAAAGTTAAAATGAAAGAAGTCTATTCAAAGAAAAATCATAAGTAAATAAGAATATAGAGGACAGGAAGACATGAACACGGCATAAAAGATGTGCTTTGAAAACACTGTCCTAGGGAATAGCCCTTTATAGAGGTGAACACTGTTCCACAGAAAGTAAACAACTCACAGTTTTGCCACTGCCACTTCCTAAACCTGGAAACACATAAGCAGACAACCACGAAGAGTGCTGCTCTGGAAAACATGGATAAAACTTAACATGTTTTTAGAGCATTTGGTTTTTTTGATTGTATAGAAAAACTCTAACAGAGATGAGTAATTTTTTTAATCAACACCCAGATAACAGTTTAGCCCTATTTTTTTTTTTTTTTTTGAGACGAGACGGAGTTTTGTGCAATGGCGCGATCTTGGCTCACTGCAACCTCCGCCTCCCGGGTTCAAGTGATTCTCCTGCCTTAGCCTCCTGAGTAGCTGGGATTACAGGCATGCACCAACACGCTGGGCTAATTTTGCATTTTTAGTAGAGATGGGGTTTCTCCATGTTGGTCAGGCTGGTCTCAAACTCCCGACCTCAGGTGATCTGCCCACCCTGGCCTCCCAAAGTGGAGTTTAGCCCTTTTTTAAACACTCAACTCATTCCTCCTTTATGCAATGTAAGATCTCAAGCTTCTCAGTGAGACTCACCACTGCAGGGTGAAAAATAAAGAAACTCTATCTCGCAAGTATCCTCACCAACCAGAGAAATATTATGTTGTGCATTGTCTTTCATTGTTGGTATTTTAAAAATAGGGTTCCCTACACACATATTTGAAGCTACATTCTAGCGCATATGTTTTTACAAACCCAAACTCTCCATTCTGGAGATTTCCTGAGACACATTCCTTACGGAGTCATGTACGATAAGCTGGGAGTTACTGTCTCCTTTATCACCATTTTGAAAAGCAGAAGCTGCTCTCAGCAACTGAGGCACTATTCGTTACTCCCTACATGGGCACGCTATAATTACTTCAGACTGTTTAAATTTTCTCAATGATAGTGAAATGCAGTTAGAAACCATAGTTAACTTGCCACAATAAAGACAAATTGTAGAGAAATACAATTAAACTAAGTTATTTCCATTCTTATTTTAATAACATGAGAAAAGAGAGTTTGAGGTAATATGGCAACTCTATAGTTTGCAATATAAAGTGGCAGTAGTAATATTATTTTTATAATAAAAAATGGTGTGGGAGCAATATAAGCCTATCCTGATTAACATTCCTAACCTTGCAAATATGCAGGAAAAATTTTTTTCTACAATAATAAGTTCCAAGATTAAAAATGGTTCAACTATACTTTGACAGATACTACATTGATACTGTGTATTGTCAAACAAAAAAGTAAAACAGACTATAAAATAAAATCACAAACTAGGAAATGTAGGGAAGCAACAACATAAGGTACACTTGGAAATTTCAGTGTTCTTCTAGTACTTTTTCAGTAGTAGAGTAGTCATCAAGAATTTCTAATGCACCCAAACTCTTTGCATGAAAAATAAATGAGACTGCTGAGAAGATTATTGTAGATATGCAGTATGGCACATGCCACTAGTTGTCCTTCAACAATTATTCTCCACTTCTTTTATAATAATATAACCTCCTATTTTTAATTGGGTACATGGATAAAGACTACATTTCCCAGCCACCACTGAAGAGAGGTGTACCAATATGACTTCACTTCTGAATGATAAGATATAAGCGAAGTATAAGATGAAACACCCAGAACATGTCCTTAAAGGAAAGGGCACAACCTGCCACTATCCCTTTCTCCTTCCTGCTGGCGGGAGGACAAACCCGATGGCTGGAACAGGAGCTCTGTCTTAAGCCATGAGATGGCCTTATGCATAGGACTATAATGTATATATTAAGGAGTGATAAAGTGAGTTTATCTGAGAAGAGAGACTGGTAGATCCAAAAAGGGATCTACCTCCTTTTCATTTAATAATCTTCTGTACTCTTCCAGTTTTTTCTTTTTCTTTTTAGTGTGGATAGGAATAAGAGGAATGTGCAAGAGGGATTGAGGAAGAGACTTAAAGATGTGTCAGAATGAAATGAACTTAAGGAGAAGCGAGAAGATCTGAGCAGTATAAGCGGTGTGCTTTAGTGAGTGCTACTGGTGCTCCACCTATATCCCCATTACAAACTGGCATGCTCATCCCTACCCGTGAGTATGGTTATCCCTCAATTTCCATGGGGAATTCGTTCTAGGACCTCTAGCAGTTACCAAAATCCACAGATGCTAAAATCCCTGATATAAAATGGTGTAGTGTTTGCATATAACCTATGCACAGCCTGCCATATACTTCGGATCATCTCTTGCTTCATACCTAATACAATGTAAATGCTATATAAGTAGTTGTTGTATGGTATTGTTTAGAAAATAATAAGAAAAAAAGTCTGTACACGTTCAGTACAAACACAATTTTATTTCCGAATACTTTCCATCTGCAGTTGGTTGATCCCAGGGATGCAGAACTCATGGACGCTGAGAGGGCCGACAGTATTGCCTGAAGACAACTTAGAGTTGTCCCCTTCAAGGAGAATTTACCTGGGCCAAATGGCAATTGCCTTGCCCAGGAAGCCTCACCCACTACCCTAGGAGGCAGATCTTGACCAATGACTGAACAGAATGTGCTTCAAGTTGGGATCAATTTTGTGGCTCACACCTGTAATCTCGGCACTTTGGGAGGCCAAGGAGGTCAGATCACTTGAGCCCAGGAGTTCAACACCAGCCTGGGCAACATAGTGAAACCCCATCTCTACTAAAAATACAAAAATTAGCCAGGCGTGGTGGCACACCCATGTAATCCCAGCTACTCAGGGGAACTGAGGCACAAGAATTGCTTGAGCCCGAGAGATGGACGTTACAGTGAGCCAAGATTATGCCACTGCACTCCAGCCTGGGAGACAGAGCAAGACTCTGTCTGAAAAAGATGTAAAAACTAAAAATAAAAATAAAAGATGGGATCAATTTAATAGTAAAATTTCCACTCCAGGGCTTGTGGGGCCCTTGTGGTGCCAGAGCTAGCTAGTCTATAGTTGAAATCACATTCTTATTTATCTTTTTTCCCTTGCCTTATCCTACTTTTCTCCTACCCCTTCTATTGCATGCACTTCTCCAATAAATCATTGGATTTACTAGGGCTCCATGTCAAGCTCTGCCTCTAGGGGACACAATCTAAAAACCACTATATGGGTTTTCTCTACGTTGGGAGCAGTTCTTCTGCCACAGCCCCCCACCCCCTGAAAATGTAGCCTGCTTCAAGTTCCTCTCCACGTCCTCCTTGGTCAAGAACACCTCTCAGCTGCTGAGCCATCCACTATCTGCAGTGGTGCTGAAATGACCAGAGACATTGACAGATGAGAGCCTCAGCAGCTTGGCAGTCTCATGTCCCCTTACCTCACTTGCCCATAGCCGCAGCTTCCAAACCAGAGCCATTCCAAGGGACATCGACACAGCATCCAAGTTCACTGGGGTTGGGGCTGCCACAGTTAGGGTGGCTGGTTCTGGGGCTGAGACTGCTATTGTGTTTGAGAGCCTCATTATGGTCATGCCAGGAACCCGTCTCTGAAGCAACAGCTCTTCTCCTGTGCCATTCCGGGCTTTGCCCTCTTGGGGCCGTGGGGCTCTTTTGCCTGATGGTGGCCTTTCTCACCCTCTTTGCCATGTGAAGGAGCTGTCTGCACCTCCGACAGTTCTTTCTCCCATGTCTTGTCTGCCCTGTGTGTTCCTTTTCTTGTACCTCCCCAGGTGGCCTGGGGCACATGGTTGGCTCAGGGTTTGACAGAGGGAAGACAAATAAATAATGTATTAATAAGGAAAAAAAATGATACTGAATTGATCCTACAGAAAATAAAATTCACTCACTACTGTTTCATAATTTACATTGTATTTTTTCCTAATAAAAATGGAAGATATTAAATATTTAAATAAGGAACAGCATACTTTCAAACCAGCACACCAATCTAGAAGGGTGTAGTCTAGAAGGGAGTATCCACCTAAATTATTTGTCCGAGTGGCTTATTCAAAGCATGACCCTCTAAATAAAGGTGATCTGCTTTTTCTGTAATCATATTGTATGATCATTATGACATGAGCATTAAACTTGCAGCTAAGATAGCCTCACTAGGAAACTGGTTACTCTGACACAGTAGCTCTCACCATTTGAAAGTAGGCCCTATTGGCTACATCATGGGAAGATTACAGACAAAAACCCCACTCACTCTACCTAAAAAATAAGCCATCAGCCAAACAGCTTCATCTATCCAGCTAAAGCTAATCGGGAGATTTTAATCTGCCTAAACTTTGACTGTGGAAGACACTGCTTTTATTTTACTGGCAGAGTAATGAACCTTATCTAATCTACTCTTAAATGTTAATTCAGTGTTTTCAAACTACCAGAAGTTTCTTCCTTATGTCTAACCCTAAATTTTTCACACAGCAATTTTGTTGTAGACTTAGGCACTAGGTAACAGACTCTATTTCTTATCTTAAATAATTTAAATGTCTACATATTTTCTTATAGGCCATAACTTTCTAAAAACCAGTATCTCAGGCTATTCACTAACTTTTAGAGCATCTCTCTTCAAAATTAGAAGACTCGAACACATGCAATATTGCTCATCAATGTTCACAATGATGGTAGATATTGGGCTTAAAAAAATCACTATATAAGAAAAGTGTGGCACATACATATAATGAAATATTATTCAGCTTTAAAAAGGAAGGAAATTCTGATACATGCTACCACATGGATGAAACTTAAGGATATTACATTAAATGAAATAAGCCAGTCACAAAAAGACAAATACTGCATTCTCTTATATGAGCTACTTAAAGTAGTCAAAATCATAGAGACAGAAAGCAGAATGCTGGTTACTAGGGGCAGGGGGAAAGGAGGAAGGGGGAAATTTTAATCTGTATTTAATGGATACAGAGTTTCAGTTTCACAAAATGAAAAAGTTATGGACATAGATGGTGGTGATGGTTGCACAACGTTATGAATGTATTTAATATCTCTGAACTGTACATTCAAAATAGTTAAGATGGGCTGGGCATGGTGGCTTATGCCTGTAATCCTAGAACTTTGGGAGGCCAAGGCGGGTGGATCGTTTGAGGTCAGGAGTTCGAGACCAGCCTGGCCAACACGGTGAAACCCCATCTCTACTAAAAATACTAAAATTAGCCAGGTGTGGTGGCCATGCCTGTAATCCCAGGTACTGGGGAGGCTGAGGCAGGAGAATTGCTTAAACCCGGGAGGCAGAGGCTGCAGTGAGTCAAGATTGTGCCACTGCACTCCAGCCCAGGCAACAGAGTGAGTGAGACTGTCTCAAAAGTAAAATAGTTGGCCGGGTGCGGTGGCTCACACCTGTAATCCCAGCACTTTGGGAGGCTAAAACAGGCAGATCGTAGGTCAAGAGATTAAGACCATGCTGGCCAACATGGTGAAATCCCGTCTCTACTAAAAATATAAAAATTAGCTGGGCATGGTGGTGCGTGCCTGTAGTCCCAGCTACTCGGGAGGCTGAGGCAGGAGAATCGCTTGAACCCGGGAGGCAGAGGTTTCAGTGAGCCGAGATTGCACCACTGTACTCCAGCCTGGTGACATAGCGAGACTCCATCTCAATAAATAAATAAAATAAAATAAGATAAAATAAGATGGTACATTTTATGTGTACTTTACCACAATTTTTAAACAATGGAAGAAAATTAAAAGAAAAAATAAAGTAAAACAACTACAATGATAAAGCCTTCAGCATTACTAATATTGTTCTCTTGCTCTTATGGCTTGTCTTCTATTCCACTTGTATATGGGCTTCCTACTTTTTATTCCCCTCCACCCTCTCCATTGAACTTCAGCATTTTTTGTCTAATTGTGTGTCTACCTCATCAAAGTCACATCTATTACTCCAAAAGCACTAAATAATGACTCTCAGTTAGACATTATATTGTAATGTAAATAAGTACAGTAATTATTTTCCCTCCTTCAGCATGATTCTTGAGAACAATTGCCAAATGATCCCATTCAGTGTTCACTTGGACCAGTGTCTCTTATGTAGGGTCACATGTCATAATCATCTGTGTATCTTTGTAAAACTACACACACTTGGGACACTGTCCTGTGGATTATCAATCTCAGTGAAGTGGAACCGGGTCACTTAACTTCCAAAGCTCCACAGGTAATAATAAGAATTAAAATTCTTGAGTGTTTATAAAGTGCCAAGCACTGAACTAAATGTTTAATTGTGATTCTGATGATTACCTCTACTTAACAACTACTTCCTTAACTAACTCCAAGCCCTAAATTACCTTTGCAATTAAGAGTTTTAACCTGGAAGTCCACAGTCAAGCTTAGCCAGGTTAGCAGTCCATCCATCTCATCCTGTTGTAGGAAGCACTGTGTGTGTGTACGTGTGTATGTGTGTGTATGTAATTTTCCTGGAAAAAGGATTTGTCGTAACTTTTATTATTTCCTCAAAAAAGTCTCTGACACAAAAATAGGTTAAGAAAAACTACTTACAATAAAATTCCCCACCATTATATATTCGCCCAAGAGTGTTCACCCACACTTATTCATTCATTCACCAAATATTTAATGAGGACCTATGACATGCAAACTGTCAAGGTTTGAGATCAGTGAACAAAACCAAGTCCTTGTCCTCATGGAAACTTACATTTTAGAGGAATAAACAATAAATATCTAGTAGTTAAGACAATCCTTTGGCTCAGAATATAACTTCTTAAATTACTAATACAAATTGCACAATCCACTCAGGGGCAATTGGGACGCAAAGCCCCAGCTAGTTCCAAAACCCATACCATTTCCACCATTTATTGTTGTTTTCAAATACAACATATTTTATGAGGACAAAATTTTACCTATCATCTTTTACTGCTCACAGCAAATAGTCTAACAAATAAATACTACTTTTAGTCTTATGAAATGTTAAGTAGCGTTTGGTTATTCAAAAGTATTTCCAAAGAGGTACAAATAGTCATGTCTTATTTCTCTAAATTCATAAGAAAGTATGGAAGTTAGTAGATGTTGAAAGTTTTGTGATATTGTCATATAGTTTACTTCTACATATGTTATAAACCCCGGAATACATTATTATTAATTTTGCTTTAAACAGCCAAGTACTTTTTTAAAAGAACCAAATACTATTTTAAAGGTAGTTTCCACGGATGCATGAGCTGGCCAGTACCCAATTGAAAACTTGAGGGGAACCCTCTGCACATCTCCGGAGCTTTCTCGCTTGCTCGCTCACGCTCTCTCTCTCTCTTGCTCCCACTCGCTTTCTCTCTCTCTCTCTCTGTCTTGTTCCCGCTCGCTTTCTCTCTTTCTCTCTCTCCAGCTCTTTCCTCTCCGATACTCTGTCCTGTGAACTCTAGCCACCTTGACTTCTCCAGACCCCCAGCTCCATATTCTCAGACCACTGATCTATGCCTGGGTCCCCACTTCTTTCCCTGATGCCTGGAAATTCTCTCTGGGCAGTAAGCTGGGTAATCATAGGGGCTCACCTCATCTGTTTCCCATCTTTCAGGGATTATTCTTCTTTGCTATCTAATGTTCAACGGCTTGAAAACTGTTATTTCATATATATCTTACATGTTTGAGGCTTAATTTTAGTTGCTTCAGCAGGTGAGTAAACCCAGTTCTTGCAACTCTATGTTGGTGAGAAACAGAAGTCTCTTTAATGTAACTACAATCCAAGTATTTTTAAAAGTAAAAGTTATGATAAAGCTTATTCAGAAGAGTAATTTTGAAGAACACAAGTTCAGCATAGAAGGAACATCTACAAACAAAGTCAGTGATAAAATGCTCCTCCCTGTTGGGACAGACCATCCCCATAGCCCCGCCACCTTGGTATATCACTGCTGATAAAGTTAAACAAGCCCACGGTGGCCTTGGCATCAGATGGACTTTGTCCAACCCAAACTCTGTCACTTACTAATAAATGACATGCAACCATGAGTAAATGACTTAACCTCTGTGTGCCTCACTTATCATATGTAAAATGGAAATACTAGTAGTACATAGGACATAGGGTTATTATACTAAATGAGAAATGCACAGCTACTCAGCAAAATGTTTGCTATGTATGGGCTCAATAAACAGTGTGTTCTATTAATATTCTCTGAACTGCAGATTTGCCACATATTTAATCCACTGAATTAAATGTCAATCATTAATGTATACATTAGTCCTTTTTATCATCCAGAAAGAAAATGTGACTAAATTAAAACTAGCACACACTGGCTAGGCGCGGTGGCTCACGCCTGTAATCACAGCATTTTGGGAGGCTGAGGCAGGTGGATCATTTGATCACTTGAGGTCAGGTGTCTGAGACCAGCCTGGTCAACATGTTGAAACCCCATCTCTACTAAAAATACTAAAATTAGCTGGATGTAGTGGCAGATGCCTGTAATCCCAGCTACTTGGGAGGCTGAGGCAGGAGAATCGCTTGAACCAGGGAAGTGGAGGCTGCAGTAAGCTGAAATTGAACCACTGCATTCCAGCCAAGTCAAAAGAGCGAGACTCCATCTCAAAAATAAAAAATAAAAATAAAATTAGCACAAACTATTCATATTCTTCTAAGCATTTAGTTTATTACACTCTGTTCCCTAAAATAAAAGGATGAAGTCACCAGATATCTCAAAGTTATAATCTTTTCAACATTTATTCAACTCATCTCTAATTTGTCATCGCCTTTCTTCTATCTTCAACTTTATTATTTCCCAGTTCCATTGAATTCCTGATGGGGCCTACTGTGTCCTATTTATGGTCCTTACTGAGAGCTTTGTAGCAAAAGAGAAGTAGATCTTGAGTTCCTCCTAACCAGCTCAGGCTGCTACATTACCTGTTCAGATTTTGGATTTCTTTGGCTCTTAAGAATTTAAATATCCTTTTATCTATCTCTAAATACCTTTGAATATGACAGGATCCTGCATTTTTTCATATTATTCATATCTATAGGACCTTGTAGCTCATAAATATATTAAAATGATATTCAATTAAATTCTAGTTATTTCTATGGCCTTATCTGGCATTGCCATCCCAGCTTCGAAGGTCATTCTACTGACAAGCACTTTATCTATATCTACTGTCAAACAACCTAGAATAGATAGAAATATTCGCTCTGAAGTCAAACCATGACTATGCCAATCGCTACTTGTGTCAGCTTGGACAAGTCACTTATACTTCCTAGGGCTCAATTTCCTTACTGTAATATGGAGAATGACTAATCATACCTATAATGGTGTCTTACAGAGTTGTTGCAGGGATTAAAAAGAAGTGCCTAAAATGCTGCCTGGCACATAATAGATGCTCAATAATTTTAAGCTACTATTATTATTATTACTACTATAATTATTATTTTTGACTTGTAGTATATAGTGCTAAATATGTTTTTTATGTACATTTGCTATTTGTCCTCCCTGGAAGTAAATTTTTTTTCTTTTTTGAGACAGAGTCTCACTCTATCACCCAGGCTGGAGTGTAGTGGCGTGATCTTGGCTCACTGCAACCTCCGCTTCCCAGCCTCAAGCTATTCTCCTGCCTCACCCTCCCAAGTACCTAGAATTACAGGCGTATGCCACCACACCCAGCTAATTTTTCTATTTTTAGTAGAGATGGGGCTTCGCCACGTCAGTCAGGCTGGTCTCGAACTCCTGACCTCAGGTGATCCACTCACCTCAGCCACCCAAAGTGCTGGGATTACAGGCGTGAGCCTTCGTGCCCGGCCAGCAAATTCTTTTATAAAACCACAAGTGGTTCATCTCTTTCAGGCCTGTGGTGGCTTCCACATACATCCCATAAATACAAGTTGAATAAGGCATATAGTTAGGTTCTTTGAATCCTAGTATACTTAGGCATATGCTAATTTACACAGTTTAAATGCTGTACTTTTGAGCTTGCTCTACCAGTGAATTTTACTAAAAACTAATGGCCAAAGAAGATCCCCTGATGGTTTCCCTCAGGCTGACAGGATGATCTCTCCTCACTGCAGCTCTCTAACTCTCCTGTCCACTGGGTGCTGTCACCCACCCCTTAGGTGAAGTCCCCCCGCTCTGTGCCCTATCTCTTGACATGGCTGGGGGACTCCCATTCTTCAGTATCAAGTGTCCCGGTCACTGATGCCTTCTGCCAATTGTCCTGGCTGCCTGAATTGGCCATGTCAATCTGGACTGGAATCTCATGTTTATGTGGATCCACCTAGATCCACTGCCTTATTTTTAGAATTATAATTGTCAGAATCATGGCAATAGTTTTTGACTTTATATTTTATGAAGTACTTTCAAGAATATTATTTGATCTTTCTGTTTCTGTGAGACAGGTAGGACTCATGTTATTATTCCTAATACAAACTAGAAGGGATGAGAAAATGTCAGGGGGTAGAAACTATTAGAACTGAGACTAGAAGAAGGATTCACAGTGTGGGCATGTCATATTAACACTAAGCAAGAAAAAATTAAGGCCTGAGACTGTGCTGAATCCAAGAGAAACAAGTTGAAGGTTAGCAGCCAACCTCTCCTGGGTGGTGTGAGGGACAGACCTCTTAAGGAATTAGGAAGCACCTTGAGTGTGAATATTGGAGGTTTGTTTATCTCTAACACTGGCATTTGAGTACCTCTCAAAGAATTGATTCCATAAAGCCTTGATTCTAAAGTAGGCATTAGACTTCCTAGACTCTTTCTCAATCAAGGTTCCATTAGAGAATTGATCCCTACAAAAATTATCTGAGTGACTATTTTCTTAATTCTTCCAAGAATGGTACAAATCTAGTACCATTCTAGATGCATAGACAAGAAATTAATTCATTACATGTGATGAATGACTTGGGACATTAGGCTTAATTCTTCTGTGGAACCGTGGTTGAGAAGACCTTAATGAGAATGAGAGAGTTAACATTAGACCTACTATGTGAAGCAACAAACTCCACCTATAGTAAGTGTTTCCCTTTAAGAATCAGAATAAAATATCAGAGTCAAATGAAGAAATCCTCTCAGAACTCAGAAACCCATGGCTAGTGACAGCTCCTTATCCCGCGGTAATGCTCCGTTTTAGGTATGAATCTTAGTAAGAGTTAAATATTCTATGAATCAATGTGGAAAAAAAACCATAATAATCAGACTAAATTCCTGTTGATGCCACATGCTTCATTGTATGGGGACTGAGTAACAGAATGTGAACAGATTAGCACCTTCCAGCCCTCTCTGGTAGGACACCATCTCCAGGGAATGTCCCCCAGGCAGTAGGCCAGCCAGAGCAGCTCAGCATATGAACAAGAGTACGTTCAGGTGTCAAGACAGATGATAAACTTTGGAAGCAGGCTGAATGAATGCAGCCAGAGAGCTTTTCCTGCAAAGTGCTTCCAGAGATTTGTGGAAGATATTTCCAGAGTCTGGAAATTGATCCCTATTGACTCCAGTAGGGTAACTATGACTTACAAGCCTTGTTTTGAATATAGATTAGTGAGCCAGGGCCACCTGGCAGTAAAAACAAACCAACCAGGCCTTTTCTGAACTGACAAACCACCTCCAAGCCAAGGAAGCAAGTCCGTCTTTGCCATTAACGTATCTCTTAGTTAAAATAACAAGAAGAAGGAAATACAACCAGCTAGATTCAAGAGAACAAATTCAGGGGAATTTCTCCTCCCATTTATTTCCTTCCATAACCTCTTGCAACACTTTAAACATTTACTTTGGGAGTGAGGTAAGGAAGTAAATGCACTCTGAAAGGAAAAAAAAAAATTAGAATAAGAGCATAAGGAGCTAAGGAAACAGACCCCTAAGGAAACAGAAGCGAATATTACTTGAATAAATTGGCTTAATCAAGATTAATTCTGTTTATTAACAAGCAGAATTGTTATAAAAGCTAAGTAAGCAGTGGTCTGTGTCTCATTAGGGCAAACGACTCTCTTGGAAAAGTTAGAACTGGGAACCACAGTGAAAGCTGCCCTCATAGTAAGGAGGGAGAGAAAGTCCTCCCACAGAGCTGTTTGATGAAAAGACCCAGAAGGGAAATTAAATAAAGCTTTATTTGAGGCAAACTCTGCATTTGTTCTTCCCTTTAAAAAATAAAATAAAATGTATTTGAAAGGGTGAAATGTGTGGAATTTTACATTTAAACACTACTTAATCCATTTATTAAAGTAACAATAGCTAACATTTTATCTCCACCAAGTGCCATAGTAAGTGCTTTGTGAATTCTCTCCTGTAGTCCACATTACAAAGCTATGGAAAAGTACTGGTATTATCTCTTTTGACTGAATTAATTGGTCCCTTTTCTGTTACTTTGGATTTTTTAAGTATTTATTGCTTACTTACTATGTGCTAGGCACTGTGCTGGCCTCTAGGTGTGGTCCCTGCCCTCAGGAAACTTACAGACAATACAAAATATTAAAAAAAAAAAAAAAACAGGGGGCTATGGTAGAAAATAATGAAGGAGGAAGAAATCTGCTGAAGTGGTCAGGTCAGCTAAAATCTGAAAGATAAGAAAGAACCAGCCGTGTGATGAGCAAGAGGAATGAGCATACCAAGCAGAAGGCAGAGCATGTGCAAGGGCCTGAGCTAGACAGCTCTTTGTGTATTTACCGTTTAAGAAGAAGGTGGAGCCTGGCATGGTGGTTCATGCCTGTACTCCCAGCTTCTCAGGAGGCTGCAGCAGGATGATCCTTTGAGTCCAGGAGTTCAAGCCTAGTCTGGGCAACATAGTGAGACCCCATCTAAGAAGGTGGGTTTGTGAGAAAACAGTGAGCAAGATGGAGGGGAGCATGAGATAAATTTGCAGAGATGAACACAGGCCAGACTGCAAAGGAGGTTTCAGAACTTGTTAGAGTTTGGGTGTATTTTAAGTACATTAGAAGCTCCTGAAAGGTTTTAAGCCAGAGAATAATAGGATCTGATTTGCATTTTTTTTTAATTACTCAAATGGATCTTTGGAGACTGGATGTAGGGGTTCATAAAGGAAGGCAGAGACACAAGTTAGGAAACTAGTGTTTAGGTAAAGGAGACAGTGGCTTGGGCAGGCTACAGGATGGCTGTGGAAAAGAAACAGGGTTGAGGAACACTTTGGAGGCAGAATTAATTGAGTTCTACCTTTCACAGTTCTAAAATAGCAGTTACCACATTCTCTCTTCACTGTTCCTTTGTCTCTTTCTGCCAATAACTTCCACCTCTCTCTAAATGCAGGAGCAATACTTCACCATCTGTGATTCCTCAAAGCCAAGCATAGTGCCTGATAAATTCTCAATAAGTATTTGATAAACACATGTTAATGAGGTAAGAAAGATACAACTTACTCTGGGAGGATTAACTACCTGCTCTGTGTTGTCTTACCTAGGTTAAAATTATGACAGGGCAAAGCTGGCAAGTTCTATTCTGAAAGAGATGGAGTCACTCTAGCACTCCTCTAGAGTAGGAAACCCAGGACTATGATATGGAGAATTTGAAGATTCTAGCTAAAGGTCATGTTGATAGTCTTGAGATTGGGTGATCCAATCCCCTGCTTCTAAGACATCAGAAGAGGTAGTATAGTATACTGATTAAAAGAATAGACTTTGATACCAGGTTCAAATCTTACACCAGATCCTTTCTAGCTATGTGACTTTGTGCACGTTACTTAACATCACTGTTCTTTATCACCTGTTAAATGGGGTAATAATAATGCTTAACCTGGTAGACAGAATTACAGCCACCCAAATGTGTCTACTTCCTAATCTTTGGAAACCTATAAATATGTTCCTTTACATGGCAAGGCAGAATTAAGGTTGCAGATGGTATTAAGGTCACTAATCAGCTCACCTTAAAATAATGAGATTACATACCTCCAGCACACCACAGTCATCCTAAGGAGAAGAGGTCAGTCTGTCTTCCCCCTGAGCCCCGCCCCCACCACCCTGCTCATCACCAGGAGGGCCCCCCTGGCTTAGGCCCACAAAGCAGCCACCCCTACCCTGGGCTGATTGCTTCTATTGGCAGCAGCTCTGCATTTCTCTTGGGTAGAGCCTCAGGAGACAAGCGAAAGGCCCGCTGCCATTGCCACTGCCAAGTTCCCTGCCCCTGCTGCATCCAAGCTAAGGAGGGAACACAAACCCAAGCTCACCCAAGGCTGCAGTGTGCAGCCTAGGAATGCCAAGCCAAGGTCTGCAGCCAGCACTCGAGTAGGAGAGGAGCCCACACTCCCAGAGAACTGAGAGGGAGCACAGCTGAGAACATGAGGAAAACACACAGAAACCATGTGGCTGACCAAGAGGCCTATCTACTGGCCATTACACTTAAGCATCATCTACTGGATCACAGCCCAAGCTTCAATACCAAAAATACTTTGCTAATATACCCCCCTGTGAAGCCAAGGACAAGAATTTAGCCACAAATAAAGACCCTGCATAAAGCCTCAGCCCTCTGAAAACATCTAGAAATAAAGTCAACTTACTATACCCAAATTACAACACAGTTAAAGGAACACCCACACAAACATAAGAAAAATCCAGCACAAGAACTTTGGCAACTCTAAAAGTCCCAGTGTCTTCGTTCCTCCGAGCAATTGCAAACTTCCCCAGAACATGTGTTTAACTAGGCTGAACTGGCTGAAATGACAAATATAGAATTCAGAATATGAGTAGGAACAAAGGTCATTGAGGTTCTGGAGAAAGTTGAAACCCAATCCAAGGAATCTATGGCTTGTAATAAAATGATACAGGATTTACAGATAAGCAAATGCTGAGGGATTGTGTCACCACCAGGCCTGCCTCCCAAAGGAAGCACTAAATATGGAAAGGAAAAACTGGTACCAGCCACTGCAAAAACACACCAAAATACAAAAACCAATGACACTATGAAGACACCACACAAACTAATGTGCAAAATAATCAGCTACCATCATGATGATAGGATCAAATTCACACATAACAATATTAACCTCAAATGTAAATGGACTAAATGCCCCAAATTAAAAGACACAGACAGGCAAATTAAAGAGTCATGACCCATCAGTGTGCTGTATTCAGGAGACCCATCTCATGTGCAAAAACACACATAGGCTCAAAATAAAGAGATAAAGGAATATTTATCAAGCAAATGGAAAGCAAAAAAAACCAGGGGTTGCAATCCTATTCTCTGATAAAACAGACTTTAAACCAACAAAGATCAAAAGAGACAAAGAAGGGCATTACATAATGGTAAAGGGATCAATGCAACGAGAAGAGCTAACTATACTAAATATACATGCACCCAATACAGGAGGACCCAGATTCATAAAACAAGTTCTTAGAGACCTGCAAAGAGAATTAGACTCCCACACAGTAACAGTGGGTGACTTTAATACCCTACTGTCAATATTAGACAGATCAATGAGACAGAAAATTAACAAGGATATTCAGGACTTGAACTCAGCTCCGGACCAAGCAGACCTAATAGACATCTACAGAACTCTTTACCCCAAATTAACAGAATATACATTCTTCTCAGCACCACATTGCACTTATTCCAAAATTGACCACATAATTGGAAGTAAAACACTCCTCAGCAAATGCAAAAGAATGGAAATCATAATAAACAGTCTCTCAGACCACAGTGCAATCAAATTAGAACTCAGGATTAAGAAACTCACTCAAAACCACACAACTACATGGAAACTGAACAATCTGCTCCTGAATGACTACTGGGTAAATAACAAAATTAAGGCAGAAATAACTAAGTTATTTGAAACCAATGAGAACAAAGACACAATGTACCAGAATCTCTGACAACAGCTAAAGCAGTGTTTAGAGGGAAATTCATAGCACTAAATGTCCACATCAGCAAGCGGGAAAGATCTAAAATCGACACCCTAACTTCACAATTAAAAAAAAAAACTAGAGAAGCAAGAGCAAACAAATTCAAAATCTAGCAGAAGACAAGAAATAACAAAAATCAAAGCAGACCTGAAGGAGATAGTGACATGAAAAGCCCTTCAAAAAAAATAAATGAATCCAGAAGCTGGTTTTCTGAAATGATTAACCAAATAGACAGACCACTAGCCACACTAATAAAGAAGAAAGGAGAGAAGAATCAAATAGACACAATAAAAAAAGATACAGGGGATATCACCACTGATCCCACAGAAATACAAACTACCATCAGAGAACACTATAAAAAACCTCTACACAAATAAACTACAAAATCTAGAAGAAACAGATAAATTCCTGGGTACATACACCCTCCCAAGACTAACCCAAGAAGAAGTCAAATCCCTGTATAGACCAATAACAAGTTCTGAAATTGAGGCAGTAATTAATAGCCTACCAATCAAAAAAAGTCCAGGACCAGAAGAATTCACAGCAGAATTCTACCAGAAGTACAAAGAGGATCTGGTACCATTCCTTCTGAAACTATTCCAAGAAGTAGAAAAAGAGGAACTCCTCCCTAACTCATTTTATGAGGCTAGCATCGTCCTGATTCCAAAACCTGGCAGAGATACAACAAAAAAAGAAAATTTCAATATCCCTAATGAACCTTGATGTGAAAATCCTCAATAAAATATTGGCAAACTAAATCCAGCAGCACATCAAAAAGCTTATCCACCATGATCAAGGTGGCTGCATCCCTGGGATGCAAGGCTGGTTCAACATACACAAATCGAACAATGTAATCCATCACATAAACAGAACCAATGACAAAAACCACATGGTTATCTCAATAGATGCAGGAAAGGCCTTCAATAGAATTCAATACCCCTTCATGCTAAAAACTCTCAATAAACTACATATTCATGGAACATATCTCAAAATAGTAAGAGCTATTTATGACAAACCCATAGCCAATATCATATTGAATGGGCAAAAGCTACAAGTATTCCCTTTGAAAACCAGCACAAGACAAGGATGCTCTCTCTCACCACTCCTATTCAACGTAGTATTGGAAGTTCTGGCCAGGGAAATCAGGCAAGAGAAAGAAATAAAGGGTATTCAAATAAGAAGAGAGGAAGTCAAATTGTCTCTGTTTGCAGATGACATTATTCTATATTTAGAAAACCCCATCGTCTCAGCCCAAAATCTCCTTAAGCTGATAAACAACTTCAGCAAAGTCTCAGGATACAAAATCAATATGCAAAAATTACAAGCACTCCTATACACCAATAATAGACAAACAGAGAGCCAAATCATGAGTGAACTCCCATTCACAATTGCTACAAAGAGTAAAATATCTAGGAATCCAACTTACAAGGGATGTGAAGGACCTCTTCAAGGAGAGCTACAAACCACTGCTCAAGGAAATGAGAGAGGACACAAACAAATGGAAAAACATTCCATGCTCATGGATAGGAAGAATCAACATCATGAAAATGGCCATACTGCTTAAAGTAATTTATAAATTTAATGCTTTTCCCATCAAGCTATCATTGACTTTCTTCACAGAACTAGAAAAAACTACTTTAAATGTCATATGGAACCAAAAAAAAGAGCCTGCATAGCCAAGACAATCCTAAGCAAAAAGAACAAAGCTGGAGGTATAATACTACCTGACTTCAAACTATACTATGAGGCTACAGTAACCAAAACAGCACGGTACTGGTACCAGAATAGAGATATAGACCAATGGAACAGAACAGAGGCCTCAGAAATAACACCACACATCTACAACAATCTGATCTTTGACAAACTGACAAAAACAAGCAATGGGGAAACATTCCCTATTTAATAAATGGTGGTAGGAAAAATGGTGAGCCTTAAGCAGAAAACAGAAACTGTACCCCTTTCTTCACCTTATACAAAAATTAACTCCAGCTGGATTAAAGACTTAAACATAAAATCTAAGCCATAAAAACCCTAGAAAAAAAACCTAGGCAATACCATTCAGGACATAGGCATGGGCAAAGATTTCATATCTAAAACACTGAAAGCAATGGCAACAAAACCCAAAATTGACAAACGGGATCTAATTAAACTAAAGAGCTTCTGCACAGCAAAAGAAACTATCATAAGAGTGAACAGGCAACCTACAGAATGGGAGAAAATTTTTCCAGTCTACCCATCTGACAAAGGGCTAATATCCAGAATCTACAAAGAACTTAAACAAATTTACAAGAAAAAAACAACCCCGTCAAAAAGTGGGCAAAGGATATGAACAGACACTTCTCAAAGGAAGACATTTATGCAGCCAACAAACATATGAAAAAAAAGCCCATCATCACTGGTCATTAGAGAAATGCAAATCAAAACCACAATGAGATACCGTTTCATGCCAGTTAGAATGGTGGTCATTAAAAAGTCTAGAAACAACAGATGCTGGTGAGGATGTGGAGAAACAGGAATGCTTTTACACTGTATGTGGGGGTATCGGGGAACCTGCCCTGATATTCACGTAGGTTCTTTTCTATTTTCCCTAAGCGTTGGCCGGCTTGAGAAATAAAGGGACAGAGTACAAAAGAGAGAAATTTTAAAGCTGGGCATCCGGGGGAGACATCACATGTCAGTAGGTTCCATGATGCCCCACAAGCCGCAAAAACCAGCAAGTTTTTATTAGGGATTTTCAAAAGGGTAGGGAGTGTGTGAATAGGTGTGGGTCACAGACATCAAGTACTTTACAAGGTAATCGAGTATCACAAGGCAAGTGGAGGCAGGGTGAGATCACAGGACCATAGGACCAGAGGTCCAGGGCGAAATTAAAATTGCTAATGAAGTTTCAGGCACCATTGTCATTGATAACATCTTAGCAGGAGACAGGGTTTTGAGAGCAACCAGTCTGACCAAAAATTTATTAGGCAGGAATTTTCTCTTCCTAATAAGGCTGGGAGTGCTATGAGAGACTGGGGTCTATTTCACCCCTACAGTCTACAGACCCATAGGAGACGGCCACACCTAGGGGGGCTGTTTATAGGCCTATACCCCCAGGCGTGTATTCTCTTTCCCAGGGATTTTCCTTGCTGAGAAAAAGAATTCAGCAATATTTCTCCCATTTGCTTTTGAAAGAAGAGAAATATGGCTCTGTTCCACCCTGCTCACCAGCAGTCAGAGTTTAAGGTTATCTCTCTTATTCCCTGAACAATCGCTGTTATCCTGTTCTTTTTTCAAGGTGCTCAGATTTCATATATGTTCAAACACACATGCTCTACAATTTGTGCAGTTAATGCAATTATCACATGGTCCTGAGGTGACATACATCTACCTCAGCTGACAGGATTAAGAGATTAAAGTAAAGACAGGCATAGGAAATCACAAGGGTATTGATTGGGGAACTGATAAGTATCCATGAAATCTTCACAATTTATGTTTAGAGATTGCAGTAAAGACAGGCATAAGAAATTATAAAAGTATTAATTTGGGGAACTAATAAATGTCCATGAAATCTTCACAATCCATGTTCTTCTGCCATGGCTTCAGTTGGTCCCTCCGTTTGGGGGTCCTTGACTTCCCGCAACAGGGGGGTGTAAATTAGTTCAACAATTGTGGAAGACAGTGTGGTGATTCCTCAAGGATCTAGAACCAGAAATACCATTTGACCCAGGTATCCCTTTACTGAGTATATACCCAAAAGATTATACATCATTCTACTATAAAGACACATGCACATGTATGTTTATTGCAGCACTATTTACAATAGCAAAGACTTGGAACCAACCCAAATGTCCATCAATGATAGACTGGATAAAGAAAATGTGGCACATATACACCATGGAATACTATGGAGCCATAAAAAAGAATGAGTTCATGTCCTTTGCAGAGACGTGGAAGAAGCTGGAAATCATCATCCTCAGCAAACTAACACAGGAACAGAAAACCAAACACCACATGTTCTCACTCATAAGTGGGAACTGAATAATGAGAACACATGGACACAGGGAGGGGAATATCACACACCAGGGCCTGTTGGGGGTTGGGGGAAAAGGGGAGGGAGAGCATTAGGACAAATACCTAATGCATGCAAGGCTTAAAACCTAGATGATGGGTTGATAGGTGCAGCAAACCACCATGGCACATGTACACCTATGTAACAAATCTTCACGTTCAGCACATGTATCCCAGAACTTAAGGTACAATAAAATCAATAAATAAAAAATAATATGATACAGGATATCAAAGATGAAATGGTTAATTTAACAAAGAACCAAATTGACCTGACAGAGCTGAAAAAATACTATAAAAATTCCATACTACAATTGCAAGATTAAGAGCAGAATAGACCAAGCTGAAAACAGAATCTCCTCAGAGCTCAAAAACTTTTCTCCAAAATAACTCAGTCAATCAAAAATAAGGAAAAAAAATTTAAAAAGAATGACAGAAATCTCTGTGAAATATGGGATTATGTAAAGAGACCAAATCTATGACTCATTGTGTCTCCTAAAAAGAGAGAAAATAAATAAATTGGAAAACACATTTGAGGATATCATCCATAAAAATGTCCTCAGCCTCACTAGAGAGGCCAAAATTCAAATCCAGAAAATGCAGAGAATGCCTGAGAGAAACTATACAAGACAACCATCACTAAAAAACTAGTCACAAGATCCTCCAAAGTCAAAATGAAAGAAAAATGTTAAAGGCAGCTAGAGAGAAAGGGCAGGTTAAATAGAAAAGAAACCCCATGAGCCTCCCTTTGGTCACCTACAAAGGGAACAGTGGACTTTTCAGCAGAAACCTTAAAAGCCAGAAAAGATTGGAAGCCTATATTCAACATTCTTAAAGAAAAAAAACCCCAATCAAGAATTTCATATCAAGCCAAACTAAGCCTCATAAGCAAAGGAGAAATAAGATCCTTTTCAGACAAGCAAATGCTAAGGGAATTTGTTACTAGCAGACCTGCTTTACAACAGGCCCTTAAGGGAGTGCTAAACATAGAAACGAAAGACCATTATTGACCACCACAAAAACACACTTAAGTACATAGACCATTGACACTACAAAGCAACCACACAATCAAGACTGCATTATAGCCAGCCAACAACACATGTAACACAACAAGATCAAATCAAGTCCACACATATCAATGTTAACCTCAAATGTAAATGGGCTAAATGCCCAAATTAAAAAGCACAGAGTGGCAAGTTGGACAAAGAAGCAAGACCCAACTGCATGCTGTCCTCAAGATACCCATTTCACATGCAATGACACCTATGGGCTCAAAGTAAAGGGATGGAGAAAAATCTATCAAACATATGGAAAACAACAAAAAAGCAGAGCTTGCTATTCTTTTTTGTTGTTGTTGTTGTTGTTTTGAGACAGAGTCTCAGTCTCTCACCAAGGCTGGAGTTCAGTGGCGCAAACACAACTTACTGCAACCTCAATCTCCAGGGCTCATGTGATCCTCCCACCTCAGCCCCATGAGCAGCTGAGACCAGATGTGCACACCACCAGGGCTCAGCTAATTTTTTTTATTTTTTGTAGAGATGACGTCTCCCTATGCTGCCGAGGCTGGTATCAAAATCCTGGGCTCAAGCAATCCTCCCACCTCAGCCTCTCAAAATGCTGGCTTTACAGGCATGAACCACCATGCCCAGCCTAGGGATTGATAATCTGATCTCATACAAAACAGACTTTAAACCAACAACAATGAAAAAACACAAAGAAAAGCATTAAATAATGGTAAAATGTTCAATCAAACAAGAAGACTTAACTATCTTAAATATCTATGCACCCAAAACAAGACCACCCAGATTCATAAAATAAGTTCTTAGGGACCTATGAAGAGACTTAGATGACTACACAATAATAGCAGGAGAATGCAACACACCACTGACAGTATTAGACAGATCTTCAAGGTGGAGAACTAAAAAGATATTCAGGATCCGAATATCAACACTTAACCAAATGGGCCTAAGAGACATCTACAGAACCCTCTACACAAAAACAACAGAAGATACATTCTTCTCATCTTCCTATAGCCCATACTCTAAACCATACAATCAGCCATGAAAGAATCTTAAGCAAATTCAAAACAACTCAAAATCATACAAACCACACTCTAAGACCACAGCACAATGAAAACAGAAGTCAGTAATAAGAAGATATCACTCAAGACCATATAATTACCTGAAAATTAAACAACCTACACCTGAATGACTTCTGGGTAAACAATGAAATTAAGGCAGAAATCAAGAAATTCATTGAAACTAATGAGAACAAAGATAAAACATACCAGAATCTCTGAGACAGAGCTAAAGTAATGTTAAGAGAGAAATGTACAGTGCTAAATGTCCACATCACAAAATTAAAAAGATCTCAAGTAGGGGTGGTTGGCAAGATGGCTGAATAGGAACAGCTCTGGTCTGCAGCTCCCAGCAAAATTAACGCAGAAGGCGGGTGATTTCTGCATTTCCAACTGAGGTACCTGGTTCATCTCACAGGGACTGGTTAATATTAACGTTAAATGTAGATGGGCTACATGCTCCAGTTAAAAGACACAGACTGGCAAATTGGATAAAGAATCAAGACCCATCACTGTGCTGTATTCAGGAGACCCATCTCACATGCAGAGACACATATAGGCTCAAAATAAAGAGATGGAGGAAGATCTACCAAGCAAATGGAAAACAAAAAAAAAGGAGGGGTTGCAATCCTAGTCTCTGATAAAACAGACTTTAAACCAACAAAGATCAAAAGAGACAAAGAAGGCCATTACATAATAGTAAAGGGATCAATTCAACAAGAAGAGCTAACTATCCTAAATATATACACACCAAATACAGGAGCACCCAGATTCATAGAGCAAGTCCTGAGTGACCTACAAAGAGACTTAGACTCCCACACAATAATAGTGGGAGACTTTAACACCACACTGTCAACATTAGACAGATCAACGAGACAGAAAGTTAACAAGAATATCCAGGAATTGAACTCAGCTCTGCACAAGCAGACCTAATAGACATCTACAGAACTCTCCACCCCAAATAAACAGACTATACCTTCTTCTCAGCACCACATCGCACTTATTCCAAAATTGACCATATGGTTGGAAGTAAAGCACTCCTCAGCAAATGTAAAACAATAGAAATTATAACAAACTGTCTCTCAGACCACAGTGCAATCAAACTAGAACTCAGGATTAAGAAACTCATTCGAAACAGCTCAACTACATGGAAACTGAACAACCTACTCCTGAATGACTACAGGGTACATAACGAAATGAAGGCAGAAATAAAGATGTTCTTTGAAACCAGTGAGAACAAAGACAAAACATACCAGAATCTCTGGGACACATTTAAAGCAGTGTGTAGAGGGAAATTTATAGCACTAAATGCTCACAAGAGAAAGCAGGAAAGATCTAAAATTGACATCCTAACATCACAATTAAAAGAACTAGAGAAGCAAGAGCAAACTCATTCAAAAGCTGGCAGAAGGCAAGAAATAACTAAGATCAGAGCAGAACTGAAGGAGATAGAGACACAAAAAAACCCTTCAAAAAAAATCAATGAATCCAGGAGCTGCTTTTTGAAAAGATCAACAAAACTGATAGACTGCTAGCAAGACTAATAAAGAAGAAAAGAGATAAGAGCCAAACAGACACAATAAAAAATGATAAAGGGGATATCACCACCAATCACACAGAAATACAAACTACCATCAGAGAATACTATAAACTCCTCTACACAAATAAACTAGAAAATCTAGAAGAAATGGATAAATTCCTGGACACATACACCCTCCCAAGACTAAACCAGGAAGAAGATGAATCCCTGAATAGACCAATAACAGGTTCTGAAATTGAAGCAATAATTAATAGCCTACCAACCAAAAAAAGTCCAGGACCAGATGGATTCACAGCCAAATTCTACCAGAGGTACAAGGAGGAGCTGATACCATTCCTTCTGAAACTATTCCAATGAATAGAAAAAGAGGGAATCCTCCCTAACTTATTTTATGAGGCCAGCATCATCCTGATACCAAAGCCTGGCAGAGACACAACAAAAAAGAGAATTTTAGACCAATATCCTTGATGAACATCGATGCAAAAATCCTCAGTAAAATACTGGCAAACCAAATCCAGCAGCACATCAAAAAGCTTATCCACCACGATCAAGTGGGCTTCATCCCTGGGATGCAAGGCTAGTTCAACATATACGAATCAATAAGTGTAATCCAGCATATAAACAGAACCAAAAACAAAAACCACATGATTATCCCAACAGATGCAGAAAGGGCCTTTGACAAAATTCAACAGCACTTCATGCTAAAATCTCTCAATAAATTAGGTATTGATAGGACGTATCTCAAAATAATAAGAGCTATTTATGAAAAACCCACAGCCAATATCATATTGAATGGGCAAAAACTGGAAGCATTCCCTTTGAAAACGGGCACAAGACAGGGATGCCCTCTCTCACCACTCCTATTCAACATAGTGTTGGAAGTTCTGGCCAGGGCAATCAGGCAGGAGAAAGAAATAAAGGGTATTCAATTAGGAAAGGAGGAAGTCAAATTGTCCCTGTTTGCAGATGACAGGATTGTATATTTAGAAAACCCCATCATCTCAGCCCAAAATCTCCTTAAGCTGATAAGCAACTTCAGCGAAGTCTCAGGATAGAAAATCAGTGTGCAAAAATCACAAGCATTCTTATACACCAATAACAGACAAACAGAGAGCCAAATCATGAGTGAACTCCCATTCACCATTTCTTCAAAGAGAATAAAATACCTAGGAATCCAACTTAAAGGGATGTGAAGGACCTCTTCAAGGAGAACTACAAACCACTGCTCAACGAAATAAAAGAGGACACAAACAAATGGAAGAACATTCCATGCTCACGGATAAGAAGAATCGATATCGTGAAAATGGCCATATGGCCCAAGGTAATTTATAGATTCAATGCCTTCCCCATCAAGCTACCAATGAATTTCTTCACAGAATTGGAAAAAAATACTTTAAAGTTCATATGGAACCAAAAAAGAACCAGCATTGCCAAGTCAATCCTAAGCCAAAAGAACAAAGCTGGAGGCATCACGCTACCTGACTTCAAACTATACTATGAGGCTACAGTAACCAAAACAGCATGGTACTGCTACCAAAACAGAGATATAGACCAATGGAACAGAACAGAGAAATGCACATCAAAACCACAATGAGATACCATCTCATGCCAGTTAGAATGGCGATCATTAAAAAGTCAGGAAACGACAGATGCTGGAGAGGATGTGGAGGCTTTTACACTGTTGCTGGGAGTGTAAATTAGTTCAACCATTGTGGAAGATAGTGTGGTGATTCCTCAAGGATCTAGAACCAGAAATACCATTTGACCCAGCAATCCCATTACTGGGTATATACCCAAAGGATTATAAATCATTCTACTCTAAAGACACATGGACTTGTATGTTTATTGTGGCACTGTTCACTATAGCATAACTTGGAACCAACTCAAATGCCCATCAGTGATAGACTGGATAAAGAAAATGTGGCACATATACACTATGGAATACCATTCAGCCATAAAAAGGATGAGTTCATGTCCTCTTCAGGGACATGGATAAGCTAGAAACCAGCATTCTTGATAAACTAACACAAGAACAGAAAACCAAACACCACATGTTCTCACTCATAAGTGGGAGTTGAACAATGAGAACACATGGACACAGGAAGGGGAACATCACACACCAGGGCCTGTCAGGGGATGAGGGGCTAGGGGAGGGATAGCATTAGGAGAAATACCTAATGTAGATGATGGGTTGATGGGTGTGGCAAACCACTATGGCACGTGTATACCTATGTAACAAACCTGCATGTTCTGCACATGTACCCCAGAACTTAAAGTATAATTAAAAATAAAATAAATAAAAATTAAAAAAATAAAAAGATCGCAAGTAAACAACTTAACACCAAACCTTAAGGAACTAGAAAAACAAGAGAAAGCCAACCCCAAAGGTGGCAGAAGACAAGTAACAACCAATATCAGAGCTGAACTTAAGGAAATTGAAACAGACACACACACACACACACACACACACACACACACAAAACCACAAAAAATCAACAAACCAGACATCAGATCTTTAAAAGAATAAATAAGATAGACAGCTAGCTAGATTAATAAAAAATGAATACCCAAATAAACACAATTAGAAATAACAAAGGAGACATTACCACCAACCACATGGAAATACAATAAACCATCAGAGACTATTATGAACACTTCTATACATCTACAAGAAATGGGTAGTTCCTGGAAATATACAACCTTCCAAGACTGAAGCAGGAGGAAATTTAAACCTTGAACAGACCAATAACAAGTTCCCAGATCAAATCAGTAATAAAAAGCCTACCAACTGGAAAAAGCCCAGGACCAGACAAACTCACAGCTGGATTCTACCAGACATACACAGAAGATCTGGTACCATTCCAACTGAAACTGTTCCAAAAAATTGAGGAGGAGGGACTCCTGCCTAACTCATTCTATGAGGCCAGTATTATCCTGATACCAAAACCTGGCAAAGACACAACAAAAAAAGAAAATTTCAGGCCAATATATCAGTCTCTCACCAAGGTGAGATGATCAAAGATGCAAAAATCCTCCACAAAATACTGGGTAATTAATACAGCAACACATCAAAAACCTAATTCACCATGATCAAGTAGGCTTTATCTCTGGGATGCAAGGTTGGCTTAACATATGTAAATCAATAAATGTGATTCATCACATAAACAGAACTAAAAACAAAAAACACATAATCATCTCAATAGATGCAGAAAAGGCTTTCAATAAAATTCAATATCCCTTCATGTTGAAAACCCTCAACAAACTAGGCACTGAAGGAATATGCTTCAAAATAATAAGGGCCATCTATCACAAACCACAGCCAACATCATATTGAACAGGCAAAAGATAGAAGGTTTCCCCATAAGAACTGGAACAAGACAAGGATGTTCATTCTCACCACTCCTATTCAACATAGTACTGGAAGTCCTAGCAGAGAAATCAGGCAAGAGAAAGTAATAAAGGGCATCCAAATAGGAAGAGAGGAAGTTAAACTATCTCTGCAGACATATGATTTTGTACCTAGAAAACCCTACAGTCTCTGCCCAAAAGTTCTAAGATCTGATAAATAACTATAGCAAACTTTCAGGATACAAAATCAACGTACAAAAATCAGTGGCATTTCTATACACCAATACCATCTAAGCTGCATGTCAAATCAAGAACACAATCCCATTCACAATAACCACAAAAAAATTAAATACATAGTAATACCGCTAACCAGAGAGGTGAACAATATCTACAATGAGATTTGCAAAACACTGCAGAAAGAAATCAGAGATGACACAAAAGGAAAAACATTACATGCTCATAGATGGGAAGAATCAATATTATTAAAATGACCATACTGTCCTAAGCAATTTACAAATTCGATGCTATTCCTATCAAACTACCAATGACATTCTTCACAGAGTTAGAAAAAAACTATTTTAAAATTCATATGGAACCAAAAAGAGCCTAAATAGCCAAGGCAATCCTAAGCAAAAAGAGTAAAGCTGAAAGCATCACATTACCTGACTTTAAACTATGCTTCAAGGCTACAATTACCAAAAGAGCATAGTACTGGTACAAAAACAGACACATAGACCAATGGAACAGAATAGAGAGCCCAGAAATTAAGCCACACACTTCTAGCCAACTGATCTTCAACAAAGTTGAAAAAAACAAGCAATGGAGAAAGGACTACCTACTCAATAAATGGTGCTGGGAAAACTGGCTAGCCATATGCAGAAGATTAAAACTAGACCCCTTCCTTACACCATATACAAAAATCAACTCAAAATGGATTAAAGAATGTAAAAAGCTAAAACTATAAAACTCTGGAAAATAACCTAGAAAATATCATCCTGAATATAGGCCCTGCCGAAGATTTCATGACAAAGATGCCAAAAGCAATCTCAACAAAAACAAAAATTGACAAATGGGACCTAATTAAACTAAAGAGCTTCTGCACAGCAAAAGAGACTATCAACAAAGTAAATAGACAACCCACAGAATGGGAGAAAATATTTGCAAACTATGCATCCAACAAAGGTCTAATATCCCAAACCCATAAGGAGCTTAAACAAATTAACAAGCAAAAAAGAAACGACCCCATTAAAAAGTGGGCAAAGGATATGAACAGACTCTCTTCAAAAGTAGACACATAGACAGCTAGTAAGCATATAAAAAATGTTCAACATCACTAATTATAGCAATACAATCAAAACCACAATTAGATAGCATCTCGCACCAGTCAGAATGGCTATTATTAAAAAGCCAAAAAAGTGGCAATTTCTCAAAGAACTACCATTTCACCCAGCAATTCCATTATTGAGTATACACCCAAAGGAATATAAATTACTCTGCCATAAAGACACATGCACCTGTATATTCATTGCAGCACTATTCACAGTAGCAGAAACATAGAAGCAACCTAAATGCCCATCCACAGAAGATTGGATAAAGAAAATGTGGCACATATATACCATGAAATACTATGCAGCCATAAAATAAAAATGAGATTGGCCAGGTGCAGTGATTCATGCCTGTAATCCCAGCACTTTGGGAGGCCGAGGCAGGTGGATCACTGGAGGTCAAGAGTTTGAGACCAGCCTGACCAACATGGTGAAACTCTATCTCTACCAAAAGATACAAAAATTAGCCGGGCATTGTGGCACGTGCCTGTAGTCCCAGCTACTCAGAAGGCTGAGGTGAGAGAATCATTTGAACTCAGGAGGCAGAGGTTGCAGTGAGCCAAGATTGTGCCACTGCATTCCAGCCTGGGTGACAGAGTGAGACCCTGTCTCAAAAAAAAAAAAAAAAAATTTAATGAGATCATGTTTTTTGCACCAGCATGGATGGAGCCAGAGGCCATTATCCTAAGTGAACTAACACAGGAGCAGAAAACTAAACACCACATGTTCTCACAAGTGGGAGCTAAACATTGTGTACATATGGACAGAAAGAAGGAAACATTAGACACTAGGGCCTACTTAACGGCGGAGGGTGGAGGGAGGGTAAGGACCCAAAAACTACCTGTCTGGTACTATGCTCATTACCTGGGTGATGAAATAATCTGTACACCAAACTCCCAAAACAAGCAATTTATCTAGCTAACAAACCTGCACATGTAACCTGAAACTAAAAGTTTAAAAATAAATATAAATTTAAAATAAAATAAAATAATCAGGGAAAAAAAGAGTGAGGTTATTCTGGTTTATCTGGGTAGGCCCAATATAACCACAGTAGTACTTAAATTCAGAAGAAGGAGGTAGGAGAGTCCATGTCAAGGTGATAGAGTGAAAGAAAGACTCCATCAGCTACTGGTTTGGAAGATGGAAGTGGGACATGAGCCATGGAATGCTGGCAGGCTCTAGAAGCTGGAAAAGGGAAGAAAATAGATTTTCCCCTAAAGCCTCCAGAAGATCACAGCTCCGTTGACACCCTGATTTTTAGCAAGGCCCATTTTGGACTTCTAACCTCCAGAACTGTAAGATTAATAAATGTGTATTGTTTTAAGCTACAAAATGTGTGGTTATCTGTTGTAGCAGTGATAGGAAGCAATTGCACTATTATTTTAGGGGTACTATAAGGATTAAATGAGTTAGTATCTGTAAGAGTGTTCTTGGCATATGCCAGCCTCATCTGAGCATCATCTATCTCCCTATATGGGGAGAATATCCGAGGGTTGAATGTCCTTGGCTGCCCAGTGCACTTGAGATAGCACTACTTCAATATATAATTTCATAAATTATGATAAATATACTCAAATGTAATTATGTAAATACAAGACTTCAAGACACAATTTTAGACCATGTAGTTTAAGACATAGACAATATTATAAGGCATTTTCTTCTAAGTCCCAATGTCATTTCTCTCTCACCAAAATGCTGTGTCTGGATAGAAGACAATTGAATTGACTCTGAAGATCGGAGTCTTATAATTGTAGATGCCAGTTTTGAAACTATGAATTGCTACACAATTTCTTACCTCCTCCTTTCCATCACCTAAAAAGGACAGATTTTTATATTCACTATTGAGCATTTCTGTCCTTAATAAATAGCCTGATCCAATGCAAAGGCAATGATTAATATTTTCACTAATTAGGGAAGAGCACATTCATTATCAACTGTAATCATTTGTTGGCTTAAACTGGAGTCTCCTTTGTTTAATAAACTCATCACTGCCATTTATTAAAATACAATGCATAGCCAGGAACACCCTTCTGCCATGCATCACCTGGCTATGTCCCACTGGAGATTTAAACTCTGTGAGGCACCCCCTGAATGGCAAAGTTCTCCCACACATGGGAGAGTGCTCTTCCTTTTTATTTCTGTTGTTACCTGTACTGATCTCTCTCATAGACTTACCCAGGAATGCTGATGTGATTACTGGCTTTCTCTATAGCCTCTCCCACCAGGCTGTGAGCCCCCTTGAGTACAGGCATTATGTTTATACCTAACTGGAAGAGAGTATGTTGAACTTATCAAATCCAAATTTGATTAGTTCCTGAATTTTCCTAATGTCACTTTAAAAAATAACTGTTTCCAAAAGGGAGAAAATTCTGGTCCTAAAGGAGGCATCAGAAATTGGGGGTATGCCCTCTGAATGTCTGTTTTACACTCATGGCTTTGAGTCTGAGATCAGGGTGGTAGCCTGAGCTCATTGTACCTTGTAAGAAGCCCAAGGCCAAATCCACAAAGAGAACCAACTGCAGGTCTCAAAGAATTACAAAATTCAAAAACTGAATTAATTTCCTTTAGCAAGTTTTCTATAAGGGGCTGAAATCTTTGCTGAAAATTTGAGAGAGTTTCTAAAAAACCTTCAATCCTCTCATCTGGCAAGAGAGTCTTGGGTTTTTGTCTAACCTCAGGAAACACAACTTCAGTGCATGCTGCAAACAAATCGCACCCTCAGACAGGTGACCTTGGCAACCTGGAGTGAAGAGTTATGCTGTTCAGGACAGCAGTCACCAGCCACATGTGGCTGTTGAACCCTAGAAGTACTCTAAGTGAAAAATATACACCCAATTTCGAAGGCAATACAAAGACTGCAGAATATTTCATTAATAATTTTTATATTGATTGGATGTTGAAATAACATTTTTATGTGTTGGATTAAATAAAATATGTTATTAAAATTAAATTAACCTGTTTCTTTTACTTCTTTTTTACATGTGGCTATATGAACCTGACATGTGTAAAATTACACCTGTGATTTATGCTATGTTTCTGTAAAACAACTTCTAACTATAAGGTAGGCACAGAGAGGTTACATAACTGGGCAAAGCCTCACAGTGAGTTTTGAACCCAGGTAGTGAGACCCCAAGGGCCACACCCTTAGCCACTGGCCTATATGATTAAAAAGCACTTAGCACAGTGGCTGGCACATGGTAAATATTTATGTTAGCAATTTGTAATACAACTTAATTTTGTCTCTCACTCTTTTATTACAATATATTCAGTGGGTTGGGTTCTTCCCATGCTCTTGGTCAAAACCTCAGACATCCTTATAACTTATCTCATTACCTTTGGGTAATGTAAAGTCCTATAGCCATGTTAAGTGGCAAAAAAAGTCTTGATTCAGAAATTATCAGAAAATCAGGCCACATTATATTAGTCAATACTTCTAGTCCTACCATCTCCTACCAATACCCACCTTCCTGTCCCCAACCCGTCTGCCTCCCGCTCCATCCTAACTGTAGCCATAAAGAAATCTTTTGAAGTGAAGTGGATTGTCCACTGTGACAATGTTTGGTCTGGGAATGTTGCTCAGAATTTCAACCCTTATCACCAAACTGCTATTTCTCATTGCTTTTCCATTAGAATATCAGAAGAAAAAATCAAGTGAGCAGTTTTTTATTTGTCCCACAGGTCCTAAACCATTAGCTTTTATTATATGAGGTAAAACCCTAAAGAAATATTTTTGTTGCAGTAACATTGGTTAAGAGTTTACTTTCTTTACTGCTGTAAGTTAAGTGAGAATTTTATGCCCTCCTCCACCCCATTCGTGATTAAACCAATCTTATAAAAACTGGATTGTTCCTGGAATGTTCATGACTTGGCTAAAGGTGTCACTGTCTTCATGAGGTCCATTTCACCAGCAATTTATCCAAAGGAAGGCTATGTTGATTCCAGTCAGGTTTCAACAATCCACTTAAAACTTTCTAATTTCACTTCTTGGTAATTATTCCCCCAGCATTTCCTGTAACTGTGCCTTATCTGATTCTTTCACCCCAGAATGTTATTTTTATTGCAGTGTAAAACAGAAAACATTTTGAATTATAATTGGAAGTTCTGACTGGTTTTCCATTTGATGCTGAATAATTTAATCCTGGCTAATTAGGCATGTGGAACCCTCAATTCACCCTGCAGAAAGGCTCACCCTGACTTCTGACGATGTTTCTGGAATACAGTTAATTGTCAGAAGTCATGTGTAGTGATAATGAGCACATCTTTGCCTCTTTTGCCCTCAGGAGGGAAACTGGAGATTTCTAAAGTGGTATTTAGATGAGCTATGGCGCTTTTTCAATGTTCTAAATTATGAAATGGAACATCCTGGAAGCAACTGGACCATCCATTTTACCCAGTTCTCAGTTCAAAGGGAATGTGCCTGCCTCGAGACTCTTACTCTGGGATTTCCCCGGAAACAGAAAGTTAGCCTCAAGTCACTTTTCACTTTTTTTTATTTAAGAAAAACGGGCAACTGCCTTTGTTCTGCAGCCTTCCAAAACTCGAGTTTATTCTTCTGAAGATTTAAGCAGAGTTACAAGGTGAAGATTTGTGCCTGTGCTAGTTAGCAGCTCCTACTTCAGTTGGAGGGCTTAAGCTATAAAAAGACAAAGGAGACCGATAGGACAAGAGTACTTCTGGAATCCTTATAGAAGTGCTTCTCTGACAAATGTAAATTTTTGGACTGAAAAATCACATCTATTCTTAAACATATTTTCATCAGAATCTGACAGCCCTGCAAGTGCCTTCTGCCTATATTCGTTTATTAAATGTTGACTTCATATAACCAACCATTTTCATCTTTTAGAAAAGTTTCATCTGTTCTAAAAGAAGAAAGCTGTCAACATAATTTTAATTTTTTCTGACACATCTTTTTATGTTTTTATATTTGCATTTTTTTTCTTTTTCACATTATTTGGTCTATTATATGAAAGAATCTCCTTTCAAGTACTGATAAGAGAAAATTCAAGAGGACATCAAATTCAATTGATTTTATTTTATTGTGTTCTTAAGGATGAAACGTATCCAAGGAATCAGATTTATAGAGCTGAAAGGGAGCTTTAAGATCCTTCCACATCTGAGAGCACAAACTGAAAGTCCTGCTCAGAATGCATCCCCCAGAGGGACTTCTGTTTGACTGCTCTGCAAAGGCAGCTCAAGCTTTTTAAAAGATGATACCTGTCACAGGACAGGAATCATCCTGTACCACAATTGAGGCAGTTTTGTATCTACCATATTACATCCCTGCAACCTCACCCATTTACCCTAATCACATGCTTCTTGCACACAGGTGGGTTTGACAAATAGCTTCACTTCTTAGCAAATGGTACCGAAGTCCAAAGAGACTAATAATCTGACCATGATCTATTTCTGGTGGGTGGCAATACCAAAGGCTAGAACCAGAGACTCTCAACCACCAAGCCATTCTTCTCTCCATTGTGCTATATTCTTCAGCACATTTAAGGGATAAAAGAGTCACTGCATCATCACTGTGCATTTCAGCACTGCTTCTCATATTGGGGACCCTGACATCCACTCCTATACACAAAGAAGTTGCCAGATAGTTGACAGTTGAACAAAAACTGCAAAATGTAGAGGCTATCAAAGGCCAAAGACTTCCTCATACAAGCTCTAGAGATTGAGGCTCTTTTTCTAAAGCTCTCTCTGGTCTTCAGCTAATAGTTATTATTTACTGAGCCACTAGTACATGCCAGCAGCATGCAAAGCACTGGCACTTAATCATTTCATATTATCTCATTTAATCTTCACTAAGCTATGAAGTAGGTCTTGTTTTACACATAAGGAAACTGAGGCTTGGACACCAATAAATCTCCCAGGGTCACACAGCCAGTAAGTGACCACAGCAGAACTTTATTTGAAAACAAGCCCACTGTACTACTACTACCAGCAAGTAACTTCTTCTCCATATAGTCAAATCAAGCAAAATGTTATTGAAAATAGCTTTTACCCTATCTTTGCTTTTTATCCTGGCCTATCCTTGATCAAAAAGAGAAAATATGTTACTAGCCTTCTCCCAAACCTGGAAAATTTTATCATCAAATCAGTTTATGACTTCCCTAGTAACCCTCAGCAAAGGACTGATGGTACATCCCAAGTGCTTGAACTTGTTGTGATTATAGCCTAAATTCATTACACTGATTCTTATTATGTTTTCAATAGAATAGAGTAACTTCACCCACCCACCAAACTATATTATATTCTATTCCATTCTCTTCTTTTACTTTTCTCACAAGTTAAATAACTCCAAATCCTTGCAGTATTATTCAAAGGGCCTATTTCCAATAGTATAAGCAAATCTACTCATCTTTCCTAAATGAGTGGTCTCCTAACTAGGGTGTGTGGATGCAAAAACTCTTCCTTAGGCTCTCTGAGAGTCCTGTGAGAGTCGATTTCCAGATTCTCAGACACCGTCTATCCTCTTTCCTAAAAATGACCTTCCTGAGAACAAATGTAATCAGAGCACCATGCTGGCTCTCGTTCCCTCCTCCTCTTTCATAATAGCCCTTGTCCTGTTTTGTGAAAGAAAGGCAGACCTCACCCTTGCTGCATCTTACAGCTGTGCATTACTCTGCAATGAAGAAGCCTCAGGAGCAACAAACGGACAAATCAAAACATTGCTGTTGACCTTGTTGTTGAGAAAGTGAGTGACTCTCTAACTGGGTTATGTATCCTTTTATGAGTCAGATGGTTTCTAATTTATTATTTTAATCTAGCTAAATAAAGACTGAGTCAAACAATCCACTGATTTAAAAAAAACTTTCTTTTCCTGTTCTTATGAAAGATCACTGGATGATTTTTTGGCATCTAACTTGAAAGGAGTCCAAAGAATTGACTGGCACTGAAATAACAAAACTTTCCATTTATTCATTTATGAACAAGGTTTCTCATTGCTTACAAATATAAAAAATGAAAAATAGATGTAACATTGATGCTAACTCGGTTTCATTCTAGCATTATTAATCCACAGATACAAGAACTAACTTTAAAAACTTCCATCTCTTTAAGAGACTTATTTCCAATTAATTTTACTTTTTATATTTAATAAATACCCCAACCTGTAATGATAATCTGTACAAAAAAAGTTAATACTTTGAAACTTATGGTGAGAGAAATATGCTAAGATAAATTCAACTTCAACATAAATAGCTGCAGTATTTAGACTCTTAAATGTATTTGATGCGTTTAATAGGAATGCAATAAAATAAAATTATTTTAAAAGAGGAATGCAATAGCTATATTTTGAAATGCTCATATTTACAATACATAGTAAGTTACACTGCCAGGGACTGAATGCTTGTGTCACCCCAAAATTTATATGTTGTGCTCCTAATTCCCAATTTGATGGTATTTGGATGTGGGGCCTTTGGGAGGTAATTAGGTTTAGAAGAAGTTTTGAGGGTGGGACACTCATGATAGGATTAGTCTCCTTATAAGAAGAGGAGGACCAGAGCCCTTTCCTTCTACTGTGTGAGGATATGGCAAGTAAGTAGCCATCTGCAAACCAGGGAGAGAGCCCTGAGATACCGAATCTGCCAGCACCTCAATCTCGGGCTTCCCAGCCTCCAGAACTATGAGAAATAAATGTTTCTTGTTTAAGCCACCCAGTCTGTGGTATTTTGGTATAGAGGCCCAAACTGACTAAGACATACACATCTACTTAAACTTACATTGAAAATTTCAGAAGTTAAAGATTTAAAAAGTTAAAAATGTGGAAAGGGGCCGGGCGCAGTGGCTCACGCCTGTAATCCCAGCACTTTGGGAAGCAGACGGGGGTGGATCACTTGAGGTCAGGAGTTCGAGACCAGCCTGGCCAACATGGTGAAACCCCATCGCTACTAAAAATAAAAAAATTAGCCGGGTGTGGTGGCAGGCAACCATAGTCCCAGCTACTCAGGAGGCTGAGGCACGAAAATTGCTTGGACTCGGGAGGCAGAGGTAGCAGTGAGCCAAGATCCCACCATGGCACTCCAGCCTGGGTGACAGAGTGAGACTCTGTCTCAAAAATAATAATAATAATAATAATGTGGAAACGAATTCCTTAGAAGCACGCAAGGAAAAAAAAATGAAGATAATATCTATGAAGAAACTCCAAAGCTCTTTTTATCCTTCTTCATGTTTATTCCTATAGCCTAGATTTAATGGTCTTTAGTAAAAATATCCCAAAAGTTCACAATGTCTTGGTTAAATCTTAGCCCAGTGCTGCCTCTAGGAGAATTACTTTTTGATTCCTACATCTTTTTTTTTATTTCTTATTTAAACATCTCAGACTTACCCTTTTAGGAGATAGTTCTATTTCCTCACTGTCCCACAAATCCTTTCCTATTATAAGTATGCTCAAACAGTGTGGAAATATGATATATATGTCATATTACAATGAAACTAGCAGTGAGCTTAGAGGGAACAGAAAACTTTCACTTTTTGGTCCTCTCCCCATTCACTGCTAGTGAACATCTTAAGGCAGGATGGCTTGGAGTAGCCCGACATCCCTCAATAGTTTTCCTTCACTCCTGTTCTTCCTTGGGTCAAACAAAGATGTCTGCAAGTCTTGAGCCCTGCTAAATCTCTGTAAACAGGAATAAAAGGGAGAGGGGGAAAATGCCAATTTCCCTCATATTCATCTGATATATAAAATTAATAATTTAATTTTATAATATTTGGCATGGGGAGCCAAGGAATCTGGTCATGGCTTTGGACTGTTTAAAATCAAGATTAGAACCAGGCACAGTGGCTCATACCTGTAATTCCAACAACTTGGGAGGCTAAGGCAGGAGGATTGCTTGAGCTCAGGAGTTTGAGGCTGCAATGACCTATCGTCATACCACTGCACTCCACGCCGGGCCACAGAGCAAGACCTCATCTCTATAAAAAACAAAAAACAAAAAAATTTAATTAAATTAAATTGAACCTCCAAAGACCAAGATTCAAGGTTGCCATCCATGTATCCTGTAACAACAGTAACTATATTCCGGCAATTTCACAAGAACGGACCTGCTGATTGCTGTAGAGGACTTGGGGAAATATTGCAAGTCTGGAGTTCAGACCTTACTCAGAGATTCTGTCTCTCTGAACCACCTCCAGCTTCTGAGAGATGACTGACCTCATGTGGTCAACAAAAACCTCTTAAGATCCTTTCTGACAAATGGTGTTTCTCTTTTTTCACCCAGGACAATGTGTGCTACCATCTACAGAAAGGACGGGCCTTATTTCCCCCAATATCCAGTCCTTTGATTAGTGCTCCCACTCAGGTGATGATATATTTAATCCTAGAGCCATTGAAAGCAGTGTTCTTATAAATATATTGATGGGAGACACTCAATAAGCATTTTGGGGCATCTAGGTTCAAGAGCTGCAATGGAAAACATGAAAGGAAGAAGAAAAAGGAGGAGGAAAGAGGAGAAAGAGGAAGAAAAAGAAGAGAAGGAGGAAGAAATGTCTCCAGCCTTAAAGAGAATTCATTCCATCTAGCTGAGAAGGCAAGATAACAGCAGAGAGTGTGCTCCAGTAAAAGATACTGTTCAGATGCTTAGTCATGACTTAAAACCAAATATGGCCTATAGACACAGCAGGGAATGGCAATTAGCAAATTTCTTAATTAGGATACTTCTTAACCTTCTAGAGTCAATTTTAGTTTTTTTCATACAACCAAGAATTGTTGCTATTTATTAAATACAGAAATACCTATGAACAAACTCGAGTGCATTTCCACCAATGTGTTTGCATTTCACCACCTCACATTTCACCACAGGGACCCAGGTTCAGTCAATGTCATGCTGTGATTCCTGCAAGTAAGGTATAGGGTAAAAATGAAGCTAGCATTTTTCCTTCCAGATAAATGTATAATCAAAATCCTGATTCATGGATTTGCTAATTGAACTTCCTGCTGTGGACATAGAACATTCTTGGCAGGAAGCATAAGGAACTGTTTCAGAGGGCTCAAATTGCCTTATTTTTTTTTAAGTACTTCAATATGCCTGTCTTTGAAGAGTGATTGGAAATAAAAGAATGTCAGTGGGAGTTAATTCAGGAAAGAGGTAAAGGAGAAAAAAAATGGTTGTAGAAATGTGATCGGCAAATGAGAAGAAATTAGCAAGGGAGTTCATCTAGTATGATGGGTCTCTCTGCTCTTGAAACTCAAGAAACCATTAAGCAGCAAGGAGTTTGCTCCTTGTTTCCATCCTGGCATGGACAGTAATGTCAGCTTCTGGTCAACTCCAGCTGTTTGTGCTTTCACTGATTTGCCAGGCAATATCTTGACAGCCCACATCCTGCTAGGCACTGGGGCTTAGAAATTACAGAAATTGTCTCTGGCTCCAGGGTGGAAGCACCAGGGTGCTCATGAGCAGAGTTACTCTGATGGGCCACCCCCATTCACCTGTCTCAGCATCAGCAAATGTCTTAAGTATCTGATTTTCTCCATTATCTTCCTCTCCACTCCAAACTTCAACTTCAGCTAGCTTTGTGGGTCCTGCTTATTGACTTCATTCCTATGAACCCTATCTCTAGTACAAAGTAAATGCTCAATAAATATTTGTTGAATTTATAAATAATTATGCCTATTTCCACCTCTTTCCCAACTTCCCATCTCTTTCCATCTCTTTCCCACCCAGCAGTGGAAGTTAAGGAGGACTCTGAATAAGGGAAGGCTGGTGCTTGACCTCAAGAAAACAATGCATGCAGCTGGGAGAGAGAAAGCAAGGGGTGCTTTTAGGGTGGTGAGATCAGGAAAGGTGAGTCTGACACTTCTTCCAATTGGCAGTGAAGGAAGGGAGGAAAATCTGATGGGACAAGTTGTGTCCACAAGTACTTTGTGGGGTAAGTATTCTCAGAAGTGGGATCCCCATTGACAGTGAGAATGATCAGGAAGGAGAAGAACCAGTAAGTCACCAAATTAACAACATACCACACCTGATAGAGTCCTTTTATTTAAAATATCTGTTTTTAGTTTAAAAATATTCTATTCTAGAGTCAGCAGTCATATCTTGTCTAAAAAATAAGCTTCTTTTTAAATTCTTGGTTCCCTTTAAGTCTAATTTTTCACATTCTGATTAAACACTCTTCTATCTGCTCTTGCCCTTAAGAAATCATCATACAACCAAAATACTGCTTAAAGAAAATGGTGTCCAGACTTGCTATTTACCTTCCCGATTTTACCTATAATATAAGCACACTTATCTCTCCAGGGATTTGCAGTGTAAACCGAATAAATCTCTCACTTTAATAATACAGCCCTATGGTAACTTAAATCTCAGCTATTTCTGAAATATCATATTGGTAAAGTAATCCTACCACACAGGGTTTTCCTTTTCACACATATGGCAAAATGAGATGTACCCACTAAATTGTACCCCAGGCGCTGAACAGCAGTCTGTCATTATTAAGAAAGGTTGCAAAGATACCTGCTCTGCCAAGTGCTTGCATATTTAAATTTCTAAAAGCCTGAGATGACAGACTATGTGTTGTGTGTCTGAAGATAAAAGCACCTATGTTCATTATAGCCAGGCAATAAGCAGCATGAGATATGAGTGATGCTAATCCCCAGCTAGCCTTTTTACCTTCAAAATTGGGTTGCCATTGTGTCCAAGAAAAGAGGTAGAATTAATTTCCTATATGTCATAAATAATAATTCTTCTGTAATTCCATCCTCAACTCTAACATGCATACATACAAGATGTACCTCTTTTACTTGGCTCTTGTCCAATGTAGAATCTTCACCCCTGCTAAGGTAACTTCATGTTGGAAGCCCTCACCTTTCAAAGGAAAAGCTCCTTTCACTGTACAAAGGTCTTCTGAGGCACCAGATCCATGACAGTATTTGCAGCTTTATTAGCACAGGGGATTTCAATTCACCGTTTCATCCTTCTCCACTCTTGCAAATCCCTCAAGCACCCAACTCTGGGAGTGTGACATTGGCAGAACTCTACAATTGACCCATGCCCTCCAGGAATTATATTATTTGGCACGTAAATTATTTATTTTGTTGTTCCTTCTCACAAATATTCTCTCCCAACCAACTCTTTGTTAGTCACCACTCTCGTTGAGTGACTTAATTTAGAATTTCATTAGAATTGCTCAGTAACAGTAATTAGCCTGAGCATTCACCCATATGCATTGCATACCTACAAAAGGGCAGGGAAGTAGAACGTGTTTTTAAGAAAAACTCATTTATTTCCCTTCACTTCCCTTCACTTCACATCCTTTAAGATGAACTGCAGCCCCCAGCCAAAATACAAATAAATGCACTACTTTATTCCTTCAATCAGAAAATATCTACTAAGTACCTACTGTGGGTTAAATACTGTACTAAGTCCCATGGAAAGCAAAGGTTATAGCTCAGTTCATTCACTTAAATCAGCCCCACCCCACCTGCCACTCACCCTGGGACATTTAGCAATGCCTGGAGATATTTTGGGGTTGTCGCAACTGAAGGAGGAGTGTTGCTGGCACCTATAGTAGGTGGAGGCCAGGAATGCTGCTAAACAGTCTACGGTACACAGGACAGCTCCCCACACAGATTTATCCAGCCCCAAATGCCAGTAGTGCTGAGGTTGAGAAACCTTGCCCTGAATCAGAAATGTGATCAAATAATCATTTGAAATGCTAACCTATTTTTGTTCTGTGATGTTTCCCTTTCTTTTCCACTGTGATCAAGTTGGTACAGTCCGCTCTATGTCCCTTGCCTTGGGACAAACAGGTACATGGCAAGAAAACAGAGGCCTCCAAGGCTTTCCAACTTTTGTGGGAAGAGGATTTGAGAGCAAAGACCAAATTTCCTGGAGAAAGTTGAAAGACTGAAAAGAGGTGCTTACCCAAGATTGAAAAGAGGTGCTTCTGGATTAGGGGAGATAGGAAAGACAGAAAGAATCTGTGTGTCCCAAGTACAGAAGGCACCCGGGCCTTGCTTCCTGGCAGCATCCGAGAGTTGGAGAGAGAGGAGTGGCCACGGATCACATCTGGATCATGGGTAGCTCTGCTGCAGATTCCCATGCATGGCCACAGGGAGCCATCAGACCTGGAGGAGTCATGTCTACAAGGATGATGGCCATCTGAATGAAACCTGCTACTCCAGGGCCTTGGACCCTCATAATAATGGTAGCGATTTTAAGGTAGTGTGTGCATAAGACTACCACAGAGAAAACAGACGTTTATTGGTGAATCTGTCATGAGAACAATCTCCATAATCTCACAGGCTTATAACAATAAACATTTATTTTGTGCTCATGTTTCAAGTCAACTTCTGCAGCACCACGTGTTTTCTCAACTAGGACTCAAGCTGAACCAACAGCCCCTATTTGCAACAAGCCATTCTTGTGGCAGAAAGGATGAGAGAGTTAGCTGGCAGAAACGTAAATAATTTCTCTAAGAGAAGCATGGCCTATGTCACATTTGTTCACATTCCATTGGTCAAAGCAAGTCACACGATCAAGGCCAACACCAATGAGGTGGAGATGGATGATTGTTACAAGGAAAGAGGAGTAAGTTGTAGAGAAAACAAATAATTACCACAAAGAGCTAATATCAGAAAACATAAGATAATTATGGGGCAAAGTGAGAGGCTATGGGAATCCTATAAGGTGAAAGACAAGATGAATGAGAAAAAGCACCACGAACCATGTGGACATGGTGGGAAGAAAGAAACTGATGTTGGTTGGACCTGAACAATGCCTTTGTACGTATTACATCAGTTAATCCAACTATCCTATGAGAAAACAAACTCATTACCTCGCCCATGATCATTCAAGTAGTAGTTGATTAAATACCTTGTCCTAAAACCCACATGGCAGAAATGAGTAAAATTTAGACAGCTAAAAGGAAGAGAAGATAGTATTGTAGGCAGAAGGAAAGCTAAGACTATAGGCACAGAGGCAGGATTTTCATTTTCACATGACAGTGAAAGTCTGCCCTAATCAGAATGGCAGGCTAAGTCAGAGAGCTGTAAGAACTAAAGATTAGCAGGAGAGATCAGGTGATAAGGGGCCTTTTTAATGCAGAAGAGGAGTAAGAGGAGAAATGATGGCTCAGAGTCAAGACCTTCTGCCATAACTAGCTGGGTGAGCTTAGGCAAGTGTCTATGGGATCCAGAGTTGAACTCATTCATTTATGGAATGGAGACGTGTGAGGGAGAAAACACAGGGGTACATGATTTCTAAACTTCCATAAGGAGGCAATGCATAGAGGTGTAATAGATTTTAGGGAGAAGATATCAACTCAGCACTGCAAGGCCTCTTGCTTTCTTGTCCCTTCCCAGTTCCTGGGTATCCCAGTCCCAGGCTGTGAGAGATATTGGGAAGGAAGCAAGGCCCCCAAACTCACAAAGACCTCACTCAGGGTGGGGAGCAGCTGACCCTTCCCTTACCTGGTTCTAGCAGGCCAAAAATTCTGACTTGCTGTAGGAAGCCATCATTGCTGACATGGTGAATGAGATGTTTAAGAGAGATGAATTGGTGAGTACATGCTACACAGAATGGAGAGTAGGGGCTAGAGTCAGGGAAGGCAACCAGTGGGATTCTGTAGCAATTTTGGTAAGGAAGCTTAGAAAGAGGAAGGCAGTGGGAATGAAGAGGAAGGTTGCTGAAGATGCATTTCCAGGGTGACAATGGAAATGTGAAGGTCTGGGAAAGCTAATGAAGAGCATGAGATCTAAGCTGGCTTCCCTTCTTAAATGAATTTTTGAAATCATTTGTGAGTGACTTGAATCCTGCCCCTTTCACCTCCTCAGGATACTGTTCAATGCCTTTTAACCAGTCAAACAAATCAGAATTTTGCCCATTAAAATGCTCTAATAGCACATGGACAGGAGTTGTCTCTCCAGTAAATTAGCTAAGTATATTTTAGGTACAATTGTAAAGTGTCCATTATTTATAGCATCATTGGCAGTGCCAAGCACCCTGTGATTGTGCATTGGATATGAGATGATAGTGATTGCCTATTAAATGTTTTAAACTTGAGTTCCACAAGTTTGCCTCCTGGCTCAACAGGAAGAAAATGACTTTTCTACAGGAAAATATATAAGATATGTACTCTATAGCCATGCCAGCTGAAACATGACACATTTCCAAAGGCTTATATGACCTTTAATTCTATAAAGTCCAAATATCAGAGTGAGGAGGGATGGGATACTAGTCTAATTGCCACCTGGGTTACTACTCCAAACTAGGAGGCGGACAGCAGATGGAATTCAACCACTCTGGAGGAAAGAGAAAGGAGAGAGCCAGTCCTCTTAATAGAAATGTGTAAGACAACACTCAAAAATCACTTTCGACTAGAAAATTTGAGATTAAAACATGCCAGAAATGGTGAAATACCACAGGGGGCCAACATTATAAATATAAATAAATAAATAAATACAAAGTGCCAGGAATGGGAACTAGAGGCCAGGTGTGGTGCCTCACACCTGTAATCCCAGCATTTTGGGAGGCCAAGGTGGGAGGGTTGCTTGAGCTCAGGAGTTCAAGACCAACCTAGGCAACATAGGAAGACCTCTCCTCTACTAAAAATAAAAATTAAAAAGATCAGCCAGGCATGGGGGCACATGCCTGTAGTCCTAGCTGCTTGGGAGGCTAGGGTGGGAGGACTGGTTGAGCTCCGGAGATCCAGGCTACAGTGAACTATGATCACGCCACTGCACTCCAGCATGGGTGACAGAGTAAGACCTTGCCTCAAAAAAAAAAAAAGAAAAAGAAATGGGAACTGGAAGAAAAACCTGTTTCCAAAGCCAGGGCTCAGCCATGGTCATCCTTTAGTAAAAATTTGTTCCTTACTCCAAAGTTTGTGTTCTCACTCAGAGACACAAGTACAGTCATGCACCCCATAACAATGTTTTGGTCAAGGATGGACCACATATACAACAGTGGTACCATAAGATTATAAGAGAGTTGAAAAATTCCTATCACCTAGTGACATCATAGCTATCATAGCTGTTTTAATGTCATAGTGCACCACATTACGTTTTCTACGTTGAGATATATTTAGATACACAAATACTTACCATGGTGTTACAATTGCCTGCAGTATTCAGCCCAGTGCCATGCTGAACAGGTTTGTAGCCTGGGAGCAATAGACTGTACCAATGTATCTAATAGGCTATACCATCTAAATTTATGTAAGTACACTCTATGTTTGCACAATGACAACACATTTCTCAGAACATACCCCAGTCATTGTGATGCATGACTGTACAAAAGCCTTCAAAAAACTGTCATCAATTTAGCTCAAAACAGTTGATCTCTTATGGCTTGGGGTTTAGAGAGATACAAAGGAAAAGGAAAAGGCAATCCTGATCCTTGAAGAACTTATAAGGTCGCTGAAGAATTACACTTAAGAATTATTAAATAACCACACAAGAAAGAAAGGTATCTGACGGGTCACGGTGGCTCACACCTGTAATCCCAGCACTTTCGGAGGCTGAGGCGGGCAGATCATGAGGTCAGGAGTTCGAGACCAGCCTGGCCAACATGGTGAAACCCTGTCTCTACTAAAAATACAAAAATTAGCTGGGCATGGTGGCGCACGCCTGTAGTCCCAGCTGCTCAGGAGGCTGAGGCAGGAGAATTGTCTGAACCCAGGAAGCGGAGGTTGCAGTGAGCCCAGATCGTGCCATTGCACTCCAGCCACAGCGACAGGGTGAAACTCCACCTCAAAAAAAAAAAAAAAAAAAAAGTATCCAGTGCTGTAAACAATAGTTACACGGAAAAGAACACAGACTAGGAAAACCCCAAAGCCCTGGTTTAGGTCTGCCAACAATGATCTGGACCTCAATTTCTTTTTATTTCATCACTGCCAAACACAGTGTGCCAAGTACAGGAATAGTGACACTGGCTCCAAGTTTAGTGGGAGAGACCGTAAGAGGCATATGAACTACAAGATCTTCAGGAAGATCCAAAGGACTCAGTAACCTAAGGTCTCTGGCAGTTTCCACATTCTAAGGAGCCTCCGTGCTCAGAGAAAAGCCTGGTCAATGTGGCCTAAAATGGACAAGGAAGACTTCATCACAGGGTGAAACTTGAGTTGTGCTTCCAGGTAGGATTTGAATAACAGGGCATGGGGGCAAAGGGAGCGGTGGACAATGTGAGCAGAAGTGAAAGAAGAGGAAAGGAAAGAAATCACTTTCCTGAAAATTGGATCCATACAGAGGAGGAGGAGATAAATTTGGGTCAGATTAAAGAAACCCTCAAAAGCTAAATCAAGAAATGTGGAGCTTTTTCTATGGGTCGTTTTTTGTTTTTGTTTTTGTTTTGAAGCTTGGGATCATAGAATTTAAGGAAAACAATATATTGGAAGGACTGAGCCCACTGATAATATTGAACACAGGATGGATTGAAGCTATAGGGACTGAAGCAAGGAGATGGCTACTGCAATAATCAAAAAGGCCTTGAACCCAGGTTGTGGAGGTGAGAAATGCAAGGAAGGCATAGGTCCTCTGCCTAGACAGATTTTGAACAGAAGAATGGACTATCTGACCAGAACTATGGGACAAATAATAGAGGGTCCAAAATGACTCAGATCTGAAACCTGGGTAAGTTGGATATTGCTGGCGTTTTCTACATAAATAAAAAAGTCGGGAGAAGGAATATGTGCATACAGACAGGTGACAAGCTTGTCCCGAGTAAAATCAAGCTTCAGGTGACATAAGGTGAAGGGTTGGTTCTACAGTTGGTATCCACCTATTGCAGATCTTTATTTTTTATAACCACTTATGAATCATAAAATTCCTTAGCTTGGCTAAAAGACAAACGCTTCCATTTTTAACAGCTCATGTATTTAAATTAACCTTCAGCCTGGTCATTTACAGCCCCATTTGTATCCTTGCTGTAGTTAATTGTAGGTACTGTACAAGGTCATTCTTGACAACAGAGAAGTTCAATTACAATATGTATTCTGTTGTTTTAATCACAATTCTGTACTACACAAAGACAGACAGGGACAAGAAGTTTGAAAGAGTAATTGACCATAGTTAAAAATAATATACTATATAGTTTCAAACAGCTAGAAGGAGGATGTTGAATGTTACCAACACAAAGAATGTGTTGGTAACACAAATGTTTGAGATGATGGATATGCTAATTACCGTGATCTGATCACCATACATTATATGTATCAAAATATCACTATGTACCCTATAAATATGTACAATTATTTGTCAATAAAAACTTTTTAAATTTAAATTTTTTTAACTTAAGCACTATGTAGCCAGGATAATACCTCAATTATAGTAACTGGGGTATTACTATGATTGAGGTATTATCCTGGCTACATAGTGCTTAAATTAAAGGTATCAGTAGTGATGTTTCACTTTACAGTAATTGGGGTATTATCCTGGCGACACACTGCTGAGCCTAGTTTTTAAATTAAAAAAAAAATTATTAAGAAAGAGTAATTGCAATGCCTTCCCCTAAAACAAAGAAAAAATCCATTTACCTAAAGAAGGTAATACAATTTTCATCATAGTGACACTCCTGAAAGGAGAGACTGGATGACAGAATACAGAAGCAAACTCCATAAGCAGTAGAATGGCAAGAAATGGGTCTTTTCAGAGAAAAGACACAAAGGGCAGCATTCCCAATAAACAAAGGGGATAAAGGAAATTAAGACAAACTAGCAAAAGAAGCAAAACGCAGTGGCTGGAGCTGTTCCTGAACAGTAACTATTGAAAACCAGTATTTTTCTGAGTACTTTGGGAAAAATGAAATAAAACAAGCATGTCAGATACCTTTTGGGATATGAACATTTAAAATAGGACATGAACACTTATCAAACCTCAAACTCCAGTCGAAATTATCAGCAGACCATTTTGTTTAACCTATTTAATGTATTTTTGCAAGGTAAAGAATATGATTTAGAGTACAGCTCTCATTATAAATACTTAGAAAGCTTTTCTTAACAGGCTAGCACATTAAAGTATTGAAAGCATTGGCTTAATTTTTTCTTATGGAAATTTTTGAGACCCCTTTAGATTTGCATAAATGTTTAATAGCTTTTTGCAACCAATCAAAATAGGAGTGTCATTGAATTGGAGAGAAATGACCACCATTATTTTTAATTCCTTCTGGAGGTAGACTACCTAATTTAAAGGCACCTTCCAATTTCATTCATCTCTATCCTCAAAGCACAAACTGCTCCTACAACTAAACTGCTTAGCATCAGAAAGACTAGAGTCTCCACTGGGATTCCAGTGTCCTCTTGAATTCACCCCTCCCCATTTCTCAACTTACACAGGCTTTCACATGTCAAATAATTCTCACACTCAAATGATAAAAATATTATTAAATTATTTAAAAACCTGGAGATTATCTCCAGCAGTCATTTTCTTCAAGGAAAAAGAAAAAGGGGAAATGCAAATACTCAGCAGAGAAAACACATTCACACAGCAACTTTGAGTTCCCATGTCACCTGGCTATGTACCATATTCCAGGAGATAGCAGTTCCCTGTTAGTGAAAAAAGGCAACCTTCCCAGGGGAAGGGGGTTGGGAATTGGAGCATTTCCACTCCACGCCTAGTCTTGCAGTTTGGGGAACTCTCATGGGTTCCACTGCTCTTGAAAAAGGAAAACTCACTTGCCCGAATCAGGTAAAATTCTAACCTGACCAACTCTCAAATGTAAAAATACTCTTTCCAGAAAGACAGAACTATCATAGCACTTCCCTCAGTCCAACTGCCAGCAGACTCACAGATACCTATGCCTGGATCTATGCTTGGTAATTTAGGAAAAATCTCAAGAAAAGAACCAAAAACAAAAATATAATGATATTCTGATTTTCCAATGGCTTTTTATGTTTCAGCAGGAAATAAAAATCTTGGTAACATGGATCCACACTGACTCAAGTCTAATTATTTCCTATCAAGACCCAAACGAAGACAGCACTTTCTACCTCCCTTTTTGCCAGCTCATATTTGAGTTCAGCATGGAGTCATCGTCTTGAGACAGACCGCTAATAGTCCTGCAATATTCATCGTGCCCTCCACTATTATTGTAACAGAGTATGAGAGCTTCAGCTAGGTACATGGCCACCCAGAATAAGCACAATTCCCTGCTGGTCATATGACTAATTGCTAACCAATAAAATGGAAACAAAGTGACATGTATCTGCAGCTTCATCCAGAGTCTCATGTGACTGTGTCAGTGTTTCCAACTCTGACGTCTTAAATTCAGCAATATCAGTAGTGATGTTTCACACTATGATAATTGGCATATTATCCTGACTACATAGCACAGAGCCTGGTCCTTCATCCCTCCCTGAATTCTTTGATGCCCTTTTGTAAGCTCCTTTCTTCCTTAAATTAGCCAGAGTTGGTTTATGTTGCTTGCAACTGAGAACGTTGACAGAGAGATACTATTCTAGGCTCTATGTATGAATATACATGTGTAGTCCCTTCCCTGTGGAATCCTCAAGGTCCAAGTATTAGTCGTTGTTTTATTTCTTTAGCCCTTCCTCCCAATGTAGAACCTGCCTATGAGATTAAAGTAATGAGTCAGTTCTTAAACAATTTTACATCTAAGCAACTTATACATCTTAGGACCCCTCCAAGTAGCAAATCTTGGCTCATAACACACTTATTACACTGGTAGTGCCACTGTTTAAAACTTTTTAAAATTGTTTGAGAATTGCCTTGTGCCTGGCACATAATCTTTTGTTTTAGGAAAGTATGTGTTTAAAATCTAAATATTACAAGATGAAAAATCTCCTTCTCAAATTTTTTCCTTGGTTTCCTAGTTTCCATCCCTAGAATTCATGTGCTTCTTAATTCCTTTAAATCCTTCTAGAGATAGTATAGGGGTGTGTGTGTGTGTGTGTGTGTGTATGTGTGTGTGTAAATTATGTATTTATATCCTTTTTTAGCAAAAGCAGTAATACATTCTTATGTACCTAGTTATTTCACTTAATATATACCTCTGGCTCATTCTTACTAATGACAGAATAGTGTTCTAATTAACTGATGCTCCGTAATTACCTAACCTGTCTCCTATTGTTGGATATTTATGTTTTCTCTAATCTTTTCCTGTTGTAGTAAATATTCTGTGCAAGATTTCTTCTGTACTTTTATGAATGTAGCTGTGGGATAAATTCCAAGAAGTATATCCACTTGGTAAAAGGGTACATTCATTTATTATTAATAAATATTTCTAAATTACCCTAAAAAGAAATAGTGTAAAGTACCCTCTTTTCTTTTTCCTTTTTTTCTTTTTTTTAATTGAAACAGGGTCTTCCTCCCTTGCCCAGGCTGTGATGCAGTGGTTGCTGTCATGGCTCACTGCAACCTCGACCTCCCCAGCTCAATGGATCCGTCTGCCTCAGACTCCCAAGTAGCTGAGACTATAGACATGTGCCACCACACTCAGCTAATTTTTGTACCTTTTTGTAGAGATGGGGTTTCGCCATGTTGCCCAGGCTGGTCTCGAACTCCTGGGCTCAAACAATCCACCGGCCTCTGCCTCCCACAGTGCTGAGACTACAGGCATGAGTCATTGTGCCTGGCAAAATTACACTCTTATGCAAATTTTTACCTTTTGAGAATAGGTTTAACTTCTGAAAACTGCCCCAAGTTACTCAAAACCAAGTCTGATGAATAAAAGCATGATTTTCTTAGGTAACAACATTCTCAGTACAGGATGAGCTGTGACTGAAAGTAATTAGATGAGTTTTTTGTTAGTTTGATTTGTAAAATGAGTGTGAGATAAGCTCCAAAAGGTCCAAACATATTTTGAGCAACAGTAGTATCACTCAAGTAAGTGTGCTGCCTCCCAAATGGATACTTTTTTTTTTTTTTGAGACAGAGTCTCTCTCTGTCGCCAGGCTGGAATGCAGTGGCGCGATCCCAGCTCACTGCAACCTCTGACTCCCCGGTTCAAGTGATTCTCCTGCCTCAGTCTCCCAAGTAGCTAGGATTACAGGCATACACCACCACGTCCAGCTAATTTTTGTATTTTTAGTAGAGCTGGGGTTTCACCATGTTGGCCAGGATGGTCTCGATCTCCTGACCTCGTGATCCGCCCGCCTTGGCCTCCCAAAGTGCTAGGATTACAGGCGTGAGCCACAGCGCCCGGCCCCAAATCGATCCTCTTAAAGGAGATGATACTCAGTCAGACAGAAGAACTGGTCTACATAATAAATAATTCTAATTGCATCATAGTCACACTACCTGTAAGATGTAAAAAATCAAATTATGAGACTTGTTGGTATCTGATTTATGCAAATCAACATCATTACCCTATAGCCAGTTTTTTATCTTTTATCCTTGTGAATCCTTGCAATTTCCTTGGATTGAAGATAGCAGTGTATTTCTTCTCTGCTGGAACATAAGAATTCCAGGGAATCTCAGTGCCTTGCACATAATTGTACTTACAGTGTCACAGAACACAGCATGCCACCTGGGAAGTCCTGAAAGTAATCAGTTTGCTTTTCTATTGACCTAAGAAAACCCTTAGTTTCCACGATGTGTTTCCACAGGTCTTTGGTAGAAAGATGAGGCATAATCTGAAATTCATGAATATTCTAATATCATTATAATTAATTAAAATTGCACCAAACAGAGGGTGAATGGTAAGTAAAACTTAAGCAGATGTACAACTAATAATGTTCTAGCAATGCTTAAGAACCAGCTCTCAGGGTGGGGGGAGAAATTCACTCTTTGTTACATTTGCCAATTTTCATACTATAAATGCTCCTACCATGGCTGATTTCAAAACTGTCTACATGACATCAACTAGCTCACAAAATTCCTGAAATTTTAACAATAGGCTCACATGAGTTTGTATGAGCAGACTCTAGTACATCACTGCACAACAACCATAGTACCTTCTGAAGATGTTATGGCATGAAGTTTTTACCTGAAGGAAAAAACTCAAACTCTTCTGGGCTTCAATATATTACACCTCTGACTTTTGTACTACTGTGGATTATCGTGTTCTTATTTCATATATTTTTGAACTCAAACTTTGCTTTAAGCTTCATTATCTTCAATGTACTGTGCATCAAAGCATGTAACTTCAATTTTCATAAAATTATATTTTTTACCTAGGTTGATATGTGAGTCTATTAATGTTTGCTCATTCGACACTTCCTTTCTAACTTTTTCTCTATTTCATAAATACGAAATGGAAAGAGATCAGGAAGCATGTATAAGATCATTTTTCTATATTTACTTAATGAAAAAGTTATAAGTAATGTGAACAAAGGAGTCAAAAGGGAATTCAATACATAGCAATTCAGGACATCTTGATAAATAGGACGTTTTGCAGAGAATCTGCATAAATCTCTGTTGAAAAAACACATTGCTCTTAAAAAGATAATTTTTAAACCATAAAAGTGTTTAAAGATGATTTAACATGCTCATCAGCTCAGTCTGTACATGTGTAAATGTGTATATGCAAGGTGTGAGTATCAAGAAATAAGACTCTGTGGACTTTCTGATAATAGCCTTCAAAGTACTCAAATCAAAAGGATGCACATGTTCAGTTATGCTTCCATTGCCTGAAATATTTCTGGGACTGCCTTCACACCACTGTATAAATCACACAGGAAAATTTAATTCATGCATTCCTTTATAATCACACTTTATTTCAATGGAAAATTAGAACTATTTAACATGATGATCTCCTTTATTCATCAGGCTTAACTCCAAGTGACTTTTAGATATTTCCAAAGATCAAATCTGCCCTCAAAGGTTAAAGATTTATCAACATTCAAACAGATTCCCAAAAAGAAGTGTCAAAAATGTTTTGGAAAATAAAAATAAAAAAATATAAATACAAATAAACTAAATTTTAAAAATGTTTTGAGCAATAGCTGCTTCACTAAAGTAAGTGTGGGGCCTTCCAAGATGATGATTTAGAAGGACACAACCACTATTTGGATGTATATACTCTGGTACATTTGTTTTGAAATTTCATTACATTACAAGAAGCCATGTCACAAAGTGGTCGAAAGCACATATCTGGGAGTCACTGGTAGGTTCAAATTCTGTTTCCGGCCAGGCATGGTGGCTCATGCCTATAACCGCAGCACTTTGGGAGGCCAAGACAGGTGGATCACCTGAGGTCAGGAGGAGTTGGAGAACAGCCTGGCCAACATGGTGAAACCCCACCTCTACTAAAAATAAAAAAATTAGCCGAGCTTGGTGGTACATACCTGTAATCCCAGCTACTTGGGAGGCTGAGGCAGAAGAATCGCTGGAACCCAGGAGGCAAAGGTTGCAGTGAGCTGAGATAGTGCCACTGCACTTCAGCCTGGGCAACAGAGCAAGACACTGTCTCAAAAAAATAAATAAATAAAAATAAATAAATAAATAAATAAACAAATTTTGTTTCTAACATTTCCCAGCCATGTGACCTTGAGTAAGTTATTTATTCTCTCCATGCCCCAGTTTCTTTACCATAATCTATAAAATAAAAATAGTAATACTCTCCCCATGGTATTGTTTTGAGGTTGAAACATGGAAAATATAATTAAAATATGTAGCTGCATGCCTGCAATGTTATAACTATTTGGTAAATAGTAACTATGGTATTTTTTTCTCTTTATTATCAGTCATGTCTCACAAAGCTCTGCATGTCCTTTTTTTCATATGACATTCTTTCTTCTTCCATCTCACCTATTAGAAATCTAGAGGTGCTACTATGCTTTTACTTGATTGAGAAGGTTAAACTGGGCATGCTTGAGTTTCCACCTCAGGTTGGAAAGTAGAGATACTGCAGTAATAATAATTACACACATATAATACAGAAGTGGAGAAAAGTAACACCTAGACAGCAAAACCATATTCCATGACTCAGAGGAATAATGAAATGTAATCAACTCTCATTTTAGTTGAAGATATAGTAGTGGCATTCATTGAACAGAAGTTTCACATAGAAAAAAATTAGCAGTCTCCATATTCTTAACCTCTGCATGTTTACATAGTACCATGAATGCCAATCTCTTGTCCCTGCTCATGTAACATTATGAGCCCTGTTGGTCACTCCATGGCCCCATACCTTGTCTCAAACAATGAAGAAAGCTCTACAAAAGTCAACACATAGGGAAGAGGAGGAATATATCCTGGCCAGGAACACCCCAGGAACAAGCTCTTAGTCTGGTGCACCAAGAGGAAGGGTTGCGTCTGCAGGGAACTGTGTTACTCTCCAAGACACCCCAGAGAGAGGGCTGGAGAAAAACAACTCAAAGAAGCAAGGAGAGACTGTCAGCTTTCCTTGCCTTACTTCAAAGCTGGATTTGCCCTCCTTCTTTAATATAGCCTCATTAAGTGTCCCTTAATATTTGCCCAAAGTGCTAGGCACAGCCCAGTCATATTAGGAACATTCCTTTTCCACTAGGAAATATTTCTAGATATTAACTTCTGGGAAATGATAAAGCACATACATTGCAAATATAAAGGGTTATATAAATACTTAACAATAGAAGCTTTTCTAGTACTCTGCCCACAAAAAGCCATTACTGTGTCTTTATGACAGAAGGTTTAATGTCGCTGAATCTTGCTCAAGTGTAATATTCACTTGAACGCTGAGGTCCAATTTTATAGTCATAATTTTTTATTCCAAATCACAGTCACAACCCAATCCAATTCAAGTATTCTGATACCACATCTTCCATGAAATAGCTCTTCTTCAGCCTTACCTACTTTCCAGCTCAGTGCTTCCCTACATCCCCAGAAGCTGGCCTGGTGCTCAATTCATAGAACATACTTAATAAATTATGAGTGGATGGATGAACACTTCAAAGTGACAATTTGTGTCTCCTTATGAGAGGTGCACTAAACAAGAGAAATCATAGTGATAACTACCATATGTGGCAGGTGCTTTAAGTATATTATCTCTAATCCTCACCACCACCTCACAAGGCAGGTAAAATTGCTATCCACTTTACATACAAGAAACTGAGACTTACAGCCAATGAGTCACTATCTTGGCCAGTGCCTGCCCAGACAGAACAAATAAATTCAGGGATGAACACAGCTCGAATTCTCAAACTGAGATCTCTGGTCTATTAGGAAGAAAAGATGAGAAAACAACTCATCAAGAAAAGTAACCTCCAACTACTTGCCTCTATCTCTCATGGCCATGTCTCTTTTCTCCTCTTATCCTCATTTCTTTCTACATATATCTTTTTTTATTTGATCATTTCTTAATGACCTTTACAAAGTGCTTAGTACTGGGCTCGGTTATTACTCAAATCTCCAAATTTCCCTAGACATTTCTTTTCCTTGGAGGTTTCTTGTTTGTTTCCTTCTCCATTTACTCATGATGAGTCAGAGCTTTAAAGAAGAAACATCACCCTAATCCTTTGATGATTTGCCCCATGTTTCAGATGTACTTCTCCTAGCTCTTCTTATTGACCAAAGTTGTAAATGTTGCAGAGACACTGTCTGGTTGAGCCCTGAATTGTGTATTCTAAATAGAAAAGAAGATGGTCCAGCACAGCCAACGAAGCTGGGAAGAACGTCTTCAGCATGCACCTCTCAGCTCCCAGAAGCCCCAACAGCATCACATGAGCCTATCATGTGATGATATCACGTGCGGTGAATACCACACTTCTACCCATAAGTAAGACAATTTTCAACCTATTGCTTTCATTTTCAGTGGTTTTCAAACATTTTAAGAAATGTTCACAGTAGGCATTTTATACGAAATACCACGTTTAGAGGTATACAGAAGGAGACCGAGTTAAACTGGCAAAGAGCCAACACAACAACAGAGCAAGAGTCTTCTAAAGATGAGGAGGGAAGCCAGAAACTCTCTCGGCCTGGAAGTTAACTTCGTCAGGAAGTCAAAGTCTTGAAAAAGAAAAAGCTGTAGAGCTTTGATTAAAATTCCCATTGCTAGTTATATTTATATGCCCATTCAGGTGCCCATAAAGGAAGGGCATTTTATTAAGAACACTGTAGATCACTTTGAATACATTTCCCTGTACTTTTCCTTACTCCTTCCTCCATCTTTCTATAATGATATAAATTAAAGGGCAGAGGCATCGGGTGATAATGATGGATTTTCTCAGCTATTTGGCTTGTGCCACAACAAACCTTAATATTATTTTAGTGATGTGAGTTATTTGACCTAGAAGGATCAGCCTGTTCAATACATGCAGTAGTACCGCTGAGGAATTAGTTTGCTTAGCCTGGGGCAATCAATAGATTGACAAACTAGCCTTTTTTAAGTCCAAGGCCTGTTTTATAGGAATATTAAGCTTGTGGTGTTCCTACAACAAAGGAGCCTGAAGCCTGCACAAAAGGTTTCACAGTTGAAAGCATTCACAGGGCACATTTATATCTTTAAAGAGGTTCTCATACACACAGAACTAGCCAAAGGTGCAGGGTCTTGGGGGCTAATAGACACAGCCATTCATCTGAAACAACTCTGGATAATTTTAAAATACACAAACAAAGCCTTGAACATCTGAGGGAAAAATAGGTATTTTCTGTGAATAATCCTGTGGCTGTTGCAACTTCAGACAATGCTCCCATAGCTATTTTGAAAACATTATGTGAGAAGCAAAATAAGCAGTGAGTAAAAGATGAAAAGCTGTGATAATGGGAAGAAGTGATATTCATGCCATTTCTCCAGATCTCACAGGGAGCTCTCATGACCCAACCATATCCCCCTGTGTCCAAAGGTGGAAAAGTATTTTAAAGTTCACAGGAAGCTTGCCCTGAGACAGCACAGAAACTCCTGACAAGTCATGCTATTATGCTAGTCTGTCTGGCAGCAGATGGATTGGAAGGGAAGTGTCAGAGGAAGAAACACCTGGGATGCAGATTTTCAGAGGCTTCTGCCTTCTCAGAGAGATGCTGCCATTAGCCTCATGGTCACTGAGAACTGTTTACATGCATTTCCCCCACAGAAGTCTAATAGAGAACGTCAGTTTTTCAGGCATTAGAGGCTACAGGGGGCTTTGCTTTGGAAAAAAATGGACTGCTTTCTCCAAGAAAAAAAATATTCCTCCAGTGGACTCCTTCACTATTATATGGACTTGCCCATCATGGAGATATTTATTGCTTTTCCCCTCTCCCAGGTTTTTTAAATATACCCTATTGAAAAGACAAAACCCCATGCAGTGAATTTTGATTAGAAGCTCATATCATCACTCTCCTAATACCAAGCTGGTGTTCAAAGGGTACTGTTATAGAGGTCTGTAATTCCTAGCCAGAGATCTGTAATATTTCAAACAAAGGATATGATAAATTACAAAATAGGCAAGAAATTTATTCGATTAAAAAAGACAGTGTGAACTATTTCCCTCTAGTACATATTAATAGCCCCTGACTGATCCCTCTGGTATCCACACACGGTGAAATCGAGCTTTTCCCAGAAATCCACTGCAATGCCAATGCCAGAGAAGGGCACCGGAGGAGGAAAATCAGCACCAGGGAGGGGTGCACACAGTGGTAACGAGGAACGCTGATTACACTCCAAATCAATGCAAGATGCTGACAGGGCTCTGCGGTAAGAAAAGCTGGCAACCAAATTGCGTCTCCTGAGCCCTGCCCATCAGTAGGTGTTACTATTCACATATGCAAATCAACAAGCACTGAGCAGAGATTAAAAGTGAGAGGGAGGCAGAAGATGGCAGAAAGAAAAAGACTTCGGCTCAGGCTTCAGATCAGAGTGGCAGGCATTATCATAAACATAAAAACTCTAAAATTCTCTCTCCATTCCAGTTCACAGGTGCTTTGCTTTAAAAAAAAAAGAAAAGAAAGAAAGAAAAAAGTAAACCACAGATTTATTTTCTAAAAAACCTCCTAAATTTTCTTTTATCATTGAACAGCTGTTCTTTCAAGTTCTGGTTAAGCCCCCTAAATCTTTCTTGATTAGTCTAACTATGCAGTGGGGGCATCTACTTAAAATCTAATGCCAACTTTGAATTTAGGTCAGCAGTGCCCACACAAGAATTATTCATTCTATTCTATGGATCTTATCCCAGAAGTGTTGGGGAACATGTCTGAGGGTAAAAAAAAAATCTAAGGGTGTGTGTGATATGTGGAATAATTACTCAGATGCCCTGGTGATATGTAGGAAAGACAATCCCATAAGTAGACTCCTATTGGCATGATCCCATGATGAAGTTTGTGCTTTCTCTTCCTGGATGCTTTCCCTGAGATGTTAAAATTCTGACTTTTCATTATGATTATGCACATACAGCATCACTGTGGACTGACTTTTCAGCTAATGGGGACAACATGACACTCCACACCAATTTCAAAAGGGGAATCCTCTACCCAGGGGAAGTCAATGATAGTCCAGGAACAGGGCACGGGCATAAACACTCCAGAAATCAGTGGAAACACCAGTATGAAAACATGTAATCACCAGCCTGCATTAACTGAAGGGCTGTTACAATCCCCAGCCCTGTAGCTCAAATAGAAATGTGTCAAACAGCCAGAAGATTTGCACTACCCTGACACAGCCAAGCATGATTTTCCTTGGAATGAAAATAGGCCCCAGTGAGATCCAGGTTAGATGCAGAGTCAGCTTCTCTCCCTTTCCTTTGGAGAAATGCATCTCTTAATTCAAATTGTGTCAATTAGAGCTATTTTATTAAAAAATCTTTGCCAGATATGAAGCGTTCAGAATGGTAATAGCCCTGTACATTTACATGATGTCTTTCCACACTGATTCATTTCATTTCTTCCTACCATCTAAAAATTCTCCCATTGCCATGACTGATTCACTACTATAAAAAACTCTCTATAATAATTGCAATCTTCTGCTTGGTTTTGAAATGTGCTAATTATTTTTGCAAAAGATATTAGAGAGTCCTAAGTGCTCTCAGATCTCTCTTTAGAGCTGAGAAAATAAGAGTCCTAAATAGCTTACATAAAGCCCTCAGGTTCCCAAAGTTCAGAGTTAGTCTTTGATCAAAATCAGATTTGGCATTTTGGAAAAAATAAATAAACTTTTCAAATTGAAAGAAGAGCCACTTCACAGAGGAAGCAAAATAGGTTTTACTGGGTTGGGCCAACATGGCAGACTAGAAGTAGCTCATGTGCACTGCTCTCACAGAGAGGAAACAACCGACCCTGCAGGCCGGTCATCTGAGAAACCTCATCGGGATCCATCAAGGCAGCAGAGGGGATACAGAGAGGAGTGAGGAGCAAAGCTGGGCACCAGCCTGTCTGGGCCCAGTGCAGAGCCAGGAGAACCTCTCCAACATGGGAAAAGGTGAGTGAGGGAAAGCCCCCTGGGGGAGTCACCCTCTCCACAGAAACCACTGTAAGGCTAGGAATGAGAGAATCTCCCTGGTCGTCCCCCCCCCACCCATCCCCCACCATGCTTCTAGACTGAGGCAAAAGGCCACCTGGACATTTTTGGGGGGCAACTCCGGAGTCCAAGGGGACTTCTACCAGCCTTGGGCCCCAGAGCGACCAGCACTGGTGCCATAGCCCCAGTAGAGGCTGCAGTTATGGTGTCTCAAAGCGGTAAGATTGCTCCACCTCCCCTCACCAGACGGGGCTTGGCATCAGCTTCCAGCCTCGCAGTTCCAATTCTGTATGAACTCAACCAGTAGGCACAGACTCCTGTTGTCCCAGGAAGTACCTGGACAGCAGGGTGGGTGACCCTACCCACCCCCACCACTGGTAGCCAGGTGGGCATCACTTGCTAGAACTTCCAGCACAGCAGTCCCACTTCTGTGTGAACTCAGCCAGAGGGCACAGCCTCCTGTTGTCCTGGGAGGCAAAATAGGTGACACCCATCCCTGCCATTGGTAGCCAGGCTTGCAATGCCTGCTAGAGCTTCTGACCGAGCAGTCCCACTTCTATGTGAACTCAGCCAGCAGCTGCAGCCTCCTATTGCCCCAGGAAGCACCCACAGAACAAAGTAGATGACCCACTCAACCCCACCACTGGTGACCAGGCAGACAATGCCTGTTAGAGCTTCCAGCCCAGGGGTCTCACTTCTGTCTGAACTTAGCCAGCAAGTGCAGCCTCCTGTTGTCCCAAGAAACACCTGTACAGTCAAGTGGGCAACTCCACCCACCCCTGCTTCTCACAGCCAGATGAGCCATACCTGCTAGAGCTTCCCTCCCAGCAGTAGAACACCTTGTCCCTTCCTGAGACAACATGTGCCTGAACTCTGGGGGCAGATGCAACCCTGTGTTTCCCTGAAAAGCACATTAACAGCGGATTAGGGCCAACCCAGCAGAGATATGGCCTGTCTGCCAACTGCAGCCACTGCCTAAGGGAGACTCATCAACCAGAACACCCAACAAAAGAAACACAGACACAGACAGAGTAACCAGAGGAGGCTCCTCAAAGACCCAGGAGTGGATTCAAATGCAAGCCAGTTGACTGAACCCACCTTATATTATAATCAAACTTCCAAGAACATCAAACAAGATAAAAGCAAAATAAACCCAACCAAAGGTGAGCAACTTCAAAGATTGAAGGAATATTAGCTAACACAGGTGAGAAAGAACCAGCATAAGATCTCTGGCAACTGAAAAAGCTAGTGTCTTATTATCTCCAAATGAGTACACTAGTTCCCCAACAGTGGATCTTAACCAGGCCGAAATGGCTGAAATGACAGAAATAAAATTCAGAATATGGATAGGAATAAAGATCATCGAGATTCAGGAGAAGTTGAAACCCAAGCCAATGAATCTAAAGAATAAAATGAAACAATACAGGAGATAAAAGACAAAATAGCCATTTTGAGAAAGAACCAAACTGAACTGAAAGAGCTAAAAAGTTCACTTCAAAAATCTCAGAATATAAATTTCAGAATATAATCACAAATATTAACAGCAGCATCAACCAAGCTGGAGGAAAAATCTCAGAGCTAGAAGACTGGTTCTCTGAAATAACTCAGACAAAAATAAAGATAAAAGCAATAAAGAATGAACAAAACCTTCAAGAACTATGGGGTTGTGTAAAGAGACCAAATCTATGACTCACTGGTGTCCCTGAAAGAAAAAAAAAGCAAGCAAGCAACTTGGGAAACATATTTGATATCCTCCATGAAAATTTCCCCAACCTCACTAGAGGCCAACATTCAAAATCAGAAAATGCAAAGAACCCCTCCAAGATACTATACAAGATGATCATCACTAAGAAACATAGTCATCAGATTCCATAAGGTCAAAATGAAAGAAAAAATGTTGAAGGCAGCTAGCGAGAAGGGGCATGTCACCTACAAAGGGAACCTGGTCAGGCTAACAGTGAACCTTTCCACAGAAACTCTACCACCCAGAAAAGATTGGAGGCCTATATTCAGCATTCCTAAAGAAAAGAAACACCAACCAAGAATTTTATATCAAGCCAAACAGCTTTATAATCAAACCAGAAATAAGTTCCCTTTCAGACAAGCAAATGTTAAGCAAATTTGTTACCAGCAGACCTGCCTTACAAGAGGTCCTTAAGGGAGTGCTAAATATGGAAAGAAAAGACTGTTAATGGCTACCACAAAAACACATGTAAGTACATAGACAATTAACACTACAAAGCAACCACACAATCAAGTCTGCATAATAACCAGATAGCAACACAATGACAGGATCAAACCTACACATATGAATATTAACCTTGAATGTAAACAGGCTAAATGTGCCAATTAAAATGCACAGAGAGGGCCAGGTGCAGTGGCTTATGTCTGTAATACCAGCACTTTGGGAGGCCAAGGGGGACAGATTGCGAGTTCAGGAGTTTGAGACCAGCCTGGCCAACATGGTGAAACTCCATCTCTACTAAAAATACAAAAATTAGCCAGGCCTGGTGGTGGGCACCTGTAATCCCAGCTACTCGGGAGGCTGAGGCAGAAGAATCTTTTGAACCCAGGGGCAAAGGTTGCCGTGAGCCAAGATCATGCCATTTCACTCCAGCCTGGGCAACAGAACGAGACTCTATCTCAAAGGAAAAAAAAAAAAGGCACAGAGGGAAAAGTTGGATAAAGATGTAAGACTCAATTGTATGCTGTCTACAAGAGACTCATCTCACATGCAATGACACCAATAGGTTCAAATTAAAGGGATGTAGAAAAATCTAACAAGCAAATGGAAAATAGAAAAAAATGTAAGGGCTGTTAATCTAATTCCAAACAAAACAGACTTCAAACCAACAAAAATCAAAAAAGACAAAGAAGGACATTATATAATGGTAAAGGGCTCAATTCAACAAGGAGACCTAACTATCCTAAACATATATGCACCCAACACAGGAGCACCCAGATTCATAAAACAAGTTCTTAGAGACCTATGAAGATATTTAGTTAACCACAAGATAATAGTGGGAGACTTCAACACCCCCATTGACAGTATTAGACAGATCAACAAAGCATAAAACTAACAAAGATATTTGGGACCTAAACTCAACATTTGACCAAATGGGCCTAACAGACATCTACAGACCTCTCCACCCAAACAAAACAGAATATACATTCTTCTCATCTGCACATGGCACATTCTAAATCGACCACCCAATCAGCTATAAAACAATCCTCAGAAAATTTGACAAAAAAAAAATCATAGCAAATATACTGTCAGATGACAGTGTGATAATATAGAAATAGAAATCAATACTAAGAAAATCACTAAAAATCATACAATTACATGGAAGTTAAACAATCAGCTATGAATGACTTCTGAGTAAACAATAAAATTAAGGCAGAAATCAAGAAATTCTTTGAAATTAATGAGAACAAAGATACAACATACCAGAATTGCTGGGACACAGATAAAGCAATGTTCAGAGGAAAGTTCATAGTGCTAAACACCCATATCAAAAAGTTAGAAAGATCTCAAATTAACAACCTAAGATCACAACAAGAGGAAGTAGAGAAACAAGAGCAAACCAGCCCCAAAGCTAGCAGAATACAAGAAATAACCAAAATCAGAGCTGAACTGAAGGAAATTGAGATGCAAAAAAGAAAAAAAAAATACAAAAATCAATGAATCCAGGAGTTTCTTCTTCGAAAGAATAAATAAAACTGATAGACTGCTAGCTAGATTAATAAAGAAAAAGAGAAAATCCAAATAAACACAATCAGAAATGAAAAAACAGACATTACCACCAACCCCATATAAATTCAAAAAACTCTCAGGGACTACAACAAACACCTCTATGCACACAAACAAGCAAACCTAGAAGAAACAGATAAACTCCTGGAAACATACAACTTACCAAGATTGAGCCAGGAAGGAATTGAATCCTTGAACAGACAAATAACAAATTCTAAATTTGAATTCATAATAAAATACCTACCAACAAGAAAAAGCCCAGGACCAGATGAATTGACAGCCAAATTCTACCAGATATATAAGGAAGAGCTGGTAGCATTCCTACTAAAACTACTCACAAAAAACTGAGAAGGAGGGGCTCCTCCCTAACTCATTCTATGAGGCCAGCATCATCTTGATACCAAAACCTGGCAAAGACACAGACACAACAAAAAAAGAAAACTTCAGGCCAATATCCTTGATGAACATAGATGCAAAAATCCTCAACAAAATATTAGCAAACAATTCAGCAGCAAATCAAAAAGCAAATCCACCGCAATAAAGTAGGCTTTATCCCTGGAATGCAAGGTTGGTTTAACATATGCAAATCAATAAATGTGATTTACCATATAAAGAGAACTAGAAACAAAAACCATGTAATCATTTCAATAGACGCAGAAAAGGCTTTTGATAAAATTCAGCATGCCTTCATGTTAAAAACCCTAACAAACTAGCCATTGAAAGAACACACTTCAAAATAATAAGATCTATCTATGACAAACCCACAGCCAACATCACACTGAGTGGGCAAAAGATAGAAGCATTCCCCTTGAGAACTAGAACAAGATAAGGATGCTCACTCTCACCATTCCTATTCAACATAGTGCTGGAAGTCCTAGCCAGAGAAATCAGGCAAGAGAAAGAAATAAAAGGCATCTAAATAGGAAGAAGGGAAGTCAAACTATCTCTGTTTGCAGACAATATGATTCTATACCTAGAAAACCCCATAGTGTCTGCCCAAAAACTCCTAGATCTGATAAACAATTTTAGCAAAGTTCCAGGATAGAAAATCAATGTACAAAAATCAGTAGCATTTCTATACATCAACAACATCCAAGCTGAGAATGAAATCAAGAACACAGTCCCATTCACAATAGCCACAGAAAGAAAAAATTCCTAGGAATACAGCTAACTGGGGAGGTGAAAAATCTCTATAATGAAAAAACAAAATACTGCTCAAACAAATCAGAGATGACACAAACAAATGGAAAAACATTCCATGCTCACAGATAAGAAGAATCAATATTGTTAATGTGACCATATTGCCCAAAGCTATTTACAGATTCAAGGCAATTGCTAGCAAACTACCAATGACATTCTTCACAGAATTAGAAAAAAAACTATTTTTAAATTCACATGGAACCAAAAAAGAGCCCGAATAGCCAAGGCAATCCCAAGCAAAAAAACAAAGCTGGAGGCATCACATTACCTGACTTCAAACTACACTACAAGTCTACAATAACCAAAATAGCATGGCACTGGTACAAAAACAGACACATAGAGGAATGGAACAGAATAGAGAGCCCAGAAATAATGTCACACACCTACAACCATCTGATCTTCAACAAAGTTAACAAAAACAAGCAATGAAGATAGGATTCTCTATTCAATAAATGGTGCTGGGATAACTGGCTAGCAACATGCAGAAGACTAAAACTGGACCCCTTTCTTACACATACAAAAATCATGTCAAGGTGGATTAAAGGCTTAAATGTAAGACTTAAAACTATAAAAACTCTAGAAAATAACCTAGGAAATACCATTATGAACACAGGCCCTGGCTAAAATTTCATGACAAAGACAACAAAAGCAATTGCAACAAGAATGAAAATTGATGAATGGAACCTAATTAAACTGAAGAACTTCCGCACAGCAAAAGAAACTAACATTAGAGTAAACAGACAACCTATAGAATAGGAGAAAATACTTGCAAACTATGCATCCAACAAAGGTCTAACATCCAGAATCTACAAGGAACTTAAACAAATTAACAAGCAAAAAAGAAACAACCCCATTAAAAAGTGGGCAAAGGACATGAACAGACACACTTCAAAAGAAGACATATACACAGCTAATAAGCATATTTAAAAAGTTCAATATCACTAATCATTAGAGAAATGCAAATCAAAACTACAATCTCACACCAGTCAGAATGACTATTATTAAAATGTCAAAAAATAACAGATGCTGGCAAAGTTGCAAAAAAACAGGGAACACTTACACACTGCTGGTGGGAATGTAAATTAGTTAAGCCTTTGTGGAAAGCAATGTGGTGATTTCTCTAAGAACTTAGAACTACCATTTGACCCAGTAATTCCATTTTTGAGTATATACCCAAAATAATATAAATCATTCTACCATAAAGACACAGGCACATGTATGTTCACTGCAGCACGATTCACAATAGGAAAGGCATGGAATCAACCTAAATGCCCATCAACTGTAGACTGGATAAAGAAAATGTGGCACATATATACCATGGAATATTATGCAGCAATAAAAAAGAATGAGATCATGTTCTTTGCAGCAATATGGATGGAACTGGAGGCCATTATCCTAAGGGAACTGACAAAGGAACAGAAAACCAAACACCACATTTTCTCACTTACAAGTGGGAACTAAACATTGAGTACACACAGACATAAAAAAAGAAACAACAGACACTGGGTCCTACTTGAGGGTGGAGAGTAGTAGGAGAGAGAGGATCAAAAAACTACTTATTGGGGCAGAGCGTGGTGGCTCATGCCTGTAATCTGAGCACTTTGGGAAGCCAAGGCAGGCAGATCACTAGAGGTCAGGAGTTCGAAACCAGCCTGGCCAACACATTGAAACCCGGTATCTACTAAAAATACACAAAGTAAGCTGGACATGGTGGCACACCACCTGTAATCCCAGCTACACAGGAGGCTGAGGCAGGAAAATCACTTGAACCAGGGAGGCGGAGGTTGCAGTGAGCTGAGATCACACCACTACACTCCAGTCTGGGCAACAGAGCAAGACTCTTTCTCAAAAAAAAAAAAAAAAAAAAAAAAAAAGAGGAAGAAAAACTTCCTATTGGGTACTATGATTATTAACTGGGTGATGAAATAATCTGTACACCAAGCCCCTATAACAAACACACACATGGACCCCCGAACCTAAACCTTAAAAAAAAAAATTGTACCAGGTATTAAAACATCTGTAGATGGCCGGGCACGGTGGCTCACGCCTGTAATCCCAGCACTTTGGGAGGCCGAGGTGGGCGGATCACCTGAGGTCAGGAGTTTGAGACCAGCCTGACCAACATGGTGAAACCCCGTCTCTACTAAAAATACAAAAAAAAATTAGCCGGGCGTTGTGGCGCATGCCTGTAATCCCAGCTACTCGGGAGGCTGAGACAGAAGAATCGCTTGAATGCGGGAGATGGAGGTTGCAGTGAGCCGAGATCATGACACTGCACTCCAGCCTGGGCAACAAGAGCGAAACTCCGTCTCAAAAAAAAAAAAAAAAAAAAAAAATCTGTAGCTATTTTGCATTCTCGTATCAGTGAGAGTATTGTTGCTGACATTTAATTTTTAAAACCTTGAGCTTTATGAATTTACAGATTTTCTCAATTTTAAGTGCAATTTTACTATATCTTGAAAATAAAATATTTTCCCTAAAAAAAAAAGTAGGGTCTTTTTCTCAGTCAACCTTCTGACAATGTACCCACATCCTATATTTCCAGTCACATTTATATCTTAACATCAGTCCTGGAGAAGACTAGGTCTTGTATTCTATAGTAAAAACAGAAATTTTCTTAAAAGAAGAAGCTTTGAAATAAGTCAAGAGGAAGAATGATTCGAATTACAATGCAAAAAGGGAGCAAATAAAGAGGCCAAAGCCTCATACTCAAACATCTTTATGAACGAAATACAGTACCTCAAACTTGTCTCTTTCGCTCAATTCAAAATAAATTCACCATTAAATCATATCTTGACTCTCATCAGTACCTGATTTAGATGATATTTAGATGAAACTTTGAACTTCAGATTTTTGAGTTGATGCTGGAATGAATTAAGACTTTTGGGACTATTGGAATTAAATTAATGTATTTTTCCTGTAAGAAAGACATGAATTCTGGGGGACCAGGGGCGGAATGCTATGATCTGAATATTTATGTCCTCAAAAATTCATATGTTGAAACACTAACCCCCAAGTTGGTGGCATTAGGAGGAAAGAGCCCTCATAGTAGGGATTAGTGCCTTTATAAAACAGGCCCCAGAGAGCAAGTTTGCTCCTTCCACAAACTAATGACCCATCTAGAAGACACCATCTGTGAACCAGAAAGTGGGTCCTCACCAGACACTGAATCTGCTGGCACATTGATTTTGCACTTCCAGCCTCCAAAACTGTGAGGCAATTTTGTTTATAAACTTGTTTATAAGCCAACTAGTTTATGGTATTTCTTTATAGCAGCCTGAATAAACTAAGACAACCATCATCCAAGGTTGGAAGGGTGAATCCTTCTCACATTTAACATCAGAAAGTTGGTTTCACTTCTCATTTGTTTCCATAAAAAGATAAGCTTCTGTTCATCATTCTTCTTATTGACTTGTTCTATGACAGTGACAATCTTCCTGGATTGATGTCAGAGATGTCTTCATCCTCGGATGAAAGTTGCTCTAGTGAGAAATTTATTTTCAATGTGTCCCTTTGGCACAAATATCATTATGGTTGTTTTCAGATATGTCCACAAGTCTTCTGATACTCCTCTTTTTGATAGAGCTTAATTCTCCTCCACTTGAGTGTGGTCTGTACTTAGTGACTCTCTTCTGAATAAATAAATTGTGGCAGAAATGACAGAGCATAACCTCCAAGGGTCAGTCATAAAATACACTATTTCCCATCTTGTTCTTTCTCTTGGATCACCCACTCTTGGAAACTAGCTGCCATGTTTTGAGGACACTCAACAGCCCTAGGGATAGGGTCTATGCAGCAAAGAACTGAAGTCTCCTCCCAACAACCTGCACGAATTTCCAGACATATGAGTGAGCCACCATGTAAGTAGGTCCTCCAGCTCCATTCACACCTTCAGAGGACTGTGGCCCTGGCCAACAGTAACCACAGGAGAGACCCTGTGCCAGAATCACTCAGCTAATTCCTCCTGGATTCCTGGTCCACAGAAACCATGTGAGATAATAAATGTTACTGTTTTAAGCAACAAAGTTTTGAGGTAATTTGTCACACAGTAATAGACAACTAATACAGCCACGATTATCAATTAAAATTAATTAGGCACCTACCCTGCGTAAGACAGCATGTGCCCCATGTATGTATGTATATACGGCATCCTTCCTGAATAGGTCTTGCATTTTCTTCAATGACATTTGTGAATCCTGGGGGAAAGTTGTGAAACAAGAGCTTCCATTCCGACTATCAACTAAACTCATTTCGAGAAACAGGTTTCCCCACCCACTCTTTTCTTCACTCTGGAAAGGACTTTGTTTGTTGTTTAAAAACAAGTCATGCTGTTATCATGGATGTCTTCAGAATCTGACACCATGCCATATTTATGTTTTGTTCTATTTGTTGCCTTCCAAGTGCAGCTGAGACACAGCAACATTTTCAGATAACAGGAGAAGAAAACAAATTCTTGGAAGAAAGCTGTCACCCAATTTTATTGGCAGCACAAAACTAAGTTTTTAGCTAACAGGACACACATAAATATCACTGATGCTTGCTTATTCCGAATGTTATGTCTCCCTGGCTCATCATTAACAATACAGATCAACACCCAAGACTCACAAATAGAGAGGGAATGTGAATGCCAACAGAATGACAGTGCCTGTGGATGGCACAGATGATCTAGCAGCTATTTAGAAAATTTCATCTCGGGTGCTAACTCTAGGCAGTGAATGGAACAGATTCTTTCATCTGATTTACACTTTATGGCTGTTCCACTTTTAAGGAGGCCTGAGAAATGTCTGCCTGCATCCCAACTAATGTTTCTTCTTCTGTACTCACTCTCTGAAAGACTCTATAGGCCATGCCTTTCCTCCCTCCCCAAGAGACTGGCCCCTCAGGACCCAACCAGAGCTTCTCTCCAGGTCACCAATCCATAGCTCCAAGCAAATGCCATTCAGAGAATGAAACACATCAGTGCTTAACACTTTTGGCAAGAAGTAGAAGCCATTAGACACCCTAGGTTGGAATCCTGGCTTAGCCATTTCTCAGGTTTGTGACCCTCAGCAAGTTACTCAATCTCTTTCAGTTTCAGATTCCCAGCTATAAAATAGTATGATAGACTAGTCCCCATTTCCCAAGGTTATAAGGAGATTTAAATGAGGCAATACGGGTAAAGCACTAAGTGGTACCTGGCTTACAGCCTATGGTCAAGAAATAATAGCTGTCACTATTTTTATCATAATTGCATGACTATATGGCCAGTAGAAAGCTGTTTCTCAATTAGTGCCCTTGTAAAGAACAACTGCCTACCTGGGATCTAGGGGGCACATGTCCCTGTTCCCCCCATCTTCCTGCCCTGCAAAGCCCTAGAGTCTTCCACTTTGTTGTCTTTCAGAAGCAATCACACCACTTTGCCAAACAACTCCCAGGAGTCAAACAGTTTCTGGGTTAAGGCAGATCACACAGTTAGAGGGAGCTTTGAGTATGGAGGGTCTATAGCTAGTGCCACTTCAGGTGAGTCCAAACACCTGGACTCCCTAAATGAAAGAACTCCCTAAATTCTGGTCAAAAGTGGGTGGGGGCTCAGCTACAAAGAACAGTAAGTCTTGCTTTCCCATAAGTATTTTATATGTGGCATGCTTGCAAAACCACAGACATCCCCGTGAGAGATGCCAACTCTAAGACCAACCCTACATACAAGCCGATTAGCAAGTCACCAGCAGGACATAGTCTCTGGGCCACCCAAAGGCTCATGAGAATCTGAAGTTTCTTTACAGGGACCAGGACTTTTATTCCACAAACACAGATATTTCATTAAGCAAATATAACTGGAAGAAGTAATCCAAAATAGCTGATCTTAGATCATTTCACCTGAGGGTAAGTTTTAAGAGAGTGGAAAGGGGAGAAGGCAGAAGCCAGAAGGCAGGAGATGACTGGTTGGGAGGTAAAACACTAAGCATGCTCTCTGGAAAGCAGAGCCAAAACAAGAAGTGTGAGAAACTGTTTAGGGAAAATGCCTGTGAGAGAAGATACATGGGGAGGGAGCCAGAAGAGACTTGGAGAACTGTCAGAAGTACAATGAAGACCTGACCTCAAGTAAAGAGGAGAGTGAAGGAAAGACGGAAGATAAGAAGGAAGCACGTAAGACTGCAGTGCAGTTACACATTCAACAAGGCCACTGGGGAGTCCCCAGGCCAAAATCACTTGAAAGAGGAATTCTGTGCCTCCGAGATGCAGGCCTGCCTTAGTGTTCCAGCCTGGTTTAGTCCCTGGCCAGGAGCAGCCCATGGGAGGCACGGCTTCAGCAGAAATGTGTTGATAGACTTCAGAGCACAGTAGCTGGGGTCTTCCATTGATTGCATTTCGTGGAGAGACCAGAGGCAAATCCCATGGCTGCCACATAAATAAAGGTTGGAAGTTGAAGAAAACCAGTAGTGTCTCATGTTGCACTAGAACCAGCCCTGCCAGCATCAACATTAGACAGAGGATTTTAGCACCTCACACCAGGTCACAGAGAACCATCATAGCTTTTGGTCCCACAAAAAACTAATATGGACACACTGAGCCAAACAACCTTCCTTAACGCTTAGTTGTTTTTTGTTTGACTTATGTCTTAGAATTCCCACCCAAGTCCCCTACAGCATGTGATCTAGAATAGAATAGGTTCCATGACAGCAGATCCTATTCTCTCCTTTCTCCCCTCTCCCATGGAGGCAGCAATAAGCCCTGGGCAGAGGAAGAGGGAATGTTGTCTGAGGCTGTTGTACCAGGGAGATCAAGATTAGGGTGAGCTACCTGGCAAAGGCAAGGGAGATGAATCAAGGAAATTGAAAACAATTTTTTTCCATTTCAAAACTTTGCCAGCTGTTTACCTAGACAAGAGGGAGAAGAGGATTACATCTTTCATGAGGACATTCACCTAGATGGCACTTTCCAAGGAGAACTGGCTCTCTTGAGCTTCTGCTGGCCCTCAGCCCTTCAGGGCATAAGTGGTTAGAGAGAGTCTGTCCCCTTTTGATACTGAATTGAGCCTCATTTTCTATCGAAAAAGAACTCCAGCTCCCTCTGGCAAAGTTGGCTAAGAAAGCTATCTGTTGGCAAATAACTGTTTTCAGCTCCCTAATAGCCATGATGAAACTCCACAGGTACCTGATAAGAGATGTGGTTGACTCAAGGGGTGCATTAATAGAACCAAAAGAAAGGTAAAGTAGGTGGTCCTACAAAGCTCGCTTTGACAAAGAGCATCCTGCAGGTCCTATTTCATTTAAAACATCCTTAAGAGGCTTGCTATATGCCCTATATTGTTTCTAAATTATAGAAGGAGTTATATTCATAAATTTTATCCAGAGCATATAGAACAGAGAATTAATGTGGCCAGAAAGGCGAAAATAGAATAAGTAGGTCTAATACTTACAGGTAAAATAATTAAAACAATATTACCCCCAAACAGAGGAGGAAATGGGAGGTATTTAATTGTGCTGTATCACTATTAATGTTTTCTTTTAAAGATGAGATTTTATATATAAATACATAGACATTATCTGCAAATAAAATAATTTCTTCTTCAAGCATACATAGGAATTTGTCTGGGGTATTTTTTTTCTATACTCTACAGAGCTGCGACCCAAGAGATACATTACACTTACTGCAGAAATTATTTATCCCATGTATTTGTTAAGATTGAATATTCATCTTTTCTTGAATAGCAGACTGATTATAACATTGAAATCTTGCATAATTTTCCCAAAGATTTTCACTTAATAACTAAGCTAAATGTGCATTCAAAACAGCCTCTGAGCAGCCATGGTGCATTCACTCCCTACCTGCCTTCTGCTCAGTGCAGGTCCAGTGGCTGGATCCGCTCTCTGCCTATGGGCCATTTGTGTTAAACTCGGACCACAACTCATCCTCAAGCTGGGGAACACTTTGGCCACATCAATATAGCCACTTTCCACTTCTCAAACTGAATGGCAAAAGAAGAGGAAGGAAAATTTATAAAATGCCTGCTGTGTGCCTAGCATTGCTCTAGAGCAGTGCCTGTCATACTTTTTCACATTATTGGCATTATCTGGACGCTTTTTACCTTTTTTCCTAATCACTCCTCCCCCATTAATTCTTAATACCACAGACAGACCATAAATCTGTTTGTGTACTATATGACTATCTGGGCTTTATACATAAAAAGAATAAAGCTTTTTTGCCCCCTTCCAAGAACCAGTTTTCATTCCCTTGAGGGCAATATTGCCCTCATTGAGAATGCATGTACTAGATGCTCTACCTCATCCATGTAGCCTTATTTGAGGCAGGATAGTGTTATGGTTAAAGTATAAATTTGAGCCAGACTACCTAGATTAAAATCCAAGTGCTACCACTCCCTAGAGGTTTGATCCTGGGCAATTAACTCCAATGTGCCTCAGTTTCCACATCTGTAAAATGGGGATAAGAATGGTATTTACCTAATAAGGTCAATTGTGGAAATTAAATTACTTAATATGGCTGGGCACAGTGGCTCATGCCTGTAATCCCAGCACTTTGGGAGGCCAAGGCAGGAGGATTGCTTGGGCTCAAGGAGTTCAAGATCAGCCTGGGCAACAAAGTAAGACCTTGTCTCTACTAAAAAAAAAAAAAAAAAAAAAAAAAAAATCAAAAAAACTAGCCAGGCACAATGGCACACACCTGTGGTCCCAGCTCCACAGGAAGCTGAGGCAGGGGGATCACTTGAGCCCAGGAGGCCAAGGCTGCAGTGAGCTCTGTTCATGCCACTGCACTCCAACCTGGAAACAAAGCCAAAATGTCTGTCTCAAAAAAAAAAAAAAAAAAAAAGTTAATATAAGCAAAGTGTTCAACATAGTGCCTAGCACATAGGAAGCACTATACAAGCTGTTGCTGTTTTATTAGTAAATCCAAAACCTTAGAAGTATTACAAAGTGTATCTTAACAAAGAGAAAACATATGTTTAGAGAGAAAGAAAATAATTGGCCCAAGTCCACACTGTTGTGAAAGGCTGAAACTGGGACCGAAGGCCAGGGTCTTCAAGACACCAAAATATGCATTTTCCTGTCTATATCACCTCCATTATACCATGAAGCTCACAAAAGATACCCCTGGATAACTCCAAATGGTGTCCCCCATTGAACACAAACCACTGAGAGAATACTCTCCTGTTTTCCCCTTCCAAAAAGCATACATATTACTCTTCCAAACATAGGGAAACCATGCCTTAAGTGATCTCCTTAGATAGATAGCAGTGCTTTTCCCAGCAAAAGGCACCGAGTTCCTTCCTTCCTCTCATCTTAGGATGAAGAAGGCCATTTGATATCATGCAAAATATCAAGGTCTAGGAATCAAGAAACTGACCCCATCCCCAGGTCTGCTAGGCTGTGATCTTGGGCCCATCACCCTCCTCTCTGGTCCTCGGTTTCTTCATTCGCTCTTTGAGCCAAATCAGCTTTATAAGTTGCAGAATTCTGGGATTACAACGCTAGTGTGAAAGGTGGCAGCCATGACAAGTACAAGCCCAGCACCACGTAAGTCTGCATTTTACCCACACCTGCTCAGCAAGCCAACCCAGCGCCGAAAGGAACAAGCACAAGTCTCTGCCACAGTTCTGGGAAGGCAGCACCTTGTCCTAGTTCATCTGACGGCATCCCCTGGCCAGGTCAATCTAAACAAAAAGGGACATTCTGTCCCCATCCCAGGCCCACCAGCAGAGGAGACGTGGGCAAGAGAAGCTTAGAATGACTCATTAGCAGATCTAGCCTTGCTTCTTTTTTTTTCTTTTTTTTTTTTTTTGAGATAGAATCCCACTCTGTCACCCAGGCTGGAGTGCAGTGGTGAGATCTCAGCGAACTGGAACCTCCGCCTCCCGGGTTCAAGCAATTCTCCTGCCTCAGCCTCTCAAGTAGCTGGGACTACAGGCGCACGCCACCACACCAGGCTAATTTTTTTGTACTTTAGTAGAAACAGGGTTTCACCGTGTTGCCCAGGCTGGTCGCGAACTCCTGAACTCAGGCAATCCACCCACTTCGGCCTCCCAAAGTGCTGGGATTACAGGCATGAGCCACCGTGCGGGGCCGCTAGCCTTGTTTCTTTAACTTGATGCTATATTTCCTTAACTTGAAAACATTGAGTAGCGATTAATGTCATTAGATAATGACAAAGATGATGGTTTTATGTCTGATGTGATGCAAAAAAAAGGTGCATATGGCCTACAGAGGTCTTAGAATGACAGCCATGCATATGTTTTATATTAACATTTTATAACATGAGAGTAATCCTGTGCATGTGGTTTTGAGTTCTTTTTAACTTAAAAAGTTGTGAACATTACTTGTGAACATATTCCCATGGCTTTAAATTATTTTCTAAACTATAATTTTTTTATTTTTTTATTTCAATAGCTTTAGGCATACAAGTGGTTTTTGGTTATCTGGATGAATTATATAGTGGTGAAGCCTGGGATTTTACTGTATCCTTCACCCTGTATTGTACATTGTACCCTAATAGGTAGTTTTTCATCCCTCATCTCCCTCCCACTCTCCCCACTTCTGAGTCTCTAATGCCCATTATACCACTCTGTATGCCTTTGCATACCCATAGCTTAGCTCCCACTTACAAATGAGAACATGCAAAAACCATGATTTTTAATGGTAGTTTATGTTCCATCCTAAAAGTACACCATCGATTATTTAGCAATTTCTCTCTTGTAAAATGATTAGATTATTTCCAATTCTTGTATTCTATATAAAGCTACTAGAACATCCTTGTAAATAGATTTTTGTGTGAATCTCTAATTGTTTTCATATGATAAATTTCTAGAAGTGGAATTACAAAGTCAAAGCAGGTAAATGTTTTCAAGACTCCTGAACATATCATCAAATTCCAATGGAAAGATAATATAACTTTTTCCTCCCACTACCAGTACATGAGAGGTTCTATGTCACCTATATGTCTCAGTTTCCTTATCTATAAAATGGAGATAATAGTATATACCTAATAAGGTCATTGTGCAGATTAAATTAATGTAAGTGAAGTGTTTAAAATGGTGCTTACACTCTTGTCAACTATAGTTTTGTCATTTTTCAAAATATCTGCCAACGTATTTGGTTAAAAAATAATATATTGTGGCTTTAATTGCTATTTCCTTGATTATTATTGGAGTTGAAGATGCTTCCAAATTTCTTCACTTTTGAAGTCTTTGTTGATATCCTTTGCTTATAAAAGGAAAATTTTCAAAAATCTTCCTAATAACACCCTTTGTGATTCATCCTACTTAATGATTCTTACATCAGCTGGAAAAAAATAGTGCATTTTTGAGACTCAAAAATTCAAACCAGTTCTAATTTTTCATTACTCTATTTTTGTTTTATGGCAATTATCACTTACTTTTCTGCAAGGCTGAAAGAAAAAAAAAAAACTAGCATAGGTTTTTGTTTCCTTAATGCCTTTCAGCATTAGCCACACCTGAATGAGCCTCTACTGTTTTAGGAAGCCACATCATCTGATATTTAACTGAAAAAAAATGGAAATAGTGAAAAGTTTTGTGCAAAGAAACAAATTCTGTTCCCAAGACCCTCAAACAATCAGACTCTCAATGTTTCTTAGCATAGGTTCTTCAATCACCCCATTCCCTGGGAGAATTCATTCAAAAGGCATATTTTAATGCCCCTCCTCAGACCTCCTTACTTAGAATCTCAGATCAGTGGCCCTAGAATCTGACAACTTCACAAGCTTCTCAAGTGATTATCTGAGAATCACAAGACTAAAGTATATCTTGTTTGCCAAAGCATGTGGTTTATAATCTGTTTTACAAAAAAATAATTAAACCAAAGGTAGAAATCCATCTTCAGAACTATGGCAGATTTGAAGCATTATTATTTCTATTAAGCATGGATTTCCCACTAAGTTACTAACTCGAGTTAAACTGAAATAGATGAAAGGATAAGAATACAGTTTTAAAAAGTTTATTCAAACAAAAAGCTGGAAATAGCCATCTGGGAGACACAGACTCCAGAGAAAAGGGGTTGGTGCTCTGACATTAAAAGTTAACTTCTTGTTTATATAGGAAGAAAACAAAGAATTTTAGTAGGATTATAACATTTTCTATACAAGGCTAATTTATGAATTACAGCAATTTAATTGGTTACACTGTTTTCCCATACAGCTTGTTTTGATTTCCTTTTCAATTTAAAAAGAAGATATTTAACATTCCACATTAAGACAATGTGATAGCAATGAAGTCTTTGTGTAAGAAAAGTAAGAGGGAAGATAAATCGATCATCTATAATGAAAATCAACAGTGAAGCAGAAAGGGGTCTTCTCTGGCACCCTTTAGTCATTTACAACATTTTACAAAACAATGTAAGTAAGGAAGAAGACTAATCTATAATCCGAGAAACAAAGGTTACAACTGCCTGTCACATGACTCAGGCCCAATAATGGCATTCCTTTAAGGCTCAAAATAATTTAGAGTTCCAACAACTTAGATTTTTGAATTACTTATATTTACACCCATCAATACAGCTAAATCGTGAGAGAAACTTGCTATTCCTCATCTCTACCCCACCCTCTTTCTAGCTGTGTGACTTTAACAAGTGACTTTCTGAGGCTCAATTTCCTCATTTGTAAAGGGGGGACATCATGGCACTCTGTCTCACAGAATTATTCCAAGAATCGACTTAGACTATATATGTTAAGTGTCTAACACAATTTCTAGCACCAAAAAAATGACAGCTGTTACAGCGGTGGGATGAAAATTTATACAGCTGAGGTGGAGGAGAAAAAGGTCCATAGGAACAACCAATAATTTTGGAACACTACAGTCTACAAACCACTTTCACATATCTCATTTGATCCTTTGAATATTTCCACGAGATAGGAGGAAAACCTATTGCTATATTCCTTTCACAGACTGAGGCAACTGAAGCTTGACCAAAGCTATATAGTTAGTTAGTGGTAGAGCTTGAACTTCTGACTCTAGAAATCAATATGTCAATACTTGTCAACAATATAAAAGCCCAAAGTCTCCTACAGACCACCTACACTCATCTTATGATTAGAAACATTCTCTAGTGTGATTCAATCTAAAGAATACTTTTTCCCGACTTAGAAAGCACAATAAAAAAACAGCTAAATGACACTGATGTCAATTATCATTATTCAGATTCTTAATTGGCTCTAAATTGCTTTCAAGGTTACCTACAATTCAGAAGAAACCATCATGGCAGCTTTCAAAACCTCCGTACTACAAAACTATTCAAGACTGGTTTACAGGGCAACTCAAAATGTCCTCTCCTCCTCTAAGAGCTCACAGCCTTTCACATTTAAAGCTGTTTGTTCTTTCCTGGTTCTTCTTATAGTTCCCAAGCATCCTCTGCATTTGCTGTAAAGAGTGTTTGCATAATATTTGTGATAAGATTTAGGTCCAAATTATCAAAATGAAAATCCTCTGTCCTGAGGTATAAGCTAATGAAAACAGATATTATTTTTATTCAATTCCCTAAACCCCTGATGTGGAACATGTTCTAGTCTGCAACATTTTTAAGTTTCTCCACAGCTAAAAATATTATCCACAGAATTATAAAACTAAGGGGGAAATGACTCACTGAGATTGTAAACAGCATATCACTCTTCATGGATCAATGCATCATTTGAATACAGTCTTATTCTGCGTTCCCAGCTTCAAGTGAGGACCATTCATAGTTCAGCACTTCATAATTACATACAATTAACAGCTTGGAGGCTGAGTAGCAGAGTGACTGGTAAGCACTGAAAGCTACAAATCTGTTTTGCAGTAATGTATATTTTTTTCTCCCTTGATTTTCTTTATTGTTGTTTTGCTTGTTGCCTGTTAGCATACCTCTAGGGAATGTTTCAAAGATGTAATGTTAATGAGCAAACACTTGAGAGATTGCCAGTCATGTCAGATGACTTTCTTTGCAGGGCACAGAAAGGGGAAAATGAACTGACACATTGTTATGCAGCAAAATAGAATTATGCAGAAAATGCAAAATTATGCAAAATGTTATTTATGCAGAGCACATTAATGGAGAATACAGAGTATCATTGATTAGGAGTAGCAAAGTAGGAATAGATCTGAGTATTACTACCTACTAAAGAATCTTGTTAATACAAGAATAACATGGGTATTTCAATGCAAGACACAGGAGTTATTCTATCTATCCCTAAACTCATAGACCAAAGGATAGGGCAATGAGCTAGGGGATAAAGGAGGCAGAGATTTGCAAGGATAGTAGGCAAACAAAGGTCTGTCAGAGACTCAAGACTCACTAGATGTTAATAATAAAATAATAAAAACAGCAATAATATGAACACAGCTGACATTTATTGACTGCAAAATATGAGCATTGTCCTAAGCACCTCACATGCACTGACTCATTTAATCTCACAACAATTCTGTAAAGTAACATTATCATCCCATTTTATAGCCAAAGAAACTAAGTCTCAGAGAGCATAAATAACTTGCCCGGGGTCACATGGTGAATAAATAGGTAAAGACAGAATCTGAACCCAGAAGCCTGGCTCTGAAGCCCCTTCTCCTCATGGCTGCTAAAGAATGAAACTCCAGAACTGGGGGATTCTACAGCATTCTTATAAATTTTCAAGTTTATAGGCCCTTTTAAAACAGATGAAAAAAAACAATGGGTGTTTTCTCAGAAATATGTATACAAGCTCATACCAAATTTTATAAATAGTTTCAAGGGCACAAGGATCCCTTGAGGTACATCCTTGGATCCTTGTAAAGACCCCTGTTCTAGATGAAATAGATAATAAAATTGGCACATTAGATTGATTCTAGATACTCACAGATGTAATAGATCTCTCAAAAAGTTACACGCCATCATACCATGATGTGCAATGGGACACAGGACACATGTACCATCACTGTTCTCTTCAAGAGGACCTAAGACCCTGGCTCTTCCTTTTGCTCTATGAGCCTGCACTAAGATTTTTGAATTTACAAATATATTTTCTCCTTGTGGTTCTAGTTTGTTCAGTTAGTGTTTATTTAATCCTTCCTCTTGGTGGCCTTGCTATCCAAGAGCAGTTATTAATACTGTTTATGAAAAATGTAAAAAAGGAAAGGAGGGTGGGAGAAAAGTTAGTTCTGCAAATGGTGCCCTGCTGTGGAACTCCTCCATTCCCTAAGTTCCCTTAGAAAACTCAGCTCTCAGCATGTCCCTTTTTCTCAGAAACCCAGGTGGAATTGTTACCAGATGGAAGGTCTTGACTGTGAGTTGTCCAGGCTTCTTTGGCATACTGAACAAAGAATTGAACAAAATGCACAAACAAAGTAATAAAAGAATGGGCAATGAAAGACAAACAAGATGAAGTAAACAAAGCACCGATTTATTAAAGAAGCAAAAGTACAATCCACAGAGTGGGAGCGGGCTGGAGCAGGTGGCCCGAGAGCCTCCCCTATAAGGGTTTTTATTAAGCTACAGAAGTTTGGTAACACTCCTAGGTGCCCTTTAGAGGCCTCCAATTATGCCCTGTGAAGGATTGGCCTGCGACCAATCAGAGGCTGAAGTGGAGACTTGGCCCACAGTCAGTCAGAGGCTAACTGGAAGGAATGTGTGATGTCCCTTGATCAGCTCTTGGGCCCTAACAGCATGAATATTTACCCAGGATCACTGATAGTCAACTGATTTCTACTGAAATGGATCAGGCTTCCTATGAGATGTGATGGAAAAGGGTAAATACCTTCTCTGCAAGACTCTGTAGAAACTCTGTCTAGTTATCACAGGAGCGAGGGTGTGGCCTGGATGCTGCCTAATCTTGCTTAGAACTGTCTGCACCTGCTGTTCTTTTGCTTATGCCTTAACCTTTGGTTACCCTAATTCCCTATTCTCCTGCCTCAGAATGGGCACCAAACTAACAGAACAATTTCATCTTCTTTGCTTAAAATGAATAATACTGGCAATTTGCCAATATTTCCAGCATACTCATACTAGTAGAGTTAGCAGTTTCCACCATGATGGGATTTGAGGGGCAATGTCCACTGTGCCAAAACCCAGCCTGTACCCTGAGGAGCTCACAGCCAGAGTCTTCTGGAGGAAGACCAGACTGGAGTGAAAAACTCTTCCTCCAGACGTGTGAAAAGCTTCACCAGGTTGCTGACATTTGATCAGAGCCTTGGAGGACAAATAGAAGCTGTTCAGTGGAGAAAGAGGAAGGGGCATGAGAGGTGGAAAGAAAAGCAGGAACAACACCATCCTGTGGTGGAGGAGACCAGGAGAAGCCCAGAACCCTGGAGAGAAGGCCAGAAAGATGAGCGGAGGTCAGGGTGTGAAAGGTCACCTACCTTGGGTAGAAATTTGAATTTTATCCTTTAAGCCATTGGTTCCCAAACTTCAGGATGCATAAAAGTTAAGAGAACTTGTTAAGAGTACAGGTCCCCAGGCTCTCCTCCCAGAGCTTTCAATCAATAGGTGCACATTTGACAAGCAGGTGATTCTAATGCAAGTGGTCTGTCAACCACATTTGAGAAAAAAAAAATGTTTTAACCTGCTGAAAGGAGAGCTGCTAGCAAGCTAAATGGTTTGCTGTCATTATGCCCATTGCACAGAGAATAATGTGCACACAGGAATCCAGGGTTCCATTTGGCCACATCTATAGTGAACCCTGGGTATTACAATCCCATCTAAATAGACCCTGCCCTTACAGCAGGAGACAGGGGTCTGAAACAGTAGCACCATTCAAGACAACCACATGCATAGCCCACACCCGGGAGGACCCACGGAAAGTGCCAGTCATGCTGCCTGGACTTAGTAGGTGCTAAATAAATGTGAAGGGAATCTCCTCTCTGGAAAGCAGAGGAAACCTAGCATCCTCATTTCAGCAATTCAGAAATCTCATGGATTGTAATTAATATCCAGCCGGCATTTTGGTCATCAAAGATTATCATTTCCTCTGGGGACAAGGTAGGGGAAAGAACAATCCCCTATAATGGGTTTTGCATCCTTGCTTCATAAAGGGAGTGGTGAAAGTTCCTTGGAGATTCGTATGATGGCAATATCTTTCTAAGCTTCTAGCAAGAAGTTTCTGGCTGCTGCTGGCTAATGTGAAAAGGTGTTGCCAGATCTTTATACTTGGCTGTGATTACTCTGCCCACAAATGTTAGTGAGAGTGTGAGCTGAGTACCTGGGAAGGATTGAATTTACTTTCCCGGATACGGGCACATCAGAAACATTCATTTAGTCCTTTCAGAGAGCTGGTGAGAAACTTTATGCCACACACCCCCCACTGAGCACAGGATCCACTTAAACTCTCAGAGGCACCAAACATCCTCTGAGCGAGCAGAGCTCTGAGGCCTGCTCCCATCAAAAAGGTTTCACTGATGGTTGGACTTTTCATCTTTGCAAAGGGAGGATTCAACTCACAAAAACCCCTAATGCAGCTCACTATCTTGCTTCGGGATCCATCATTTCCCAAGGTTTGATTCTCTCAGCCTCACCACTTGGAAGGAGTGTGTGATGTCCCTTGACCAGCTCTTGGGCCCTAACAGCATAAATATTTATCCAAGATCACTGATCATCAACTGGTTTCTACTGAAATGGATCAGGCGTCCTACAAGATATGTTGGAAAAGGGTAAATACCTTCCCTCTAAGACCCTGTTTAGTGTTTACTTCTCTAAAACATTCGATTATTGCCGCTGAGAAAAGGGACATGGGGAGGTCCTGATTTGTGGTGATTCAATGCAGAGTAATTATTGAAAGTGTTTGCATTTGTCTGAATAATACTAACTTTAAGACTATGTCATTTAAAGCAAATTGTGGGATATTATTTTTCTGGCAGCAATAATCAGGCATTTTTCATAAAATGGCTTCCTTGCAAGAAAATCGCCAAATAATGGCAGAAAAACACTCGGTTCTAAATACAATGAAGCACGAGGAGGCAAAGTGAAGATTAAAACGGCTCTCACGCTGCGGATACAAACTGGAGTCGCTGAAAGGATGTCTTGCTGTTCCCGGGCATGCCGGGAGCCACTGCTGAGGCTCTAATGGGCCCCACACAGGTCTGTAGAGTGGCTGCCTCACAGGGCGTCTGTTATATCTTGACCTAGGGGCATGCCAGATGAAGAAAACATGGGCTCAGCACTCAGGAGACAAAAGCTTCTCTGCACCAGAGGACATGTGCAGGCTTCCACCCAGGTCTTGGACTGGTTCCCACAGCCTGTCTGTTTACCCCTTTGCTCCAAGAGTCTCGCAAAACCCATCTCATGAAAACCACACGAGACCTCCACATAGGCCCATGGTGAGGCTCAGGGAACTCCCGAGCCCCAAAGCTAATAATTTTCCTATTGTCATCTTGCCTCCCCAGCAATGCAAGGGGGAGGGGCACAGCCCCCTAAGAACAGTGTCACATTTTTAGAATCTGTTCTTGTTATATTTCTCCATGCAACTCTAGTTCCAGTAAAAACTTCCTCTGGTTTTTGGGAACAATATCTGAGTTTTATATTTTCAAATAAGAGCTACAGATTTAAAATTCTTGATTCATTCTATATACTGCTTTTAGATTTGTCTCCAATTCAAACAAGCGTACACTGAGTGTCTTACTGAATCTGTTCCTTCCCAATACTACCCAAGGCCATCTGTGAGACAGCCCTATCCTGACTAGGTCCAACGACACCCTCTCCTAGTCCACAGGAGCCGCCCTTGTTTGGGAGGTTGTGCCCCATCAGCTCTGCACGCCAGCCCTCCAGCAGCTTCGGAACTGCTGCATTCCTCTGTAGTTCCTACTGTTCTTCCTGCCACAGGTCATTTTCATTCCCACACCTTCACAGAAACCTCTGCCTAGAATGGGCCCCTCCTAATCTCTCCCAATGTATTTCTACAGTTCCTTCCAAGTGTTCCTCAAGATTTAACCTACACTCACTAAATCTCTGCTGAGGGATGCTACTCCACAATGTTATGTCTCCTCCAGCGTTTGCCCCACTTAAAAATACAATGTTTCTCTTTGATTTCACGTGTATATCATTTCCTCCACCTGGGATTTGAGGTTTGCGGAAACCATGTCCTGTACTTTCTTATGTGGCTTCGTCTCACATTCACCTCATGGCTACTATGTGCCACTCGTGCTGTCTCTCAAAGGATTGAAAATGGTACTTGCCAAAGAATATGCTTTGAATCAATGAATTAACATTTGTTGGCTTAGTAAATACACTCAGAATCCAATAGGTTCATTTGGGTTCCACAATTCCTCTTTATTTTTGTGAAGAGGAAAAGTCTAATAAATGCATGCACCTTGCTCTGTGTATATTTTAACATGCAGCATGCTATCTCTGCATGAGCAGGGATGGCACCATTTTAAGCACTGAGCCTGATGCTCCCCACCATGGTGGGGGGAATAGTCCAACGCCAAGTGGGGAAGACTCTCAGCCTCTCTCCCAGGAATTGTGCATTGGGCCTGGGATGTGGAGCCAGCTTGAGAACCTGGCATGAAAGAAGCATAGTCACACCCACTCAGCCACTGCAGGCCCTGTTCCCCTAAGATGCCCTAGGACCTCTATAGCTGAAAGCAGACAGGGAAGGCCCAGTTTCCTTGGTGAACCGGATAGGGAAAGGCTCTCCTCCAGCTCCCCACCCCCAAGCTTGTGCTTTGCACACATCGGTCCTCACACCCAAACATCGACACACACCAACAGTCAGTCCACTTCAGGGACAGCAATTCCCAAGAGTGGCCACATCAGAGCAACTCCAGGACAGCACCATCCCTCAGGACAACGCTGGGAGGCCAGTCAGGTGGCAGACATTTGTCCCTGAGATGCTGTCTCCCCACCTGATCCAGACCATTCTGGGAGTGGCAGGGAACAAGAAACAGACCAAATGGAATTTAAAATTCTGGTGCCAATAGCCATGTGACCTGGAGCAACTTCAATTTCTCCATCTCAATTTCCTCATCTATAAAATGGGAATCAGAATAATACCTACCTCACGCAAGGTAGAGAACTGAACGGGCCAAACAAGTAACATACTTAACACAGTGCTTGTCATTTTATAATGCATTGTGGTTCTTATCATTAACTATTTTCATTAAAATTCAAGATTGAACTTTTTCTCCCTTCTCCTAAATGGCCATACAAGCGTGTTTGCAAGAATCTGTGTTCTCTTCCCTTCCTCCTCACCCATCTTCACATTTCAATTTGCTTTTTTGTTTCCCCCTTTACTCCACTCCTATCCCTACCTACAACCAGGAAAGCACAGGGGCTCCTTCTGAAATTACACTTGAAACAAAAGGAAGTGAGGGTCCATGTTAAGCCTGACACCTCAGTCACATACACCATAGTGCTGTTCCATCCCCCATTCCCTTTTCAGGGTCAAAACCTCACTTATCCACATTCCATTATTGTCATCTCTGCACTAGAAATTCTTTAACTTTTCAGAATGTTTTAGACATTTTTCTTGTGTACCAATCAGGAAACCGTAATTTAAAAGATATTCTCATCCAGCTTGTTGCAGGATAATAAAGCATTCCACTATCTTCCATTTTGACCAAGATTCACCCAGAAAGTAAATTATATAGAGAAAGAGAGCATGTAGGGAGGTGTGCTGGAATAATGGAAACTTGTCTTTGTCCGGGTGAAATTTTCCTTTTTTTTTTTTTTTTTCTTGAGACGGAGTCTAGCTCTGTCGCCCAGGCTGGAGCGCAGTGGCACAATCTCGGCTCACTGCAAGCTCCGCCTCCCAGGTTCACACCATTCTCCTGCCTCAGCCTCCCGAGTAGCTGGGACTACAGGTGCCTCCCACCATGCCCGGCTAATTTTTTTGTATTTTTTTGTAGAGACGGGGTTTCACCGTGTTAGCCAGGATGGTCTCGATCTCCTGACCTCGTGATCCGCCCACCTCGGCCTCCCAGTGTTCTGGGATTACAGGCGTGAGCCACCCGGCCCCGGGTGAAATTTTCTGTGTTCAGTTAAGTCATTTGGGTTTTGTCTTTTAAGAAACAAAATACAATATAGAACACTAGTTTGCATTTTCCTGGAATTTTGCATGCCTGTGGATCTTGTTTTATTCCCCATTTACTGAATCTATGGTTATTAATATTTTAGTCTCTCAGTAAGTTTCTGTTGTACTAATGGAAAGCATTTGGCCCTCTAGGAGCCAAATGCTACATTGAATAGATCTGTTAACATGCCCTTCAGTAAATTAGCAAAGAGTGTAGCTTCATCTTTTATTTATTAAATAATGAGACTACTTTCATAAATAGCACTTTTTATTTTATTTTAAATGTACTTGAAAAGATTTTATAAGGGTTGAATAACCTCTCCCACCCTACTATGGTAAGCAAAATAATGGCCCCAAAGATGTCCACATTCTATTTCTTAAAACCTGTACATATGTTACCTTACATGGCAAAAAAAAAAAATTAGTAAGGTCAAGGACCTTGAGATGTGGAGGGCTCAGTCTAATCACACAAGTCCTTAAAAGTGGAGAACTTTCCCAGCTATGGTAAGAGAAAGAGAGAGAGGCAATGACAGAAGAGAGGTCACAGAGATGCAAAGTGAGGACTTGACCTGCCATTGTTGGCTTTAAAGATGGAGAAAGGGACAGGAACTAAAGAATACAGTTAGACTTTAGAAGCTGAAAAAAAGCAAGGAAACAGATTCTGCCCTAGAACCCCCAAAAAGGAATGCAGCCCGTACTGTTCCTTGATCTTACTCCAGTGAAATCCATGTTGAACTTCCAAACTACTTAAAGATAAAAAATTTACATTGTTTAGTCTAAGTTTGTAATCATTTGTTGCCACAGTAATAGAAAATGAATACATCGACTCAGAACTAACCCTTTGACTTCAAAGCGAATCAGAATGCAAGGTTCTCTGAGCAAGCAAGAGGGTAGCCATTGAGCATGGACTGGGTTGTAATTGCAGCTCTTTTTGCATATACTGTTCACTTGCTCGTATTCAGTAGCACAAATGTATAAGTAAATGAATGTCTAGTAGTTAGAAATTCCTAAGAAACACACAATAAGGGTTGGGAGTTATAAAAAGACAATATATTGGTTTATGGATTATATATGAATTATATGATCATTAAGAAATATTAAGCCACTACCAATCAATCCCCATAAAAAGAGAGTCTCTAGGCCAGCCTTCGTGGCTTACACCTGTAATCCCAGCAATTTGGGAGGCCAAGGAAGGTGATCACCTGAGGTCAGGAGTTCGAGACCAGCCTGGCCAATGTGGTGAAACCCTGCCTCTACTAAAAATACAAAAATTAGCTGGGCATGGCGGCGGGCGCCTGTAATCCCAGCTACTCAGGAGGTTGAGGCAGGAGAATTGCTTGAACCTAGGAAGTGGAGGTTGCAGTGAGCCAAGTTGGTGCCATTGCACTCCAGCCTGTGCGACAGAGCGAGATTCCATCTCAAAAAAAAAGAGAGAGAGAGAGAGTCTCTATTCCTTTATTTGGAGACATTGTAACCATTACTAGGAAGGCAATAGATGGGCTAATACTGTTTTGCTAGGGGCATCAAATTACTACACAATTTGATGGCCTAGTGTGGTAGAATAGTATTGCTTCTCTTAATGAAGGGAGTAAGCTCCTAAGCACAATTCTTTGTCAGAAATCTGGCTGAAGTAGGAGGCAGAGGATTCCCCAATTAGAAAAGAAAAGCCTTGACATATAAATGCCTAGTTGAAATGGCACCACAATGAAAAGATAGTGACCAAACATATGTGATTGATTGGTATTAGATCTGCCCCAGCTTTGGATGGAGGAAAGGAAGGTGCTGACGTGGAACAGGAAAAATTAAGAGGCTGAAAAGACTAAAGTCCAACCTCACAGAGATAGTCAACATAGGTTAGATAAAAGCGCCTGGAGGCTGGGTTTATTCATTTCTTCAAAATGGTACAAACTCAAGCCCAGCCTTACACAATTTATGTAAGCTTGAGGTTTATTCTTTTAAACACTGTTGTGTGATAGATCTTCCTTTCTAGAAAATTCCTTAATCAAATTATTAGCATATATTGTAAATTTCTAAAATTGTGTGCTTGCTTGATAAAGGAGTAAACAGAAGCAGCTACAGAGTTTAGATTCAGTGAAGTTTCTACATAATTGACTATATGATGTGAAAATTTCTGGTTGCATTTGTTCTCAAAAACCAATTGAATTCACAGAATTGCAAGTAGTAGTTCCCCCTGAGGTTTCATGATATAGATTAAAATGTTACAAATTTGAGGAGAATTCAATTTTTTCCGTTATAAACTGTGCAACCGTCACATTTTACTTTTTCATGTTTGGCAAATTGACAGATGACAGAGCCCATGATGATAATAGTGATAGATCTCTCTAATTGCCATTCGAAGTAAATTAATGCATTCCCGCAACAAGTACAGCCAAGCATTCTCATTAAACTTGGGCAAAATAGAAAGGTGCCTTCTGGGGAGTTTTGACTAAATATAATCAGAACATGCACCAGACAAATCAGACTCTATGCGCATCTGGAGAATTCAACATCAGTACTATTTGATTGCTTGCTTACTCCATTTATCTAGGATAAAATGGTAGTTTGGCAGTGCCTGTATTGTCTCAGGAAGCTGAATTTTTATTGACACACAAACGTCAGAAGAAACTTCTACTCAGTCCATCTGACTTCTCTTAAACCAAATTGAAATAAATTTCTCTGATCATAGCTAGTGTAAGACTCAGACACTCATCAAACATTTCAAGTTCCAAACTTTCTGTTTTACTATTCCTAAAGCCAATAAAATGTCCCCAAAACTATAGTATTTCTATATCTAAAAATACCTAGTGCACAACTTCACACACTCAAAGCCACGCAAAAGTCTTGCTACAGGTGCTCATCTTTAAAAATTAGGAAGATGCACCACCATATTCTACATTAATTTGTCTCCTTCAATATGTAAAGCCCCTTTAAGGCAAATTTTTAAATCAAAGATGAACCATACAATATTCAGATTCACTAAAAATTAAAACAATAGATACAAATGGAAAACATTCGCTACTTCTGTGCTAGAAAATACTACTTCCAAATTATACAAAATCTGTTCTTGAAGATTATGTTAAAGAAAACCATTGTTATGGTTTGCATGTGTCCCCTCCAAAATGTCTGTATTAGAAACTTACTCCTCAGTGCAACAGTGGTAAGAGGTGGGGTCTTTTGGAAGGTGTTTATGTCATGAAGGTTCTGCCCTCATGAAAGGATTATTGCCATTATTAAAAGGGCTTGTAGGAGTAGATCCACTCACTTCTGCTCTTCTGTGATATGAGGGCACAGTGTTCGCCCCTCCCTTGCCCTTCTGCCTTCCACTATGGGAAGATGCAGTAAGAAGGCCAACACCAACACCAGATGCTGGCACCATGATCTGGATTTCCCAGCCTCCAGAACTGTGAAAGAATAAATTTTTGTTCTTTATAAATTACTCAGTCTCAGGTATTCTGTTATAGCATCACGAAACAGACTAAGACAACCATTTTTTCCCACATTGTCATTGAAACTTGAATATGGGATGCTTCCCATCGTAAGCAGAGGTAGCCATAAGTGAAATGGAATATTAAGGTCTTCTGACTTTTGCTGGGCTCCCTCTCCATCCCCCCCTCTCTATGTGAAGACCATATGTATCCAACAGACCATGGAATCAGAGGAACCAAAATAATAATAATAGTCCTAGTATAGTTCAGTACCAAAGATATTTGCAACATGATTTGCAAACATCTGGTTTGAAGATAGAGAAAGGGACATGAGCTAAGGAACAAAAGAAAAAAAATGAGAATGCAAAGGAAAGATGAAAAATATATACGAGATTTTAAAGATATGAGAATTTAAATTCAGGAGTAATTCCAGCTTCCTTGGTGTTCCTGGCTTGGCTGTGGTACTAAGAGTCATGGGAAATGGCAGACTTTTGTGCTTAACTTCAAAATCAAGACTCAAAATGCTGAAACCAGTCTAAGGTAGGTGGGACTGTGGTATGGTTTGGCTCCGTGTCCCCACTCAAATCTCATCTAGAATTGTAATACCCACATGTCAAGGGAGGGACCTGGTGGGAGGTGATTGGATCGTGGGGCTGGCGGGTTCCCCCATGCTGTTCTCATGATAATGAGTTCTCACAAGATCTGATGGTTTTTAAAGTGTGGCACTTCCCACCCACCGCCTCTCCTGCCACCTTGTGAAGAAAGTGCTTGCTTCCCCTTCACCATAATTGTGTTTCCTGAGGCCTCCCCAGCCATGTGGACCTGTGAGTCAAATAAACCTCTTTTCTTTATAAATTACCCAGTCTCAGGTAGTTCTTCATAGCAGTGTGAAAACAGACTAATACAGACTGGTATACTGTACTACTTAAAAGCCTAGGTCCTAAACCCCACATCTGCCACTTAGTAGCTATTAATCTCTTACTTCTCAGTTTCCTCATCAATAAAATGGAGATAGTAATGGTCAATTTTATAGAATTGTTATGCAAATAAATGCATTTCACAAGTCTTCTGATTTTTCTCTGAGAGTTAAAGTGGAGTTTATGTAAAACATGATTTATGTGGAGAAAGAAAGGAGTAATAGAGTTAAAAGAAAAACCTCAGTATCATCACAAAGGTAGGATGAAGGATCTCCAGCAGGATGAGGGAAGACAAAATAGGATGCTTCTAGTGGGACTCTTTGTGGAGGACCAAAGAAAGTTGAATGTAAGCAGAAGAGTCATGTGTGATTGTTAGGAAGACCTAGAGTCATCTCTACTCTTTGAACCAAATATCGATTAGCCTGAAAAAAATAAATAAAAAATAAATCAATAAATAAAACAGAAAACTTAAAAGGGGGTTGCAAACATGTGGCTTGCTCATGCTCTATGTTTGAGAGATTAACAAGAGAGGTAAAAAGTCAATAAACTTAATTGATAAAGCTTCATCCTACATGTCCCAGGGAATCCTTAAGCTGTTATTGACATGAGGAGGTGCTAAGGTCTGTTACAGAATTCCACGGATTAGTACATGTGAGGAGGGCCACCAGGACCATGAGGCTATCAGTGGGTAGATGTGACTGGGATATTTATAGAAGTGGGTAACTGACAACATTCAGGCCACACCTACCCAGAACCTGGGCCTACATCTGGAGACTGCATACTGGATACTGACTGCATAAAGCCCACCATGTGTCAAGCAATGTAGCCACTCTTCATCACAGGATGAGCTCAAGGAGATACAAGCCCAACAACAGGACACGGTGCCTCCATAATGGCAGGAAGCTGAAGGCAGAGAAGACACTGGTTCTCAACCCACCCTAACCCATCAGGTAACTTGAGTAAGTCACTTCAACTTTCTGGGCTTTAGGTTTCTTATTTGTATATTGAGATCATGGAACTGATAATCACTAAGATCCTTTCCATCATTTTCCATTTATAAATCATAGTTTTGAGGTTTGAAGCTTTGGTCACTATCTCCTGCTAAGCCAAAGTTCAGCACTACATCCAATACCACAGAAAATGCAGGAAAATTTTGGTTCTGTACCCAAAAATAGTCCTGAGTTGACCAGGGGGCCCCTTGATGCTAGGGGATTGAGTGGGGAGAAGGAAGACCTTTCCTCTAGCTTAGGGCAGGCTAGAGAGACCATCTGGCAGCAGAATAAAGGATGTGGTTCTATTTATTCCTTGTACTTCTTCCCCCTGTAGTCCAAAGCTGCTTGAGGTAGTTACTGACAGAGGAAGAAATTGCTAGAAGCCAAAGCTATTCCAATTAAAACTATTAAAAAATCTGATTGTGAGAATGTTTGTTAAAAGAAAAAAAAAATTCTGCCGTAAGCCTGAACTACAGATTGCCTGCAAAGTGCCCATATGGTATAGCTATATAAATTTTATTACCTAGTAAAATTTGTGTCTTAAAACTCTTGGCAAGAGACTTCATTTAACTAACCCAGACTTTTTTTTCCCTTGGCCCAGATACAGAAGAATCGGTGCCACTGAATAACATATTAGGCACTTGCTTTTTGCAGTAGATACACTGTTCTTCTAATGTTTTGTCATATAACTTAACTGCCACCTGAACAAGAAATAACTGTTCAAACTTTTTTTACACATCTTAGCTGAAAATTCAAACTAAATTCGACATCAGCCAATTCTTAAAGGGTCCTTTCTTCCTTTGTATCTTTGATTCTCTACCCTCTTTGATATATATGTTTATACAATCAGCACAGGAATCATTATTTAAAGTGTGCATTTTTTTCTGAAATATGTTGCCTTGTGTTCAAGTGAAATGCAGAACAGTTTTTCATCATCTCACTGGTTTTGGAATTTGGATTTTGAATGTCAAATCTTATATTTCTTTTCATTTTTTTTGAACTGTTAAGAAACTGTGTGTGTTCTTTTAAGTTTACAGTCTGCTCTGAAATTACAATGTAAATAGCTTTAACACAGTCTAAAGTACTTCTAATGGGAATGAATTATTATGGAAACTATCAAGAAAGGCACTGAGCATTATTTGGAAGGCGGCTTTGTTTCTATCTTGGTTTATCCTTTGCCAGTGGCTCCATTAGGGTATCACTCAGTCAGTCTCCCTGCTGGATAGTAAGCTACATCCATCCCTGTACTACTAGCCAAAAGGAGTAGAAAGCTCTAGGCAGAAGCTGTGGCCCCTTGAGAAAAGAGAAGCTTTCTGTTAAATAGTTTCTAATTCCACCCATATTGGAAATACCAGGTGGGACCATTTCACCATCTTTTCACAAAAAGTATGTCATGCCTCTTTCCTTGCCACTACTATAAGGGCTTCATTGAACTTCAAACCTCTTCTAAATCAACAAGATATCTCACACAACATGCAATGAAGTGAGGTGCTACTTAATCCTTCAGCCTTCCAGAAGCACATTCTGTAGCTCTTGATTATTTAAAAAATGCAAAAGCAAAACTAATATAATAGTAACAAACCCTTATAGTTATGATGTGCTTATTACATGCCAGACACCATACTAACGCTTTACATCCATTAGCTCATTTAATACTCACACACACACAAACTCTAGGGGGCAGTGTTGTCCCTACTGTAAAGACGAAGAAACCATCTTAAAGAAGTTAACTGTACTATATATGGGTTTCTGCTAAATGAGTAGATTTCAGCTTCTCTTGCCACAAGAATTTAAAAATGGGTAACTATGTGTAATGATGTACATATTAACTTGTTTCACTAAGTAATCTTTTTACTATTTATCTATATCCTATAATATCATGTTATAACCTCTTAAATATACACAATAAATTTTATTTTTTAAAAAAGGTATAAATTTCCCAAGATCATATAGGGAAACCAGGTGGAACCAAGCACTAAGTCCAGTCTGCTCCTGAGATGGCTTCTTAGCCAGGTCCTTTATGCTGACAATAGTTAGAGACACATCTTAGAAAGCCAATAGGTGACTTGGAATTAGTGTAATGGGAAAAAATGAACTATTACTTAAATCGATTTTTGAAGAATTTCTCTCAAGGAGAAAGCTGTCTTCATCTTAAGTACACCTTAATAATAAGAATGGTTAATATTCAGTGGGTGCCTACTGTGTGCCAGGCAATTTCCTAAGTATTTTACCTATATTAACCCACTTGATACTCAGTACAATTACCATTTTTGCATCACTACAATGGCCATCTTACAAATGAGGAACTTGAGGCAGGTAGAAGTTAAGTAACATGGAAAAGCCACGCAGCCAGGGAGGGTGGAGACTCCATGTAGAACCATGTCGTATGGCTCGAGTGCATATCCTCTTAACACGACTCTATGCTGCCTTTGTGATTACAAACATGTTTGATTATGACAAAAATCATAGGGACAGAGCCTGGATGAGTAAATAGCCAGATAATAAAACAGCTAAGGTGGGTCTGCACAACAAATTACTGGGAATTTCAGGATTTAGGAGCAGAAAAGACAAAGGGAGTTCCAGAATCATCACAGGAACCTGTCACCCAAATTCAAAAGATGAACAAGAAAAATCTTATCGGTAAGAATAGACACAGGACCATTGAAAAAAGGGATGTGTCATAGGTTTTTTTAATTTTTAATTTGTGTGGGCACATAGCAGGTGTGTATATATTTATGGGGCATATGGGATCTTTGATACAGGCATATAGTGTGTAATAATCACATCAGGATAAATGGGGCATCCATCGCCTCAAGCATTTATCCTTTGTGTTACAAACAACCCAATTCTACTCTTTTAGTTATTTTAAAATGTATAATTAAATTATTATTGACTATAGTCACTCTGTTGCGGTATCAAATACTAGTTGTTATTCATTCTTTCTAACTACTTTTTGTACCCATTAACCATCCCCACTTCTCCCCCACCTCACTCCACTTGTCATAGTTTATTTTAAGCTGCTTATTGTGCTGCACTGCTAAGTAACCACTCCATGACACACAGAGCCTTGAGATGGGACACTTTGGGTAATAAAGGAATTGGGATGGTGTCCAGCAAAGAGCTGCAGCATAGAAAAGGGCCAGCAGGAACAGGAAGTAAAAGATCAGCAGAGATGCTGGGAAGTAATGGAAACATTCTTCAATAATCTCCAAAGAGTAGATCACCCACTGTAAATGGGATGTGGAAGTTCAAGCCAGATTCTCTCAGTCTTAATGGACAATCTCGTTGCAACAAGCTGGAGGACTTGGGGAAAGACACCCAGCCCGTTGAAATCTAGGTTGGGCTAGAATTCAAAGTTTCTGATTTCTAAAATTAAACACTCATTCAATAAGTATTTATTGAGTGCCAACAGAATGCTGGGCCTTGTTCAAGATACTAGGGATACAGGAGTAAGCACAACGGACTTGGTTCCTGCCCTTTGGAGTTTATAATCCAGTGGGGAAGGCTGACAATTAAGCAGTAAAACACCCTAAAGTGTGGTCAATGGCTTGATAAGGGGAGCCCAGTATGCTAGGGGAGCAGGTGGCAAAGGACCCCTAAACTACTTGCCAGAAGAGGTGGTGCTTAAATTGAATTGCAAAGCAGAGCACTGAGGAGGGATGTTTATGCAGACAGAAAGAAAAGAAAGCACTGAAGAAAGTCCGGAGAGAGCCCTGCAAGTTTGGGAATGGAGAAGAGTTCACATCTGAAACTTCATACTGGAACAGTAAAGATAAAGGGAATGGTGTCAAGATGCAGGTGTAGAGGGCAGGGGTGTCACAGAGGGCCTTGGAAACCACACTGAGGGGTTTGGGACAAAAGGAAGATCAAGTTTCAAACAGGGTAGTGATATGATCAAATGAGAACTACAAAGTTTAAGGTTAAAAAATAAGTGAAGAGGGCACTAAACTTAAGTTTTATTTTCCTGAGCTGAAGGTTTGTGGTGTTTTTCTATTGATAATAAAGAACTGTTCACTCCTACAATGAGCTATTCTGGACTTACCACTAGCCATCATTATATAGGACATAAATTTGCATGGTATCCTTTGGCAATATCATTGTCTATACAATCTGTGGACTGGACCCATAGTTATCACCTTTCTGTCTATTGTGTTGATTCACACTCCCCAAAATTATTTTATTTATTTAAAATACACCTTCAGGATTACAAAAACTAACTCATGTCATCCTCGTAACAACTCTATGAGGTAAGTACCATTATTATCCCCATTGCGCAGATGAGGAAACTGAGGCTTAAAACAGTCACATGGCTAGTAAGTAGCAGATGCTTTATAGTACACGCACTCAAACCACTACCACATGAAGCCTATCTGGTTGGTTTGGAGAGGCTAAAGGCAAAATAATCTAGAGAGAGCACAAACCTAAGTAAGCGGAACATTCACTAGTTGTTTGAACATTTATTTACTCATCTTGGACCAGCCTGGAGACACAAAAATGAATCTGTCCAGTCCCTCCATTCCTAGAGTACCCAGTCTAGCAGCAGAACAGACAATATCCTAAAATCACAATCCAAATGAGAAGAGTGATGTGTGAGGATGTTAGCAGTGGCAGGTGAACATCTCACTCTCCTTGGGGCAGAGAAGCCCCCAGGCGAGAAGTTCCCCAGAGGAGCCTGCCCAAGCATACACTGAATGATAAGTGGGATTCCACCAGCTGGGCAAAGAAGAAAGGAACATGAGAGTACCCAATGGTATTGTTTAGGGAATTGCAAATTCTTCAACCTGGCTAAAGACTGGGGACCCCTGCAGGAAATGGCAGGAAATGGGACTACAGAGTGTGCTGGTTCAGGCAGCACTGTCCCTTGATAAACTCCCAGAGAACAGCCACATTGTCAGAAAGCACATTTTCTGCTCATTCCACTGAGCTTAGAGGGTAAGAACACCCTGAAAACTGTGGCCCAAATGTCTCTGTGGACAGTTAAGGTGTTTCCTTGGCCAGAGACGTTTGCTAAAATCTTCCTCTGCAGGTTCTGGGCCTTTGGCGTAGTGCCCAATTTTGAAACTGCGATGTCCCCGAAGTTCCTTCCCCATGGAGCTGGCATCCACATCTTATGACTAAATTATAGATTGTCCCATGTAAGATGGAATAATACCTTATAAAAGGAGTAATTGCTTTACCTCAGGACTTCTGTCCCTCTGAAAAATAAGTGAGTTCTATATAAAAAAGAAAAATAAATCTCTAAAACCCAATATAATCTTTTGAGATGTTGTATCAACTTTGATCACATAAAAGACCCAGAGCCATGTTTCAGGCATATATACACTCGTCTTCAAAATGCCTTACCTTATATACCTTATAAAATAATACCTTATCTTAACATTCCTTCTCTAATGATATTAGTCAAAACAATTCTACTTTTTAATTAATTGTTTTGACTTTTTTAAAGCATTATGCCTCCAAGAGACTTTAAGCCAAGAAAATAATTTGACAAACCTAATTACACACACACTCATACACACATCATACATAAACACGTATGGGTTTAAATGAAAATGCAAGGTTGAGCCAAGCACAGTGACTCATGCCTGTATTCCCAACACTTTGGAAGGCCGAGGTGGGTGCATTGCTTGAGCCCAGGAGTTCGAGACCAGCCTGGGTAATATAGTGAGACCTCATCTCTACCAAAAATACAAAAATTAGCCAGGCATGGTGGCGCAGACCAGTAGTCACAACTATTAGGGAGGCTGAGGTAGGAGGATCACTTGAGCTCAGGAGGTTAAGGCTCCAGTGAGCCATGATTATAACACTGCACTGTCTTAAAAAACAAATAATGCAAGGTTGGAACTGGAACCAAATGGGCATAAAATTAAATAACATGACATTATATGATTCTGTCTCTTTATATGAGCTTTGCAATAACTTTTACTCTTGATGGCTCCCTACGACCTCACAGGAAGGACTAGTATCATTTAGCCACACATATTGCAAATAAAAGGAAGCCCAAAGAGATTACAGGGTGGCTATGATTTTGTGTAAAATGAAGCAGAATGATGAGACACAATCTGGGTCATTCTGGAGGGAAAAGGCTAATAAGGGATAAGAATATCTATTCCAACCTCCCCATTTTACAGATGACCAAACAGAGACCCAGCAGTTGACCCTTAGGCATATGGCCCATGAGTGAAGAAACAGGAATAGAGCCACATTATCTGAAGTCTAGTTCTATGTCCTTTCTGATTCTTTACTTCTCAAACCAGTTTATACATCGTCCCCAGAGATTCACAGAAGAGAGGCACAGAGGACTCATGGTCATAGCATAAAGCTCAAGCATCAAAGGTACTTGAAGATTTGAGGGAAATCATATTATTTATCTAATCTTTATGTAATTCTAATACTTAAATATTAGAACAATTAGAAAATAGTATAGATTTAAATGTAATTGCATAATTTTTTTCAAAAACAAAACAGGTGACTTCAAAGAAAGATGATGCTTACTGAAGTTGCTTGGACTACCCGGCAAATTGCCCAGGGGGGCACAGTCCCACTGCTCCCTGCCACCAGGACACATCAGCACCTGCTCCAGGGAATCACGGTGCCCCATGAAAAGTGGAGCAAACTCTTCTCACCCACTCTCCCCCCGACTAGTGACCCTAAGGATTGGGATGAGAAAGAGAAAGCTTTGGAAGAGCCTAATCCCAGGAACTGGTTCATCCTTCTCTAGAAGAAAGAAAATAAATGAGGTTAACTTGCAAGAGAAGTAGAGGAAGTGAGAGAGGGATTCTTTGGGAGAACTACAAAGCAACTATTAAGTCTCCAGAAAGAAAAGCCAGGCTGTCAGAAGTGCTAACATCCAGAAGAGCAGAAATATTTTCCCACACTCTAGTTACAAAGGCCTTGTATTTGCTCCTAATGGCAGAAAAGAAAGGCTCACTTCACCACCAGACATTGGAAAGACCTGAATCTTGCCACAGGGCCAACCCAAGGGAACAAAGAACCCTCCTACAATGGGACCTCACAAAAGCGTAGTTTTTAAGCGTCACAGTCCCAGGACAGGGTCGTCTTGCTGTTCCCTTAGCAAGGAAGATATGGTTCATGGTCATGGATCAACACCATTGTTGACACTTGACACCTTTTGATCTCAGCTCCTAAGTCTCCTACTTCTACATTAGTCATACCATGCTCTATGCTGTCACTTTTCTCTTTCTCTTTTTTTTTTTTTTTTTTTTTTTCCTGAGACGGAGTCTCACTCTGTTGCCCAGGCTGGAGTGCAGTGGCACAATCTTGGCTCACTGCAAGCTCCACCTCCCAGGTTCACACCATTCTCCTGCCTCAGCCTCCCGAGCTGGGACTACAGGTGCCCGCCACCACAACCGGCTAATTTTTTTTTTTTTTTTTTTTTTTTTTAGTAGAGACGGGGTTTCACCATGTTAGCCAGGATGGTCTCGATCTCCTGACCTCATGATCTGCCTGCCTCAGCCTCCCAAAGTGCTGGGATTACAGGCATGAGCCACCACGTGCAGCCAGTCACTTTTCTCTTTCTTGCAACTTCTCTCTGCCCTTAGCTTTAAGAAAGGACTTCTGCTTACTCCTGCAAGCATCTCCTGACCTCTAGGTTTCAGGGTGTGCATCTGTCAGTGTTTGTATGCTGTATCCTCTGGTCTTTTTTTTTTTTTTTTTTTTTTGAGTAGCTGGGATTAGAGGTCTGCGCCACCATGCTTGGCTAATTTTTGTATTTTTAGTAGAGACTGGGGTTTTGCCATGTTGGCCAGGCTGGTCTTGAACTCCTGACCTCAAGTGATCTGCCCACATCGCCCCACAAAGTGCTGGGATTACAGGCGTGAGCCTCTGCACCAGGCCTGTATCCTCTGATCTTGTTTCAATCAATTAGCTGTGTCTTTGTCATGGCTGCCCACATATGAATTGATGTCTTCTAGATCACATATAACAGCAGCTTAGTAACTTGCCTTTCCTTATTTTCATCACGTGCATTTATCAGATCAAAAATTAATCCCTTGAAAATGTCTTTGCCTAAAGAAAACTCTTTCTTCTTTCTCTGTAATTAATTTTTCTCATTGCATGTAACGTTTTAAAACATTTGCTATCTTCTCAGAATGTTAAATATGTTTGATTTTCTTAGTTCTATTGACTTAATCATAGAACCTCAAATATCACCAGTAAGGCAAATTACAATAGAACTAAGAAATATCAACTTATACACTTTAGAAAGGCAGCGTAATTGGCATTATAATCACCAAACCTAGAGGCGCTGAGAATAGAGGGCAAAGGTGAGTTGCTAAACAAAAAACGGGCATTAAATAAAAATCTGCTTATCAAAGAGTGAGACTCCATCCTGTGTGCACGATGCCACCAGCCAAGCACACACCTCATGGCAGGAAGCTGAAAAATCCTTCTGGGGAGAAACTGAATGGCCCAAAGAAAAGATCAAAAGACCCTAATCTTTAAGCCTTTCCTGAAAACAAGGAAAATAAGTCTTTCCTGCTTATAACCTGATCCCCTACAGAAAAGCCCACTTTATGGTCACAGTTTTTTATTGTTTTTGTGGCTCACATTTAAATGGGAATAGACAACCAGGGATCACTAGAAATTTGAGAAAAAACTTCAGCACAAAGTGAAATCATAAACACAAGTAGAAAAAGAACCTGGCATAAATGAATAAACTGCAAGGAAAGGAAAAGAGAAATTTTTAACATCCCTACTACTCAAAGCCATCTACAGATTCAATGCAAGCCCTATCAAAATACCAACAATATTCTTCACAGAAATAGAAAAAACAATCCTAAAATTTATACGGAACCACAAAAGAATCCAAATAGCCAAAGCGATCTTAAGCAAAAAGAATGAAGCTGGAGGCATCACACTGCCTGACTCCAAAATATACTACAAAACAATAGTAACCAAAACAGTGTGGTACTGGCATAAAAACAGACACATTGATCAATGGAACAGGATAGAGAACCCAGAAATAAATCAATGTATTGACAGCCAACTGATTTTCAACACAGGTTCCAAGAACATACATTGGGGAAAGGACAGTCTCTTCAATAAATGGTTTTGTGAAGACTGAATATCCATATGTAGAAGAATAAAACTAGACCTTATCTCACACCATATATAAAAAAATCAAATCAAAATGGATTAAAGATTTAAATATAAGACCTGAAACTATAAAATTATCATACTAGAAGAAAACAAAGAAAACATTAGGGAAATGCTTCAGGATATTGGGCCTGGCAAAGATTGTTTTGATAAGCTCTCAAAAGCAGAAGCAACAAAAAAAAAATAGACAAATGGGATTATAGCCAACTAAAAACCTTCTGCACAGCAAAGGAAATAATCAACAGAGTGAAAAGACAACATACAGAATGAAAGAAAATATTTGCAAACAATCCATCTAATAAGGGGTTAATATCCAGAATATATAAGGAACTGAAACAATTCAACAGAAAAAAAAAATCAGAATTTAGGAGGGGTAAATAATCTGAATAGTCATTTCTCAAAAGAAGATCTACAAATGGCCAAACGGGTATACTGAAAAATGCTCAGCTGGGCATGCTGGCTCATGCCTGTAATCCCAGCACTTTGAGGGCCAAGACAGGTGGATCGCTTGAGCTCAGGAGTTCAAGACCAGCCTGGACAACATGGTGAACATGGTGAAACTCCATCTCTACAAAAAAAAAAAAGAAAAAAAAAAAAAAATATATATATATATATATTTGTGTGTGTGTGTGTGTATATATATATATATATACACTTATACATACAAAAAAAATCAGCTAGGCATGGTGGTGTGCACCTGTAGTCCCAGCTATCTGGGGGGGCTGAGGCAGGAGGATCACTTGTGCCCGGGAGTTCAAGGCTGCAGTGAGCCTTAATCACACCACTGTACTCCAGCCTGGGCAGCAGAGTGAGACCCTGTCTCAAAAAAAGAAACGTAAAAGAAAAATGCTCAACATCAATAATTATTAGGGACATGCAAATTAAAACCACAATGAGATAACATCTCACCCCAGTTAGGATGGCTATTATCAAAAGGACAAAAAATAACAAATGCTGGTGAGGATGCAGATAAAGGGGAAACTTATACACTATTAGTGGGAATGCAAATTAGTACAGCCATATAGAAAACAGTATGGAGTTTCCTCAAAAAACTAAAAAGAGAAATACCATACCATATGACCCAGCAATCCCACCGAGTATATATCCAAAAGAAAGGAAATCAATAGGTGAAAGAGATAGCTACACTTCCATGCTTATTACAGCACTATTCACAACAGCCAGGATATTGAATCAACCTAAGTGTCTATCAACAGATGAATGGAAAAAGAAAATGTAGTATATACACAAAATGGAATATTATTCAGTCATAAAAAAAGAATGAAATCCTGTCATTTGTAGCAACATGGATGAGCCTGGAGGCCATTATTTTAAGTGAAATAAGCCAGGCACAGAAAGACAAATGCTATGTTCTCACTCATATGTGGAAGCTAAAAAAAAATTGATCTCATAGAAATAGAGAATAAAATAGTAGTTACCAGAAGCTGTGAAGGGTATGAAGGAGGGAGGGATACAGAGAGGTTGGTTAACAGGTACAAAATTACAGCTAGATAGGAGGAATAAGTTCTAGTGTTCTATAGCACAGTAGGATGACTATAGTTAACAATTTATTGTATATTCCAAAATAGCTGGAAGAGAGTTTTTGATGTTCCCAGCACAAAGAAATGATAAATGTTTAAGGTGATGGATATGCTAATTAACCTGATTTGGTTATTACTCATTATATACATGTATGGAAACATCACATGTACCCCATAAATATGTACAAATATCATGTGCAATTAAAATAATAATAATAATTTATTAAATCCAAATTAAATGTCCACGGAGAGTGAAAAGAACGTAGTGCATTCATGAAATAAAAAAGGAGGGCTGTTTTAAAAAAAAATAGACATAAGGGCTAGGAAAATGTTGGAAATTTTTTAATACATGTGAAAGCAAAAAGAAAAACTCAATAAAGTTTGGAATGTGATCTCAGTTGAGGAAATCTCCAGAAGTAGAACAAATAGACAAAGAAATGGAAAATAGGAGATGAATAAGAAAATTAGGGAATCATTCACTGAAATATCCTCCTTTTGCCATGTGACCTGCAAGCACAAGCTTCTCCTTTTGCCATGATTGTAAGCTTGCAGAGGCTTCCGCAGACGCAGATGCCTGCTTATGCTTCCTGTACAGCTTGCAGAACCATGAACCAATTAAATTTCTTTTCTTTATAAATTAAAAAAGACACAGAAATAATACAAGTTCCATTATGAGAGAACAGAGAAAAACAGAGGGGAGGATCTCACAAAGACATAATACAAGAAAAATTTCCAAACAGAGTGGCACAAGCGCTCAAATTGAAAGGGTCCATGTCCCAAGCACAACGAATGAAGAAAGACTCACACCGGGAATAAAGATTCTAAAAGTTTCCAGAAAGAAAAAAAGCAGGGTGGGGTGAAGCAAAAGTAAGCATAAGACAGGAGAACTAAGAAGCATAGAATCTGACACACAAGATGTCCTAAGAGAATTCTCAGGACATCAGCTGTGCTTCAAGCCTAGACCTCGCCAAGCAAGAGTGGAACAAAAAGGCAGAAAGCTGCAGGAGAAAGACTGCTGAGGGAAACAGCATAACTGGAGAATGAATGAAGTTCTTGAGCATCAGAAAAGAAAGACTAATGATGGGCATTTGGCAGCTCTCTTGAAGCATTTGGGAAATCCAGCAATAGGTACTAAAACAAAGCAAATGAAAAATAAGACGTTAACAATTCCAAGAATAATAAAAAGAAACATCATAAATAAATAAATAAATAAATAAATAGGCATCATAATTTAATGACTGAGTTTAATTTCACTGATTATCCTGGAATGTTCCAGTAAGTCTGAAAAAAAATTAATACAAGAAAGGAAACATGTCATATGTTTGACTCACATGGGTTCATCAGGGAAAATATTTATAAGGCATAATAATGTAAACACTGATCACTTAAAATTTGTGATATAACTACTTTGTGTGTGGGTAGAGCACCTAAATCCTTTCAGCATTATCTCATTGTTTATATGCACATGACGCTTTGGTTAAAGTTAAAAATAACTCAAAGTGAATAAGAAAAAGCTATCAGAAACATCATGGTGCTGCCTCAAAAAATTAGAAATGGCAATCACCATCTGATCCAGCAATCCTACTTCTAAGTAGATACCCAAAAGAAGTGAAAGCAGGGTCTCAAAGAGATATTTGCACACCCATGTTTATAGCAGCCTTATTCACAATAACCAAAAGGGAGAGGCAACCCAAAAGTTTATCAACAGACACATGGGACCAGGCATAGTGACTCACATTTGTAATCCCAACAGTTTAGAAGGCCGAGGTGGGAAGACCGCTTGAGTCCAGGAGTGTAGACCAGCCTAGACAACATGATGCAACCCCGTCTCTACAATATATAAAATTTAAAAAAAAATTAGCTGGAAGTGGTGGCACAAACCTATAGTTCCAGCCTCCTGAATATAGGAGGCTGAGGTGGGAGGATCACTTGAGCCCAGGAGGCGGAGGTTGCAGTAAGCCATGATCACACCACCACGCTCCAGGTTGGGCAATAGAGTGAGATCCTGTCTCAAAAAATAAAAAATAAGATGAACAGATAAACAAAATGTGGTATATCCATACAAAGGAATATTGTTTAGCCTTAAAAAGGAAGTAAATTCTGACATATGCTGTAACATAGAGGAACCTTGAGGATATTACTGTAAGTGAAATAAGCTAGTCACAAAAAGATAAATACTGTATGATTCAGCTTAGGTGAGGGACCTACAGTAGTCAAATTCATAGAGACAGAAGGTAGAATGGTGATTGCCAGAGGCTGAGGGGAGGGAGGACTGGGGAGTTGTTGCTTAATGTGCAGAGTTTCTATTTTGCCAGATGAAAGGTTTGGGGATCTGTTGTATAACAATGTGAATATATTCACATTATATTGTACTGAATTGTACACTTAAAAATGGTTAAGTAAATTTTAGGTTATGTATCTTTTACCACAATTTTTTAAAACTTTACAAAATGAATAGAGAAAGAACATAATGATACAAAAGGTAAAAGATTTAAATTCAGAAATGAAAAATAAAAACATACATAAAATGGAACTTATTTTCTAATGATTGAATTTAAGTTTCACTGATTCTACAGGAATGTTATTCCTAACCTGAAAAAATATACATAAATAGATACATTATGTTTCCATTAACATACAAATAAAACAACTCTCCTGTTTTTTGTTTTTGTTGCTGTCACAGTCAGTGTTGTTGATGTTAGTAATGTAACTTCACAGTGGCTATCATGATCTAGTTTAAGTCACTATAGTTAAATAACACAAATCTGGGTGGTCATCCTATGAACAAAGTTTAAGAAAAACTCCAAATACACCAAATAAATATCAAAATAGAAAATTACCTATTTCACTATATAAAAGATGAAAACATAAATCAGGATATCCCTACTAAATACTAGAGCTCCTTTCAGATTGTATTAGTGAATATTCTTAGCTGAGTTTTACTTAGTATCTGTCTTGTCAATGACTTTAAAGGAAGAGAGAGACCAGACACAGTGGCTCATGCCTATGATCCCAGCACTTTCGGAGGCCAAGGCAGGAGAATTACTTGAGCTCAGCAGTTTCAGCCTAGCCTAAACAACAAAGCAAGATCTGGTCTCTACAAAAATTTAAAATAATTAGCTATGCATGGTGGTTCACATTTATAGCCCCAGCTACTTGGGAGGCTGAAATGGGAGGATTGCTTGAACCCAGGAGTCCAAGACTGCAGTGAGCTGCACTCCAGCCTGGGCAACAGGGCAAGACCCTGTCTCTTAAAAAAAAAATTAAAATTAAAAAAAGGAAGAGAAATAAATTGCAAATTTAACCATGAGGGTATATTCTATTTTATCTCGAAAAAAATGCTCAAATCATCAAGCACTGCTTGACGGCCTTCTGTAGTTTCATGCATTCATTAAGAACTTACTACGCATGAGGTACTGTGCTAGGTGGGTGAGACCCAAAGAGTTCCTTCTCCCAAGAAACTCATTCCCCAATTTTTCCAAGTAATGAAGCATTCTCTTTAGGGGCCTAAATGGGGTACTGATCTGTTTTAGCCAAGTAACTCTATGGCATCTGTTCTAGAGTAGAGCCTGTCTAAGAAAATGAGTAGAAGAAAGGCCGACCACCTAAAAGTAGATAGAGCCTTACCACAGATGATCTCCACACTTTCTTCTACCAAATGTAATTGAAGATTATAGTTTTTATTTTTTCTTGTCAAAAACTGGATTGCCTCCATCTGCCTGAAAAAGGTATTCCTGGTTTCCTGCCCCTACTCTCTTGGGAATTCTTTGTTGTTCAGGATTTCTAATTTTTTTTAATGACAAAAGACATTCATTTTTTCTAACCCTTTAGATTTTTTTTAAAGGCAACATCTACCCCATCACCTCTGCCTCACCCAAACTCACACTCACACTCACACATGGCAATTTTTAACTTTCAAAACAATTCACTCATAGAAATGAAGCAGACTCCCCCTTCAATCCCATATTCTCCCTGTGGAAAGAGTGGACAAGAGTTCAAACTACATCCTGTTCCCTTTACCAGCTAACTGGCCTTGGGCAGTCATTTAACCACTCTAAGTCTGGTTTTTCCTTAACTAAAAAAAAAAAAAAAAAAAAGGAAAATAAACATATTTCACGGGGTTGCCTATATATGACTTTAAAAAATAATAATAATGTTTGTAAACCTAGCACAATGACTAGCTTACAGTAGGCACTTCATAAAAGTCCCGGAGGAGGCAAAGCTGTCAGCAGCTTGGACTGAACTATAATCCAGCTTTCAAAATGCCCAGTCCCATACCCTGAGATCAAAATTATCTCAGAATTCACTGTTTTTAGAATTACAGGCTGGCATAAGAAAAGTTCATACTCTCCCTATATTCTTACCTCCATGCAGGCCATCCTCAAGGGTGAAACAAGCAAAGAACAGTGGCAGAGGGCTTACTGGAGAACACTGGCTCTGTAGTGCCTGCTGCTCCAGCAGCACCTGCGCTGTCAGCCAGCCAGCAGAAGAAAGCCGCCTGCCCATCCCCTGAAATGCTGCTTATGTTGCCCTTAACAAGGAAAGCAAAAAAGTCCCCAAACCAAAACTCAACTTCTTCAGTGGAAGTGCGTTGACCACATGCCACTCCCTCTCTTCAAAGTCCCAAAGAACCTACACGACTTCTCTGAAAACCATTTCTCCATTCTAGGCCAAGCATATTCACTGCCTTTACAGCCACATTGAGCCTCAACATTAACCAAAAGAACCGCAGTGTCTATGTGTCCCAGATTTTACTTATGTAAAACAACTGTACAACACCTACTATGTTCTAGGCACTGTTCTAACCATTTTTACAAAAATAGCTCATTTAATCCTCATAAATCATAATGTAGGTAAGGTACTATTATTATTCCCATTTTACACAGGAGAAAACTTGAGGCCAGGAGAGGTTAGTAACCGTCAGACCAGCTGATTCCAAAGTCTGTGCTTTTAACCACTAAGTCATGCCACCTCCTCATGTAGCTCTAGGGCCCTTAGCAGAGTTGTAGTGTTCTAGAAGGTCTGCCTGTGTATATATTATTAGGAACAACAACATCAGCAAATCTATCGGCCCACATAGATGAAAACTGTTGCTATGCTACAGAATTGATATAGGTAACAGAAGCTGCAAAGTACAGTGGGCAGAGGCTGGGATGTGGAGTCAAAGTGATTGAAATCAAATGTCCCTAGATTAGTTGATTAAGTATTATGAGTCCTTGTTTTCATACCTGTAAAATAGGGATCATAATACCAATCTCATGGAATTACTGGGGAGATTAAATGAGATAACTTACATAAAGAACCTACTAATATGTCTTTCACATAGTAAGTGTTCAATAAGCTATAGCCTTTAGGATTTAAGGCTCTGGTTGTTTTGTTGTGTACAAGTGGTTTTTTTTTTTCTGTGAGAAACTCGCAAGTATTGAAAAAAATGTTAATTCTAGAAGAAATCTAATAAGCACAGAGTAATTCAAACTCTAGGAATTATAAAACTAACAATTCAATTCAATATTTAAGTAAGCTTTCTGGGCATGACATAAATAAATTAAATGATTATGGGCTCAAGGGCCATACATTTTAACTATATAGAAGCAATAAATTAGGGTGTTTTAAAATAACCTACTCAGCCTTTTAAATAAAAATCAATCTATTATCACTGGAAAATATCACTTTCTTATTTCATTTATTGAAAATGCCAAGAGGAGAGAAAAGTATTAGGGATTATATCTTACCAATTCAATGTGCTCCTATAGTAATGCAACTGTATCATTGGTAGTTTTCTTCTTTCCAGGCCCTTGGTGGGACTGTGTTTCTCTGATTCCTTAGACTAGGTGTGGGCACATGACTTGCTTTGGCAAGTGAAATGTGAGTAGAAGTGATATGTGTCTCTTCCAGGCAGAAGCATTTAATTACTAAGATGAGACTCTGCCGAATGCCATTGACCCTTCTTGGGGATCATGGAAGCTCATATTGAGTTAAAATCCCTATCAGTCTGAGTTTCTGAGTGACTATGATAAGCAGAACCCTCCTGCCAATTCTCACTGGTCTTGTAGCACGAGAAAGAATAAAGTTTTGTTATATTAAGCTACTAAAATGTAAGGGTTGTTTGTTAACCATCACTTCACCTAGACTATCCGAACGGACAGGATAAGTTACAGAAAAAGTGAGTTAATGCTGTAGAGTGACTCATCTCACTAATCTCACAGAATGGGGATTCATCAACTGAACTCCTGGATGTGAGAAAGAACCATATCATTGATATCACTGTAATCTCATTCTTCAGTAAGCAGTTGCCTTTGATCCTCACTATTTATTGTAATTATAAAGGATGTATGTTTCTTTGATGCTAATATTAAAACCTATTTTTAAACATCTTTAAAACATCACTAGATTTTTTTATAGCTTGAAAATTTGCTGGATATATTTAGTAAATTTTCACTAGCAATGTTTTTTAGGCATTAAGATTTTTCTATTTTTGTTAAAACAGGTCTAAGTTGTCTGAATAGACTAAGAAACTTTATCCTTCTGACTCTCCAAGAAGAAATGGTTATGGTGGCCTCCCACTGCTTACCTACTTATCACGGCATCATAAAGAGTTAAAATTTGAAGACATACAGGTGCCTACTGAAGAGATACATAGATATCAGAACTTGAAAAGCTTTAATGATCACAGAATAGGTCCTGGCCTAAAGATTCATAGTACCCTTTTATAAGAAAAGCTTGCCAAAGTGTTGTCATGACAGAGTAAGCCATATCCACTCTCACCCCCACATAACAGAAGCATCTCCTATTTCCTGCCCAAGTCCCATGTTTGCTGGTTCACACACGCAGTTGGAACTCTATAGGATAAGCCACGCTTGACTTGCCACAAATTGCTGCAGAGTCTAGCATGAAAATCAAAAACTTTCATTGAGCCTTTTAACATAGTTAGAATGGGTTATAAAATCCTGGTCCATGAACAGGCCTCACTTGCATTAGCTTCCTACAAAAGTTGCATGTAAATCTTAGATGGATAGAGAGATAGAAAGATATATAGATATTCATATATAGACATATAGTATGGTTATATTTTATTTATATGCATGTTAATGTTTATGTATATATTTTTTCCTAGAAAATTAAAGGAGTACCTATAGCAAAACACTTTGCTCAGTAACTAATCATTTTTCAATATCCCTATGTTAATGTCAGGATTTATGTCATTTGCCCTATTTTATATATTTGCATGACAGTCTAGGGACCAATTGCTTTAACAAAAATATCCAGCTGCCTAAATGTCCTCAACAAGTAGTCACTTCAAGTGAAAACTCACAGGATCTTGAGACTGCTGTTTTTCATCATTTGATTTCTGCCTCTGATGAGAGTCAACAGACAAAAGGCACAACCCCCAGCTCCAAGTCAAAGGGCTCATCTAGACCCTGCAGTCACTGGGCCTGTGCCCTTAGGCAAGTTCTTTAACCTCTTGAAAGATGTGGTTTAGGTGGGAAGGGGAACAATAATCCAGATAACCTGTAAAATTGCTTCCAGAGGCAAAGTCTCTTTAGGAATAAATGAGGGGTCTAACATCTCTCACTGCAGGGTAGCAAGAGGATGGGCTGGAAGGACAGGATGAGGCTGACTCAGAGCAAGCTGGAGGATTTCGAGAGAGAGGGGACACAGAATGTGTTGTTGTCGCTGTTATCAACTATCCCTCTTCAAGCAGAAGTTTTTACTAAACTGAAGTTTGCATTTTCTCCTTCACCTAGAGTCCCTATCCCTTTATGAAGTCTTTATGAACAGACTCGATGTGTTTCCAGGGCTGACGTGAGGCATAGTTTCTGCCCTGGTCATCACAGGAGAGTGATTCCAATAAAATAAGAATAAAACGATGGAGATAAAAGACAGGAAAGAAAATAGACTCACCAATAATATGTGTACATGTGTCTTGTTTTCATATTATCTACTACAAGTTGGAAGCTGCAGTGGCAGGGTCTTTGTTCTGTGGTATCTTTACATCCTTATCGAGAATAAACAATAGAAGCAAACACTAAAGTCAGCAAGTTAAGAGCAGAGGTTGTTAAGATCAGTAATAAATCTGCAGCAGCTGATAGTGCATCCTGCGTCATCTTGATTCATTTCTAACATCCTTATTGATAGAAAATAGGAAAATCCAAGCAGCTCAAACAAAACCAAACAAAGCAAAACAGGCCAGGGAACAGGAACTTGATGGAAGAATTATATCGTGCAAGTCTTGTGGCTTACAAGGGCCTATATATCTAATCTGGTCTCATCGTTCACAACTTCCCATCACCCTTCATTTGAGGCACTCTGAATTTATCTTTCTCATCTCCCAGTCTTTGCACATTCTGTTCTCTCAGTCTGAAATACTATGGTCTTACTCCTTCACTTTTGCCCAAGTAATTCCTATTCATCTTTCTGGTCTTCTTTCTCCAGGAATCCCTCTCTTGTCTGGTGTCCCAAAGCTGACTTAGATGCTTGTCTCATGTGCACCCATAGCCATGTATTAAAATTACTTGCAGGCTTATCTGTATGACCACAAGACTGCAAGTATCTTGAGGGCTGTTACTGCGAATAATTGTCTTCACATCCCCAGCACCTACGCTGTAGCTGGCACATAGCGCTCAATAAATATTTGAACAGCGTGGTTCACTCTCCTGGCCTAATCATGAAAATCTTACAACAGAGTTTGCCAAACTAGTCCAGTTTCTTTGACCAGGATAAAACCAAACAAGCTGAAAACGAAAGCAGTACTTTTGGCAAGATGTTCTCTTTTCCTTGACTAATAATATAGGCAAAGTGCCTAGAGCCAGGCCCAGCACAAATCAGACTCAGTAATGTTCTTATTTCCACCTCATCCTCTTCCTCATATCCTTTGTTTTTCAAGTGTAAACTCAAAGATCATTCATATACCAGAGATTGTTCAAGATACACTCCTAAAAAACTTGTGAAGAAAGTTCCTTGAGAGAACCAAGAGAAAACATGGTACCATCTATGTGATAAGCCCTGAAAATAATTTCGATCAAAGCATTAAAATTTGAGCCAGGTGCAGTGGCATGTGCCTGTAATCCCAGCTACTCAGAAGGCTGAGGTGGGAAGATCATTTAAGCCCAGGAGTTTGAGGCCACCCTGGGCAACACAGACCCCATCTCTAAAAAAAATTTTTTTAATTAGCCAGGCATGGTGGCATGGGCCTGTAGCCAGCTACTTGGGAGGCTGAGGCAGAAAGATCACTTGAGCCCAGGAGTTCAAGATTACAGTAAACTAAGATTGCACAACTGCACTCCAGCATAGGCGACAGGGGAGGCCTCATATCTTTAGGAAAAAAAAAAAAAAAAGACCACTCCTCACCAACTGTACTGCTTACCTCCAGCCCTTCTATTTTGCACTATTGCAACAGCCTGCTAACTGGTCTCTCAGCTTCTGCCTTTAATTCACATCTCAAGGGTAAAGCCTATTTTCAAGACAGCCACCACTTGCTCCTTTTGAAATGTTAAGTCGGATCACTTCACTCTTCCACTAAAACTCTCCAATGAATTTAGTCTGAAATCCCCACCAAGTCATTTTACATTAATCACTAAATAATGCTACAAGAGCCAACTCCAGTCTTGGCCAGCATTCTACAAGCATGTTATGAGAAAGCCATTATAGTCATGGTGATACAAGTAAATCCTTGCTGTTAACTGCAGTCAACAGGGGAGAAAACTGCCTAAACATAATGATTGGTTTCCAATGTATGGTTTCAAGTCAACGTATAGTTTCCATTCACAACTGAACTCTCCATGTTAGTAAACTATGCATTTCGTTTGAATCATGACCCTATGCTATTCTTTATAACTTGGTACTCCAAACGTTCCTCACTTTCCTCAAGCTTTCTACCCCATTTCTCATTTGCAGAGAATAGAATTCATCAGTATCTTTCTTTTCAATTTTCAAACATATTGCAGTAAATAGCAAAAAGGGTCACAGCTGTTCACACCTCCCTGAATACATGCTCTTTGCAATGTGAATTTTGAGCTCCTCCCATCAAGATGTGAAGCCTATTTCCCCAATCCACAAATCTAGGCTAATCTTGTATGACTTGCTTTGTCCAGTAAAATGCCACAGAAGTGATGCTGTACAAGTTCTTATCCTAGGCCTCAGAAGAGTTGACCACATTTCTGCTCACTCTTGAAATCCTACCCAGTGGCTACATGAATAAGCCAGGGCTAACCTACAGGGTGATAGAATACCACCTGGAGCAGAAATGAGTCATCCTAGCCAAGGCCATCCTAGATCAGCTATCACCACCCACCCTGGGAGCAATGGAAGATATATAAGTGATCCCAGCTAAAACCAGAAGAACCACCCATCAGAGCCCAGCCCAAAGTGCTGGTCCATTAAATCATGAAATAAATAAATAGTTGTTGTTTTAAGCCACTAAGTTTTGGGGTGGTTTGGTGCACAGTAAAAGCTAAATGGTAAACTTATCTAAATCTTCTCCTATGTTTATTACCTCAAGTAAAGGTGACTCAACTTTTCCAGAACCTCTTTGCCTAAACACACTCTCTTCTTCTTAGGATGCCTTCCTCAACCTGGTCCATCTGGGAAACTTATATTGAGACAGTTCAACAGCACATCAATAATCTCCCCTCCCACCACCTGCCACCTCACCCTCCTCTTTGAGCTCATAGCATATATACATACCTCCATCTTTGTATTTATTTTCATTATACATACCTCCATCTTTGTATTTATTTTCATGTCCGTCTACCACAGAAGGTTGAGATTACATTTTATTCATCTCTCTAATTCAGTACTTAGCCTAATGTTTGTCGTATAGGAGCAGCTCAATAATTTTGCTATAAATAAACATTAAATGCTTTGACATTTTTCATTTCTGTCTTCTTTTCTCTATAACTACTACCTCTGCCTTCATGACAGCCCCTATCCTGAATGACCTGAATAATTTAAACGGAGGCCTTTCTTCTTCCCTAACTAGTCTTGTTGAGTACTCCCACAGCACATTGTAAACACTTTCAACACACAATCATGATTATTTATACAGGGTTCTTCCCATAAAACTTTTAGCTCTTTCAAGGCAGAAGTCATATATCCCTTATTTTTTAATATCTAATCCCTAGCCTAATAACTTTTTGATAATAGCTGGTTAATTTATGATGAAACTAATTTTAACATTTTTTAAACTATTTAATGAAAAAATAACTTTAATTCCATAAACCAGACTTTCTAATAGGATGTTGATAATAGTCAATACAGTGAAGAGTACTGTCCAGACTCAGCCATGTGAGGAAGGAGAAGGAATCAACTCTTACCTCGTAGGGATTTTTCTGAAGCAGACATTGCTATCTGGTTTTGTCTCACTCGTAGCCCTAAATGAAATCTCTTCTACCAATTCATCTACTTTGATGAGGTAGATGAAGCTTTCAAACAATGTGGAGACATTGGTATGGGAGAAGTCACTCCTTTAACTGTCCCCAAGAGCTGTCAATTAGTGGATTATTTTCCACTAATGTTGATCTGCTCAAAGATTCTGCCTTTAATGTTCACTGGCATTATCAACAACTAGAATGAAGACACAGAAAGTAGTTTTATCAAATTCAGGGACAACCCAAAGCTGAAATGAAGACCTATTACCTCAAATCCATTCATTCATTCAGCAAACAGTTATTGCATACTTACCTACTATGTACCAAAATAGTGTTCTAAGCATTGGGATACAGCAGAAAACAAAAAACACCAGGTCTTTTCTTTCATTGAGATTTCATTCTAAAGGCAGAGGATAGACATTAAACAAAAATCTAATAAACATAATGAATAAGCAAAACTAACACTTTGCCCTTCCACCATAGTGACCAAACACACCACATACCACAGTCAGGGCTGGTGGGGGAGCACGTTTTTTAAGGAGTACTTCTACATCATGAAATAAACTTCAAAAACAGGAATTTCCCATCTAGAGTTAGTCCTCAAAATAAATGAGACCTTGAGCCCTTTCTCAGAAATTGCTAAGTCATTAGTGAACATATTTTGCCCCTGACTTTTGCAATGCCAGCATCGGCAGATATGTGATGACCCTACAGATGTAATAATTATGTGAGAAAACCACTATCATTTCCCATCATGAACAGTTAACTAATGATAACCTTGAAGAGTTTCTTTCCATAAACACTTGCCATGTCCTTTACCTGGAGAGCCAGTTCTGAAGGCTGGTCTTTCTTGCAAAACATTGCAAGTAAAAATCCTTTTGCTTTCTCATTGCTTTTATTTCTGAGTTGTTCTTTCACCCACTGGAGCTAAATAAGATATATTACTTGAGAAATACACCACTTCAATCTGTTTCACCCAAGTTTGTCTTTTTCAGCTTCTTGAATAAAAAGCTGTGGAGACATAACTTTAACTCTCTGTAACTCAGTTTCTATTTCTGTTTGTCTTTCAGTTTCTGGATTAAGACTGGTTCTTGGCCAGGTCTGGTTCTGTTTTACACATGACTACTGTTTTATTCCCTCTGTAAGTGGCAGTAATGCTCAGGAGACAGGTTTCAATTATATGCTCTGACCATCTGGTTTCTGTTGGGTGGCAGACAACAGGAAGTCTGGTAGTCTCCTTATATTTTTTCTTTTTATTTGTCAGCGGTCTTTCTGATGTGTCCTGGCACTTGAACATTCATTTCTTTGTCACTAAGTCATGCAACTATGGCCATATCATCGTGTGGTCTCAATCACAGTGTTGGGAACTCACTCAGGTCACATCCTCAATCACTGATCATACATTTTTATTTCCAACTATCAGTAAAATCATTGTGTTGTTTGAGCTCAAATCATGCAAAATAAAAAAGAGAAAATTTCTGTGCCCCTGAAACAGAGAGCCACACCTGGATCAAGGGACATCACATTGAGGACACCTTTGACATGCATTGTGTCCCTCCCCTTCTTGACCCAGAGCTGCTGAAACTGACAAGTAAGTTTTTGCTGAAACCCAGCAAATTGGGCTTTGTATTTACCTTTGACCCATGACTGAGGCTGCTAGTTCTTCATGTGTCTGTGCCCTTTCTCAGGAGGAAATTACGTAACCTATATCAATGGAGGAGGAAATGCTCTAGGAGAATACTGGTGGAAGCAGAAAGGCCAGGTAGGGCTATTAATAACGTCACTGCAGGCAGGAGATGACAGTGGCTTAGGCTATATGATAATAGCAAATGTGTGAGAAGTAACTGCATTCAATAGACTTTACGGCTGAGGTGACAGAGAATGAGTATACGGTGTGTGAAGAAGCAAGGAGCCAAGAATGACACCAAGATTTTTGATAGATGACAGCATAGGAATTCAAAATTACTTTTACTGTTCAGGAAAATGAAATGTAATAAGGACATGTAAAGGCAGCTCTCAGATCTAAAATTTCAACTGCAAAAATGCAAGATAAGGGAAAACTGGCCTAACAATAGCCTATAAGAAAATGAGCTAGGAGTCTTGCTGGACCTCAAGTTCAGTGTGATTCACATGACAATCAGAAGAGCCTACAATTTAAAATATACTAGAAGTAGAATGCCTGAGTTAAGGGAGATGAATCTTTAGTATATTTCACACTAATCAGTTCATGTCTAAAATCCCTTCCATTGCTAAGATTCATAAATCTTCCAATCCATCACCTAAAATGAGCATCATGTACTTATAGGGGTCTCAATGTGTGATGTGTGTATAGTGCATTTCTCCATTTGGAAGGAATAATAGAGAAAGTTCACATTTTAAAACATCAAATTACAACCTAGAATACCATCTACTTTGTGCTAATTGCCTCATTAGCAAGCTTTGCATACATGATTACTGAGCTTTCTCAGTGATTCCTTCCTAAACAAAGGGTGAGCCCTCCATGCATCTACACTGAGCATCTTATTTGTCTTTGGAGATTCTTTTTTTGGATAGGCATGGGAGTCAGTAGAAGAGTGGCATTATGCAACATAAGTGTGTGTGTATTCATTGAGAAGCAATATAAGCATGAGAGCAGTCAATCAAGTCAAAGACCTGAGTTCCGGGTGGGTCTCAGGCTTCAACTCTCCACATGACTTCAGGCTAGCATCCTTTCCCTGCATTTCCATGTCCTAAGCTATAATGCAGCAAATACTGGCTGTCTCCACGCCTTCCCAAAAGAGAAGCTCTCAAGAAAAATGGGGTGTCCTAAATTCAACAGCCACCTATGGAACAGTTGTGGAGGACAAGACAGTACAATTAAGCCCTTAGGAGAAAACTGTGCTCTGAGCTCTCCAGAGAGAAAAAGAAAATGAGAAAGTGAAAAAGGACGCTGGGCAGAAACAAAAGTTTCTCCCTGGGAGCTACTAATAGTTTAAGAAGTGTTTCTCTCTAGAAGCATCCATCTAAGGTACCAGAGCTTTTAAACACACCAGCCAGTAATGGAGTGCAAGAGAGGTCACTGCCAAAGATGAATGTAGTATTCGTCAAACAGCAGAAATGGATGGTTAGTGTAACAAGAACAGATAGTTCTACCAGGGCAGTCTCTCCCCTGTCCTTCCCGCCCAGGTTTATAATGCCATGTGTAACACCAAGGGACAAAGATCAAAAAAGGAAATGCCAACCACATGGTTAGCTCATGAAAACGATTAGAAAAAAAGTCCTTTTGGCAGCTTCAGGTAAATTAGTGTTCATTCTGACACCCATTCCAGACCACTCCAGACAACATCTCACCACATAAAAAACACTTTCTTTTGTCTCTTTTCTCTCCAGTCCATGGGCATTTAATTCCCGCATAAGAAGAAAAGAAAGAGCCTTAAAATATAAGAACCCAGAAAATGAAAACCACTATTCCTTTTAAGCAATTCCAAGCTAGATCTACTAAAAACTATTTGGTCCACTGGTTTTATACAGAAAAGTTTAGCTGACTGAAAACTATACTATTTTACAACTAAAAGGAACACAAGAATTCAGAAATCTGGCAGCACATAAAGTCTCTGCATTTCCATTTTAAAGCAACATTACTTTTCTTTAAGATGGATATTTTATTTCTAAATGGCTGGACATGACCTTTACAAGTGTGTAGTTTCTGTCTGCAGCTGAGAAAAAAAAATGTCATTCCTGCTTCTCATTCTTTTATTTCTATTAATCACTTTTTCTCTTTACATACTACATAATCAAGAGGGACACATCCATTGCCCTTCTAGCTGATTTCTATTATTTCTCATTACAGCCTTTGTTCCATTTCCCTGCTTCCCACCAGGCATTAAATATTTGGACACTGAGTCTAAACTGTTCTATCCCTGCCTCTGTAGGGGTGACTATCATATAGTTGTGTAATCAATTAGCCTGGCATCTGATCTCTATTTCAAATGTCTTCTTAGGGAAATTTAATTATGATTAATATCTTTTTATAACTTTGAAATTATATAGGCACGATTCCTTACTCAGCCATGCTTGTTAAAAATCATAAATCAATTTATTTTATTCCCTGTAGAAGTGAGGAGTCCTTTCCAATTCTGATTGAATTCTAGCAACATAAAAAGTCCAGCAGACATTAGAAGAATATACATTTTTTTTCCTTTCAATGGGAAACCCTTTCCATAATATCTTTGTGGTTGGGAGATTTGCGGAGCCTCCAAAGCAAGCCTTACAAATACAATTTAAAGAAAGCATTCTACAATTATGACAGGAAGAAAGATGTCTTCAGACAATAACAAAATTCAGATTCAAGTGTGTTGTACTCCACGCAAGAGATGTATTCCTGGAAAGCTGAAGTAATCACTTTTTAATAAATCAAATATTTCAAAATCAGAGTAGTTATTAATAGATATAATCCTGGTGGCAAATTCTTCTCTGAGGGGCAGGATCCATTTCTAACGAAAAGATATACCTCTCAATGTAATGGTTTTAAGTTTGTTTTGGTGCTCAACTTTCCAAAAGTAGGACACTAATATATGAATTTTGAAAGTATTTGGAATATCTGTCCCACCTTTTCAGAAACTTCATGACCCATAAAATCCAATAATAAATGTTGATTCTTACCATGCCACCTGCACAAGTGTCCCTGTAGCAGACATGATTAGCTGATGAACCCAACATCAGTTTCCCTACCTGACTTAAGAAAACTTTTCCAAAACTTAGAAATAAGGCAAAAAGATGACTCACGTTCTTGTAATGTCATACTGGAGCATTGTCTGATGGGCCCACCCATGGATTATTTAATTCTCTAGGAGAATATATCTTTAATTTTATGATATTATTAATTAGGGCCCATATTCTGTGATGTTACATGTTAATTAATATATACTTTTGTGTAGTAGACATGCCAATGATTTTGTCCATTGGAGAACATAACATCAAAGGTTATGGTTTTATTGTCCTACTGGACATTAACCAGTTTCATCTCTAACCTAGCAAACTTATTTCTGCAAATTATTCCTCAAATTTTCCTTCTAACCATCTTTACCTATCCTGCTGGTTGTCTCATTAATAGATTAAATAAATGCTGACACACACTTATTCTTTATCTGTATGAGAGTCATGTTTTAATTTCTTTGAAAATTATGCTTGACACATCCCTCTACTTTCTTTCCTAGCCTCTTCTGTAATTAGAGATAGCCATGTAACACAGTTCCAGGCAATCAGATACAAGTAGAAGTGTGATTAAAGTTTCTAGAAAAGTGTTTGCTCCTCTGATAAAGAAGACAGTTGTATCTGGCAGTGACCCCTTTTCCCTCCTTTCTGCTCAATTACCGACAAGATTTCTGGAGTTGGAGCAGCCAGTCTTGCTCCTAAGAGGAAATAAGAACAAAAAAAAAGCTAAAAGACCCTCAGATACATCAACCCTTATATCACTGAGCCCATGAGACAAGAGGAACAGCAATCAGCCTCTAAACTTTTTGTAGGAGAAAAATAAACTCCTATTTGTTCAAGTCACTATAAACCAGGGTTTCTTCCTTGTCTTCAACCAGACACATTTGCAGCTGATAGTAATTCATTTTCCAAAAAACTTTTATTTTAGGTTCAGGGGTACATGTGCAGTTTGTTACATAGGTAAACTTGTGTCATAGGAGTTTGTTATACAGATTATTTTGTCACCAGGTACTAAGCCTGGTACCCAATAGTTATTATTTCTGCTCCTCTCCCTCCTTCCACCCTCTACCCTCAAGTAGGCCCCATTGTCTGTTCCCCTCTTTGTGTCCATGTGTTCTTATCATTTAGCTCCCACTTATAAGTGAGAACATGTGGTATTTGGTTTTCTGTTCCTACATTAGTTTGCTAAGAATGATGGTCTCCGGCTCCATCCATGTTACCCCAAAAACGTGATCTCATTCTGTTTTAGGGCTGCATAGTATTCCACGATGCATATGTATCACATTTTCTTTATCTAATCTGCCATTGATGGGCATTTAGGTTGATTCCATGTCTTTGCTATTATGAATAGTGCTGCTATAAACATGCATGTGTCTTTGTGGTAGAATGATTTATATTCATTTGGGTAAATAGCCAATAATGGGATTGCTGGGTCTAATCGTAGTTCTGTTTTTAGCTCTTTGAGGAACCACCACACGGCTTTCCACAATGATTGAACTAATTTACACTCACACCAACAGTGTACAAACATTCCCTTTACTCCACAACCTCACCAGTAGGTTATTCCGCTGATAATAATTCTTTAGACTCCTCTATCTTCCCCATTTTGTAAGTTTGCCAGTTTTCAACTGGAAAGGCAAGTTCTGCTCAGCCTGAAGCCTATACTGCAAAAAAGTATACTTTTTACAGAGATTCTGGAGGAGGCTTACTAATGCTTTACAACAGTTTCCAAAAATCAAACTGATATTGTCTTCACGTGTAATGAAAATAACTAATGAGTTCCCTCAAGAATTCAGCTTTCCCTCTAAGCACCAAAGTTGGTGAATTATAAATTAAGGAGACCACCTCCTTCTAAGGATGTTCCTTCCTAAAGCTATAAAGATCAGAGGAGCTCCCTGGTACAACGATGGCAGATGGGAGTGCAGTGCTTTACAGTAGCCCTGCAGTGCCTAGGGCGCAACCCTACTGCCCCTCCCACTCTCCAGGACTGACACCTGGAGCATGGGAGGATACCGGGACTGACACCTGGCCTTGCCTTTTCCCTAGTTCACATTACCGAAGAGTGGAGCTCCAGGGGAACATGAGTTGGCAAGCAAAAATAACTAGATCCTGAAGAGCGCTAAGCACATAACTAGACTCAGCTCAAACCTGTTGGCCTCTGCTTTCTTTCTTCTGACACTCAGATAATCAAGATTTTTTTCCCCCATAATTGTTGGTTGTGTGCTCAAGACTTAGTCCTGGCTTCTCATCAAAAAGAGAGTGGCAATTCCTTTTTGTATATATCTTCTAAGTAAGAAACATTTGCTTTATATATTTCCAACAAAAAAATTCTTACTTGGCCTACTATATGAGATCTGAGCTGGTCTGCTCTCTGCCAGGTGCCAAAAGAGAGAAAAGAGAAAGAGAGAAAGTGGGAGGAGGAAGAAAGGAGAGAAGGAGGGAAGGAGGGAGAAAGGAAGGAAGGACAAAGTGGAGGAGTAAGAAGGGAAGGAAAGAAGGAGAAAGTAGGGGGAGGAAGAAAGGAGAGCAGGAGGGAAGAAAGAGAAAGGAAGGAAGGAAAGAAAAATCAGGGGAGGAGAGTAGGAGGGAAGGAAAGAGAAAGGTTGGAAGGAGAGAGGAAGAGGAAAGGGGGAGAAAGGAAGGAAGACAAGCAGACTGGATCCCTAGGTAGAAACAAGAAAGGAAGTGAAAACACACACACACACACACACACACACACACACACACACACATTATTTGTTATATCTGTGATACTTTGAAACACTTTAAATATCTTATCTCATTAAATCTTCACCGTGTCCTATGTAAGGTAGGAGTTTATTATTGGTCCCATTTTACACGTGAAAGAATTGAGGTTCATATGGTAACAAATAGCACAACTAGAGTTTGAATTCAGGCCTGTTCTTCCTAATGCCTTGTCCTTGTATTACAGTATTATGTCCTATCTTCTGCCTCCATTCTCTGTTCTCATGACACTACACACACACACCTATTTCCTCTTCCCTTTTAGTACTGTCAATCTCACTCTCCTTTTTTAAAAAGCCAACTCTTTTTCATGTAAAAGTCCATTATTCAGAGAAATAAAATGACCTATAAAAATTGCCTGTTTCTGAAGTTTTCCCTGAATATTCTGCAGGCCCTCAGTAGCCCCTTCTGAGACAGCTCCTCTAGTACTGCCTTGTGATAGGACATAAGCCTATTATGTCCCTATTAGATGGATTTATAATATTCCTTTTGCCACTTAAAATGATAGTAGTCTTGTCGTCTTTTTTTTTTTTTTGCATTTTTTTCTTTTCTTCCTTCCTTTTCAAAGATTTGTGTGATCACTGCCATTCTCTTACCCTTCTGATCCCCCACTACCTCTGCCCTTCTTTCCCTGATTTTCTCTTTCTTCCCAGCTCTTTCAAACCCATGTGTAGAAAATCTGAGTGAAAAAGAATAGGTGGATGGGAGCACGTGGGAAAAGAAAATGACACGGAACATTAGAGAAACAATAATATAGTAATGTGATAATTCCCTAAGAAGAGCCTTCGGAGTATCTGCGAATTGAAAGCGAGTTCACTTGAGGTTTTGTCAATTTTGCCTTTGAGCCTGGACAGCCTAAGCTGGCCACTATTTTAGACCCTGTGGGAAATGAGGTGGCACAATGATCTCGTCTTCTTCGGTAAGGTTATTTCCCTTAGGATTGGGTCTCCTAAGTCACCTGGCCATTATCTAACTGTCTTCCAGTCTGGTAACAAAACCCCCAAATGGACCTAAACAGAATCTTTCCTTAATTGATCAAGCAGAAATGCTGAAAAATAACCTTGCCACCAAAGCAGCCATTCCTCTGCTCCAGAAAAAGCAAGACTGTAAAGGGACACATGTTTTCTGAAGAGGTTATTTCTGTGACAGTCACTCCTCAGAATGGAAGAAGGTGCCCAAGGAGTGTCTGGTGCCCAGGAGATTTTGGGTAAAGTGGCCCGGTTTTCTGCTCCTCCTAACATGGATCTTCAATTTAAGGGAGCACGAAAATATCAGACACATTTTCTCAAAAATGAAACCAGGGCTTTAAAATGCTCTTTTTTTTTTTTAAGTTTCTTCATTGTACTTTTCTGTTGATGAGTTTGTTTAATAGAGAACACTTCCCATTTTTACCTAAATCAATAAACATTTTTTTTTCTTTTGAGACAGAGTTTCGCTCTTGTCTCCCAGGCTGGAGTGCAGTGGCATGATCTCAGCTCATTGCAACCTCCGGGGTTCAAGTGATTCTCCTGCCTCAGCCTCCCCAGTAGCTGGGATTACAGGCGTGCATCACAATGCTCGGCTAATTTTTGTATTTTTAGTAGAGATGGGGTTTCACCATGTTGGCCAAGCTGGTCTCAAATTCCTGAGCTCAGGTGATCTGCACAATTTGGCCTCCCACAGTGCTGGGATTACAGGTGTGATCCCAGGGATTACAGGCCACCACGCCTGGCCCAAAATGTTTATTCTAAAAGCGGCTATAAAACACACCCCAATGCTAAATGGAGGTGCTGTGTGGATTCTCTGCCATTTTGTAATGTTCATGCTGCTGATCCCTCCATTGAGTGGATAAATGAAGTCAAGACTGCTTGCGACGACAACCCCAACCCTCACCCTCTCATGACTTCTTGTTGTTTTAGGAACCTGGGGACTTTGGGGAAAATGGAACGTGTTTAAGCAAAAAGTAAAATCACTTTTCAAGACTAATTATTTTTTTTTTTTTTTTTTTGAGACGGAGTCTCGCTCTGTCGCCCAGGCTGGAGTGCAGTGGCGGGATCTCGGCTCACTGCAAGCTCCGCCTCCCGGGTTCACGCCATTCTCCTGCCTCAGCCTCCCGAGTAGCTAAGGACTAATTATTTTGTCCAACTCTCATTTTGCACAAGTCTTTCTCAGAATTGACATTTCCCTGAGAGTGGCAAAGTCTTCAGCTCAATGTAAAGTGCAGAAAAGCCTTCTATTTTCTTTAAAGCAAAAAGGTTTCAAATGTGTTTTACCATCCTGACAGCAGTGACAAATGGGACTTCCACTCAAATGGATTACAGATGGGCTTTCTGAACCACATAAAGCTCCATGCAAATAAGGAAGGACCAACAACATTTTTTTTAATGTCAGAAATACTTAAAGGGTTTTTTTGACATTTGTTTAAAAAAAAAAAACTCCCCTTTTTCATTACCTTTTTCATTTATTATCAGCAGTAGATTGATATCGGGTAAATTGTTAAGGAGGGGCCAGGAAAACAAGAGGCTCTTTGGCCAAGTCACAGGCACCGTGTTTACAGGTCAGCAAGCAAATGACTCAGACCTGCTGATGGTCTGAGGAATGGATAAACACCGATTGGCAAACTTGTTCTGCAAAAGTCCAGATAAATAAATATTTTGGCCTTTTGGGGTGATGAGGTCTCCATTGCAACTACTCAATTCTGCTTTTGTAACATGAATGCAGCCATAACACTATGTAAATGAGTGAGTATGGCTGTGTTCACATAAAATTTTTTTATAAAATAGGAAGGGGGCTGATTTGTCCCATAGACCAGATTTGCAGCCCCTTGGAAAATGATGTGTATGACACTGAAATCATAGTGCTTGGCAAGGAAAGGGAGAGTCACAAAATATCATCCCCCAAAAGCTTTCAACTGGCTAATGAGCTAGAGCAGGTCTGGAGAGCTCTGTGATGCCAGGCATTAACCCTTCGAATACTGAATTCTGGGGAGGTGGGAGCTTCCAGTGAAGGGGCTGGTGGGGCTGCCTGGAGCTTCAGGGCCGCAGCTAACTCCAACCAGTAGAAAAAGTTCACCAATATTTTAACAACTGATCAAGCCATGCTAGTGGGTGCCAGTGAATAACAGCCTGTCTACAGCCTGGATTCCTGAATTAAGGTACCATCCCAAGGAAGAGATTAAGAAAAAAATTAAAGTCTTTCATAGATGGGAGATTTTTTTTCTACCCTCCTCCCAAAAACAAAAAAATAATTAATTCATTTACAAGCAAAAAAGATTAAAAAGCCATGAGAAGACAATACAATTATTCAGCGCAATGGTCATTTTAAAGAAGGAAGAGAGTGGGCACAGTGAAATGCTTGTAATTGGGTCTAACTAGTTGGCTATATTGCTCAATAATTGGGCTGGCATTAAGGGCAGGGAGAAAACAATGGCTTGTGACCCTCTGGAGGGTGTTGATACCACAGAAATAGTGTTCTGAGGAAAACTTCAACAGAGCAATAAATTGTCATTGGAGTATGCTGCCCCCCAACCCAGGTGCTCAAGACTCTCCCCACCTACTACCACTCCCCCAACACACACAGACACAAGTGCACGCGCATACACCACTAACCTGCAACTTTCTCTCTCCCTAAGCCCTCAGCTAGCTACCATTAGAAAGTTATTAGCCAAACTAATTCAAGCTAAAGTGTCCATGAGTAACAAGAGCTGCATATCTTTTACTTATCCAAGATTTAAGAGTTTTGTGAAGGGGGCCCTGGAGTAAACAATTCTGTTACCCAAATGAAAGATCCCATAATGGGGAGGAAGACAAACATTTTTAGATATTTAGTCAGGGAGCCCTCCTCTTCTGGAAACAGGCTATATTGACGGCTACCAATTCTTTCCTTGAAAAAAACAGACCCTAACTACAGCACATGATGACAGAAAGTTTGCATTTTTTTTTAATTGAAGGTCTTATCTTGATGCCCAGATTTTCAGATCATCAGGAACGTTAGAACACACTGTACCCTGCATGCACTTCCCCATTCACTTCTCACTTTTTAAAAGGGACTGTATGTTCAGGTAACACAGGGCTTGCCATGTGATTACACTATGAACACGAAGGCTTGCTAACAACTGGATCATGCAGTTTGTGGAGGATACAAAGGGAAACTGGCCCTTGGCCTATGGGGGCTGCCCCCAGGGATCTTTGGCCCTGTCAGTCCCTCTCCTGCCTCTGGTGCAGGGAGAATGTATCTTTGGAAGTTAGGCTGCCCTTTGAGGAGTTCTGTTTGGGCCAATGGGCAGCCAGGCCATTTCCTTTGAAACAGTGGCCTTAAAAAAGGGGGGAGGGGGGAGCGGGGGGGGGTGCCAGGGCCAAGGCCAGAGCACATGACCTCTAAGTCACAGAAGCAAGATTTAGGTAGGACCTGTGATGTGCAGTTCCCAGATCCCCAGACCCGAAGCTCTATCCTGTGCAACCCAAGCTTACTCTTTAAACATACAAATTGCAACTCTTACAAATGTTTGGCCTTCAGCTAACCACATTTAATCAGAAGAAGGCATTCTGAGCCCCTGGCTCTATGCACTTCAACAGCCTTAACCGTAGAGGCACCCAGAGAGGATGTGATTCTATTTCCCAGTAAAGGCAATAAAAGCCTCAAAGTTTGGGCTAATAAAATCTTCACTAAAAACTCTCTCTGACCTTACCTAAAGCACTGTGGAGTGGTTTTAAAGCCTTGTGCAAAGCCTTTTCACAGAACTGTTTCATTTAGCTAAAGGGATGGAGGTGGGGAGAGAGGTGCTTTTCCATTTCCAACCATGGAACAGCAGTAAGGAAGCTTCTATCAGCAACAGGAATTTGATGACTGGCTTCTCCAGCAAAGCACTAAAAATGGGGTCAAGACTGAGCCCCTTGATAAAGTATGGTAATCACCACCATAAGCAAGATATCTTTTTCTAATTAAACTCTCCCTTCCCTCCCAGGAGAAGTCTTGGCCAGCCAAGAGCCCCAGGACCAAATGAGCCTCAGAACTGCAAGAGATAGAATCACAAAAGAAAAATAACCTGGTGAATGGGAGTTTGGGCTCATTGGAAGAAATCGCGTGTGAAATGACTCAAGTCGGAAGGCCTGAGATGAAGCTGCAGAGTCTGATGTGACCCAAGCACTCACACTCAAAGGCATCTCTGGAGTCCCCATGGCTGCCTTGCACAGCTGAGTCCCTGCCTCAGCTCTGTCACAGCATCTAAATTATGAGGCAGTGTACACAAACCGTTCAAAAGCACAAATAAACTGTTATTGCTGGAATTCAAGGCAGGGACCAAAAGAGATATGAGGTTTATGGGGAACATGGACAAGCAAGGGAATCCAGAGGCCTGTGCTGCAGACAGTGCATTTGCCCAGCCAAACCGTGGCCAAGCATCCCTGGGGTGGAGCCAAGCGGAACTGTGGGACAGCTGTGATTTGTCTTTGATGCCCATCTATCTCTCTGTCAGCATTTACTGCACCCACTTCATGTACTAGGCCCTCAGGGTCCTTATCCAGTTTCCTTTCTGAGCCTGCCTTCTTCCTAAGCAAGAACCGAAGCCCAGAAGATTCTCCCCTTCTCTGTCAAAACTTACCTCCTGAGCTGTGTTTCTCCCAGGACCTTGTTCTCTGACAGCAAGTTTTTCAGATCAATTAACCTCTCGTAACAGGTGATAATGAAGATAACTTTCTCAAGTTAAAGATTTGCATATTAACAAACTCAATGCCTTGACCAAAAACTGTGGCTTGGCCGGGGGCAGTGGCTCACGCCTGTAATCCCAGCACTTTGGGAGGCTGAGGCAGGCAGATCACTTGAGGACAGGAGTTCGAGACCAGCCTGGCCAACTTGACGAGGCCCCCATCTCTACCAAAATACAAAAATTAGCTGGGTGTTGGTGACACACGCCTGTAATGCCAGCTACTCATGAGGCTAAGGCATGAGAATCACTTGAGCCCAGGAGGTGGAGGTTGCAGTGAGCCAAGATCTCACTCCAACTTGGGGGACAGAGCAAGACTCCATCTCAATAAATAATAAATAAATAAAAATAAAAAACTGTGGCTCAACTGCTCAAAATATTGCAAGGACCCACTTAAACTAAGAGGAGAGAAAACTGCCACAGTTGCCTACTATAACCAAAACCCATAGGTTAGGCATGAAGCTGGGTCACACTTTTGTCACCTGAACATTACTGAGTCCCATCTCCTCTTGATAACTAAAGAACAGCAAAACTTCATGGAATCTTGAAATTAAAGCTTCATAAGCTAGGTGGGGGTGGGGGTGGGGGTAGAGGCAGTTCAGAAGTGATGACCAGGAAAGCTATGAAGCTATCCTATTTGCTGTAATCCAACTCCTGTCTTCCAAGTTACATTTCTACTTGGAGAGCATGGAAACTCTCCCCAGACTCAAATCTAGCTCAGGACTGGGGGAGATGGCCGGCAGGGCAAGGCATACATGGCCACTTCAAGCCTCCCAAGCCAGAAAGGAGTAGGAATTTGGCCAATGGGTTTCAGTGCTGTTTACATAATCTGAAACTCTTCTTTATAATATATGCACATCTATATATTTTTCTTTTTTTCTTTTGGTTCTGGAAAAATGAGTGTCCTATGTCTTTTGGTGGTTAAATTGATGAGGAAATGAAATTTCTTTGTAATACTTAGAAGTTAGAGTATAAAGTTAAAAAGAAAAAATCAGAAGACTCATCTTTGATTCAATAAGATCTCACCTGGCACAGTGGTTGTATAAAGTACACTGAGGCATGTTTGCCAGCTAAGAGAAAGAAGCCAGAGAGAGGGGGAGGGAGGGAGGGATGCATGGACGGACGGTTGGATGGATGATTAAATAACAATGAAGGTAAAAATAGACTCCACATCCTCAGTGGACTACATAAGATGTGAAGAAAGGATGAGAAGACAGAATAGAATATGTCCTCCTGCCAGCAAGGCAAATGTTTTTCTGGTTTATTTGTTTTGGTTTTTGTTTTTTGAGACAGGGTTTCACTCTGTTGCCCAGGCTGGAATGCAACGGCACCACGACAGGTCACTGCTGCCTCAACCTCCTGGGCTCAAGTCGTCCTCCCACCTCAGCCTTCTGAGTTGCTGGGACTACAGGCATGCACCACTGCACCCAACTAAATTTTTTTTTTATTTTCTGTAAGGACAAAGTTTTGTCGTGTTTCCCAGGATGGTCTCAAACTCCTTAGCTCAAGTGACCCACCTACCACAGCCTCCCAAAGTGCTGGGATTACAGCCATGAGCTACCATGACTGGCCTGCAAATTCATTTTGAATATCAAAATTCAAGGATCCCGCAAAGTCTTTCTCACCCTGAATGAAATCCTACCACAGCAACATTGCTAAAAAAAAAAACTAAGAACTAGTTTGATTACCTTAGTATGGTTTCCTTATTCTCCTTTCACATCTTTAGACTACATAACAATTTTTCCATGACCATTAGTAAAAATCAAACAGTTTATTCCTTTTGACAGCAGAAGACAAAGGCTGAGGCACATGTAAGAAGTAGCAGAGAATGAGAGGGAAGAGTAGCCATGGGCGATGGATCAGTGGGAAAGAGAAGGAAAGTAGAAATAAACACCTCTCTCATCTGCCTAAGGACTTGAGGTCCCTAAGACACACCACAACTCCATAGGCGAGCTGATCAGGACCCAGGTCTCCTAAACCTACGCAGCAATTTGCAATACACAACGCTAAATTATGCTGAAGTGTGTGTGGGTGAAAAGAAAATTTCCCTGACTGCATTCCTACGTGTTCTCTCTCCCACTGTTTCTGTACCCACTCTATCCAAAGAGCATCAGTAGAATGTGGAAGCACAAAGTGGAAATGAGAAAAATTACTTTAAAGACTTATCGATAAGTACTGAGCTTAAAATGTTCGAAACAGAATTGAGTGCTACCCACTTCCACCAAAGTTCTTGATAATTTCTTATGTTCTAGGTCTACCCTACAAAATATGGTGCCCCATTAAGTCCCGTATTCATAGGGGTTCCAAGATTGCTACTTGTAATGTCTGTTTTAGAGTATCTGAATAAATAATTTCTTCTCCATTTCTCACGCTTAGCAGGTTGAACATCTTACTACTAAATGAGAGAATCAGCTCAGTGACCAAACTTTACCAGCAGAACCCAGACTTATTTTCAGTAGGGAAGCCTGAGTTTGCCTTACTAGAGTGTCACCTAGTGTCTATATATGGAACTGCACACAATTTTTTGTTAACGAGTTAAGAACGCATGTCATTGTGTGGCGCGGAAGAGCCTTCCTTTATGAAGTGCTAAAGTACATATGTAGACATTTTTCCAAATCCAATTATAGTTCCATTGATTTATATTAGTATTTTAAATATGCATTCACATTGAAATGATCTGAGACGTTATAAAGTTGGCACTTCAAAATTCAGCAAGCCTTTTTAAATTACATATTTAATAGAAAAATTATTTCTAGAAAAATACTGACAGAATTATCCATGGTTAACATACTGTGCTTTAACTATTAGAGACCATGGTGGTTGCTAAACAACAGTCTTAATTTTCTAGAGAAATATTTGTGAATTTTTCCCAAAAGTATTTCATATAGAGCTCATATGGATAATGACAGATGCTTGTTGTACAGTTACTATGTTCTAGACACTGTGCTAAACACATTACATAATTCCTGTTTAATTCTCACTTAATATTTATAAAATGCTTAGAGCAGAGCATGGCATATAGTAAATGGTGTTAAATAAATAAAATAGCCTAGATTATCCTGAGATGTTTTTATCCTCATTTTACTTATAATAAACATGAGTTTAGAGAATTTAAGTAAGCTTACCATGGTTATACACTTGCAAGTGGCATACCTAGGGTTTGGCCAAGGTTTACCAGACTCCGCAGGCTGCGCACCATGCGCTATTGCCACTCTCGTACACCTCTTCTCTATATATGGTCTCTGTATTCGTTTGCTAGGGCTGCCATCACGAAGTACCAGAGACTGGGTAGCTTAACCAACAGTTTTTTGGGTACTGTTTTGTTTTGTTTTGAGACGGAGTTTCGCTCTGTCACCCAGGCTGGAGTGCAATGGTGCAATCTTGGCTCACTGCAACCTCTGCTTCCCGGGCTCAAGCGATTCTCCTGCCTCAGCTTCCTGAATAGCTGGGATTACAGGTACTCACCACCACATCTGGGTAAATTTTGTATTTTTTTTTTTTTTAAGTAGAGACAGGGTTTCACCACATTGGCCAGGCTGGTCTCGAACTCCTGACCTCAGGTGATCCACCCACCTCGGCCTCCCAAGGTGCTGGGATTACAGACCTAAGCCACCACGCCCAGCCTAAACCAACAGAAATTTATTTTCCCATGATTTTGGAGGCTAGCAGTTTAGATCAAGTTGTCTGCAGGATTGACTTCTTCTGAAGCCTCATATGCCTTGGCTTGTAGATGGCTGTCTTCTTCACACAGTCTTCCCTCTGTATGTGTCTGTGTCCCAATCTCTTCTTATAAGGATACCAGTTATATTGGATTAGGGCCCATGCATATGACCTCATGTTATTTTAACTACTGCTTTAAATGCCCTTTCTCCAAATACAGTCACATTCTGAGGTACTGAGGGTTAGGACTTCAACATATGAATTTGAGGGGAGCAGAGTTCAGCCCATAACAGTCCCTATGTTAGCTTATTTACTTATTAGACTCTTTCCAGACATCTCTAAGAAGGTATGCCTGCTATATACACCAGGCACTGATTCAGACACTGAGAATACAAAGATGCATCTTCATAGACAACAACCATATGTAGCAGGAAAAAGTTTGCAAACACAATTATCACAGCTCAATGTGGGGAAGGTACAAAAATAAAAGTAAGTACACAGCCAGGCGCAGTGGCTCACACCTGTAATCCCAGCACTTTGGGAGGCCAAGGCAGGCAGATCACCTGAGGTCGGGAGTTTGAGACCAGCCTGACCAACAAGGAGAAACCCTGTCTCTACTAAAAACACAAAATTAGCCAGGCATGGTAGCACATGTCTGTAATCCCAGCTACTCCGGAGGCTGAGACAGGATAATTGCTTGAACCTGGTAGGTGGAGGTTGCAGTGAGCTAAGATTGCGCCATTGTATTCCAGCCTGGGCAACAAGAGCGAAACTCTGTCTCAAAAGGAAAAAAAAAAAAGTACATAATTCGGAGCTGGTTGAAAAGAGAAAAAGGTTTATTCTGGAAAAAGGAGGCAAGACTTCAGCAGAGATGGCCTCTAAGGTAGATTTTGAAAACAAATCATTTAAGTAGACAAGGAAAAGAAGGACCTTTGAAATGAAGACACGGGGCATGAAATAACACCCACACCAAGGATATGCCAAGTCATTCATCCAGTCCACAGGAATATACATTTCAATGCAGAAGAGACTAGAATGAAATGACACTGGAGAGATAGCGAGGGACCCTATTGCGAGGAGGAGCTATTTAAGAGTAGTGTGTCTGACTCAGTGAACGGGGTGTTGAGGGAGAAGGCGTGATTTGTAACATTTGCTGATTTCTGTAATATAAGCCCTCCTACCAAGGCTGATTTTAAGCTGTCAATGCGAAGTCACTGACCTCTGGAGTTGAGAAGAGATGTACAATAGCACACCATTATATAGTAATTCCACCATACAGAGTCGACAATACAGTAAATAACCTTGGGCAGTTCAGGCTGCTACAACAAAGCATCATAGACTGGGAGGATTATAAACAGCAGAAATTTATTTCTCACAGTTCCAGAGGCTGGAAATCCGAGATCAGGGTGACAGCAGGGTCGGGTTCTGGTGAGGGCCTCTTCCAGGTTGCAGACTGCCAAGTTCTCCTTGTATCCTTACGTGCTGGAAAGAGAGCTAGCTAGCACTCTAGCTTCTTCTTATAAAGGCACTAATGTCATTCATAAGGTCTCCATCCTCATGACCTAATTAGCTCTCGAAGACCCATTACACATGGGGAATTCAATTTCAACATGAATTTCAGTGGGCACACAAATAATAAGGTTCATATAAGCCTTATGAATATGGATAACAGAAAAATGTAATAGAATAATTAGAAAGTGATGAGTTTTAAGTATTTATGACCTTTTGTTCTAAATATAATTTATTTGACTAGAAGTTTCTATAATTTACTTTTTAATGAAGGCTGTGTTTAACAATTGGCTCACGATTCCGGCAATCATCATGGCAGATAGAAGGCAGGACTAGATTGCAGCTCCAACTCAAATGGACGGAGCAGCATGCAGACGCTTGCATTGTGAATTTTAGCTCCAGAACAACTGCAAGAACAAACCAGGAATCCCAAGAGGACCCACAGACCCTCTGAAATAAGGGGACTGCTCCTGCAGGACCTGGGAGACACCCCAAATACTGTGAGTGCACAAACTGTGGAAGTGGGAAAGGAAGACCCTCCTTTCCGAAACACACACTTCCACTGGGGAGAATGAAGGTCTAGTTTGCGAGAGAAGTTTCCAACCTTACCTGGGGCTGAGTCCATTTAGACAGTCGAGAGAAATACAGGGGTACAGGAAGCAGCGGGAAATGCCCTGGGAGTTCACTGGGTCCCCAAGCAGGACATTCCTGCCTGGCACCACAGGGATCCTTTGGGAGGGCGGCCAGAGGAGTCGGGGGAGAACGCCACAGGTAGAAGGAAGTCTGCGGCTGAACTTTCTAATAGTTGGAACCGGGCATATGCAACCACCTGCAAACAGCATGCAGTTTCTATAGCATTTTCACTTAACACCCTCCCCCTAACAACCTCCACCTGGCAACCTTCCTTTAACCCAAACCTCAGGGCCTCAATCCCCTTTATGGCCTGTGTTCCACGGGACAGGACAGAGGTGGGGGTCGGGGGTACTCAGATGTTAATCATAGAAACGGAAGGAATCTCCAAATTGGCCACTCCCAGATTCCCTAGCTCAGGAGCACACATTCAGGTGCATCTGCCATACAAGGTTATGCTAAGGGTGTGATTAAATTATTGCTATCAGGTGCGTTTACCCTACACCATTTCATACAGCCTAGAAGGGTGATTTGCAGCCTCCGTGGTACTTAGCAGGAGACAGAAAACAATGAAGGCAAAGACATCTGAATAACTAGACCCAATGAAAAACAAATGCTCCAATTAAAATGCCCTCCCCAGACCCAGTGCTTAGCGTTCTCAGATGGGTATGTGGCTAAGAATCACAAAGCCAGAGCTTACATGATTTTTCTTGATAGAGTAGTCATTCAGATTTCACGTGCTAAGAATTAAAAAACAACAACAAAAATGCTGTAATGATCAACAGTGGCCCGAGTTAGGAATAGAAAGGGGAAGGAAGACGGTAAATGTATAAAGGGCAACACCACAAGGAATCCTTGTGATGACAGACATGTTCGGTTTCTTGACCTCTGGTGGATACACAAACCTACACACGTGCTAAAATTGTATGGGAACAGAATGAGATAGTAGTGATCATTGCACAACATTGTGAATATACTAAGACCACAAAATCACACACTTTAAACTGGTTAAAGTAGTGAAAGAATGCTTGGAACTAAATACACATACAGACAGAAACAAGTAAAAGCAAAGATGGGAAAATCTGAATGAAACCAGCTAGATTGTGTCAATGTCAATATCCTAGTTGTGTTATTGTTTTGCAAAATGATACCTTTGACAGAAACCAGACAAAGTGCACACTGGGATCTATCTTATTTCTTGCATGTGAATCTAAAATTATTTTAATACAAATTTCAATTTTTCTAATGTAGTTTTTCAACAAGACTAGTTATGTTGTATAATTGTCTAGTAGTACCTGAAGATACAGAGAAAAGAGATGTCTTTGTCTTATTAATCAGAAATGCTTTCTAAATGTGAAGTTTTTCCTCTCAGATTCAAAGACTTCTTGCTATCCCAAGTGGTCAGCATTCTTTGTTAACTGTGTATCTATATAGCTAGGAGGTTTCTGAGAAACCTTCCTGAGAAGGTGGAACTTACATTTCTTTCTTTTCAATCCACATTTCTGCCTGAGATTCATTTATTTTAGAGATAAAGAAATAAAAATAACTGGGCACGGTAGCTCACGCCTGTAATCCCAGCACTTTGGGAGGCCAAGGCAGGCCGATCACCTGAGGTCAGGAGTTCGACACCAGCCTGGTCAACATGGTGAAACCCGTCTCTACTAAAAAATAGAAAAAATTAGCCAGGCGTGGTGGCACACACCTGCAATCCCAGCTACTCAGGAGGCTGAGGCAGGAGAATCACTTGAACCTAGGAGGTGGAGGTTGCAGTGAGCCAAGGTCAATCAGTTTTGCTATGGGGCAAAATAGCTCCTCTCATTCAAATTCTTCAATCAATTTTACTAAATTCAAATAGAAACACTGTGAGGGGTGTGGTAGCTCACGCCTGTAATCCCAGCACTCTGAGAGGCTGAGATGGGCGGATCGCTTTAGGACAGGAGTTCAAGACCAGCCTGGGCAACATGGCCAAACACTGTTTCTACTAAAAATACAAAAATTAGCCAGGTGCGGTGGCATGTGCCTGTATTCCCAGATACTCAAGAGGCTGAGGCAGGAGAATCGCTTGAACCCGGGAGGCGGAGGTTGCAGTGAGCCAAGATCACACCACTGAACTGCACTCCAGCCTGGGTGAGAGCAACTCTGTCTCAAAAAAAAAAAAAAAAACTGCAAATATGAACACTGCTCGTATGTACAAATTTGCAGTTATGGTGATGAACCATCATAGCTATACCTGGATAGTCTTAACCCTAAGAGACAATTGTTTCTTCTCTGCTCCATCTTCTCCCTCCATGTATCCCTCTCCCAAAGCCAGAGTTTACTAAAACCAAAGACAGTAATTCCACCCATCGTACTTGCTTCCTGGCCTTGACACTTTGCTCTGTGACACACCTCTGATTTATGTTATGCACGCGTGCCTTCTCATTCACAGCAGAGTTGTGCTGTTTAACAAACCCACGATGTTCAAAGTAGCCCCTTCATGTGCTTATATCCTTATTCCAACAATAGTACATGCTGATGCACAAAACATTGTGGACATTCTTACGATTACCTTCAAGGCTTGTACTATATCCTTTTGTCTATCCTAAGTAATGGGAATTTTTTTCCTTTAAAGAAAGAAGTTGATGATTGAGAACAGCTAAATAGAATTCCCAGTTAAAGCCAATAAATAATGTGGGCAACAAAGCTTGTTAAAACTACTTTTCTTTTTCATTCAAAATGACCATAAAGCAATGAGACCAAATTTTTAAATGTTTATGGTTCGTAATACTAGTTCTGGAGGCAGACTAAGAAGAATTTTCTCTGTTTTAGGCAACGACAGCAGAAAAATAAATGTGTGTCATCAATCTTATGATCTCTTTAGAAGACAACAATTGCTTGGACAGAGAATCTCTAGTAAATGCATATCATCAGGGATACAGGTTATGTAAAGAGGGAACCAGGGCCCCCAACTTCCACTGCCAGCCCACTGACAAAGTAATATCCTGCCAAGCCCAGAAGGGGACATAATTCTTGGAATTGAAAGACATGCAATAGGATTGTCAAAACTACATGGAAAATAAGTCCATAAATTGTGAAATAACTTATAGAGTACTATAAATTTTATCAAACACAGAACATTGAAACAAGGGCCATGAGCAACGTGAGTGCCATCTTGAGGCAAAAACTACCATTCACAATCACTCCAAAATCATTTGTTCCATGTACACCTGAGTAGAATATTTATTCAAAAATTTAAACCTCAGACTTTTTACTTTGTAGATATATCATCTTTTTTGTTTGTTTTAAGATAGGGTTCCGCTTTCTCACCCAGGCTTGAGTGCAGTGGCAGAAACATGGCTCACTGCAGCCTCAACCTCCCAGACTTAAGCGATCCTCCCATCTCAGCCCCCCAAGTAGCTGGGACTACAGGCACGTGCCACCACACCTGGCTAATTTTTGTATTTTTTTTGTAGAGACAGGGTTTTGCCATGTTGTCCAGACTGGTCTTGAACTCCTGAGCTCAAGTAATCCACCTCGGCCTCCCAAAGTGCTGGGATTACAGGCATGACCCACGATGCCCAGCCTAAGTCATCTTTAAGATACATGTAAAGTGCCTGGCACAAAGGTTTTCAATAAATGTGATTGAACACCTTCAGCTACATTAGGCTGGGCTGAATCACTATCTCTGTTCTTAAGTAAAGAGAGACTGGGTATGTCTAAAATTACCAAATTCTTCAATCTCAACAGCTGAGTTTAACAAATTTATTTCTAGTTTTCAACACATGGAATTCACTTGGGTTAATCATGTATCCTTGTAGTTCTCAAAAAATGCTAAAGTGGGAAAGGACTGGAAGCATTAGTGTCCTTTGCAGAATATGCCCTTTACTCTGTTGCCAACAGAGTAAAACATCCGAGTCTCTGCCTTGTTGGTTTTCTTCCTATCTCTCCCACTCCTCTGTGCTTCAACTAGCGACAAGGCTTACCAAAAAAAAGACCTCAGAAATATTGTTGCAATGGCTATGCCTCCAAGCAAGGGACATGAAAGCAAGAACAGTCCCAAACTGCAAGTTTCTGTTAAAATGTCTTCCTGTTAAAACCACAAGTTCCCATTCCAACAGGTGTAGCTTTAAAAAAAATAAATAAATAATAAAAACTTTTAAAACGGTATGTTTAATGACAGCTTTCAACCTTTCCCTACCCAATCAAAACCCTGACTCTGCTTCAGCTGGGGAGTGACCTGGTCATCAGTCTTCAGGTGCCTCCGACACACCACCTCACTTAGATTCTTTTCTTCTGACATCATTGTATGGCAGATGCACCTGATAGCAATAACCTAAGCATACCCTGAGAATGATGCTATGGTCTAAGAAGAATGTGTGTTTGGAATTCCAACCTAAGGAATTCAGGAGTGGCCAACCCTGAATTTCATTCCTTATCTATGAGGAACATCTGAACCCCAGCCCATCCCGTGGAACACAGGCCATACAGGGGATCAAGGCCCTTTGTTTTGGATTAAATGAAGATTGCCAGTGGAGGCTGCTCAGGGGAGGGTGCAAAGTGAAAATGCTATATAAACTGCATGCTTTTTACAAACAGTAGCAGTTCTCCTGTCCAGCCTGCTGCCACTGGATAGGAGAACCACTACTGTTTGTAAAAAGTAATGTGGGCCGGGCATGGTGGCTCATACCTGTAATCCCAGCACTTTGGGAGGCCGAGGTGGATGGAACACAAGGTCAGGAGTTTGAGACCAGCCTGGCCAACATGGTGAAACCCCGTCTCTGCTAAAAATACAAAAATTAGCTGGGTGTGGTGGTATGCACCTGCAATCCCAGCTACTCAGGAGGCTGAGGCAGGAGAATTGCTTGAACCCAAGAGGCAGAGGTTGCAGTGAGCCGAGATCACTCCACAGCACTCCAGCCTGGTGACAGAGCGAGACTCCATCTTGGGGGAAAAAAAAAAAGTAATGTGTAAGTCCCCTCAATAAACCCTATGTCTTGTTCCCTGGCTCTGGGTCTCCTCTTTGGCTTCCCAAACATGGTACCATCCCTATAGAAGTCAATAGGGGTCTGGCAAATATGAAATGTATTTATTCCATCATAAAAACTTAGGAAAAATTTTATCAACAAAAAAAAAAGATTATGTTTTATATAGCAAGTGCTTGTGATTCTTCAGCAGCATTACAACTATGAGTACCTGGGTCCACAGAAAAACCATCTCTCAACTTAGAGCCAGATGGACAGTCTCAGAGTCTCCCATTAACATTCACCTGCACTTTGGTCAGTGATTTGCTGGGTGCTTGAGTTTGCTTGCAATAGTAGATGCCAATGATTTAAAAACAATTAGAAGGAGAGCTTAAAACAGAGATAATTCTATCTGTTCACTTATTTATTGTGTGGTCATTGCCTTTTGTCAGAGGTAAAGCATCAGAGGCACAGGATCATAGCCTGAGAGCAGCTGATGTTCATATACCATTCTCAATGTCCTCACTGGTTACATTTCCCAAAATGGAAATCAGTGTTTAGAATACAGTAAGGCAAAAACCAACCACAATTAACTCAGAAAGGATACACCTAGGGAGCTGTAGCCAAACTCCGAAGACAATACATCTTCCCTCAACCTAATGAATAAAAGGGTATTAACTACAAAGTAAACATAGCCCAGGGCAAGGGATTAAGTGACTTTCCTGGGACTGAAGAGAGATGAAGAATAAAGACAGGTTCAGAATAATGTATATGGGGATTAAGAACTATTAATAAAGCAAGGCAAGAAGTAAGATGTATTTTACTATTAACTATATTTTTGTTAATATATTGATAACTCTTCGTGCCACTGTAGTTCCTGTTTGGAAAAGGTAAATGAAGGTAAAATTCTGCATACTAAGAGCCACATTGACGAATTCAAATTTAAATGCTAATTGGATATAGGAAAGTTACCTCCTAGATCCTTAGTGACTCAAAGTTTGGATCTAACTACAGCTCTAACCCTTACTCTTAATGTCAAAACCCTGCCTTGCATGGTGTCAGCAGCCTAATTAAAGAAGCACCAGGAGAGTAAAACCAATAACCTTTGTTAAATTACACTATTTTCCCAAAGCCTTATCAATAGCAAACAGCATAGCCAAATCCCAGGGATCAAGATGGGGGAATAAAATGTTCCCTGAGGCTTTCAGCAAGATATAATAGGTCTCAAGGAAGACTTCAAAGCCAAGCAAAACCTTCCTCAGTGCCCTACATAGAATAGCACTGAACTAATAATTTACTCTACTGAACTAGAGCAAGAAATCCTGAGCCCTGTCTGTGGCTTCCTTCTCCCTCCTATGGCCTTCAGGCAGTGGAACTCCAGGGGTACCAGAACCTTGAGGAAGGGATGCTACACTCTGTTGTTGAGAGGTAAGAGGGACCTCACAGTTAGAATGAGGTTTTTGTGAGCCTCTACCCATAGTCAGTGCTCTGCTGTCCCTGAGTCCAGAGCAAAAGCCAAGTTCTAAAGTTGGTGGGAGAAAATGTTGCTCTTTAACAGGGATGCAGTGACGCCACCACGCTCATACACACACCCTTCAGTGCATCTCTGGGCAATTAGCTAAGATTCTCTGGTCTGCCATTTATTGCTAACTGTGGCTTTGTTAAGATCAGAGATCTCTGACAGCATGAAGACCAGTCTCCACAGTTCTTCCTGCTCTCATGCCACTGGCCATGGAGAATGGTAGGGGCCTCTGTAATAAAAAGGAAAGTGTTTACCCACTGGGGCAAAGGCCTATCCAAAAGACAGGCAGCCCAGTGTGGAGGGGATCCCTGATGCCAGGATGTAGCTGCATGTCTGTCATGCATAGGACTTACAATCGGCTAAGTGATGGCACCCAACAGTATCAGGTCCTAATTCTTGGAATCTGTAAATGTCACCTTCTATGACAAAGACTTTGCAGGTAAAATGAAGAATCTTGAGATGGGGAGATTATCTTATCCTGTATTATCCATGTGGGACCAAACATAATCACAAGTACCCTTTTAGGAGAGGCAGAGAAAGATTGGACACACACAGAAGAGGAGTTGACACAAGGTGACCATGGAGACAGAGATTGAAGTGATATGGCCACAAGCCTAGGAATGCTGGCAGCCACCAGCAGCTGGAAGAAAGAGCCTGTGAAGGGCATACAGCCCTGCCAACATCTTGATTTGCATCCAGTGATACTAATTTTGGACTTCTGGACTCCAGAACTCAGAGGGAATAGATTCCTATTGTGTTAAGCCATCAAGTTTGTGGTAACTAGTTACAGTGGCAATATGTAATAGATTCAAATTATCTAACAGGAGTTTTCTTAAGCAAAACTTAACTAAGTTTACTTCAGGCTTAAAGAGTACAATTCTTAATGAGAAAAATTACTAGTATGTCCACACAGTGGAAAGTACTGAAACTACATCTGTGTTATCTGAATGTGTCCTCCTACAATGGAGGTGTTGGGCCAGGTGTGGTGGCTCATGCCTGTAATCCCAGCACTTTGGGAGGCCAAGGTGGGTGGATCACCTGAGGTCGGGAGTTCAAAACCAGCCTGACCAACATGGTGAAACCCCATCTCTATTAAAAATACAAAAATTAGCCAGGCGCAGTGGCTCACACCTGTAATCCCAGCACTTTGGGAGGCTGACTGAGGCGGGCAGATCACAAGATCAGGAGTTCGAGACCGGTCTGACCAACATGGTGAAACCCTGTCTCTACTAAAAATATAAAAATTAGCCAGGCATGGTGGCAAGTGCCTGTAATCCCAGCTACTTCGGAGGCTGAGGCAGGAGAATTTCTTGAACCTGGGATGCAGAGCTTACAGTGAGTCGAGATCGCGCCACTGCACTCCAGCCTGGGCGACAGGGCGAGACTCCATCTCAAAAAAATCAAGTGTTCAAGTGCTACTCTTAGTACCTCAGAATGTCACTGTATTTGGAGACAGAACCTTTAAATTAAAGAGATAATTGAATTGAATGAGATCATATGGTAAACCCTAATCCAATCTGACTGTTGGCCCTATAAGAAGAGCAATTTTGGACACACACAAAGAGATATCAGGGATGAGCACCCACAGAGCAAAGACCATGTGAGGACACGGGGAAATGTAGCTATCTGTAAGCCAAAGATGGAAGTCTCAGGAGAACCCAACCCTGCCAGCACCTTGATTTTGGACTTCCAGCCTTCAGAACTAGGAGAAAATAAATTTCTGTTGTTTAGGCCAGGCACGGTGGCTCATGCCTGTAATCCAACACTTTAGGAGGCCAAGGTGGGTGGATCACTTGAGGTCAGGAGTTTGCGACCAGCCTGGCCTGCATGGTGAAACCCTGTCTCTACTAAAAATACAAAAATTAGCCAGACGTGGTGGTGGGCACCTCTAATCTCAGCTACTTGGGAGACTGAGGCAGGAGAATCGCTTGAACCCAGGAGGTGGAGGCCGCAGTGAGCCAAGATCACACCACTGCACTCTAGCCTGGGTGACAGAGCGAGACTCTGTCTCAAGATATATATATATATATATATATATATATATAGTTTAAGACACCCAGTCTGTGATATTTTGTTTTAGCAGCTCAAAAAGACTGATACAATCAATGACCAAAACCTCTTGCCTCCCCACTTCCACATCCCCCAAGAAGTTTATATATAGTTCCACTCAAACAAGATTGGCCCAAGGAACCCGTGACAGGAGGCCAGTGTTTTTAACATAAACTCACTTTGTTTGTCTTTCTCTTTGTTGCATTAGAAGGAGTCATCCTGCCCATTCTAGGGTATAAAGCAACCTTCCCCAGAATGGACTGCAAGCACTTCTCCCTCTCTTCCCTTCTAAGGTAAAGAGCATTTCTTGCAGCAATTCTAAAGGCTACGGCCCTCTTCCAGGAAAAGTGGATGGGCCCTTTTGTGGTTTCGGGGTCTAGGCCTAGCTAGAGGAAAACTCCAGTGCTTCCTGATGAGCCAGTAACCCCACTCTGAAAGAAAAAAATATGTGTGGGTGTTGTTGGGTAGGGTAGTAAACATTTTGCTAGACTGAAGGTGAAGGCAGTGTATAAGGAAAAGAGTCATGACCCTAGAAAGGGGAGAAGAAACCAGAAGTTGCAGATGGAGACCTGTCATCTTGCTTAAGAGTAACTCCCCAGAGATGGAAAGACCTCTTTATGAGAATAGACAATGGTGACCATAATGGACTTTAGCTCCATGGCACTCCAACCTAAGTGGAGGGAGGTAACCGTGAAAAATGACTTTTTTAAACCTGTGCTCTTGATGAGAAGAAGGCATCAAGAAAGACTAAGTACATAGAGACACCACTAGAAGGATAGGCCTGAGTGGAAGTTGATGAGGACCAGGCAGTTTTCCTAATGGGTGGCCAGAAGGAACATGCCAGCAAGGAAGGGAATCCTGAAACAAAAGGTAAAGCTGTTACACCAAAGGGCACCAAGTTCACTAATTTTTTTCCCTGTAAGGGAATTCTAGGAAGGGAGCATCTATAAGAAGAAACTCTTTGCTGAGTATTTTAAGTTATATTTGGAAAATTTTCTGTATTAATCAGGTTTCTCCACAGAAACAGAACCAATAGAATATAGATAGATAGAAAAAAATGTATTATAAGATATTGGGCCAGGTGCAGTGGCTCATGCCTGTAATCTCAACACTTTGGGAGGCTGAGGCAGGAGGATCACTTGGGGTCAGAAGTTCAAGACCAGCCTGGAAAACATAGCAAGACCTCAAAATTTAAAAATACTAAAAATTTAAAAATTAGCTGTGCATGGTGGTGCATGTCTGTAGTCTCAGCTACTCGGGAGGCTGAGGTGGAAGGAATGCTTGAGCCTAGGAGTGTGAGGCTTCAGTGAGCCATGACTGTACCACTGCACTCCAGCCTGGATAAGAGAGCAAGACCCTGTATCAAAAAAAAAAAAAATTACCGTAAGGTATTGTCTCATGGGATTATGAAGGCTGAGGAGTCCCACAGTCTGCCATCTGCAAGCTGGAGGCCCAGGAAAGCCAGTGGTGTAGCCCCAGTACAAACCCAAAGGCCTGAAGACCAGGGGAGCCAATGGTATAAGTCCCAGTCCAAGTTCAAAGGCCTGAGAACCAGGAGCATGGATGTCCAAGGGCAGGAGAGGATAGAGGTCCCAGCTCAAGAAGAGAGAACAAATTCACGTTTCTTCCACCTTTTTGTTCTCTCAGGCCCTCAACAGATTGGATGATACTCACCCACATTGGTGAGGGCATCTTCTTTACTCAGCCCACTAATTCAAATACTGATCTCTTCAGAAACACCCTCGCAGATACACCCAGAAGCAATGATTTCCCAGCCATCTGGGCATCCCTTACCCCAGTCCAGTTGATCTATAAAATTACGCATCATACCCTGTGTTATGGGTTGAACTGTTTCCCACCCCGCCCCCCCAAAAAAATATGTTGTAGTCCTAACCCTCAAGTACTTCAGAATGTGATTCATTTTGGAAATAGGGTCTTTACAGAAGTAACTGAGTCAAAATGGAGTCATCGGGGGTGAACCCTCATCCAATATGGTGGTGGTCTTATTTAATAAAAAAGGAGAGACTGGATGCAGTGGCTCACGCCTGTAACCCCAGCACTTTGGGAGGCCAAAGTGCGTGGGTCACTTGAAGTCAGAAGTTCAAGACCAGCCTGGCCAACCTGGCGAAACCCCATCTCTACTAAAAATACAAAAATTAGCCAGGCATGGTGGTGCACACCTGTAATCCCAGATACTTGGGAGATTGAGGCAGGAGAATCGCTTGAACCCAGGAGGCAGAGGTTGCAGTGAGCTGAGATCATGCCACTGTACAGCCTGGGTGACAGAGCAAGACCCAGTCTCAGAAAAAAAAAAAAAAAGAAGAGGAAATTTGGGCATAGAGACAGACACAGAGGAAAGATGATGTGAAGATGCACAGGGAGAATGCTATGTGAAGACAGAGGGTTAGAGTAATATATCCACCTACCAAGAAACTCCAAAGATTGTTGGCAAACCACCAAAAGCTAGGAAGAGGCAAAGAAGGAAGCCCTGCAGGTTTCAGAGGGAGCATGGCCCTGTTGGCAGCCCGCTTGGGACTTCTGGCCTCCCGAGCTGTGAGACAGTAAATGTTTGTCGTTTTAAGCCACCCAGTCTGTTGTTACAGCTGCCCCAGGAAACTGACACATCCTTCTTTTCCAAATGTATAATATATGCCAAACTTTTTCATTTTAACTCCCACACCATTCTCCAGCAATTCCCACCCCACCCAAACACACTCATTCCTCTCTCAATGACTCAGGAAGGTAATGACTCCAGTAGATTAATCACTTCAAAGTATGTAGTATCAAGGATTTTCAAACTTTTTTTTAAATGAAAGCAAATTCAACCTGTCAACAAAGTGAAAGAGATGTTTCTCCCACATGCTTTTACTTTGATTAAATATTTATTTTAAACAATATTACATTATTGTCATTTGACAGCCCCCTACCACCCCACTTCAAACCTGGTACCAGGAGGAAATAATCCACTCTATATGCTCTAAAGATAGCAACCTGACTACAAGGCTTGTGACACTCTTTTCCTCCTGGGCTCCTGAGAAAAAGGGGCCTCCCATGTTAGAAGTTTTATATGCAGTTTCCCATAGAACAGAAGGCCCAATGCCAAAGACAAAGAAACAAACAAACAATAAAAAACCCACTAAGCAGGCACAAATGATTGTTATGATCCTCAGGATATTTTTAATTTTTTGTATGGTGGTTCAAAAAATAATTACATTAAAAGCTAACAAGCAAAATAAGCAATAAATAAGAATATATATGTGTGTATATATATATGTTTTTTTTTTTGAGACAGAGACTTGCTCTGTCACCAGGCTGGACTGCAGTGCCATGATCTCAGCTCACTGCAAACTCTGCCTCCCAGGTTCAAGTGATTCTTCTGCTTCAGCCTCCCAGTAGCTGGGACTACAAGTGCATGCCACCACACCCAGCTAATTTTTGTATTTTTAGTAGAGACAGGGTTTCACCATGTTGGCCAGGATGGTCTCAATCTCTTGACCTCCTGATCTGCCCGCCTTGGCCTCCCGAAGTGCTGGGATTACAGGTATAAGCCACCATGCCCAGCCAAGAATATTTTTTAAAACTTAGTCTTTGACATGGAACACATGGTTCTGAAGGCCAGAGATAAGAATTTTTTAGATAACTCACTCACTTGGGCAGAGTCATATTTGTTCAACAACTAAGGTATGACTGTTAGGATTGAGTTTGGTTATATGCAATAGATATTTGACTACACTGTCTTCACAAATTATGGTTTATTTTTCTTACAGAACCAGAAATTCAGAAGCAATCCCACCATGATGAGAACAGCTGCACAAGGAAATCACAAAGGATCCAGGCTTCTTCTAACTTCTGGCTCTTCCACCTTTTTAGCATGTGACTTTTGCCCTCATTGGCACAAGATGACTGCTTAACCCCCAGTCACTGAATCTTTCTTCCAGGGAAGGGGAAAGGCAAAAGACTAAAGGTAAAGATACGTGCCTACTGAACCTTCCCCTTTTTTCAGGAAAAGAATAGCATTCCTGGACTTACATCCCACTGGCAAGAATTCTGTTACTCTGCAAGAAAGCCTTGGAAATCTAGTTTTACAGGGTTTGTTTGTTTGTTTGTTTGTTTTTGAGACAGGGTCTCATTCTGTTGCCCAGGCTGGAATGCAGTGGTGTGATCCCATCTCACTGCAACCTCTACCTCCCATGCTCAAGCAATCCTCCCACCTCAGCCTCCCGAGTAGCTGGGACTACAGGCCCCCACCACTATGCCGGACTAATTTTTGTATTTTTAGTAGAAATGAGGTTTTGCCATGTTGCCCAGGCTGTTCTCAAACTCCTGAGTTCAAGTGATCCTGCCTAGGCCTCTCAAAGTGCTGGGATTACAGGCGTGAGCCACTGCGTCAGCCTACTCTGTTCCAGTATTGCCCCAAACAAAATCTGAGTTTTTAGTAAGGAACATGGAGGTGAATGGCACTGGGTTGTGGGGACATTTAGCAGTTTCTGCCATGAGGTATGGAGAAGAAAAACCAAAAATGCTCTTTCTCTCTTAAACTGTAATATCTCTCCTACTCTTAGGACACAATTAAAGCAGTATGTGCCATCATTGAATCCTATGAGGGGAGGTAAAACCACCTACAAGGTAAACAAGCTTAAATTGCTAAAAAGGAGTTCTAGACTGAAAATAAGCAAGAACTTCTTAACAGAGAAAACCAACAAACACAAACTCAACCAGCCATTAGCAATTGAATTCCTCCTTAGATGAAATAAGAATCATATCCTACAGAAATTGTTGTACATGTACATCAAATGTATGTACAAGGATCTGAAATGTTGCACTGTTTGTAAAAATTGAAAGTTGCAAACAACCTTAAATACAATAAATAGAGAAGCAATTTTTACAAATATATATATATATGGTATGCCCATATACTGGGAAGTCTAAGCAGCTGTTGGAAAATAGGTGGACTTGAATGTCTAACATGGAAGAGATTCCAAAATGTATTGTTAAATGATGTATGTGTACACACACCACACTGTAGAGGCTGGGTGAGGAGAAGCAGTGCGGAGGACAAAGAATGGGGTCAGTAGGACAAGGGAAATTACCTTTTGTTCTTTATACTTCTGTATTACTTGAAATTTTACAACAAAAATACATTTATCTATTACTTTTGTAACTTTAAAATAATAAAAACAAAAAAGACTAAAATTGTATGTTCTGTACAACATGACACTTTAGTATTAGGAAACCTAGACTCACTTCTATCATGAATTTTGAATATCAATTTCTTCATCTGTAAAAATAGGAGAGATTGGATAGCCCAAATATAGGACAATTTTGAGAAACAAATGAGAATATCAAAGTTCTTTGAAAAACTGGAAAAGCCCTATATAGTAGTCCCTCCTTATTCAAGATTTTGCTTTCCAAGATTTGTTATCCACGATTAACCACATGGCCCAAAAATGTTACATGGAAAATTCAAGAAATAAACAATTCATAAGTTTTAAATTGCATGTCGTTTTAAGCAGCATGTTGAAATTTCTCACCATCCCACTCCATCCCAACAGGGACATGAACTAAGCCTTGGTCCAGCATATTCACACTGTCTACACTACCTATTAGTCACTTAGTCACCTTCTGGGTTATCAGATCGAAAAAACATAATATATATATATAGGGTTTGGTACTATCCTCAGTTTCAGCCATCAGTTGGGGGTTCTTGAAATGTATCCCCTGAAAATAAGGGGGGCTATTGTATACGCAGATGTAAGATATCATTATTGCCCCCTAAAAACCTTCCAGAACTCATTCATTCGTTCAACAAACCTTTTCTTTCTTAGGGAGGGGCCACTGTTCTACACACTAGGATTCCAGAGATGAGTAATATATTATCACCACTCTCAAGGAGTAACTGAGAATCAATAATCACAGATATTATAATGGAAAAATAATGAAAAGGCCTATGCTTCTCCATGAAAATTCTGTAATAGAAACTATAGATAGAGAGAAAGAATGTGAGGCTCATAGGATGGAGTGGGAGAGAGAGGAGGGCTAGTTAAGACATCTAGAGTCAGGCTTCCGAGCCACCTTCCTGGCAGGTATGTCCCTTTTTGATCCAACCTGGCTCATTCTCAGTTTGCCCAACATGTTCACTACTGCTATTGTAGAAACCAAGACAGGGCACTTTTAAGGCTGATGCCGAAAGGTGCATGTGTTTGGGAAGCAAAGATGTTCAGTGTAATCCTGGAAAAGAGGGCCCCCATCTGATTCAAGAGCAATAAAATACGGATCATTCAAACAGCAAAAACATAGTTGACACACTTACAAAGAAAGGAAGCACCAAAGTCCCTCTCAGGCTTGGGACTCAATAATTAGAATCCTGTCAAATCACTGGAGTCATAGATGAGAGAGCAAAAGAGGTCACGAAAGTTCCATCCAGAGGACCATTGGTCATCCTCCCCTGAAGCCCCATTTTACAGGTGAGGACATCAAGGCTTCCCCCAGTCCTCTGGACTTCTTGACCGCTCATCTTCCCCTAAGCAAGATAAGTACATCGTTGCCCATCAATCAGAGGGTCAATGATCCTTTATAGATATCAGTAAGGTTTCCAAATCTGGTTTCTTGGAACCGTCAGTATAGTGAATAAAACTGTGAGACACTACATCACGTTGTTTATTGCTTTTTGCACAGTTCAAACTGGCATCTGTTCAGCCCAGGGTTATTTAAGGCCTAATGTTCATGGTGCTGGAGTGTACAGTGAAATAAATGGGGTTTCAGCTAATTAAATGCTGGCACAAAGCTGAGGTGTTTGAAAAATCTCTAAATCCATCTAGTGGCCTGTCCCTGAGCCAAGAGCTGCTGCTGTTAAATGACACAATAAAAGAGATGCTGTGTAAATTTCAAATATTTTATTGAACATAAATAATTAGAATATCTAACCATTTGCTAAGGCAGAAATATCTAGCAGCTAATGTGCAGAACGCACTGCAGATGTTCACAAACTACAGAAATGTCAATATGCTTTTAAGTTCCTTTTAACCAATTTTTTACTCTAAAGAAGTAAACATTTATAACTGTGAATAAATGGTTTGTGGTTTGGGCAAAATGTTTAGGAATATTCAATAAAGCAGCCATATAAATATTCAGTTATGGAGATAATTTGATTTAAATAGATGGTACTTTCAATAAATAAACGTTGTTCAACATGAATCAACATTTTAAACAACCAGCAAGCATCAAAACCCAGCTGATGTTTCAGGCAAATCTTTGGAAAACATTTTATTTAGCAGTTCTTCTTACATATGCTATACAATGTCAATGATTCCTTCATAGTCTTTATTATCAGGAATATTGGCATGAAAGCAGTATCTTTTCTTAAGAGAATTCATCTTCTTTCAGCACCACATTTTATTACGATCTTTTCTTCTTTGCAGAGTTGCCACGCAGTGTTGTGGAGTCCAAGGTTGAGAACAACAGCAGGAACCAGCCTAGGTTTAAATTGTCTCTGCTACTTAAAACTGTGTGATCTTGGGCTGGCCGCGGTAGCTCACGCCTGTAATCCCAGCACTTTGGGAGGCTGAGGTGGGCAGATCACCTGAGCTCGGGAGTTCGAGACCAGCCTGGCCAACATTGTTAAACCCCATCTCTACTAAAAATACAAAAATTAGCTGGGCATAGTGGTGTGTGCCTGTAATCCCAGCTACTCAGGAGGCTGAGGCAGGAGAATCGCTTGAACCTGGGAGGCGGAGGTTGCAGTGAGCCGGGATCATGCCAATGGGCAACAGAGTGAGGCCCTATCGTAAAAAAAAAAAAAAAAAAAAAAAAAAAAAAAACTCTGCAACCTTGAGCAGTTTAACCATGTTTAGCTTCAATATCATCATTTATGAAATGGAAATCATAATACCTCATAGGAATAAGTATTAGATAAGATCATAAGTCAAGTGCCCAGAAAACACTCTACAAACTTACCTGTTACCATTTTAGATTACTTGTTATAAATTGAGCTTTCCATTTGAATCATTTAAAACAGACTTTGGAGTGAATTAACGACATTCACAGCGACCTGGATGAGATTGGAGACTATAATTCTAAGTGAAGTAACTCGGGAATGGAAAACTAAACATGGTATGTTCTCACTGATATGTGGGAGGTAAGCAATGAGGACACAAAGGCATAAGAATGATACAAGGGAATTTAGGAACTTGAGGGGAAGGGTGGGAGGGGAGGAGGGGTAAAAGACTACGAAAAGGGTGCAGTGTGTACTGCTCGGGTGATGGGTGCACCAAAATCTCACAAATCACCACTAAAGAACTTATTCATGTAACCAAACACCATCTATACCCCAATAACCCATGGAAAAATAAATAGATAAATAAAAACTATATATCTGATTTTTTTTTTAAATGACAGGGCAAGAGGCAAGGGGCAAACTGTTCCCCTGCCAGGCTGTTTGATAGAAAAAGCAATGGTTATCTTGGTTCTAAAGCTTCAACCACACTGGATCCTTGTGTTTCACATACCTTAAGGTTAGCGCCAACTTTCCAACTTTCCAAAAGAATAATTACATCGGGAAAGAAATGGGGTCAGCGGTTCTCGCAGTGCTTTTAAACAGGAAGTCTCGGAGCTCATGCAGGGAAGCAGCTCATAGCACTTCTTTCCTACTCATCAACCCAAAGAACCGCTCAATCCCAGGAAGAAGATAGAGGAGTACGTCTCACCAAACACAAGTTGACCCTAACTCTAAATCATCTACAGTCAAAAAATTGATGCTGCATCTGGTTGACACTGCCAGTAAAAAAATTTTTTTAAAAATGATTCTGCCTATAAAATGAAAATATATATATATAAAACAGACTTTGGACATCCATTGTTTTAACCTGTAACTACTTTCTTTTAATACTGTCAAGGACAATAGAGATTGGTACGACATTCTTGGAGAGCAATTTGGTAATAGCTATCAAAATTTGAAATGCACATTTCCTTTGATCCAGCAACTACACTCCTGGAATTCACCTATCACTAGCTAGGTGGCAATATATTATTAGATCAATGTCCCAGAATGTTCACTGCTACATTTCTATAATAGTAAAATAAAGTGACAAATGCCCATCAATAAATGATTAATTACCATGTACCCCCACTTATGGGACTTGTCACAGTAGGATTTTGCCTCTGTATGTTTGGTTATGGGGTGATTTCTCTTTATTCCCTGTGAAAAGAGAACACTTGTTCCCTCTTCTGAATTTTCCTTTTGTATGGAGAGAATCTGGCAGTGATACACTGCTGACCTCTCTCTGCCCCTTGAGGCGCTCAACCCAGGGGAGGTAGAGGGACTTTTGTGACTGGCGAATTTCGGAAGAATAACTAGACATGCTCTGCTCAGCAACTCCCTTTTACTTCTTTAGAGAGAGAAGTCCACAGGGAACAGGAGCTCTCTTCTGTCCAGGATATTCACCAGGCAGTCCCCGCAATAGGGAAGTCGGCTATGGTCAGCCCTGCCGGTGACTAGGTGGGTATAGGTGCCCAACTCCGGGCATCCGAGTTAGGAAGTCCATGCGGTTTGCACACTATCCTATATCTTCCAACATAGCCTTTAGCAATAAAAGAGGTAAATGATGTAATCTGTCAATCTTTTATATTTCAATTTGATCAGAACTTGGGCAAGGAAAAGGGATGCATTTGAAGGTCCTCATGAAGGTTACTGTATGCCCCACAAATGTAAACTCTTTGGAGATGGGAATTATATCTGCCTTGCTCATCAGTATATCCCTAAAACAGAACCTAGACCCAAAAAATAAATGAATGAATGAATGAATGACACAAATGGTGTTATTTTAAAAGTATGTGATGTATCTGTGTGTGATTATATAAATGTAGTTTCCTTAAGAGGGAGGGACTAGGAAAGGAGGCACCTTTTCAGTGTATGTCTACTGGCACTGTTTAGATTTTCTAACCACATGTATGTGGCAGTTATTTCATTAACGAAGTAGAAATGGAAACTGTCCACAAAAGGCTATTGTGAAGCATAATTATGAGCCCTTTTGTTTTCTCCTTTATATCTTCCTTTAATAAATAAACATTTTAAGAGAAAACTCCATCAGGAAAAAAAGAAAGAAGGAAGAAAAGGAGAGAGGAAAGGAAGGCAGGAAGGCCAGAAGGAGGGAGGGAGGGAGGCAGGGAGGGAGGAAGGAAGGAAAGAAGAAAGGAAGGAAGGAAAGAAGAAAGGGAGGGAGGAAAGGAGGGAGGCAGGAAAGGAGGGAGGGAGGGAAGGAAGGAAAGGAAGGAAGTAGAGAAAGAAAAGAGGGAGGGAAACATGGAAGGAAGAAAAAAATTCCTTAACAAGACCTTTTTTAGAATGAGTGATCACTCCTCTACATGTCAGGGTTCTTGGCTGAAAAAAACTAGAAACAATCTAGCTACATTAAACAGAAAAGAAATGCATCTGAAGGCATCAAATGACTAACAAAGTTGATGGGAAGGCTGGGGAACTAGCTTAAAAATGAGCAGGGTCCAAGGCAGCCCAGAGCACCACCGTGATGCCACAGAAACTTATGGTGATGACCACGCCACCTAGGACATGCACAGACAGTGGCCACACTGATGCTCTCACTGAGCCATTGGGTCCTCAATTCTGCTGCCACATTGAGTCTGCTCTGGTCCTCCTCTATCAAGGTTCAAAGTTCAGAGCAGAAGCAGCCAGTTAGCCAAGGTGAGGTTATCTGCCCAAGTGGAGGGTTGGCCTTTGGTAGGATGAGGGAGGGATACCTCACCCCCTTCATTGTCTCTAGCAAGAGGGTGGATAGTTTGGGTACAGATGCTGGGAGGGAGGTAGGTTTGGAGAAGGGAGATGAAGAAATCTGATTGCTTGCTTCTGCTTTCTCAATGCATTATGACAAAGGACTATCATGTCCTTTGAAGTGAGAAGTGAGAAAGCACCGTTAGAGATTTGAAAAAAGAAAAGGTGTGAAATCGCACGTTTGGAGGGGGGTGGTCCAGTTATTTACTGCTACATAATAAATGACCCCAAAACATTGGCTTACAAGAATATAATAATTTATTTTACTTATGATTCTGGAAGTCAAATATGCCCAGCTAGGCAGTTCTCGCTTAGAGTCCCTCATAAGTTTGCAGTCAGATGGTGGGTGGGGCTGGGGTCATCTGGAAGGCCTATTCACATGTAAGCCTATCTCCTGGGCTGGGGAGGCAACAGCTGAGGCTCCTCAAAAATGTCTCTCTCTTTCTCTCTTTATATATATATTTTAAATATGTATTCATATATATACATACACCTACATATACATACACATACATATATATATATATATATATAATTTGTTTATATAGCTATATATGTGGATTCACATGGCAGCTTAAGGTGTCCAATGCCCTAAGATAAATAAATAGAATCTTCATGGATTTTTCTAACCTAGCCTCAGAAGTTACCTGATGTCCTTTCAGCTGTGTTCAAGTCATGAAAGCAGTCACAAAGAGCTGCCCATACTCCAGAAAATGGGACATAGACTCTATCTCTTAATGGAAGAAATGCCCAAGAATTTGCCGAAATATTTTGAAATCACTACAAATGGAAAGAAAAACAAAAATATTAAAGAAGTATAATAAAACTGTTGAGCTATATCGAGTGCTCATTTGAGATAGGTACTCATGAATTAAAGAGAGACCCTTTGACAGAGCTGTGTTTTTATCGATCAACTTTTGGCTACTGGGGTACCAATCCAGGAAGGAGGATGGTGGGGTGTAACATGGACTTTGCCAACAACTCCTATCATCTCTATGAAGATGAAAGCACTAGGAGAGCAGGGACCTTGTCTGTCGCACTCATGGCAAGATCTCAGAGATTAGAATTGGGCTTTGTAAAAGGGGGTCCCTCAATATATCTGTGTTATGGGTGAACCTGGCCCTTTTTTGCAGCTTTTGTTTAAGATGTTCTTTCCAATCAGGATGCCTCCCCACTGCCCCCATCACCAATTCACTATATGACTTTGCACAGATCACTTAACTGCTTGGAGCTTCTTTTTTGCACCTATAAAATGAAGATTATGTGATATTTAAGGTTCCTTTCAGGTGTAAAAATCATATCTTCCTATCTTATCCCACTCATCTGATGACTTCCAACAATGATGCCAAAATACATCAGCTCAGATGAAGGCACTAGCTCAGGTGCCCTTGGGTTTTTGCCTTGCAACTGATCCACTTAAGACACAGCCTCTGAAAACACATTGACTCTAAAAGCAAAGCCTCCTACACTCAATAAATCCTTGTTGGATTTCAGCAAGAGACTGCAGATAGAGAAGTATTGATGCTGGAGCTGTAAAGTGCCTTAGAGAAAAGACAGATCTGGCCCAGTCTTTGCCCTCTTGGGTGTTCACATCCTTTCTTAGCTATCACCCAACCCAGTTGGATAAATATATCTCTTTTTGTCTTTCCACATACTTCAATCCCTTCCTTTCCTGAATCATTTCTGTTACTTTACTCTCAACCTTCCCCATTCTGTCTCTTCCTTTTCAATGCTTAATGTCAGGACCATCCACAGGGTAGAAGGTAGGGGGGTATGCAGTGGAAATAGAGGGGTGAAGGCAATAGACAACAGTTAGTAAGACAGCAATATTCACTGAGCATTGTCTGTGCCCTGAAAGCTGCAGTACATTTGGGAGTCAGATTCACAGAGCTGTCAACTACCTATGCGGTGAATTTGAGGGCCTGAAGTAGGGTCTCCCGCTAAAAAATGGCCAGCCTAGATTCAAATGCCACTGCCATCACTAAATAAATGTGTACGTGACCTTGAATAAGTTAATCCTTAACCATTCCATTCTTTAGTTTCCACCTCTAAAAAATGAAGATGATAGTACATCTGACTTCACAAAGTTGTTGTGAAGACTGAATAAAACAATACACGTTAAGTGCTTAGAACAGTACCTAGCACATAGTAAGTGCTCAACAAATGTGAGATATTATCTATTATCTTTCATGGTGTCTGAAATTCTACCTGTTAAAGACTTAACCCTTGTGATTGAGGCAGCGACTCTATCCTTGGTGTTAGTCAAGGATATTCTATTAAATATACTCTATTATAGTCTATTCATATGCTCAAGTTAAGACATCAGTTGTGTTCCTGCCTGACTCTGTGATAAATGAGATTCCAACCTTGGGCCCCTGTAACTGTTCCTGCTTTTATAATCTGCCCAATGTCCAATTCCTCTACCACAGGCTCTATGCCTTTAGTCTCCATCTAGTTACTAAAATCCAGCTTCTGAAATTCACACCCATGGATGGAGTTCTTCCAGGTATGCAGTAGCTATACAACACATATTCATTGACTGACTGGCCAGCTACCTTCTACTGGTCTCCTTGATGCTGACCTAGAATGGTGCCCCATATACACCCTCCTCTGTGCTCTCTCACCTGCATTCAGCAGCGGCTTCCTTACTGCCCACACCTGAGCCCTCCTGCCACCCTCCGTGAGAAGACAGGTTCAAAATGTCAGCCAAACCACCACCCTGTTTCCATCTTCTTGGCTGATTAAACTAGGTCATTAAATCTTTGGGAGCTCTTCTCTTAAACACATATTCCATGAATCCCCTGCTCTAAAACTTCACTTTTCCAGGGTCAGACAACAAGGATCCACTAGGCACATTTAGCAACGTGTACCAGCTTCCTCCCTCTTCTGCATTGCCCTCTGCAGCTCTCCATGGGTGTTCCAGTGAGAGCCCCCTACTCCTCCCCACTGCCCAGGATCCCTGCTGAGTACAGGAAAATAGTCAAAACTATGACAGAGGAGATAAGGCTACCAGATCAAAGGGTTCAGGACAAGAGACGAGTGTAAATTAAGGCTGGAAAAGTAGGATGGTACCAGATCAAGTGGACTTGAAAGGAAGCAGACAAGTCTGAATGGCAGATTGGTATAAGAGGGATGTTTCAGGAGGGGTTCTGGCCCAGGTACACCATGTTGGGATGAGAAGGGTTTGGAGGTGAGACGACCAGTGAGGGTAGCACAGACCCCTTTGAAACTCAGCAGAAAGGTAGACCTTTGGTCCAAGGGGAAAAAAATACTGAAAATTTTGCATAATATTTCAGGGAGTTGACAGATCTTAAAGCCCATTCATAGGACTCTCTGGGGCATCCCTGAACTTTTAAAAATCCCTGGAGCAGAATCTTACAACAAATCAACACCTGACATAGGGTGGTCACCTAAATGGTAGTTGTTATGCACTGAATGTTTGTGTCCTTCCAAAATTCATATGTTGAAGCCTACTGTGGTTTGAATGTGTCCTTCCAAAATTCACATTGAAACTTAATCCCCAGTGAGATAATATTAACAGCCGGGATCTTTAAGAAATGATTGGGTCATGAGGGCTCCACCCTCATAAGTGAGATTAGTGTCCTTACAAAAGGGCTCAAGAGAACTAGCTAGCCCCTTTTGTCTTTCTGCCATGTGAGGACACAGTGGGGATGCAGTGCTTCTCTCGGAAGCAGAGAGCAAGCCCTCCCCAGACACTGAATCTCCTGGCACCATGATCTTGGACTTCCCAGCCTCCAGAACTATGATAAATAAATTTCTCTAAAAAGAAAAAGAGAGAGAGAGACAAGGTCTCACTATGTGGCCCAGGCTGGTCTTGAACTCCTGGGCTCAACAATCCTCCCACTACAGCTTCCCAAAGTGCTGGAATTACAGGCATGGGTCACCATGCCCCACCACAAGAAATAAATACCTATTATTTGTAAATTACCCAGTCTAAGGTATTTTTTTTTAAACAGACTGAACTGACTAAGACAAAGCCCTAACCCACAATGTGAAGGTATTAGGACATAGGCCCTTGGGACATAATTAGTTCTAAATGAAGTCATAAGGGTGGGCCCCCATTATGGGATTAGTGCCCTTGTAAGAAGAGGAAGAGACACCGGAGCTCTTCCTACTCTCCACCATGTGAGGATACAGCAAGAACATAGCCATCTACAAGCCAGGAAGAGGATCCTCACCAAAAATTGAATATGCTGGCACCTTGATCTTAAACTGCTGAGCCTCTGAAAATGTGTGAAATAAATGTCTATTGTTTAAACCTCCCCATATGTGGTCATTTAGTATAGCAACCTGAGCTAAAGCAGCAGTGTTTAATCCAAAAAAAAAAAAAAAAAAAAAACCTACTTAATCTCTGCTGAGAGAAAACAGAAATTGATAAGCACGGTAGTAAATGGTACTAATGGAATGGATGATAGGAAGTAAACTCTAGGCCATTTAAGGAGGAGGGGGTCAGACGTGGTGGCTCACGCCTGTAATCCCAGCACTTTGGAAGGCCGAGGTGGGAGGATCACCTGAGGTCAGGAGTTCGAGACCAGCCTGACCAACATGGAGAACCCTGTCTCTACTAAAACCTGTAATCCTAGCTACTTGAATCCATACTAACATATGAGGCAGGAGAATCGCTTGAACCCAGGAGGCGGAGGTTGCAGTGAGCCAAGATCGCACCATTGCACTCCAGCCTGGGCAACAAGAGCGAAACTCCATCTCAAAAAAAAAAGAAGGAGGGCAAAAACCAAGACTTTGAATTTGGGGATTTTGGAAATGAAAAACATGAAAGTTTGAATATTTCTAAATAACCAGATAGATGGTGATGTATCCAAATGAGAGAGGATGCCTGTGTTTTGTTGATTTGGGTTTTTTGCATTGCTTATGGAGAGGGATGTAAAGTTTGACTCATTCATCCAACAAGCTTTAATAAACCGCCTAGAATGTGCTTGGCTCTGGAAATATCAAGAAGCAAACGCAAGCAAATCCTTGCCCCCACAGAGCATATACTGCTGTGAGAAAACGTGCAGGCAAAGAGCAATGACAATGCAGGGGTTGCTGAAGGGCAAGGGAGGTTTGCACAAAGTGTGAGGAGCAGGCTGGAAGGCACAGTTTTCCTGGGAAAACCATGGTGGAAATTGAGGTTGAGCTGAAACTGAAAATAGGCTTAGAGCTTTGCCTAATGGAATGAAGAAGGTTGGTATTACAGAGCCCTAAAGTTTGAGCAAGAGGAACTACATGTTATAGTTTTTCCCCCAGGCCCAGTAGCCCACATCTCCCCTTTATGTTCTTGGCCAAGTGCTGTGTATGGGAAATAGGAAGAAAACATCCATCCAAATGTAGGAAAATCACACTGACAACTGAGGAGAGGATGGGAAGCAGGAAAAGATTTGAGACACTAGGGAAAAAAAGCAAAACAGTAAGGAGGTTGTATTCATGAACCTAAATTCCAAGCTGTTTCCCCCAGTGATAAGACAGAGGAAAAAGACAAAATATGAATATCTGGACTGGCACAGTCAGATAGACTCCAATTGGGTTACCTCTGGGAAAATAGTAAAATCACCCTGCAGGGATCTCAAGGAGCCTGAGTCTTTGAATTGAGTTTTAACAGCAACAAAGCCAGATTTTTTTTCTCTGGTCTGCAGTTGTATTGGCCTCCATGATCTCTGAATAAGTCAAGCAAGGGATTTTTCCTGAAGTGGGAAGCTTTTCATGGCTGGTTTCTTGAGAGCCTTGAACACAATGCTTTGGCAGGTATGTGGCTGCCCAGCAGGGAATCTTGGAGCTTTGAGCAGCTCTGGCAGTTGCAAGGAGGCAGGTCACACAGCTTCACAAATCTTCTAAAAGAAAAAGCAAGAGAGTCTAAATTTAAAGAGGAGAAGCAACAGCTATGGAAAAGAGGAGAAAAGTATCAAAGATTTTTAGAAAACAGAATAGAAAAGATAAATTAACTTCAAGCTCAGAAAGAAGCAAAGTAAAAGGAGGAATTGAGGCTGGGTATGGTGGTGTGCACCTGTAGTCTCAGACACTCAGGAGACTGAGGCAAGAGGATGGCTTGAGCCCAGGAATTTAAGGCTGCCATGAGCTATAATCATGCCACTGCACTCCAGTCTGGGCAACAGAACAAGACTCTATCTCTAAGAAGAAAAAAAAAATGGAGGAGTTTAGAATGATGCCCAAATTTCCTATCCAGGGAACTTGGGTTTTGATAGTGTACTTCACAGAAATAAGGACTGGTGGGAATTCCCGAAAGGTTGGGTGGGGATGGAGATCACTAGAAGGAGAGATAATGAGCTCAGGTAAGTTTTAAAAGTGTTGTTTTCATGCACCTTTGCAATATACCACTAAAATATATATTAAATAGGCCAGACATGGTGGCTCATGCCTGTAATCCCAGCACTTTGGGAGACCGAAGCGGCCAGCTCACTTGAAATCAGAGTTTGAGACCAACCTGGCAACATGGTGAAACCCTGTCTCCACCAAAAATACAAAAATTAGCTGGGCATGGTGGCATGCGCCTGTAATCCCAGCTACTTGGGAGGCTGAGGCAGGAGATTCGCTTGAGCCCGGGAAATGGAGGTTGCAGTGAGCCAAGATTGCACCACTGCACTCCAGCCTGGGCAACAGAGCTGACTCCGTCTCACAAAAGAATAAATAAATAAAATACATCAAATACGCTAGATTAGAGTTCCAGAGAGAGTAGACTAAGCACAGTGACTTTGGAAGTAACTCATGTAAATGATTGAAGTCATGAGCAGAGATGAGACTACCCAAGAAGAAGGTAGAAAATAAGAATACAAGGAGGTTGAGAGGAAAGAGGTTGAGGAAGATTTCCCTAAGGGAAACTAATATTTAAAGACTAAACAAAGGAGATTGAGAAAGAACGAGACAACTAGATTAAACAGGAGAATAGTGCCAAGAAAATGTAGAGAAGAATTTCAAGAATGGAGTGGTCAAAAAGGTCAAATGCCCCATAAGGTTTAAATAAAATGTCAACTGAAATGTGTCTATTGAATTTAACAACTGGGAAGTCATTGATAACCTTTTCAAAATGGGGAAGAAAATAGATTACTGATGACTGAAGAGTAAACAAAGGTGAGGCAGTGTAGACAGCCTTGGGATGAGACTTGACTGTGAAGGGAAGAAGAGAGCTGGAGGTGAGCAGGGGAATATCTACAAGAGGCATTGGGCCACCAGCAGATGTGTGTTTGTTGCCATTGTTTTCTATAGGGTAGATTTTAAAGTGTTTATATTTGGCAAGGAAGAAGCCATTGGAGAGGAAGAGGATAAAAGTACAGAAAATGGAAGGGAAATTTCATAGAGTGAGGAAGAGACTGGAGGGGTAGTACTTCAGCTCACAGATGAGCCGTGGGAAGGAGAGACTCATCCTGAAAGCATGGCAGCAGGAGGTGAAGGCTGATGCTGATGAGACAAATGTAGACATGGAGCAATTACTGTTTGTCTTTTCCCGGGAAAATGGTAGGTAAGATTGTCCATAGAAAGTGAGGTAGCTGGAGGAGAGCTGGGAGCCTGGAAAGACTTGGAGAGGTGGAAGAAAATGTTAAAGGATTGCCAGAGTTGTACATTGCCTTGACATTGGATGCTATAAACCTTCATCTATGCCAGTATATGTGTATGTTGTGTGACTGCCTCCAGCATTTCTCAGACTCTCAGGTTTTGTAGATGGAGCTCCCTAGATGTTAAGAAGATATGAATTGGAAGTTGCAGGACAGGTCTAACAAACAGACAAGGGAACAGAGGAATTAAGGATGCCAGCAAGGAAGATTGAAGGATTGATGTGCCATGAAATTTCATCTGGAATGATAAAGAAATGAAACCAGGAAGGGGCTGACAGAATTCAAAGAAACATGAGGGATCAGGAAACTGCAGAGTACAAAGAGCAAAAACAAGCAGATCTTTAAAACCATCTTAAAGGACGTGTTAAGAGGTAGATCTTATGTTTTCTAATTTGGGGTACCCAAAATGTTTTTATTGTGATTATTCTACCCTGGGAAATGAGGGAATGAGAGCAAAGACCTAGTATGTTTATGAACTGCAAATACTATTTTTAAAAAGTAAAAGTCAAAAAAAACTTCAAAAAATAACCTAATAATGCATCTTAAAGAACTAGAAAAGTGGCTGGGTACGGTGGCTCACGCCTGTAATCCCAGTACTTTGGGAGGCCGAGGCGGGCGGATCACAAGGTCAAGAGATCAAGACCATCCTGGCCAATATAGTGAAACCCCCGTCTCTACTAAAAATACAAAAATTAACCAGGCATGTTGGCGCTTACCTGTAGTCCCAGCTACTTGGGAGGCTGAGGCAGGAGAATCACTTGAACCTAGGAGGCAGAGGTTGCAGTGAGCCGAGATCACGCCACTGCACTCCAGCCTGGTGACAGAGCAAGACTCCATCTTAAAAAAAAAGGACTAGAAAAGCAAGAAAAACTGAACCCAAAATCAGAAGAAAAGAAATAATAAAGATCAGAGTAGAAATAAATGAATTTGAAATGAAGAAAACAACACTAAAGATCAATGAAACAAAAATTTCATTTTTTGAAAAGATAAACAAAGTTGACAAACCTTTAGCCAGACTAATAAAGAAAACAAGAAAGAAAACTCAAATAAATAAAATCAGAGATGAAAAAGGAGACATTACAACTGATGTGCAGAAATTCAAAAGATTATTAGTGGTAACTATAAGCGACTATATGCCAATAAATTGGAAAATCTAGAGGAAATGGTTAAATTTCTATACACATACAACATACCAAGATTGAACCATGAAGAAATCCAAAACCTGAATAGACCAATAACAAGTAAGAAGATCAAAGCCATAATAAAAAGTCTTCCAGTAAACAAAAGCTTGGAACCTGATAGCTTCACTGCTGATTCTATCAAACATTTAAAGAAAAACTAATACCAATCCTACTCAACCTATTCTAAAAAATAGAGGAGGAGGGAATACTTCCAAACTCATTCTATGAGGCCAATATTACCCTGACACCAAAACAAGACAAAGATACATCAAAGAAGGAAAAATGCAGGTCATTATCTCTAATGAATATTGATGCAAAAAATCCTCAACAAAATACTTGCAAACCAAATTTAACAATACATTAAAAAGATCACTCATCGGCTGGGCGCGGTGGCTCACACCTGTAATCCCAGCACTTTGGGAGGCTGAGGCAGGTGGATCACGAGGTCAGGAAATCGAGACCGTCCTGGCTAACATGGTGAAACCCCGTCTCTACTAAAAATACAAAAAAATTAGCTAGGCATGGTGGCGGGCGCCTGTATTCCCAGCTACTTGGGAGGCTGAGGCAGGAGAATGACATGAACCCAGGAGGCGGAGCTTGCAGTGAGCCGAGATCGCGCCACTGCACTCCAGCCTGGGCGACAGAGCGAGACTACGTCTCAAAAAAAAAAAAAAAGATCACTCATCTCATGTCCCCTTCAGTGACATGGATGGAGTTGGAGACCATTATCCTTAGCAAACTAACCCAGGAACAGAAAACTAAATACCATATGTTCTCAATTGTAAGTGGGAACTAAATGGTAATAACACATGAACACATAGAGGGGAACAACACACACTGGGGCCTACTGGAGTGTGGAGGATAGGAGAAGGGAGAAGATCAGGAAAAATAACTAATGGGTACTAGACTTAATACCTGGGTGATGAAATAATCTGTACAACAAACCCCCATGACACAAGTTTACCTATGTAACAAACCTGCACGTGTACCCCTGAACTTAAAATAAAAGTTAAAAAAAAAAGGATCCCTCATCATGACCTAGTGGGATTTATTGCAGGAATGCAAGATGGTTCAACATATGCAAATCAATCAATATCATGTATCATATCAACAGAATGAAGGATAAAAACCATTTAATCATTTCAACTGATGCTGAAAAAGCATTTGATAAAATTCAACATCCCTTCATGATAAAAGCCTTCCAAAAAGTGTGTATGGAAGGAACATATCTCCACATAATAAAAGCCATATATGACAGACCCACAGCTACTATCATATTGAATGGGGAAAAACTGAAAGCCTTTCCTGTAAGATCTGAAACATAACAAGGGTGTCCACTTTCACCAGTTATTCAACATAGTACTAGAACTCGTAGCTAGAGCAATCAGACAAGAGAAGGAAAGAAATAAAGGGCATCCAAATTGGAAAGGAAAAGGTCAAATTATCATTGTTTCCAGATTATTTAATCTTTTTTTTTTTTTCTCAGATGGAGTTTCACTCTTGTTGCCCAGGCTGGAGTGCAATGGTGTGATCTTGGCTCACCACAACCTCTACCTCCCGGGTTCAAGAGTTTCTCCTGCCTCAGCCTCCCAAGTAGCTAGGATTACAGACATGTGCCACCATGCCCGGCTAATTTTGCATTTTTAGTAGAGACAGGGTTTCTCCATGTTGGTCAGCTGGTCTCGAACTCCCAACCTCAGGTGATCCGCCCACCTCAGCCTCCCAAAGTGCTGAGATTACAGGCGTGAGCCACCACTCCCAGCCTATATAACTTTATATTTGGAAAAACCTAAAGATTTCACCAAAAAACTACTAGAAGTGATAAATTCAAATTCAGTAGAGTTGCAGGATACAAGATTAACATATAAAACATAGTAACATTTCTATATGCCAATGTCAAAAATCTGAAAAATCAATCAAAAAATAATCCCATTTACAATAGCCACAAATAAAATTAAATACCTAGGAATTAACCAAAGAAGTGAAAGATCTCTACAATGAAAACCATCAAACACTGATGCAAGAAACGTTTTCACACACACACAAAAAAAGATATTCCATATTAATGGATTGGAAGAATTGATATTGTTAAAATGTCCATACTATTCAAAGCCATCTACAGTTTCAATGCAACCCCTATCAAAGTACCAATGACATTCTTCACATAAATAGAAAAAACAGTTCTAAAATTTATGTAGAACCACTAAAGACCCAGAATAGCCAAAGCTATCCTGAGCAAAAAGAAAAAAACTGGAGGAATCACATTACCTGACTTCAAATTATACTACAGAGCTATAGTAACCAAAAGAGCATAGTACTGGCATGAAAGCAGATGCATAGATCATGGAACAGAATGGACAACCCAGAAATAAACCCACACACCTACAGTGAACTCATTTTTGACAAAAGTGCCAAGAACATACATTGGAGAAAATAGTCTCTTCAATAAATGGTGCTGGGAAAACTGGATATCCATATGCAGAAGAATGAAACTTGATCCCTATCAAATCAAAATGGATTAAAGGCTTAAATCTAAGACCTCAAACTATGAAATTACTACAAGAAAACATTGGGGAAAATCTCCAGGACATTAGACTGAGCAAAAATTTCTTGAGTAGTACCCCACAGGCACAGGCAACCAAAGCAAAAATGGACAAATGAGATCACATCAAGTTAAAATGCTACTACACAGTGAAGGGAACAATTAACAAAATGAAGAGACAACCCACGAAATGGAAGAAAATATTTGCAAACTACCCATCTGACAAGGGATTAATAACCAGAATATATAGGAGCTCAAATAACTCAATAGGAAAAAAATCTAATAATCTGATTTTTTAAATGGGCAAAAGATTTGAATAGACATTTCTCAAAAGAAGATATACAAATGGCAAGCAGGCATATGAAAAGGTGCTCAACATCACTAATCATCAGAGAAATGCAAATCAAAACTACAATGAGATATCATCTCACTCCAGTTAAAATGGCTTTTATCCAAAAGACAAGCAATAACTAACAAATGCTGGAGAGGATGTAGAGAAAAGGGAACCCTCACATGCTCTTGGTGGGAATGTAAGTTAGTACAACCATTATGGAGAACAGTATGGGGGTTTCTCGAAAAACTAAAAATAGAGCTACCATATGATCCAGCAATCCCACTGCTGGATAAATACCCAAAAGAAGGGAAATCTGTATATCAAAGAGACAGCTGCACTCCCGTGTTTGTTGCAGCACTGTCTGCAATAGCCAAGATTTGGAAGCAACCTAAGTGTCCATCAATAGATGAATGGATAAAGAAAATGTGCTACTTATACACAATGGAGTACTATTCAGCCATAAAAAAGAATGAGATCTTATCATCTGCAACAACATGGATGGAAGCAGAGGTCATTATGTTAAGTGAAATAAGCCAGGCACATAAAGACAAACATCCTATGTTGTCCCTTATTTGTGGGATGTAAAATCAAAACAATTGAACACATGGAGATAGAGAGTAGAATGATGAGTATCAGAGGCTGGGAAGGGTAGTGGAGGGCAGAGGGGGGGTGGAGATGCTTAATGGGTACAAAAAAAGTAGAAAGAATAAATAATACCTAGTATTTGATAACACAACAGGATGACTATAGTCAAAATAGTTTAATTGCACATTTTTAAATAACTGAAAGAGTATAACTGGATTTTTTTGTAACACAAAGGATATATGCTTGAGGGAATGAATACCCTATCTTCCATGATGTGATTATTACACATTGTATACCTGTACCAAAACATCTCATGTATCCCATAAATATATATACTTACTGTGTACCCACAAAAATTAAAAATTAAATATTTATAAAAACAAAAATAAAAGTAACTTTCTACCCATCTAAAACTGCTAATTGCAAAAGACATGCCAGTTACTGGCATTGTTATATAAAAAAGCTGGAAGCAGTGAAGCCAATGAGAAATAAGATCCCACTTCTGATGAAAACGGACCAATGAGAAGTAAACTCCTGCTTCTAACAACAATTGAAAGCAAAACTTTATACTAAGATTGGTCAAGGACATGCCAGTGAGTTGTAGATCTAGCTTTTTTAGGCATCAAGTTGTAATGTTATTCGATTAATAATTTCCTCCGTGACAGCCAAAGCCATGGTCCAAAAGGAGTGATCTTCACTGCCCAGCCATGAGAGCAATCTGCTTGGAGATGCCATTCTCCTCCCTCCCTCCACCTCCTACCTCTTCCTCTCACTGGCTGAACCCAATGGGATGCCAGAAAATGGCCATGGATGCAGTACATTCCATACAACATAGTGTAAATATGTTTTCAAATCGGAGGTTTGCTGATATAACTGGAAAATCCAAGAAAAAAAATCAGATACAGTACACGTCTCCAAGTGTTTTCAAATAGGGAAATAATCATATTAAAATGTAGATTCCTGGCTTCTCTTAAAAGCTGAAAGATCCCCCAGCTGCGATGGCTCATGCCTGTAATCCCAGCACTTCGGAAGGCCGAGGCGGGTGGATCACTTGAGGTCAGGAGTTTGAGACAAGCCTGGCCAACATGGTGAAACCCCATCTCTACTAAAAATACAAAAATTAGCTGGGCGTGGTGGCAGGCACCTGTAGTCCCAGCTACTAGTGGGGCTGACGCAGGATAATCACTTGAACCTGGGAGGCAGAGGCTGCGGTGAGCCGAGATCTCGCCACTGCACTACAGCCTGGGCGACAGAGCTGGACTCCGTCTCAAAACAAAACAAACAAAAAATTTTTTTAATCTGGCAACACCAGATCTATTTTCTGTAGGGCAGCACTCAACTGGAACTGAGTAACTGCAGCTGCTCTAGACAAGGCATGCCCTCTCCAGCTTTCCCCCGGACCTACCACCTTCTCATGTGAGGCTGACGGTGTTTTCACCCTTGAGTTGTCAATCAGCAACAGGCTTGCAGGGTGTTTTCTTATAATAGAAAAGCATCCCTATACACCAACAACAGACAAACAGAGAGCCAAATCATGAGTGAACTCCCATTCACAATTGCTTCAAAGAGAATAAAATACCTAGGAATCCAACTTACAAGGGATGTGAAGGACCTCTTCAAGGAGAACTACAAACCACTGCTCAAGGAAATAAAAGAGGATACAAACAAATGGAAGAACATTCCACGCTCATGGGTAGGAAGAATCAATATCGTGAAAATGGCCATACTGCCCAAGGTAATTTACAGATTCAATGCCATCCCCATCAAGCTACCAATGCCTTTCTTCACAGAATTGGAAAAAACTACTTTAAAGTTCATATGGAACCAAAAAAGAGCCCACATCGCCAAGTCAATCCTAAGCCAAAAGAACAAAGCTGGAGCCATCACACTACCTGACTTCAAACTATACTACAAGGCTACGGTAACCAAAACAGCATGGTACTGGTACCAAAACAGAGATATAGATCAATGGAACAGAACAGAGCCCTCAGAAATAATGCCGCATATCTACAACTATCTGATCTTTGACAAACCTGAGAAAAACAAGCAATGGGGAAAGGATTCCCTATTTAATAAATGGTGCTGGGAAAACTGGCTAGCCATATGTAGAAAGCTGAAACTGGATCTCTTCCTTACACCTTATACAAAAATCAATTCAAGATGGATTAAAGACTTAAACGTTAGACCTAAAACCATACAAACCCTAGAAGAAAACCTAGGCATTACCATTCAGGACATAGGCATGGGCAAGGACTTCATGTCTAAAACACCAAAAGCAATGGCAACAAAAGCCAAAATTGACAAATGGGATCTAATTAAACTAAAGAGCTTCTGCACAGCAAAAGAAACTACCATCAGAGTGAACAGGCAACCTACAAAATGGGAGAAAATTTTCGCAACCTACTCATCTGACAAAAGGCTAATATCCAGAATCTACAATGAACTCAAACAAATTTACAAGAAAAAAACAAACAACCCCATCAAAAAGTGGGCGAAGGACATGAACAGACACTTCTCAAAAGAAGACATTTATGCAGCCAAAAACCACATGAAAAAATGCTCATCATCACTGGCCATCAGAGAAATGCAAATCAAAACCACAATGAGATACCATCTCACACCAGTTAGAATGGCAATCATTAAAAAGTCAGGAAACAACAGGTGCTGGAGAGAATGTGGAGAAATAGGAACACTTTTACATTGTTGGTGGGACTGTAAACTAGTTCAACCATTGTGGAAGTCAGTGTGGCGATTCCTCAGGGATCTAGAACTAGAAATACCATTTGACCCAGCCATCCCATTACTGGGTATATACCCAGAGGACTATAAATCATGCTGCTATAAAGACACATGCACACGTATGTTTATTGCGGCATTATTCACAATAGCAAAGACTTGGAACCAAGCCAAATGTCCAACAGTGATAGACTGGATTAAGAAAATGTGGCACATATACACCATGGAATACTATGCAGCCATAAAAAAGGATGAGTTCATGTCCTTTGTAGGGACGTGGATGAAATTGGAAACCATCATTCTCAGTAAACTATCACAAGAACAAAAAACCAAACACCGCATATTCTCATTCATAGGTGGGAATTGAACAATGAGATCACATGGACACAGGAAGGGGAACATCACACTCTGGGGACTGTTGTGGGGTGGGGGGAGGGGGGAGGGATAGCACTGGGAGATATACCTAATGCTAGATGACGAGTTAATGGGTGCAGCACACCAGCATGGCACATGTATACGTATGTAACTAACCTGCACAATGTGCACATGTACCCTAAAACTTAAAGCATAATAATAAAAAATAAATAAATAAATAAATAAGAAAAAAATAATAGAAAAGTCCTTTTCTGTATTTACGTCTCTACTAAATGGGAAAACAAAAGATAGACGAAGAAGGCAGAATTATTCCTGAAAAATGGAAGAGAACATGTTTCTTATGAAAGGGAAGAGTATTCCTATGTTTTAATATGCACACAAAGTATTTCTTTATCAAATGAACACAAATGAAGAGACCGTCTGTCCACGGGAACAGAAAACCACATATGGCATGTTCTCACTTATAAGTGGGAGCTGAATGATGAGCACACACAAACACAAAGAGGGGAACAGACACTAGGGCCTACTAGAGGGTGGAGGGTGGGAGGAGGGAAAGGATCAGAAAAAATAACTATTGGGTAACCAGGCTTAATACCTGGGTAACAAAATAATCTGTACAACAAACCCTCATGACACAAGCTTACCTATATAACAAACCTGTACAGGTACCCCTAAACCTAAAATAAAAGGTTTTTTTTTAAAAAAAAAAAAAAAAAAAAAAAAAAAAAAAAAAAAAAAAAGGCTGGGCACAGTGGCTCATGCCTGTAATCCCAGCACTTTGGGAGGCTTAGGCAGGAGGATTGTTTGAGCCCAGGAGTTTGAGACCAGCCTGGGCAACAAACCAAGATTCCATCTCCTAAAAAAGAAAAGGAGACCATTTGTTTTTACCCATCCCTTCACTCAATTATGTTACTTGCCTGGACTCTGCTGGTATTTCAGCTTGAGATCCCAGACCAGAGCCATGCAGGTAGAAAACAGAAAAATCACCTAAATTTCATGTAATTGCCCGCAGTATTCTTTATTCTTTATTACTTATCGCTATACCCTGCCACTGGTGTTAAACTTCTGTATGTTTCTGAGCCCAGGAGCTATCTTCGTCCTCTAAGTAACTTGTGGCATCTAGAGCTCAAAGGTTTTGTGGCATTGCGAGGTGGGGCCAGGAGCGGTGGCTCAAGCCTGTAATCCCAGCACTTTGGGAGACCAAGGCGGGCAGATCAAGGTCAGGAGTTCAAGACCAGCCTGGCCAACATAGTGAAATCCTGTCTCTGCTAAAAATACAAAAATTAGCCAGTCGTGATGCTACACACTTGTAGTCCTAGCTACTAGGGAGGCTGCATTGGGAGGATCGCTTGAAGCTGGGATGTGGAGGTTGCAGTGAGCTGAGATCGCGCCACTGTACTCCAGCCTGGGCAAGAGTGAGACCCTGTCAAAAAAGAATGAAAGAACGAAAGAACGAAGGAAGGCAAGGCAAGGTAAGGCAAGGCGGAAGGAGAGGGAAAAAGAAGAGTGCAAGAACAAAACTATAACAGACACAAATAATTAAAAATTAAAGGCCAGTCATGGTGCTCACACCTGTAATACCAACACTTTGGGAGGCCAAGGCAGAAGGATTATTCAAGGCCAAGAGTTCAAGACCAGCTTAGGCAACATAGTGAGACCCTATTTCTACTAAAAAATTTTTTAATTAGCCAGACACAGTGGCTCACACATGTAGTAGTCCCAGCTACTCAGAAGGCTGAGACAGGAGGATTGCTTGAGCCCAGGAGTTCAAGGTTACAGTCAGCTATGATCACACCACTGCATTCCAGCCTGGGTAACAGAGTGAGCTCTTATCTCTATAAAAATAATAATAAAAACAACAAAATTGAAAGGAGACAATTCAAGCAGGAAGAATTTAATACAGGGAATTCATTACTTGAGTGATAGAAGAGCTGAGAAGCTAAACAGACAACAAGTTAATGCAGAGATTAGCAATAAATACCTGGAAGTTTTGCCACTGCTAGGGCTGATAGGACACAAGACAGGGGGGTGATACCAAAGCCAGGAGCCAGGCCTGCCGGTGGAAATCAGAAGGGCAGAGGCTACCTACCATGAGCTGGGACTACAGAAAAAGGGCTGTAGAACCTAGAATCATGGAGGAGACTGAGCCACTGCCAAAGAAACCACCTGACATCCTCTGCCAGCTCCTCTCATTGTCCACACTTACTCAGAAATGTAGGTTTGATACAGACAAAACAGGAAAAGAGTAGAGAATAAGTCTAGGAGCAATTGACAAATGACTAGAAATCAGGTTTTAAGGGATTTAAAAGGAATTGGGGAATAAGAAACAGAAGCAGCAAATGTAGACCACACATTTCAGCAGTTTGTTCTGTTTCAATATTTCAGTGCAAACTTCCATTGTTTGCATTCTTCCTGTATTCTTAAGATTTTCAAGAAACTAATTCCAAAAAGCCTACTTATTAAAAAGCTCTGTTTCAAATTATGCTGCCCGAGATGAAATAGCTTTTTCCCAAGTTTCTCCTTCCTCTTTTCTACTGAAATTTATAACCTCCTCATTAACTTATAATTCCTTTTTTCTCAGAATATTAATGAAGATAATAAATAAGTGTATGATTCTCCCCAATAACATCCTGAATTCCCTCCTGGTATAAGCTCTTCTTATAAAAATGTTTAACTATTCTTTAATCAGGAATTAAATGCAGAATGCTGGGCCAGGTGTGGTGGCTCACTCCTGTAATCCCAGCACTTCAGGAGGCTGAGGTGAGAGGATCACTTGAGCCCAGGAGTTTGAGACCAGCCTGGGCAACATAGTGAGACCCTATCTCTACAAAAAATACAAAAATTAGCAAAGCATGGTGGCACGTGCCTGTAATCCCAGCTACTCAGGAAGCTGAGGTAGGAGGATCGCTTGAGCCTAGGAGGTTGAGGCTGCAGTGAGCTGAGATTGCACCACTGCACTCCAGCCTGGGCAACAAAGCAAAACCCTGTCTTGAAAAAATTAAATAAATAAATAAATAGTTTTTTAATACCAGACTGCTGTTCTTGTTATTACTTTGTAATTACAAAACAGTAAATTTATTCACCTAAGAGAAAACCAGCCAGTGATTTAAAATAACATATGAGTAAGAGCTAGGAACACTCCCCTACTGACCAGATAAGGTTTTCCATTAAATCATGTGAATCACCTGAGTACAGAAACGCTATCGTTTTCAAGTTGTCTGTTCCTAAATCAGGTGATTGTTATTTTATCGTATGTCATTTGGTCAGCGAAACAATCTCTAAGTGATTTATGAGAGAATGACATTACAGGGAGACAGAAGACCTAGACCTGGAATTTAAAAAAAAGAAAAACTTAGATCTTATCTTCAGTTTCCTCATCTGAAAAATAAGAATAATCATTGGAGTCCAACTCTCTCATAGAGTTTTGGAAGGTCAAATAAGAGAAGTAGTTGGTTGTTCCTTATAAAATGCAATATAAAAATATAACTTGAGAGCCAGAATGTCTGGGATCCAAACTCAATTCCACCACTAATTTGCCATGTGGCCTCAAGCAAATTCTTCAACTTCTCTGTGCCTCAATTCCCTTGTTTGTAAAAATGGAAAGGGCAGGAAGGCCTTCACCATGACTTGTAACTAATAGGACAAGTGTACAATAGCCCTGCCCCCTTCCTCAACAACGGGACATAGTGCAATTTACACTCAAGAGCTCCCAGTGGATCAGGCTGAGACCACACCTGAAATCCCACCCCTAAGTAGCACCTTCTTTCCTTACTCTGTTTCCTTCTCTCCCTTACCAGTTTTTCCTAAAAGCATTCTCTTAATAAATCTCATGTACACAAAATGTTGTTGCAGGCTCTGCCTCTAGGCAACTCAAACTAAATCAGTACGTGCTACTCTCATAAGGTTGTTCACAATACAGGTAGAACACTTAGAATACCACCTGGAACATAGTAATTGCTCAATAAGTCTGAGCAGAAAATGGTCCAGAAAGAATGTGATATGATGATTAGTCCAGAAAGAATATGATATGATGATTGTGGTAATGATGTTACAAAACCCCTAGCTTATGGTATAGCATGTAAGGTGTTTGGAAGTCACTACTCTATTCTAACAGGTGGAATATGAACAAAAACTGAAAAACCAAAAACTCTTCCTAGATCTGTCAGAGAAGTGAGGTCATGAGGCAAACTTCTGCCCATAAAATTGGAGAGACAGACAGATACAGAGAATCACAACTTATCAGAGCAGAAACTTCCACAGGAACCAGTTCTAGGGTAGGAAAACTCATGAATTGCTGGAGCCTCAGTGTGGACAAACTCCTAGGGGATCCAGTCATTGAGGGGGTCCCCACATTTTTGTGAGTTTTACCTCCAGAACCTCTACCAAATTCTCAGAGAGAAGACTGGAGAAAAATTCCTCCTGGCTTCTAGTCAGGAAAGGGGGAAAAGAATCATTTTTACATGCACCAGAGCATTTTGTTTTTCTTATCAAGGCCTGCCCTCAAGAGAAACTATGGTTACTACAGCCTAACCTATTGGGGTTTATTAGACCTAACCAACCCAAAGGAAGGGAAACACCCAACTGCAGCACTCCCGAGCCATTCTGTCCAACCTCAGAAAGGAATAAACTGAGAAGCACTTGTGAAGTTCACAGTCCAACAGCACAGGCACACTAAAAGCCCCAGTCACAGCAAATCATAGCACTACAGATTGCTTCCCCTCCTCCCACACCTTACCACCACATCACTTAAGGCCTATTTATAGAGATTTATTTTTACCCAGTGATATGGTTTGGGTCTGTGACCCCACCCAAATCTCATGTCAAATTGTAATCCCCAGTGTTGGAGGTGTGGCATGGTGGGAGGTGATTGGATCACGGGGGCAGATTTCCCCCTTGGTGCTGTTCTTGTGACAGTGAGTAGGTTCCCATGAGATCTAGTCATTTAAAAGTGTGTGGCACCTCCATCCCAACTCTCTCAAAGGCTGCAGAAATTTGCATAAGTGAAAAGGAGCCAAGTACTAATATCCAAGACAATGAAGAAAAGTCCTTGAAAGCATTTCAGAGACCTTCTCGGCAGACCCTCCTGGAGGCCTAAGAGGGAAGGATGGTTTCAGGGGCTGAGCCCAAGGCCCTGCAGCCCTGTACAGCCTCAAGACACTGCTCCCTGAATCCCAGCTGCTCCAGCTCCAGCCATAGTTCAAAGGGGCTCAGGTACAACTTGGGCTGCTGTAGGCCCTTTAGAAGGTGCAAGCCATAAACCTTGGCAGTTTTGACAAAGTGTTAACCCTATGGGTTTGCAGAGTGCAAGAGTTGAGGCTTAGGAGCCTCCACCTAGATATTAGAAGATGTGTGGAAAAGCCTGGATGTCCAGACAGAAGCCTGCTCCAAGGGTGGAGCCCTCGTGGAGAACCTCTTCTAGAGCAGTGCAGAAGGGAAATGTGGGGTTGGAGCCCCCACACAGAGTCCCCACTGGGGCACTGCCTAATGGAGCTGTGAGAAGAGGGCCACCATCCTCCAAACCCCAAAATGGTAGATCCACTGGCAGCTTGCACCGTGCACCTGGAAAAGGCACAGGCACTCAACACCAGCCCATGAAAGCAGCCACAGAGGTAGAGCTGCTCACAGCCTTGGGAGCCTACCTCTCACACCAGTGTGTCCTGGATGTGGAACATGGAATCAAAGGAGATTATTTTGAAGCTTTAAAGCTTAATGACTGCCCTGCTGGGTTTCAGACTTGCATGGGACTTGTATCCCCTTTTTTTTGGCTGATTTCTCCCTTTTGGAACAGGAGTATTTACCCAATGCCTATACCTCCACTGTATCTTGGAAGTAACTAACCTTTTTTTATTTTACAGGCTCATAGGCAGAAGGGATGAGCCTTGTTTTAGATGATACTTTGGACTTTGGACTTTCAAGTTAATGCTGGAATGAACTAAGACTTTGGGGGACTGTTGGGAAGTCATGATAGCATTTTGCAGTGTGAGAAGGACATGAGATTTGGGAGGGGCCAGGGGTGGAATGATATGGTTTTGATCTGTGTCCCTGCCCAAATCTCCTATCAAATTGTAATTCCCAGTGTTGGAGGTGGGGCCTGGTGGGAACTGATTGGATCATGGGGGTGGGTTTCCCCCTTGGTACTGTTCTCATGATAGTGAGTGAGTTCTTGTGAGATCTGGTCATTTAAAAGTGTGTGGCACCTCCTCCCCCCTCTCTTGCTCCTGTTCTGGCCATGTGGGATGCTTAACTCCCCCTTTGCCGTCCATCATGATTGGAAGTTTCCTGAGGCCTCCCCTGAGAAGCTGATGCTGCCATGCTTCCTGCACAACCTGCAGAACTGTGAGCCAATTAATCCTCTTTTCTTCATAAATTACCTAGTTTCAGGTATTTCTTTACAGGAATGTGAAAACAAACTAATACAGCCAGTATATCATGTCAGTTTTCAACAACAACAACAAAATGACAAGGCAAACTGAAAGACAAAAGCCAAGTCTGAAGAGACCAGAGCAAACATCACAACCAGGCTCAGATATGGCAGAGATGTTGGAATTATCAGACTGGGAATTTAAAACAACTATGATTAAATGTTAAGGGCTGTAATGGGAAAATTAGATCGCATGCAAGAACAAATGGTTAATGTAAACAGAGAGAGGAAATTCTGGGAAATAACCAAAAATAAATGCTAAAGATCAAAGGTACATTACAAAAATTGAGAACGCCTTAGACAAGCCTACTAGTAGACTGGACACAGCTGAGGAAAGAATTTCTGAGCTACAGTGTATGTCAATAGAAACTTCTAAAACTAAAGAACAAGGAGAAGAAACATTTTAAAATGCAAACTGGAATATCCAAAGAACTGTGGGACAACCACAAAACCTTTGGCTTTCCAAAAATCTCAGATAAACTCATAATATTTAAAAAGGACCTCAGTTTTCCACCAGCTCAGGCTCCAGATAAATGAAAATTTTCTGACACTGAGTTAGGCCACCAGCTGCCATTAGTATGGTATTAGAGAAGAGGTGAGTTCCCAGATTGGATCTCAGTGGCGTATCCCTGGACAAAAGGGAGTAGAAAGGAAATAGAAGAAAATAGCATGGCTTCTGGACTTAAATTTTTATAAGGTCAAGAACCTTGTTAAATCCCTAAAGCCTAGCAAGTGTCTAGCACATAGTCATAAAACTGTAAATAATTGTTGGGCACAGTGCTCACCTCTGTAGTAATCCCAGCGCTTTGGGGGGCTGAGGTGGGAGGATCACTTTAGCCCAGGAGTTTGAGACTAGCCCGGGCAACATGGCAAGATCCTGTCTCTACAAAAGAAAAAAAATTGTAATTAGCAGGGCACCATAGTGTGTACCTATGCTCCTGGCTACTAGGGAGGCTGAGGTGGGAGAATCGCTTGAGCCAAGGAGGTTGTGGGTGCAGCAAGCCATGATCATGCCACTGCACTCCAGCTGGGTGACAGAGCAAGACCCTGTCTCAGAAAACTGTAAATAATTATTTAATGTGATTGTTTTAAACATATGTCCATAAATTCTTTGATATGCCTCTCCTTAAAAGGTAGAGTTTAATTTCCCTCTGAGTGTGGACTGAACTTACTGGGTCACATATATTGATTAGAATATGGAAGAAGTGATAGAAATATCACTTCCAAGATTAGGTTGTCCAAAGACTGGGATTTCCACCTGCTGTTCACACTCTCTCTCTCCCTCTTTCTCCTGGATCCCTCACTATGAGGGAAGCCATGTCATAAGCAGTCCTATAAAAAGGCCCACATGGCAATGAGCTAAAGCCTCCTGCCAACAGCCATGAGAGAACTGGGAATGGATCCTGGAGCCCTTCAGATAATAGCAGCCCAATAGCTTAACTGCAACCTCGTGAGAGACGTCAACCCAGTGTCTTGGTTCCCAACCTACAAAAACTATGAGATAATGTTTTTTTTAATTTGTTATAAAATTTGGGGTAATCTGTTACACAGCAATAAATAACTAATAATGTGGAAAGACAATAAAATTCCAGATATCAGTAGTTTGATTAAAGAATAAGGGCAAAATACCAAGACTAGGAATAAGAGGGGTTACACTGGAAATGGAGTTATCTGTGTGAATAAAGGGCGTTGGGAGAAGCAAACTGACGCTTCTCCAAATGTCAGCATGCCAATATAGAAAAAGCAGAAAGAAATATGAACTATAGCAAGCTCAGTGGAAACTGGATTCTTAAATTCATTGAGGTCTCTGTTACTGTGGGGTACACTACCAAGAGAAACTGAGTAACATTAAACAAATGCAAAGTGCTATCATTAAGGAGCAAGTGAACAGAAACTTTTTCCCTTGGGGAAAGAGAGCAAAGACAAATCATCAGACCATTAAAAAAGATCAAGAATTAATCTTTACTCTTCTGCAGCTAGAACAAGGAATACCAGATAATACAAACTCTTTGTATTCAGAGTCGCTTTTTCTGGTCACCTGAATATAAATTAATAAAGTGTTTGTATAAATTCAATCTTAACTAGATGAATTTCAATAAACTTTCCATAATTATACATTAATAGATTCCCCAGAAATTTTCCACCATGTTCAACTTTTCCTAGGCAGCTCTTGCAGCTTTTTTCCCGAAGTTTGAATTACTATGTGATGACCCTGTTTGTCCCCCTGGCATTATGATGGGGGTGAAGTCCAGCAGGGCTAAGACTTGAGTTCTGGTCCCAGCTCTATCTAACCAGTCACAGGACCTCAAATAGGACCTTTCCTTTCTGAAACCTACCTCCTTATATGTCAAACAGAGTTGATAATGCCATACTTCACAGCACTGATGTCAGAATAAATAATAGATGAAAAAGCGCTTGGGAAACTGTAAAGTACAGTGCAAATTGGAAAGGTGAATTCCTTTTAGTGGCCATATTTTTCAAAGAAGGCCGCCTCTCAGCTACTGTCCTTTCCTCCGTCATTTTAGATCTTTTATTAATAGGAAATGTTCTCTCCAGTATCCGCTCTCCCTTTGATTATAACAATAACGATATATCTGTGCTTTCACCCACCCGCCCACCTCCTTTCCTCTCCTGTTGTTCACATTATTATTTCTGCCTTCTCAGAGCCTGCTCTCCATTTCCTTTCACTCCCTCTCTGCCTTCCTCCATATGGGAGACATTTCTCCCCAGTAACTGCTTCAGGCCTGCCCTTGAAAAAACCATGGTGGAGTCATTCTGTTATCTCTTTTCAGGAGAAAGAGCTACCTGCCCAGCGAGGGCTTGTGCCACAACTCTAAATGTCAGGTCTGAATTACCTGGGCCAGTGCAGTCCAGGACTGCCTATAGCCCAGGGATACTTACATTCTGACCAACACTTTCTCGCTTTCCTAAGGCACCAAATTCTCCAGTGTTTTAAATTCCAGGAGATCTTATCTCCTACCAAGTTGGCCTACACCGCTTTCCCACAGGGAGGCAGTTGGTGATTAAGAACATAGGCTTCAGGTCAGGCCGAGGCAGGCAGATAACAAGGTCAGGAGTGCAAGATCAGCCTGGCTAATGTGGTGAAACCCCATCACCACTAAAAATACAAAAATTAGCCGGGTGTGGTGGTGCACACCTGTAATCCCAGCTACTCGGGAGGCTGAGGTAGGAGAATCACTTAAACCCGGGAGGCGGAGGTTGCAGTGAGCCAAGATCACACCATTGCACTCCAGCCTGGGCAATAGACTGAGACTCCATCTCAAAAAAAAAGAGAAAGAAAAAGAACATGGGCCTGAGAATAGAATGAGTCACCCTGGGCAAGTGACCTAAACTTTCTGGGCTCCAGTTGTCTCATGAGGATAATGTCTGCCTCCCAAGGTCACAGGTATGTGTCAAATAGGACCCGTATATAGAGTGCCAAAAAATGTGCCAGGCACAGAAAATGGCTCCATAAATGTTAACTAACCAGTGATCATTACTGTTCACAAGGTTTCAGTTCTCCTCTCAAGCTATCCTGGCCTCCTGCTGCCACATTCCTTTCCTCTTTCAAAGTTCTCATTCCCTTTCTTCCTGCTGATCCTAATAGGCCCATTAGGGCCCACCCCTCTGCAAAGCTCTTCTTGCCACATCAGCCTACAATGAGGTCTTCCTCATTAGAGCTCTCATAGGCCTTGTCTTAACCACTCATTTACTTGTCGTGTTCTTCTTAGTGCTGTTCATTACCTTTCTACACGTGATGCCATTTAGACTGAGCAAGCTTTATTTGCTGATTTTGTGACTTGTTATAAGTACTTTACCAAAAAGTACTTTACCTTTATATAGGCCCAGTCACGTGGATGCTGAATTTTGAAACAATATAAGGATACGCCAATGATTAACACTGAACGGATCAGTGTCAGCCACATTTAGAGTCCAGCAGTGGGCCAGGATTTCCTTGCAGCTCCCTTTGTGTTTTCTAGAGATGGTCCAACTGATAAGAGGATACAGTTCCAACACTGCTTTGTCAGTAAAATCATCAGAAATGGAAATAATAAAAGAGATATAGACTTGTGTTCTGGAGTGGTAGTGAGAAGATTCTACAGTTAAAAGGTAATCAGATAAAAGTCATTAGCTTCTAATTAAGATCATCTGGCTGGAAATTGCAAAATGTACACCTGGAAGTCTTGATCTTTAAAACAGATAAAACCTGGGGCAAGGTTAGTAAAGTTGAAAAGGAGGGCCAGCAATAGACAGCAAGAAGGGGCAGTCAGGAGAAAGAGATGTCCCACCACATCATAGGTGCCAGGGCAGGGCTTCCCAGGACCCAGGAATAGATTTCAGCAGCCCCTACAAACTGAGGACGCCCTCTGGAAAGACCACATACTCCTTCGCCTCTCCTCCTGGCCCTATCCAAAGAGACTAAATCAGGGCTATTCCCAAGGCCAATATTAAAGGGGGCCTAGGATGATTGCAAGGATCCCTACCCAAAGAAATCTCTCCCCACCAACTTGCTGATTCTTAAAAAGCCTTTTTTCCTGCAATTAGAGACTGAGGTTTAAAAGGTAAATGCAGTTCACATATTGACTAAACAATCAACAAATGCAGACCGTGCCAAACCACCCTTTCTGGGTTTTATTTGGGTATGAGGGAATCAAAAACACCAGTGAAGGATGAGACTCCAAAGTGAGTCAACCAACTGTTAACTTCAAAGCCAAAGAGAATTTGTGTTCCAGGATAGCTTTCTCCAGCTGTGCTGGTATGCACAAAGGCAGCTCTGCTACTTAGGACACTTTGTGACTCTAGTAAGGTATAGACTTGAACTGCAAGCAACTCTAAACCCTCCAAGAAGTGAAACATCTTAAGGCTAGACAAGGTAGAAAAAGGTGAGCACTAGCAAACCACATGGGCCTGCCCTGGAACTGTGCCACAGTCAAAGTACAGTGGTTAGTAGTCAGAATAATTTTTGAAGAGATTTTCTCCACACATGTCAATTAGCATTGAAGGGAGTTGATATGGACTGAACTGTGCTCCCCCTCCACCATCCACATATTAAAGCCTTAACCCCCCATGTGACTGTATTTGGAGATAGGGCTTTTAAGGAGGTAATTAAGATTAAATAAGGTTGTAAGGAAGGAGGCTTAATTCAATAGAACTTGTGTCCTTATTTAAAAAAAAAAAAAAGGGCCAGAAACAGTGGCTCACACCTGTAATCCCAGTACTTTGGGAGGCCGAGGCAGGCAGATCACGAGGTCAGGAGATAAAGACCATCCTGGCTAACATGGTGAAACCCCATCTCTACTTAAAATACAAAAAATTAGCCAGGCGTGGTGGCAGGCGCCTGTAGTCCCAGCTACTCGGGAGGCTGAGGCAGGAGAATGGCCCGGGAAGCGGAGCTTGCAGTGAGCTGACATCGTGCCACTGCACTCCAGCCTGGGCGACAGAGTAAGACTCCGTCTCAAAAAAGAAAGAAAGAGAAGATCAGGCATGGTGGCTCATGCCTGTAATCCCAGCACTCTGGGAGGCTAAGGCAGGCAGATCACCTGAGGTCAGGAGTTCGAGAACAGGCTGGCCAACATGGTGAAAGCTATCTCTATTAAAAATACAAAACTTAGGCGTGGTGGCACATGCCTGTAGTCCCAGCTACTCAGGAGGCTGAGGCATGAGAATAGCTTGAGCCCGGGAGGCAGAGGTTGCAGTGAACCAAGATCACACCACTGCACTCTAGCCTAGGTGACAGAGCAAGACTCTGTCTCAAAAAAAAAAAAAAGTAAAGGAAGAGACACTGGAAATACATGTACACAAAGGCACTATGAGGACACAACGAGAAGGCAGCCATCTGCAAGCCAGGAAGAGAACTCTCACCAGAAACCAACTCGACCAGCACATTGATATTAGACTGGTAGCCTCCAGAACTATAAGAAAATAAACTTCTATTGTTTAAGCTACTCTGTCTGTAGTATTCTGTTATGGCAGCCTGAGCAGAAAAATACGGGGGTCTAATTTATAACTGTCCAACACACACACACACACACACAGAGAGAGAAAGAGAGAGAGAGAGAGAGAGAGGAAAACTTACCAGCAGAGAAGGCAATAGGAAACTAGGGCTGGCCCCTGCAGAATTCTTTCAATGGGCTCCAGGATAGGGGATGCAATGTCCGTGAATACTCCCTGATATGGTTTGGCTGTGTCCCCACCCAAATCTCATCTTGAATTCCCACGTGTTGTGGGAGGGACCCAGTGAAAGGCAACTGAATCATGGAGGCAGGTCTTTCCCAAGCTATTCTTGTGATAGTAAGTCTCACAAAATCTGATGGTTATTATAAGGGGGAGTTTTCCTGCACAAGCTCTCTTTTGGCCTGCTGCCATCCATGTAAGGCATGACTTGCTGCTCCTTGACTTCCACAATGATTGTGAAGCTTCCCCAGCCATGTGGAACTATAAGTCCAATAAACCTCTTTCTTTTGTAAATTGCCCAGTCTCAAGTATGTCTTTATCAGCAGTGTGAAAACAGACTAATACACTCTCACATTAGTAATTTTTACACCATCCCAACATAGTTATTATAATAGAAGTTTTTTCATAGGGTATTAGTACGTACAGGTCAACAAACACTTATGAGGCACCTACTGTGCCAAGCAGTAAGACAGGGAGTACAAAGATGATGATATCTGCCTTCAAAGACCTTATAGCAGGCTCACCAAGATCCTGGACTGAGCCACGCTCTGCCCACTCCTCCAGGCAGTTCATACTGTGCACCTGAATCATAAGTATTCCCTAATCCTACAGACCCCCAGCTCTCTGAATGGTTTGCTAGTGGACATCTTTTTCTACCTTGTCTTGCCTTAAGAGGTTTTACTTCTTGGAGAGTTTAGAATTGCTTGCATTTCAAAAAGAACCCAAGGTTCTTCATTTGCAGTTTTTCTTGTTTTTGGAAAGCAGAATGGTGGCTGGGAAGAGCTCTGGACATGGAGTTGGGTCTGGATGAGTTCCAGGCTCCCACTTCAAGCTGATGACCCGTCTGACCTAGTCTCAACCATAGGTAAATGAAGACAATAATACTTACCTGATAAAATGTTGTGAGGATTTAAAGAAATGTGTATACTTAAGTGCAAAGTTACATAAACAAAATGCAGTAGTAGCAATAACTATCACGTACAGACTATTCTCTACACACCAGGAACTGTGGTTCTTAGAGATAGAGAAAAAAAAAAGAAGTGTTTTTCCTTTTCTCATAGACTCAACAAAACATTCTGACACCAGGTGTTTGGGGATTTCTTCCCACACATCAAGCAATCAGTGTTCCAGCAGACACCAAATAAATGCCCTTTAATTCAATTCAACTCTGATGCTATCAACCTGGAGATAGCATCAGGCCCCACAGGTTAAGGGCTCCTCTCACAAGACTGCCTCCCACTTCAGATGCCAATTGCAGGCCCCAGGTTGTGACCTGTGCTTCTGCCCAAAAGGCTGTAAATCAGGGTTCCCATGACTTCCTCCCAGGGTTCGATTAATTTGCTACAGCAGCTCACAGAACTCAAAGAAACACCTTACTTACATTTACCCACTTATTATAAAGGATATTCAAAGGATACAGATGGACTGCTGGATGGAAGAGATGAATTGGTCAAGGTGCAGGGGAGGGGCGTAGAGCTTTCATGCCCTTTTGGGCGAGCCAGGCTTCAGGCATCTGCACATGTTCAGCTATCCAGAAGCTCCCCAAGCTGAGTCATTCTGGGTTTTTATGAAGGCTTCATTGCATAGGCACGATTCATTGAATCATTGACCAGTGAAGATCAACCTAACCTTCAGCTTCTTTCCCCTATCTAAAAGTTGAGGGGTGAGGTTGAAAGCCCCAAGGCTCTAATCACATGGTTGGTATCCCTGGCAACCAGCACCCCCACTCCTAAGGCTGAGAGCCCGGGCCACCAGTCATGTCATTAGCATACAAAAAGACACTTACCACTTAAGGGATTTCAAGGGATTTAGGAGCTGTGTGCCGGGATCAAATGGCAGAGACTAAATATATATTTCTTATTATATTACAACATAATGGTGGTCAATCTTCACAATAACCATGACAAGTCTATGACATGGTACTATTATGATCCTCATTTTTACTAATAAAAAAAGCAGTGATTTAAGAAGTTACACAACCTGGCCAAGGTCACAGGACTGAGAATCTGAAGCTTGGTAGTTCAAACTCCTGATCTCTAGGTACCTATTAACTTATTATATTTTCCCCCTGGTTGCATAACCTTTTCATCAATTATCTTAGGTACTTTCAAGTCATTTGGATTTATTCCTGATCATCATAATGTAAAGTATTGATACATACTTTACAGATGAGAGCCGCAAAGAAAAGAAAGAAATATAATAGGTAGAAACTTAAGTAACAGGCTAATCATTAGAAAGGTTTAAGAGAGACTACTCATTCAGGCTGCTGCCAAGTCCACGCCTCTAAATGCACTCCATTACTCTTTTAAAGAACGCTAATGCATGAAGTTGGTTATTATTATCAAATCTCTGACATAAGGGAAATTTTTCTGATTTTTTAACCTTAAAAATTGTTCCTTTTAAATCATCATATTAGACTACCTTTTTTTACCATTCAGACAGGTAAGCAGGAATGTCTTCTTTTTTTTAATTGAAGAAAAGCTTAGTTTTTCCCTGCAACTGCATATAAAGCCTTTTAACTGTGTGATTACTCTGCCATCTAGCTTCCTAAGCCTATATAGCTGTTCATGAGATACTCCTGGGGTATATTAGGGATAAGCACTGCTTTGGTTTAAAATGCCTTGGTTTAGATTACTTAAATGTTCAATGATCACACACACACACACACACACACACGACAATAACAGTAATCATCATGTCTCCTCCTTGTATGAAATGTCAATCTACAACGTTGTAAGAAACCCCTGAGCCAGCTGAAATTTCTTCTTGTTAAATAAAGGTCAACTGAACAGTGTTCTTTCTTTTCAAGTATCTGGAATGCAGATTTTGGACTTAAACTGTGTAAAGTTAACGTGAAAGGCCAACAGATAAATCACTGAGCATTCATCCATCTGTCGTTTGACTAAATCTTATCAATTTAGATGAAAAGAGAAAGCTTTTTCTAGTCGTCTGTGTATGTCATGGGACATACCCTTAAGTTACCCAGAATAGTGTTTATTATAGAAATATTACTGTTCCAGGGTTAAGTGCAGTGGCCCATGCCCGTAATCCTAGCACTTTGGGGGGCTGAGGCGGCAGATCACTTGAGGCCAAAAGTTCAAGACCAGCCTGCTGAGCAAGGTAAACCCATCTCTACTAAAAATTATTATTGTTCCTAGACAATAGTAACATATCCCTTAGGAAATGAAGAAAAATCTCTATTTTTGGCCTGAACCTGGGTTTGAGACCATATGAAATCACAGTCCTTAGAGCCGGCCATGGTGGTGCACATCTGTAGTCCAAGCTACTCAGGAGGCTAAGATGGGAGGATCATTTGAGTCCAAGAGTTTGAGCCCAGCCTGGGCAACATAGTGAGATCCCTCCAACTAAATTTTTAAAAAAACAAACGCTGTCCTTGATTAGAGTCATCAATATCTGGAAATAAATGTCCTCATCTCCCTCAGGGTAGGGGACTCTGTTGCCAGCAGAGTGTGAACACATGAGTGGCAAATAGAGACAAGGTTATTCTCATACCACATGGGACCTGAATCTTTTCCTATGAAATTGCTCCTTTGTGATTAAAGGATTTGTACTCGGTTGCCCTGGAGGTCTTGGTGTTCTACTGTGTTTTTCCAGAGTGGCCCCACTACACAACACACACACATACACACACACACACACACACACACATTTCTTTCTGTTAAGACACCTAATTCTAAGATGTTTTCAGTTTAAAATGAGTAGGAAAAAGGTATGCTTCCTATGCCATCAGCAGTTTTCAGTGAGCAATTGTAATGCAAGAAACAATTATAAAGTGATCAGATATACAATGTGATTTGTCAGAAAAAAATGTGAAAGACCTAGAAATGGACAGGCTGGGCGCAGTGGCTCACGCCTGTAATCCCAGCACTTTGGGAGGCCGAGGCAGGTGGATCACGAGGTCAGCAGATCGAGACCATCCTGGCTAACACGGTGAAACCCCGTCTGTACTAAAAATACAAAAAATTAGACAGGCGCAGTGGCGGGTGCCTGTAGTCCCAGCTACTCAGGAGGCTGAGGCAGGAGAATGGTATGAACCTGGGAGGCAGAGCTTGCAGTGAGCCGAGATTGCGCCACTGCACTCCAGCCTGGGCGACGAGCGAGACTCTGTCTCAAAAAAAAAAAAAAAAAAGAAATGGACCAAAAAGTCTACAGCCATACCATCCTGAACACACCAATCTCATCTGATCTCAGAAGATAAGCAGGGTCAGGCGTCGTTAATACTCAGATGGGAAGAATGAACCAAAAAGATAGCTGAGCATTTTCTGTAAACAAAAAATGAAATCCTAAGCCCCTGCACCAACTGAACAGACTCCGTCTGAGTCAAGGGAGCCACAGAGAAACCTGAAAACCTGACCTCCCAGCCATGACCAGAAAGGAGGTTAGATATGCCTCATTACACCCTCCTCCCTTTTGGAGTTTAGGCACAACTGACAAGCATTAACATTAAAACAGTGATCATAAGACTGACAAAACAGACTCTTTGTGGCAATAAGATACCAAATTCCAACCTGACTCTGGTATAGCATCACATGACAGAGAGCAGACCCTGAAGAAAATGAAAATATGTTACCCCCAAATATATTTATTTGACATATTTTGAAATGGCCCTGAAAAGCTGTCTTTCATAGGGGAAATTTGCATCTTAGAGAATCTTTATTAATATAGTCAGGCCTTTCCTGGATATAGAAGAGATTAACTAAGAGTCTGACACCTTTCATGATTCAAAAAGAGACATTTACTGTCTATTCTCTCTGAAGGCTGTTACCTGGAGGCTTCATCTACATAGCAGGAACCTTGGTCTCTTCTGCTGAGTCATGAAAAGAAAATAAAAAGAACCTAGTCCCCTAAACCCCCTTTATCTTAACTAAAGCATTTCTTTCTATAGTCTTTAGACAAAGCTTAATTCTTCAACCAATTGCCAATTAGAAAATCTTTGAATCCAACTATGATCTGTAAGTTCCTCCTCTTCAAGATATCTCACCTCTGTGTGCTGAACCAATGTACACACTGCATGTATTGATTTATAATTTCAGCTATAATTTCTTTCTCCTTCAAATGTATAAAACCAACCTGTAACCCAACCATTCTGGGCAAACTTTCTCAGAACCTCTTAAGGCTGTTCCTGGGCCATGGTCACTCATATTGGCTCACAATAAACCTCTTTAAATATTTTCCAGAGTTTGGTTTTTTTAAATCAACATTTCAATGGGAAAAAAAATGTATTGTTTCTAGTACTCTCTCCTGGCTTATCTGATTCTATTGATACAGGAGCTAGAAAAAAATTATTTAGGCAGATAGTGAGGGTAAGAGAGTCCTCAGCAAGATTTGCCTTTTAATAAAAATCAGCCCCAAAATCATTTCTTTTCTAACAAACAGCAGCCTGAAAAATCAAGCTGCAGACAGGTAAGCAAGCTGGAAGCTGCATAGGTAAATGCCGGCAGCTGTGCAAATAGAAAAGGGATACCTGGAAGCCAGGTATGTTCAACACGGAGGCTCCATCTTCCCTTTTCTTTGTCACTATGTATGCAGTAAAGAAGCAGGCAACATGGTGCTGGCCAGGTAGAGAACCTATCTGCATAATAAAGGATTAGGGTGGTGAAAGATTAGGGCACAATGTAAATGGCACACCTGGTCCAACCAATCCTTTGCACCCTATGTAAATTAGACACCATCTCTTCAAACTCATCTATAAAACCAACCACCTCTTACTACAAACCAGGACATCCACTCAGAACCGCCTCCCTCTGCATGAGGGAGCTTTTCTCTTTTGCCTATTAAACTTCCACTCTTAAACTCACTCTTTGTGTGTCTGCATCCTTGATTTCCTTGGCATGAGGTACTTCAGGTATTACCCCAGATGGATGATGCTGCTTCACTATTAGGTTTTATTATCTCTGGCCTACTCATAACTCTGTAAATAACTGATAGCAAAGCAAAAATTCTTGTCTACAGACATGCAAGTAGATTCTGACTGCTTGGAGGAAACACTGATTTCCCTCCACCTGTAGTGTTAAAGAAAAAATTACAGGCTGGGTGCAGTGGCTCACGCCTGTAACCCCAGCACTTTGGGAGGCCGAGGGGGCCAGATCACGAGGTCAGGAGATCGAGACCATCCCGGCTAACACGGTTAAACCCCGTCTCTACTAAAAATACAAAAAATTAGCCCAGCATGGTGGCGGGCGCCTGTAGTCCCAGCTACTTGGGAGGCTGAGGCAGGAGAATGGCATGAACCCAGGAGGCGGAGCTTGCAGTGAGCCAAGATCGTGCCACTGCACTTCAGCCTGGGTGACAGAGGGAGACTCTGTCTCAGAAAAAAAAAAAAAGAAAGAAAAAATTATGGCCAGACACAGTGGCTCATGCCTGTAATCCCAACACTTTGGGAGGCTGAGGCGGGCAGATCCCCTGAGGTCAGGGGCTCAAGACCAGCCTGGTCAACTTGGCAAACCCCTTGTCTACTAAAAAAACAAAAATTAGCTAAGTGTGATAGTGGGTGCCTGTAATCCCTGCTACTCAGGGGGCTGAGGCAGAAGAATCACTTGAACTCGGGAGGCAAAGTTTGCAGTGAGTCGAGATCGTGCCACTGCACTCCAGCCTGGGTAACAGAGCAAGACTCCATCTCAACAGAAAAAAAAAAAAAAAAAAAGAAAGAAAGAAAAAATTATTCAATGATACTTGTTAAAGCATGGTAAGGCACACTTTATTCAGAACCATTGAGATAAGTATAGGGACCACTAAAACAGGATTTTGTAATGAGGGAGAGAGATTGTGCCCAACTCCAAATACAGCATGGGCAAGTGAAAATTTACAGCCAAGAACCAGGGTGGAGGTCAGTGGATGGAAAATTACTAGGAGGAAACATCAAGGGTAAAGGAGATTCTGCATAAACCCACCTAACAGGAGTCTTGCTGAAGACAGGCCAGGGTGATCAGACATCACCTGGGGGATGATGGAGGATCAAAGGTCAAAGATGATCAGACATTGAGAGTAGGGGGTTTTCGTTAAAATGTCTTACCAGAGTTCTTGCTAAAATTGGATTTTACAGGTGCATAAATAGGCCTAGGAGAAGTTTCAAGAACCTGACTAAAGTTTGGTCAAATAAAGAATCTTTGTCAGTAGGAAAAACCAGTTTTACATTCATTTGTAAATTTATTTCACCGCCTATTTTTGTTTCTACTCTTTCAAGTTCCTCTTTGAAATAGCTGTCAAATCTTTCCGGTTCCCTCATCAATTAATGAGTTATGCCTGTAAGAAAGTCACGAATTTACCTTTTTTTTTTTTTTTTTTGAGACGGAGTCTCGCTCTGTCACCCAGGCTGGAGAGCAGTAGTGCAGTAGTGCTATCTCGGCTCACTGCAAGCTCTGCCTCCCAGGTTCACGCCACTCTCCTGCCTCAGCCTCCCGAGTAGCTGGGACTACAGGCACCCACCACCACACCTGGCCAATTTTTTTGTATTTTTAGTAGAGATGGGGTTTCACTGTGTTAGCCAGGATGGTCTCAATCTCCTGACCTCGTGATCTGCCAGCCTCAGCCTCCCAAAGTGCTGGGGTTACAGGTGTGAGCCACCACACCCAGCCCCATTTTTTTTTAAATTATCCTCTAAGAGACCTTATTTTCTTACCAGCCAGCTTAGGAGAGGAGTGGAAATCAGGTAGCAAGAGAACAAAGGGCTAGATATTCCACTGGGTTTCTCTAAAGTCCCCAGACTCAGTTTAAGAGAAGGGACAGCCAAGTGCAGTGGCTCACACCTGTAATTTCAATACAATGGGAGGCCGAGGCGGGGGGATCTCTTGGCCCAGGAGTTTGAGACCAGCCCTGGCAACATCTCTACAAAATGCTGTCTCTATAAAAAATTTAAATAATTAATTAATTAATTAATCAAATGTAGTGATGCACACCTATAGTTCCAGCTACTTGAGAGGCTGAGGTAGGAGGATCACATGAGTCTGGGAGGTTGAGGTTGCAGTGAGCCATGATCTTGCCACTGCACTCCAGCCTGGACCACAGAGTGAGACCCTGTCTTAATAAACAAACAGGCCAGGCACAGTGGTTCATGCCTGTAATCCCAGCACTTTGGGAGGGTGAGGCGGGCAGATCACCTGAGGTCAGGAGTTTGAGACCAGCCTGGCCAATATGGAGAAATCTCGTCTCCACCATAAAAATACAAAAACTAGCCAGGCGTGGTGGTGCATGCCTGTAATCCCAGCTACTCAGGGCCCGGAGGCAGGAGAATCCCTTGAACTTGGGAGGCAGAGGTAGCAGTGAGCCAAGATCACAACGCCGCACTCCGGCCTGGGAGACAGAGTGAGATTCCATCTCAAAATAAAATAAAATAAACAAACAAACAAATAAATAAATAAAAGAGGGGGCGACACGGCAATCCAGCCAGGCTTTCAGCCTCAGGTCTGAGCCTCATAGCCTGAGTGTCATTGAAGGGGTCACATCTAGGCTCAGGGATCCCTTTGATTTCCCAGTTTTCTAATTAAACCAGCTTGGATGAATCATGGCTTTTCCCAGAAGAGTCAGGAACCTCAAATATCACATTGTAGACAATGTACTAAGCACAATGATTACTTCCCTTTACCTTAAATAAGAATATTCCAAAAGCATACTCCTTACTTAACAAAGACATGACCATGACCATTCATACAACAATACAGTAACCAGAGTTTCCCAAAAACTGAGACAAAATTCAGAAAAAAAATACTCAATTTATTTAACATCCCTTTGTGCATTGTTACAGGCAGTGTAATTAAGACCTTGAACTTTGAAGTCAGACAGCCTGAATTCAAAGCCCAACTCTACCTTTTATTGTAGCACTGTAGAAGTAATTGACCTAACTTCTCTGGATCCCAAATTTCCTTATGTGTTAAATGAAACTAATAATAATTCCCTCGCAGAGGTTTTGTGAGAATTTTAAAGTCTTTGGCAGGAACAGATGCATAGTAAATCCTCAATAAATGGTAGTTATTATTGTTATTATATTCTACACTTATTTTATATAAAACATATAACTGGCCGGGCGCAGTGGCTCCCACCTATAATCCCAGCACTTTGGAAGGCCAAGACGGGTGGATCATGAGGTCTAGAGATCAAGACTATCCTGGCCAACATGGTGAAACCTGTCTCTACTAAAAATACAAAAATTAGCTGGGCATGCTGGTGCACGCCTGTAGTCCCAGCTACTCGGGAGGCTGAAGCAGGAGAATCGCTTGAACCCAGGAGGTGGAGGTTGCAGTGAGCCGAGATCGCGCCACTGCACTCCAGCCTGGCGACAGAGCAAGACTCCATATCCAAACAAACAAACAAACAAACATATAACTATACTATCTTCCAGTAGTAAATAGGATAGGAGTTGAGGCTGAAGACTTTGTGATCAAAGCCTTTTAATTACATTTTGAGGCCCACACCTCCCCTGCCCCATTCCTAAGGGCCAGCCTCCGGAGCCTCTTTTATAAGGGCACTGCAATAATTTGAATGTGTTCCCTAAGTTTAAGGGTTGGAAAGTTAATCCCCAATGTAACAAGTATTGGGAGGTGGGGCCTAATAAGAAGTGATTAGGTCATGAGGGCTCTGCACTCATGAATGGATTAATGTCATTATCAAGGGAGTGAGTTTGTTATGAAAGCAAGGCTAGCCCTCTCTTGCTTTCTTGCTCACACCCTCTCTTGTCCTTCCAGCATGGGATGACGCAGTGCAAAGGCCCATGCTATATGCTGGTGCCATGGTCTTAGACTTCTCAGCCTTGGGGACTGTGAGCCAAATAAACTTGTGTTCATCATAAATTACCCAGTCTATGGCATTCTGTTATAGCAACACAAAACAGACCAACATAGGCACTAATCCCACGACCTTATGACCTCTCAAATGCCCCACATCTTAATACTGTCACACTGTATCACACTGCGGATTAGGTTTCAACACACAGATGGGGGCTAGAGGGGACTGGGAACAAATATTGAGACCATAGCAACAACAAAACTTCCAGAAGATAATACAGAAAAACATTCTCATGATCTTTAATGAAGAAAATATTTTTTAAATAAGTTTTTTTAAACCATAAATATTGATAAATCATACTACATTAAAATAAGTAGTAACCGGAGGGTTTGCCAGGTGATTACGTATAAGATTTTAATGCAAAAATTGTATTTCTTTTCTATATCCAACAACAAACTGGAAAATGTAATTTGAAGAAATACACCATTTAAAATAGAATTAGAGAAAATCAAGTACCTAAGATTCATTCTAATGAAAGATGTACAAGAACACTACAGGGAAAAATAAAAACTTATTAAGAGACATGAAAAAAGATCCAAATTAGATGTATATATATTTGCTGATAGGAAGACTATCATAAAGATATTAATTTTCCCAAAACTGATACACAGATTCAATGAAATTCCAAACAAAATCCCAACGGGATTTTTCATTGAACTTAACTAGCTGATTTTTAAATGTATATGGAAAAGTAAAGATTTTAGAATAGCCAGAATATTTCTGAATAAGAAAAGGCAGGGGGAGACTTGCCCTACCAAATGTGAGGACTTATTGTGAAGCTGTAGCAATTATAACAGTATGATCAAAAATAGACTAATTGACCACTAAAATAGAAAATAGAGCTCAGAAACAGACCCAAGCACGTTTGAAACTTCGGTATATGAGAGAGGTTGCATATTAGATTTGTTAAAGTATAATTTTCTAATGGATTAAAAAAATTATTTCATGCAAAAGATTTTATTCAATTCATTGATTAATGAGGAAATCTGTCAGATGCTAAAATTAGCCCAAAGAACATTTAATGAGTTAGATGTGTATAGAGGCAATGTAAAAAAAGAAATTTTAGGTAGTTTCAGGTTTATGGAAAACCAGTTCCTATTTCTCTAAGAGTATTTGTTCTATTGGATAGAAATGATTTACATCTCTAGTAGAAAAAAAATATTTAAGTTAATCTCTGTTCCTACAGAGTTGTAAATTGCTCAACCATTACAGAGTCAAGCCCAGAACCTCACTTGAAGGATACCCAGTAATCTCTTTCTGCTATTTCCACATTTCAGTAATTATTTTGACACATGAATAGGAAGAAAAGAGACTATTTAATAAAACAAAAAGAACTATTTAATAAAATAAAAAGAACCATATATAAATGGTATATATATCATATATTCATATATGGTGTTTCATCTCTTTTCATATGAACGACTACTTTCATATGAATAACTACAAATATATATAAAAATAAACTCCAGATGAAGTCAAAATTTAAGTATCAAAAACAAACTTGAACACTCTAAGTATTAAATACAGGTGAATATCTTTTAGAATGTGGGAAATTAAAGAATCTCTTTTTTATTTTTTCAGACTTTTACATTCAGAAAATACATATGCAGGTTTGTTACCTGGGTATATTGGGTAATGCTGAGGTTTGGGTTATGAATGACCTCATCACCCAGGTACTAAGCATAATACCCAATAGTTAGTTTTTCAACCCTTGCCCCCCTCCTTCCCTTCCCTCTTTAATGGTTCCCAGTGTCTATTCTTGCCATCTTTATGTCCATGAGTACCCAATGTTTAGCTCCCACTCGTAAGTGAGAACACGTAGTATTTGGTTTTCTCTTTCTCCATTAATTTGCTTAGGATAACTGCCTCCAGCTGCATCCATGATGCTGTACAAAGGACATGATTTCATTCCTTTTTATGGCTGCATAGTATTCCATGGTGTATAAGCACCACTTTTTTTTTTTTTTACCCAATCCAGTGTAGATGAACACCTAGGTTGATTCCATGTCTTTGCTATTACTGTGAATAGCGTTGTGATGAACATGTGAGTGCATGTCTTTTTAGTAGAAAGATTTGTTTTCTTTTGGATATATATCCAGTAATGGAATTGCTGGGTCGATTTGTAGTTCTGTCTTAAGTTCTTTGAAAAATCTCCAAACTGCTTTCCACAGTGGATGAACTAATTTACATTTCCACCAACAGTGCATAAGCGTTCTCTTTTCTCTGCAGCCTCACCAGTATCTGCTAGTTTTTGACTTTTTAATAATAGCCATTCTAACTTGTGTGAGATGGTATCTCTGTGGTTTTAATTTACATTTCACTGATGGTTAGTGATGTGGAGCATTTTCTCATATGTTTGTTGGCCATTTGTAAGTCTTCCTTTGAGAAGTGTTTGTTCATGTCTTTGCCCACTTTTTAATGGGGTTATTTGGTTTTGGGGTTTTGTTTTGTTTTGTTTTGTTTTGTTTTGTTTTGTTTTGTTTTGTTTGAGACGGAGTCTCACTCTGTCGCCCAGGCTGGAGTGCAGTGGCGCGATCTCGGCTCATTGCAATCTCCGCCTCCCGGGTTCACGCCGTTCTCCTGCCTCAGCCTCCCGAGTAGCCGGGACTACAGGCGCCCGCCACCATGCCCGGCTAATTTCTTTTTGTATTTATGGTAGAGATGGGGTTTCACCTTATTAGCCAGGATGGTCTCGATCTCCTGACCTCGTGATCCGCCTGCCTCGGCCTCCCAAAGTGCTGGGATTACAGGCATGAGCCACGGCACCCAGCCTAATGGGGTTATTTGGTTTTTGCTTATTCAATTGTTTAGGTTTCTTATAGACTCTGGATATTAGAAATTTGTCAGATGCATAGTTGTGAATACTTTCTCCCATTCTGTAGGTGGTTTATTTACTCTATTGGTAGTTTCTTTTGCTGTGCAGAAACTATTTAGTTTAATTTGGCCAACTTGTCTATTTTTGGTTTTGTTGCAATTGCTTTTGAGAACTTAGTCATAAATTATTTCCCAAGGCTGATGTCCAGAATGGTGTTTCCAAGCTTTTCTTCCAGGATTCTTTTTTTTTTCCTCTTTTTTTTTTAATTATTATACTTTAAGTTCTAGGGTACATGTGCACAACCTGCAGGTTTGTTACATATGTATACATGTGCCATGTTGGTGTGCTGCACCCATTAACTCGTCATTTACCTTAGGTATATCTCTTAATGCTTTCCCTCCCCACTCTCCCACCCCTCTTTTTTTTTTTTTTTTAAGTTCCGGGATACCTGTTGATATGGTTTGACTGTGTCCCCACCCAAATCTCATCTTGAGTTCCCATGTGTTGTGGGAGGGACCTGGTGGGAAGTAATTGAATCATGAGGGCAGGTTTTTCCCATGCTGTTCTCGTGATAGTGAATAAGTCCCATGAGATCTGTTGGTTTTAAAAACTGGAGTCTCCCTGCACAAGCTCTCTCTTTGCCTGGTGCTATCTAAGTAAATGCAACTTGCTCCTCCTTGCTTTCTGCCATGATTGTGAGGCTTCCCCAGCCATATGGAACTGTAAGTCCATCATAAACCTCTTTTGTAAAGTGCCCAGTCTCAGGTATGCTTTTATCAGCAGCATGAAAATGGACTAACACACATGTGCAGGATGCAAAGGTTTCTTACATAGGTAAACATGTGCCATGGTGGTTTGCTGCACCTATCAACCTATCACCTAGGTATTAAGCCCTGCATACATTAGCTATTTAACTTCTAGGATTCTTATAGTTTGGAGTCTTACATTTACATCTTAATCCATCTTGAGTAAATTTTTGTATACGGTGATAGGTAGGGGTCTAGTCTTTTTCTTCTGCATATGGCTAGCAAGCTATCCCAGCACCATTTATTTAATATGGAGTTCTTTCCCTATTGCTTGTTTTTGTCTACTTTGTCAAAGATCAGATGGCTGTAGGTGTGCAGCTATATTTCTGGGCTTGCTATTCTGTTCCATTTGTCGATGTGTCTGTTTTTGTACCAGTACCATGCTGTTTTGGTTACTGTTGCCTTGTAGTATAGTTTGAACTTGGGTAATGTGATGCCTCCAGCTTTGTTCTTTTTGTTTAGGATTGCTTTGGCTATTCAGCCTCTTTTTTTGTTCCATATCATTGTTTTTTTCTAATTCTGTGAAAAATGCTATTGGTAGTTTGATAGGAATCGAATCTATAGATTGCTTTGAGCAGTATGGCCATGTTAATGATATTGATTCTTCCAATCCATGAGCATGGAATGTTTTTTCATTTGTTTGTGTCATCTATTATTTGTTTTAGCAGTGTTTTATAGTTCTCCCTGTAAAGATCTTTCACCTCCTTGGTTAGATGTATTCCTAGGTATTGTGTGTATGTGGGTGTGTGTGTGTGTGTGTGTGTGTGTGTGTTGTAAATGGTATTCCTTCTTTTTTTCCTTTTTTTTTTTTTTTTTTGAGACAGAGTTTTGCTTATGTGTCCCAGGCTGGAGTGCAATGGCACAATCTCAGCTCACTGCAACCTCCGCCTCCCAGGTTCAAGTGATTCTCCTGCCTCGGCCTCCTGAGTAGCTGGGATTATAGACATGTGCCACCATGCCCAGCTAATTTTTGTATTTTTAGTAGAGATGTGGTTTCACCATGTTGGTCAGGCTGGTGTCCAACTCCTGACCTCCAGTGATCCGCCCACCTCAGCCTCCCAAAGTGCTGGGATTACAGGCTTGAGCCACTGCACCCAGCTGGGATTGCTTCTTGATTTGGCTCTCAGCTTAAATATTGTTGGTATATAAAACTGCTACTGATTTTTGTACATTGATTTGGTATCCTGATACTATACTGAAGTCAAGGATTTCTTAAACAAGACCCAAAAGTACAAACTATAAAAGATTGACAAATTTAATATATTAAAACCATCACTTTCATTCATTGAAATACATCTTAAAGAAAGTGTGACATTATAAACTGGGAGAACTACTTTCAATAGGCATAACTGAAAAAGGATTAGTATTAATAATATATAAGGGGCCGGCACCATGGCTCATGCCTGTAATCCCAGCACTTTGGATGGCAGAGGCAGGAGGGTCACCTGAGGTCAGGAGTTCAGGACCAGCCTGGTCAACATGGTGAAACCCCGTCTCTACTAAAAATACAAAAATTAGCTGGGCGTGGTGACGCACGCCTGTAATCCCAGCTACTCAGGAGGCTGAGGCAGGAGAATCGCTTGAACCTGGGAGGCAGAGGTTGCAGTGAGCTGAGATTCTGCCATGGCACTCCAGCCTGGGTGCTCTGTCTCAAAAAAAGTAATAATAATGTATAAGGAACTCCTACAATTAATAAGAAAAAGACAAATAGCCCAATTGAAAAGTGGGCTAACAACATGAATAGGCATTTCACAGAATAGGAAACACATATGGCCAGGAAAAATATGAAGGGATATTCAATTTTACTGATTATCAGGAAAATAACAATCAAGACTCTAATGTATCATTTTATGCCCGTTTTACTGGCAAAATTAAAACAATACACTGACAATTCCAAGTGTTAATGAAGAGGTAGATCCATGGAATATCTTTAAGCTTAACAGTGGGTGTGTAAATTGATACAACCACTTTGGAAAAACATTTGACAATATCTACTAAAACTAAATATATACCCTAAAGTGCATTCCATCCACTATTAGGAATAGACCCAAAAGAATGTACACCAAAAAAAACCACATATGATAATGTACATAGCAGTACTCTCCACAATGGCAAAAACATGCTAAGAAAGCAAATGCCTTTCAAGAAATACTAGATGGGCCGGGCGTGGTGGCTCATGTCTGTAATCCCAGCACTTTGGGAGGCCAAGGCAGATGGATCACTTGAGGTTAGGAGTTCGAGAGCAGCCTGGCCAACACCGTGAACCTCGTATCTACTAAAAATACAAAAATTAGCCGGGCATGGTGGCAGTCACCTGTAATCCCAGCTACTTGGGAGGCTGAGGCAGGAGAATCGCTTGAACCTAGGAAGTGGAGGTTGCAGTGAGCCGAGATCATGCCACTGCACTCCAGTCTGAGAAACAGTGAGACGCCATCTCAAAAAAAAAAAAAAAAAAAACTGGATGAATAAACTGGGATATATTCACATAATGGAACATTATACAATAGTCATAAATGATGACATATAGAAATACCCAACAAATATGAATAAATCATAGCAATATAAAAAAAGTTGTCAAAATTCTTTAAGATGAAGACACATCAAATGTTTCTAATTCCAAATGTCTTAAATTACAATATAAGTAAAACTGGACATTTAAGCTGAGATGTAGCTGAAGAGTAGTTATGCCAGGTCACAACCTTTAAATAAACAAATTCATCTATTTTTCTGAAGTACAGGAGTAGGTTGCGTGCAGTGACTCACACCTGTAATCCCAGCATTTTGGGAGGCCAGGGTAGGAGGATCACTTGAAGCCAGGAGTTCCAGCCTGGCCAACAAAGTGAGACACTGTCTCTACTTAAAATAAGAATAAAAATAATTAGCTAGATGTGGTGGCACACACCTGTAGTCTCAGCTACTTGGGGGACTGAGACGGGAGGATTGCTTGAGTTCACGAGTTTGAGGCTGCAGTGAGCCATGATCACGCCACTGCACTCCAGCCTGGGCAACAGAGCAAGACTCTACCTCTGAAAAAAACATTAAATGTACATTTATCATATGAACCAGTGGTTCTACTACTGGAAATTTATCCAAGATAAATAAAGACATGTGTCCACAAAAAGACTTGGAAAAAAATCATGCTAACATCCCATCTCAGCCTCCCAAGTAGTTGTGACTACAGGCACATGGCACCATGCCCAGCTAATTTTTGTATTTTTGTAGAGACAGGATTTCACCATGTTGTTTAGGCTGGTCTCAAACTTCTCAGCTCAACCAATTGGCCTGCTTTGGCGTAACTCAAATGTTTATCAGCAGAAGGCCAGGCGCGGTGGCTCACGCCTGTAATCCCAACACTTTGGGAGGTCGAGGTGGGCAGATCACAAGGTCAGGGGTTCGAGACCAGCCTGGCCAACATAGCAAAACCTCGTCTTTACTAAAAATACAAAAATTAGCTGGGCATGGTGGCACACGCCTGTAATCCCAGCTACTCAGGAGGCTGAGGCAGGAGAATTGCTTGAACCCAGAAGGTGGAAGTTGCAGTGAGCCGAGATCGCGCCACTGCACTCCAGCCTGGGTGACAGAGCCAGACTCTATCTCAAAAAATAAAAAATAAAAAATAAAAAAATAAAAGGAGATGGTACTTGGAAAGTTCCTGGTCCAGGAATTTCATCTAATGGGTAATCAAAATTGTTGGCTCTTTAAAACAAAGCAAAATTTTTTTAAGGTTGGTTCCTTCTCTTTCTCTCTCTTACTCATTCTCTCTCTTTCATCCTAAATATAGAAACTCTTATGCTCTTAAGCACCTTGCTGGCATCTTTGTAGAAGATTTTAAAGGATATGTACACTGGAGAAGACAACAGTTTCTGGATTCTAATTGATTCTGCTTTAGAGAAAATTTTTGTACCTTACTGCTGTAAGGAATGGGAGTCTATTCCAGTCAGCTATGGAAAGAAACAAAATTGAACTTATAGAACACACTGATGAAATTCATGGTTTAGGCAATGGCGGTCTATAGTATGCCAAGCAATACCTCCCTGGTGTGGAAGCAATATGGTCCTATGCAGCCCTTGCAGATTTAAAGCATCAAACAAAAGACCAACAGATATTTACAGATTCTAAAATGATACTACTCAGAAGGCTGAAGGGGGAGGATCACTTGAAACCAGAAATTTAAGACCAGCCTGGGCAACATAGTGAGATCTCATCTTTTAAAAAAGAGGCCAGGCACGGTGGCTCATAGTGAAACCCCATCTCTACTAAAAACACAAAAATTAGCCAGGTATGGTGGCAGGCGCCTGTAGTCCTGGGAGGCTGAGGCAGGAGAATTGCTTGAACCTGGAGGGCGGAGGTTGCAGTGAGCCAAGACTGCGCCGCTGCACTCCAGCCTGGGTGACAGAGCAAGACTCCGTCTCAAAAAAAAAAAAGAAAGCTGGGCACAGAGGTGGCTCAGGCCTGTAATCCCAGCAGTTTGGGAGGCCGAGGCTGGTGGATCACCTGAGGTCATTGTTAGAGACCAGCCTGGCCAACTTGGTGAAACTCCATCTCTACTAAAAATACAAAAAGTAGCCAGTCGTGGTGGCAGGCAACTGTAATCCCAGCTACTCGGGAGACTGAGGCAGGAGAATCACTTGAACCTGGAAGGCAGAGATTGCAGTGAGCCGAGATCGTGCCATTGCACTCCAGCCTGGACAACAAGAGCAAAACTCCATCTCAAAAAAAAAAAAAAAAAGGCCAGGCACGGAGGTGGCTCAGGCCTGTAATCCCAGCACTTTGGGAGGCTGAGGCAGGTGGATCACCTGAGGTCCGGAGTTCAGGACCAGCCTGGCCAACATCGTGAAACCCCGTCTCTATTAAAAAAACAAAAAGTAGCCGGGCATGGTGCTGGGCACCTGTAATCCTAGCTACTCGGGAGGCTGAGGCAGGAGAATCACTTGAACCTGGGAGGCGGAGGTTGTGGTGAGCCAAGATCATGTCACCGCACTAGAGCCCGGGCGACAGAGCGAGTCTTCGTCTCAAAAAAAAAAAAAATTAGTCCAATGTGGTGTTGCATGAATGTAGTCCCAGCTACTGGGGAGGCTGGGCAGTTTGGTTTCATTCACTTTTGGTTTTCCCCCGTGTGCTGTCCTGAGATTGAGTAGTCCATTATCTCAGTGTTTTAGTCTGGTAAATGCTAAGTCCCTTTATTTGCAGACCTAACATTCTCGATCAGGAGCCTGGATGTTGCAAGGACCACTGGAATGAGAACAGCGGCAATGAAAATAGGAAGGTGTCTCTGGAAAAAGTGTGACCTCTTGGGGTGACCGAGGCACTCACTCCATAGTGGGTTGATTGTGCTCCCTGAAGATGTGCCAGGAGGACCAACATACTCTTCAGGCCCCCAGAGTCATGGTAATTCCCATTCTAGGTGATTATCTGACAAAACAACAATGTGAGATGTTTGCTCCTAGTGTGTACGGCCTCCCCTTGAGTCCTCAGATGCCTGGAGATGATTTATGCCTCAAGTCCCCAGCCTTCAAGGTCCTGCACCATCAAAACCATCCACAGTCAGCTATCTGTGCCCTTTTTACACATTAACTCATTTGGTACTTGCAACACTTCAGTGCTTATTTTATAGATGAGATTATCTTCTGGACTGACCCACATTTCATTGACATTGTATTATGAAAACAACTATCCAATTGGGAATTTTTCACTAGGACAGGAAGGATTATTTTAGTGATTAGATAACTGTAAACCAGCTAGTCTTTGTGTAAATACAGATCAAAAAGAGAAAAAAAGTAATTAAGCCTTCAATATCAGCCAGGAGAGGGTTTTGTTTGTTTGTTTGTTTGTTTGTTTGTCTGTTGCCCAGGCTGGAGTGCAGTGGAGCAATCTCGGCTCACTGCAACCTCCGCCTTCCGGGTTCAAGCAATTCTTCTGCCTTAGCTTCCTGAGTAGCTGAGATTACAGTCGCTCACCCCTACACCTGGGTATTATTAGTATTTTTGTATTATTTTTGTATTATTTTTAGTATAGACAGGGTTTTGCCATGTTGGCCAGGCTGGTCTCAGACTAACCAGGAGAGAGTTTAATAAATATTCTTGCCTGGAGGTTGCTTCCACTGGATCAGATGCTGATCTATCCTGCCTTACAGGAATTCAGGAAATGAGCTTCACTTATTGCATCTCCCAACTCCTCTGTCTTCACCTCTCTCCATCTCTACCCTTCTCTCCCTCATCTCCTAGGAAGATTTACCTTCAGTCTTGCCCAAAAGCAGACCTACTAATTCTAGCCAGGCCTGAGGATTCTTCTTGGCTCAGGCATCCACATAATGCAATTAGGTTTAGGTAAGTTCTCAAAACCTAGCATCCCCTGCAATTATAACAAGGCTGAGCATGTGCACTTATGGGCCAATTACTCTCAAGAAACTTTATAGATATTGTCTCATTTTTTCAACATTGTATTGCATTGAAAGAGGTAGGGGCCAGGTGCAGTGGCTCACACCTGTAATCCCAGCACTTTGGGAGGCCAAGGTGGGTGGATCACTTGAGGCCAGGAGTTCAAGACCAGCCTGGCCAACATGGCGAAACCCATCTCTGCTAAAAAGAAAATACAAAAATTAGCAGGTTGTAGTGGCACACACTTGTAGCCCCAGCTACTCGGGAGGCTGAGGCGTGAGAACTGCATGAGTCTGGGAAGCGGAGGTTGCAGTGAGCAGAGATCCCACCACTGCACTCCAATCTGGGTGACAGAGTGAGACTCTGTCTCCAAAAAAAAAAAAAAAAAGAGGTAGGAAGTCAACATTATCCTGATGTTTTTCAAACAGAGGTCAAGAAATGGAGAGGCCGGGCGTGGTGGCTCACGCCTGTAATCCTAGCACTTTGGGAGGCCGAGGCGGGTGGATCACGAGGTCAGGAGATCGAGACCATCCTGGCTAACATGGTGAAACCCCGTCTCTACTAAAAATACAAAAAATTAGCCGGGCGTGGTGGCGGGCGTCTGTAGTCCCAGCTACTCGGGAGGCTGAGGCAGGAGAATGGTGTGAACCCAGGAAGCGGAGCTTGCAGTGAGCCAACATTGCGCGCCACTGCACTCTAGCCTGGGCCACAGAGCGTGACTCTGTCTCAAAAAAAAAAAAAAGAAAGAAAAGAAATTGAGCATACAAAGAGTGAATGACAGAGTCAGGAAATAGTGAGACCCTCAGAGCCATTCTGTTCATTTGCTCTTCACATAGAGACAGAATAGAAAGCAGCAACATGATATAAACCAGCACAGAGTCCTAACTTTCTTACCTCAGAAAAGCCTGTTTAACAACTGCCTGTTATAGAAATCCTGATCAGTCACCTGGTTCTGCTATTCTAAATTTTGAAAAAGAGGTAAGAAATCTGGTACAGAGGAAGCAGGTATTATGGCATATAGCAAGTTAGCAAGGTATCTTGGTCTGTTTTGTGCTGTATAACAGAAAACCATAGACTAGGCAATCTGCAAAGAAGATAAATTTATTTTATCGCAGCTCTAGAGTCTAGGAAGTACAAGATCTGGGTGCCAGTATCTGGCGAGGGCCTTCATGCCATGTCATCCCATGGCAGAAGGGTAAAGAGAGAGACAGTGCAAGAGGTGGCCAAACCCAGCCTTTTACAAGGAGCCCAGCCCCAAGATAACAAACCCACTCCCAAGATAATGGCATTAATTCATTCGTGAGGGTGGAGCCCTTGTGACTTAAACACTTCTTAAAGCTCCCAATACTGCTGCATTGGAGGTCAACATATGAACTTTGAGGGACACATTCAAACCATAACACAAGACTTTGTAGAAAAAGACTTTTGTAGCCAGAAAGAACCTTAGATATTAAAGGTCTAATAACCCTTTCATTTCACAGGAGATACAAATGAGGCTTGGTCAAGGTCACACACCACGGTTATGACAGGAATCTTGGGTATCCTGACTCCCAAGCCAGTGTTCTTAGTTCTTTCTATACAGCATGAATGGTCCAATGACTCCAGCTTCCAGACAAAGTACAGATATATCCTGCACATCCACTGTTCATAAATGATATGCCACCATAATGGCTCTTGAAAATACCTTCTTTTGGGCCAGGCACAGTGGCTCACCCCTATAATCCCAACACTTTGGGAGGCCGAGGCAGGCGGATCACCTGAGATCGGGAGTTTGAGACCAGCCTGGCCAACGTGGTGAAACCCCATCTCTACTAAAAATACAAAATAAGCCGGGCGTGGTGACGCATGCCTGTAATCCCAGCTACTCAGGAGGCTGAGGCAGGAGAATCGCTTGAACCTGGGAGGCGGAGGTTGCGGTGAGCCGAGATCGCACCATTGCACTCCAGTCTGGGCAATGAGCAAAACTCCAGCTCAGAAAAAAAAAAAAAAAAAAGAAAAAAAGAAAAGAAAATACCTTCTTTCTCAGTCACGCCGTAAAGTGGTAAATCAGCAGGCCCTGGTGGCTCAGACACTACACATTCCAAAGAAAGGCCTGTCTTCGGGAGGACTGGCCCTTGACCCACTCCAAGAAGATAACCACTGGGCCCTTGGAATATCAAGCCTATTGAGAATGTTTTTCTATTGCTGAAGCCTTGGGTAATTTTGTATCAACGTGAGCTCTGAGGAGCAGTGTCTGAGGAGCTGAGGTCAGTGGGTGCTGCATGTCTATGTGACCGACCCCAATAAAAACCCTAAACACCAAGTCTTGGGTTAGCTTCCCTGATTGACAACACTTTGCACATGCTGTCACACATCCTTGCTGGGGAAGTAGGCAGCGTCCGTGTGAGTCCACTGGAGAGGAAAACTGGAAGTTTCTACCCAATTTTTCCTGGATTCCACCCCATGTGCCTTTTCCCTTTGCTGATTTTAACCTGTATCCTTTCACTGTAATAAACCATATCGGTGAGTATAATAGTTTTTTTGAGTCCTTTGAGACCTTCTAGTAAATCATTGAGTCTGAGAGTGGTCTTAGGAACCCCTGGGATACCAATATACATTTTTTTTTTGCTCTAAAACACTCTAAATAAATGACTATGAGAACTCATCTTTCAACACTACAACTTCAGGCAAAGAGACACCAGTTTACACAACAAAACAGAGACCATCACATAGAACAAAAGTGAATTGTGTTTGGATGAACTCAAAATGTTTATTTTGGGTACATGCACCAACTGAGTAGGAATAAAAGGAAACATCTTGAGAGACTTCATTCTGTGCAGATGAATGAGTACCATTTCCACGAGTTTAGCCTTTATTGTGCCCTAAAGAAGTTTTCCTGCACTGTAACTTTATTTTTAAGAGTAGTTTGAGTGCAAAACAGGAATAATCCCCAGAAAAGGTGAAAATTGGTCAAGAAAATGGTACAGAAAGAATACACTTTGCAAAGAATGATGCCCTCAGACCTCTCCTACCAACCAACACTCCACCATTGGCAAGTTCAATAGACTTGTGTTTGTTGTGTGACATAGCGTGCACAGTATGTTTTCACATGCTTTCTGTTTTATAGTAAAGAATTTGACTGGCTTTTGTCTCTGGTTCCTAGGAGGCAGACTCAAAATAATTAGAATTCCCTAAGTAACAGGGATATCTTTGTTTTTCATGAGCCTCTTGGATCACACCTGAATTTGGGCTGGAAGATGAGATGACCCAAGATGGAGGCCAGTTACCAGCGAGAACAACCATGTGATTACATAGCTGGTGCTTTGAGTCAGCCTGACACCCAGAGTAAGGGGTAGGGTGGAGATTTAGTTCAATCACTTGGCCAGTGATTCAATCAATTATACATATATAATGAAACCCCAATAAAAACTTTAGATACCGAAGCATGGTGAAGCATCCTGGTTGGTGAACATATCAATGTGTTGAGAGGGTGACACACCCGATTCCACAATGCAGGACATGAAAGCTTCGCATCCAGCGCCCTCCTAGACCTTACTTTATGTGTCTCTCCATTGGCTGGTCCTAACTTATATCCTTCATAATAAAACAATTGTAAATACAGCATCTTCCTGAGTAATGTGAGTCATTCTAGCAAATCGGCAAACCTGAAGGAAATCTTCAGAAACCCCTACGTTTTATTGTTTTATTTTATTTTTATTTTTTATTGAGACCCAGTCTCACTCTGTTGCCCAGGCTGAAGTGCAGTGGCACCATCTCAGCTCACTGCAACCTCTGCCTCCCAGGTTCAAGCGATTCTCGTGCCTCAGCCTCCCAAGTAGCTGGGATTACAGGTGACTGCCACCATGCCCGGCTAATTTTTGTATTTTTAGTAGATACGAGGTTCACGGTGTTGGCCAGGCTGCTCTCGAACTCCTAACCTCAGGTGATCCACCTGCCTTGGCCTCCCAATGTGCTCAGATTACAGGTGTGAGCCACGGCACCCAGCCAAACCCCTAGATTTGTAGCCAATTGACTGGGGACTCCCAAAGTGTGACTGGCATCAAAAGTGAGGACAACCTCGTTTGGGATCATGCCCTTTAACTTGTGGGGTCTTCTCTAACCCTAATTAGTGCAAGAATTGAATTTCAATATACCGGTTGAGGTCAGAATACTTTCAAATTATTGTACATTACTTTTATGAGCTTTTTTTCAAAGTTTAACTAGTATATTCTTCTTTTTGTGAAAATTACTCAAGTACCCTGTAGTGTCATAGAATAAATAATTTTTTCCGAAAACTTAATGGAATTTTTTCACTTAATAGCTTTTAACTCAGTGGTGGAGTTTTCTGGAACAAATTAAAGTCATTAACAAGGAACAAGTGTATTTAGAAAATCTATAATGAAGGACACAAATGAGAAGTGGTCATTGTCATCATGCTTTGCTCCCTTGGCAATAAAGAAGCTATAGTACTCAGAAATCAGATAATGAAGTCTCCTGACCATGTAGAAAACTTTAAAGAAAATTGTGTTTAAAGAGATTTCCCTGGCCTGGCATGGTGGCTCACGCCTGCAGTCCTAGCATTTTGGGAGGCCAAGGCAGGTGGATCTCTTGAGCCCAGGAATTTAAGGCCAACCTGGGCAACATGGCAAAAGTTTGTCTCACCAAAAATACAAAAATTAGCCATGCTGGTGATGCACGCCTGTGGTCCCAGATACTTGGGAGGCTGAGGTGGGAAGATTGCATTGAGCCCAGCAGGTTGAGGCTGCAGTAAGCCAAGATCACACGACTTCACTCCAGCCTGCATGACACAGTGAGACCCTGTCTCCAAAGAAAAAAAAGAAGAAAGAAAGAAAGAAAGAAGGAAAGAAAGAAAGAAAGAAAGAGAAAGAAAGAAAAAGCAAGAGAAAGAGATTACCAAAAGAAAATACAAAAAATAAAAAAATAGGCTGGGCGTGGTGGCTCATGCCTGTAATCCCAGCACGTTGGGAGACCAAAGCAGACAGATCCTTGAGGTCAGGAGTTTGAGACCAGACTGGCCAACATGACAAAACCCCATCTCCACTAAAAATATAAAAATTAGCTGGATGTAATGGTGCGCACCTGTAATCCCAGCTACTCCAGAGGCTAAGTTAAGGCAGGAGAATCTCTTGAACCCAGGAGACAGAGGCTGCAGTGAGCCAAGATGGCACCACTGCACTCCAGCCTGGACAACAGAGTTAGAATCAAAAAAAAAAAAAAAAAAAAGAGAAAGGTGACTTCTCCCCAAGAGTCCTGACAACACCAACAATTAAACCACACTGGGCAGAGGACTATTCAGAATTTCAGAAGCTATATTTGACAGAACTGGCCTAAGACAAAATTACACAATGGTAAAATTTGTCTCCTATATCCTTTTTACATTAGGTCAACACCCCTTGGATTTCTCAAGCATGTCAGCACTGTTGGAGTGGACCATCTTTATCTTTTGGCCTCAGTTCCAAATATGCATTAGTTTTTATAAACCCTATCTTTTTGTGGTTGTCTGAATATGTCATCTGTGCTAGAGGCTCACACTTAGTCTTCATGAATGTTAATAAGAGTTAATTACCATCAAAGGAAGAATAGATGCACAAGTGTCATCATGAAATGGGACGTGTGGGTGTGTGAAAAGAAAATCCAGGGTGAACCAGACTCAGTCTATGAAATTCAACTAAACAGATTGCCAAGAGGCAAGTTTCATTTCTTTTTATTTTAGTCTCTTGTTGATTTGTCTGTGCTGCCAGGAATGTTTATCACTCCATCAACTCGTCCTTTAATATGCGATCTTGTTATTATTTAGGAAATGAAACAAAAACCTCCTTTGGCATTAAAATAATGAGATATTACTCTTTATGGGCAACTGTTAGGGGTTTTAGTAACCCACATATCTTTGGTTCCCTGGGTAAAGGCTTATTGATTTTTCTAGCACTTGCTGTTAATGCTTGATGTTTGGCAATGGAGTCTCAGTCTACACGAGGGAGCTGTTTACACGGTCAGCATAATTATTATTGGGTTGTAGAATGTACATGAAGCTACTGGTACTTACACTCTTACAACATTATTATTAAACTAAACCATTTTTTTTATTTCATCGCTGTTACAGTTAAGGTCATAAGCACACCTATGGTGATCCCATTCGAACCTAAACTATATACAGTAAGAAGTTACAAAGTCAGCTCCCGAATATGGACCTGTCCTAAAATGTGTTCAGAGAGATCAGTGGGATCCTGCATTACTGGTGGCAGAACCACTGTAAGATACAAGCAGGAAAAAGGCGTGATTTTTCTCTTAACACCAGTCTCTTTCTCTCCCTACGTCTCCAGATACTTCACTCTCCTGCCTTTTTTCCAGACCTTAGTAACTCTAGCCATAGTCTCTATCAATGGAAATGCACTCCCTTTCCTATTTGTCAGTGATGTTATGTAAGTATTTCAAGGTTATCTGAATTAATCAAGGTTTTACAATAAACCTTTAGTGGCAGCCTGCTGGGTCTGGTGAGCTGACTCAGAGCAAAGCACTGGTAAGGAGGGGTCACCCACGAAGAAATTGGAAGGCCTGAGCAAAGAACAGAAATCGAGGAAGATGATCAGATGGTATATGTCCAAAGTGAAGGCAAGGTTGGTCATTTAGGCTTAGAGCACAGCTTCCTGAAATGTGTCCTTTGGACTCTTAGAACAGGGTCCATTTGAGGTCCACACCAGCCACTTCTAGAGCCAGAGACTTTGAGTCCTTGCCCCAGGATCAGTGGTTCTCAAACTATACAGGCAGTCAGGGATCTCTTTCTTTATCTTTTTTTTTGAGACGGAGTCTCGCTCTGTCGCCCAGGCTGGAGTGCAGCGGCCTGATCTCCGCTCACTGCAAGCTCCGCCTCCCGGGTTCACGCCATTCTCCTGCCTCAGCCTCCTGAGTAGCTGAGATTACAGGCACTCGCCACCATGCCTGGCTAATTTTTTTGTATTTTTAGTAAAGATGGGGTTTCACTGCATTGGCCAGGCTGGTCTTTAACTCCTGACCTCAGGTGATCCACCCGCCTCAGCCTCCCAAACTGCTAGGATTACAGGCGTAAGCCACTGTGCCTGGCATCAGGGATCTCTTTCTAAGGGGCCTAATAGGAGAAATGAAGTGGGTGAGTGACAGAAGGAAGGGGAAGGCATTATGGTTCTACAGGCCTTCAATATTTCTGTCCCACAAACAAATAATGGGAATCCACCATTTATTTATAACAGTCAGAAGGTCCAGTCTGGAATCTGCTCAAAGAATTTTCACCAAAGGAAGCCAGTTCTGGCTTCTCTAAATTATTTTCTGGCTGAACACAGTGGCTCACCCCTGTGATCCCAACACTTTGGGAGACTAGGAAGGGAGGATTGCATGAGCCCAGGAGTTCCAGACCAGCCTGAGCAACATGGTGAGACTTCCATCTCTACGAAAAATTTTATAAAAATTAGCTGGGCATTGTGGTGCACACTTATGGTCCTAGCTACTTGGAGTCTGAGGTAGGAGGATTACTTGAGCCCAGGAGGTTGAGGTTGCAATAAGCCATGTTTGTGCCACTGAATGCCAGTCTGGGTGATAGAGCAAGGCCATGTCCAAAAAAATTAAAATAAATTCTAATTTAGCAAATTACTTTATGTTCAAGACATTAAATGATAATTACCTCATCTAGATTAAGCTTGTGACTTTCTGCCTCTATTCTTTTAAAATTCTAAAAGATAGAAGATACCTGGAACTAGCACACATAATCTAGGCTAATTTTTGGACCCTGTATAGCCTTGATTCCTACACACACATATACTCAGTCTATCTACAAACTGAGCCTTTTATGTTCTACATTAACCTTCCTGAGAAACAGCTAATAGTGCAGCCTTTTTTTTTTTTTTAAGTGATACAAACATGACTCATTGAAACCTGGACCTCTTGGGCTCAAGTTATCCTCTCATCTCAGCCTCCTGAGAAACTGGGACTACAGACATGCACCACCACGCCTGGCTAATTGTTTTTGGGTTTTTTTGTTTGTTTAATTTTGGTAGATAGGGGATCTCCTGATGTTGCCCAGGCTGGTCTGGAACTCCTGGCATCAAACCATCCTCCTGCCTCAGCCTCCCAAAAGGCTAGGATTACAGGCATGAGCCACTTTGCCTGGCCTCTTTTTTTCAATTTTTGTCAATATTGAGGAAATTAAAACACTTTATTATACCCTTCTTAATCATACCACTAGAAGTGTTTTTTCTCTGCCTACCTAAAAACCCAAATCCCTAATACACCAATTACCATTAAAGATAGTTTTTAAGAACGATGTCCTAGCAGAGGTTATGCAAGCAGGCTGCTTTAAAACTGTTGAAGGCCAGGCACAGTGGCTCATGCCTTGATTATGGTTTGTGGGCTGTGTCCCCACCCAAATCTCATCTTGAATTGTACTCGCATAATCCCCACATGTTGTGAGAGGGACCCGGTGGGAGATAACTGAATCATGGGAGCGGTTTCCCCCATACTTTCTCATGGTAGTGAGTAAGTATCACGAGAACTGATGGTTTTATAAGGGATATCTGCTTTCATGTCTTCCTCATTTCCTGCTTGCCGCTGCCATCTAAGAAGTGCCTTTTGCCTTCTACCATAATTGTGAGGCATCCCCAGCCACATGGAACTGTGAGTCCAATAAACCTATTTTTCTTCCCAGTCTTAGGTATGTCTTTATCAGCAGTGTGAAAATGAACTAATACAAGCCTGTGATCCCAGCACTTTGGGAAGCTGAGGTGGGAGGATCCCTTGAGGTCAGGAGTTCGAAACCAGCCTGGCCAAGAGGATGAAACCCCATCTCTACAAAAATACAAAAATTAGTCAGGTGTGGTAGTGGGCACCTGTAATCCCAGCCACTTGGGAGGCTGAGACAGAAGAATCACTTGAACCTGGGAGGTGGAAGTTGCAGAGAGCTGAGCTTGCATCACTGCACTCCAGTCAGAGGAAGACTTCATCTCAAAAACAATACATAAATAAAATTTTAAAAAATAAAACTGTTGGGGGCATTAGCCACACGAACAACTGTCCAAAAGCCAGGGTCTCTGGTTTTTGTTGTTTTTGTTTTTACAGTTTTATTGGTTTTATTTAAACCCCAATAAAACAAACACATTCACTGTCTATTCACTTTCTGCACTGTGCAGGCTGGCATTGGCATTGGTGACTCTGATGACCACCTGGGCTGCTCTTTCCAAGATGGCTTTGCAGTTCTTGGAAGAAACATCATGAGTGATCTCAACACAGTAAGATTTGTTGCTCACCAGCAGTACTTCCAGCTCCTTAACGTTGTGGACCAGGAACTTCCAGAAGCCACTGGGCAGTATGTGCTTTGTCTTTTTGTTTCTCCCATAACCAATGTTGGGCATAGATCTGGCCCTCAAACCTTCTATGAACCCTGTTGTTAATACCTCTGTGTTTCCACCAGTTACCCTTAATTTTGACATATCAGTCTGACTGGTTCCCAGTGAACTTGGTGCTCTTTTTGATGATCTTGGGCTTCGCGAGCGGTCTCAGGATGGCCATGATGGAGGAGATGGGTGTCACCTCCATAGGCAGTGCCAAGGAAGACAGCTCAGGTCTTTCTGTAATGGTAAAAGAGGACCCATAAAAAGTGAAAAAGCAATGATGCCCAACCAAATTCAATAAATTTGTACTGCATGCCTGCCCTGTGAAACATGTTATGTCACTATCAGGATCTAGATTGAGTGGAATTAATTCAGAGAACACCAAAGATCACTCTAAATCATGTTTTAGAGAAACAGTTGAAATAATCAGAGATGGTTATACTGGAAATAAGAAGATTCTAGGAAAACATGAGAGCCTTCATGCCTAAATATTTAGCCCTTTTTTTTTTCAGAGATTAGACTTGTTTTGTACAGGACAACACAGAATTAATATCAATGAGTAGCAGTCAAAATCAGTAGAATGAAATCATAGCAACCTAAGAAAAAACTTACCATCAAAGCAATCTAAAAATAGAATGAGCTGTTTTAGGAGGAGCAGAAGCCTCACTAGCAATATTGGTACCAGGGACATTATACACTGCAGTATCTGGATACTCAATCTCTAAATGAGTCTTAATCAGATACTGCTACAAATCAAATCATAAATCACATCACCCAAAGTCAAATGCTGCTAACATAATGACATGTTTCCTTCTGATTTTTTTCCCTGTGTACTTGTTTTTTAACATAATAAAATTGTAGCACATATACAATTTTTCACTTTTTATAAAAAAAATTTCTTTCGGCAATTTTGTAGACTACCAATATTTACCAAAGCTTTCACTTTTTTTTTTTTTTTTTTTGAGACAGGGTCTCACTCTGTCTCCCAGGCTGGAATGCAGTGGCATGATCTCGATTCACTGCAACCTCGCTTTCCCCGGTTCAAGCGATTCTTGTGCCTCAGCCCCCCAAGTAGCTGGGATTACAGGCGCACACCACCATGCTCAACTAATTTTTGTATTTTTAACAGAGACAGGGTTTCACCATGTTGACCAGGCTGGTCTCAAACTCCTGGCCTTGTGATCCACCTGCCTCAGCCTCCTAAAGTGCTGGGATTACAGGCATGAGCCACCCCGCCCAGCCAGCTTTCACTTTTTGTTGAACATTTACAGTTTAGTGGTAAGAGCAGTTTTCAAGACATACTACCTGGTTGAATCTCTCTTACTAGCTATACAATCTTGGGAAAGTTACTTATTCATTGTGCCTCAGTCACCTCATTTGTAAAATGGGGACGGTACCTCAGGGAATTGTTGTATTAAAGGAGATTCTACAGCCAAAATGTTTATGTCCCCCATAAAATCCACATGATGAAACCCTAGCCTGTGGGTTGTAGGAGGTGGGGCATTTTGGAAAGAGATTAGGTCATGAGAGGTCAACCCTCATGGGAGTAGTTCCCTTATAAAATAAGCCCAAGAAAGCTCATTTGCCCTATCCACCATGTAAGGACACAATGAGAAGGCACCATTTATGAGTCAGGAAACAGCTCTCACCAGACATGAAATCTACCAGCACCTTGATCTCAGACTTCCTAGCCTCCAGAACTGTGAGAAATAAATGTCTGTTATTTAAGCCACTCAGTCTACTGGATTTTGTTACAGTGGCCCAAAGACACTAAGACAGAATCCAAACCTAAGAATATATCCTCTGCCAGAGTGGTGGCTCACACATGTAGTCCTAGCATTTTGGGAGACCAAGGCAAGAGGATCACTTGAGGCCAGGAGTATAAGACCAACCTGGGCAACACTGCAAGACCCTGTCTCTACAATAAATTTTGAAAAACAAAGAATAGATCCTCTATGTTCCAATGGTTGTTTGGGCCTCTCCTATAGCACCTACCATCTTTTGCCATCAACACTTATTGAGCTTTTACTAAGTAATTTAGTTCAATTCCCCAACAAATGAGGACCTATTAATCTACAAGGCATCTTGCTATGTGCTTGGTATGCATGTAAATATGAAAGGAAACACTTACTCCTGCCCTCAAGTAACTAAGTGATCTTTGGGAATAAGAGATGCATAGTCCTCTAACCATACAATAAGTGTGTTGTGAATATTAAGAGCATAGGCACTGATTTCAGACAGACCCAGTTCCAGTCGTTTTGTCTCTTTCTTTGGGAGACCTTGGGGAAATTACTTAATCTCTAAGCCTCAGTTTCCTTGGCTATGTAATGATGATAATACCTGCTGAAAAGTACTCTAAGACTGGAAAAAGGCAATGTGCATAAAGCACTTAGACCACCTATCCACAGCAGCCTTCCCACTCACTACCACCATGTATACACAGGGATAGGACTGTCTAGGGAGTGTTTCCCTTCCATTACCTAAGGCACTGCACGTCTCTTACAGAATTTATACCAGGCCATCACACTGGACCAGAGCCCAGCCCATCCAAGAGACTCTCATGACCAAATCAAACACATATCACACCCTTTTTGACCTAACTCACCACTACATATGTAAGCTTCTCTCATCATCTCCCAAACTTTTTTACATTTGCTTAGCTGACACAGCTTCTCATCCACTCTATCTGCAATACCAGCTCATCCCATTACCAATAAATCTTTTCTACATCCTCAACCTCATCTCCCAATATTCTTCCCACCTCCTTACCCAGACTGAAACCTGGCTCTTTCCTAGACACTTCCCCAACACCAACTTTATCATCACATACACCTGGGGTTCAGGGTTAGGAGCACAGGTGGATTTACTATGAAGCTTATGAAACTTAAACTCCAGTATCCCTAACTTCTACAAGCTCCTTCTAAGGCAAGTATACTAGGAATGTGTTCAATCACATGTTTTCAAAAAATTGGCGGCCAGGAGCGATGGCTCATGCCTGTAATCCTAGCACTTTGGGAGGCTGAGGTGGGTGGATCACCTGAGGTCAGGAGTTCAAAAGCAGCCTGGCCAACATGGTGAAACCCTGCCTCTACTAAAAATACAAAAAATCAGCCAGGCGTGGTGGCAGACCTGTACAGGCACACCTGTAATCCCAGCTACCTGGCAGGCTGAGGCAGGAGAATCGCCTGAACCCGGGAGGCAGAGGTTGCAGTGAGCTGAAATCATGCCACTGCACTCCAGCCTGGGTGACATAGCAAGACTCCGTCTCAAAAGAAAAAAAAAAAAAATGCTGGGTGCGGTGGCTCACGCCTGTAATCCCAGCACTTTGGGAGGCCAAGGTAGGCAGATCACCTGAGGTCTGGAGTTCGAGAACAGCCATTGGCCGGCATGGAGAAACCCCATCTCTACTAAAAATACAAAATGAGCCGGGCATGGTGGCGCATGCCTGTAATCCCAGCTACTCAGGAGGCTGAGGCAGGAGAATTGCTTGAACCTGGGAGGCGGAGGTTGCAGTGAGCCAAGATCAAGCCACTGCAGCACTCCAGCCTGGGCAACATGAGCAAAACTCTATCTCAAAAAAAAAAGAAAAAAAAATTGGCAAAGATAATTTAGCTGCAACCAGTTAAGATGCTCTTTCCATTCCAGCTTCCCTTCTGTCACACTTCCCCTCCTCTCAGATAAAACTGGGGTTACCAATTCTGTCTTAATCAAAGGCACACAATACAGTTGATCACTCACGTCACTGCTTAAAACAGATTCTACTTGGATGTCTAAGACAAGTCTCAAAGTCAACATGTCCAAATTGAACTTTCTATTCTTCCCAAACCTGGAAAGGCCTATCTCAACAGCAATTCTATCCTTCCAGTTGCTCAGGCCAAAATCCTTGGAGTCATTCTTAGACTGGGTCTCATTCTGTTGCCCAGAGTGCAGTGGCACAAGCCTCCCAAGTAGCTAGGCGTGCACAACCACACCCGGCTAATTTTCTCTTTTAAATTTTTGCTATTCTCCCGCCTAGGCCTCCCCAAGTGCTGGGAATACAGGAGTGAGCCACTACGCCCAGCCCCTAAGAGTCATTATCTACTCCTATCTCCTGTATCGGTTCCTTCAACAAACCTTGTCTCCCACAGTAAGGCTGGCTGTAGTGGTGCTCACCTGTAATCCCAACACTTTGAGAGACCAAGGCGGGCTGATCACTTGAACCCAGGAGTTCAAGACCAGCCTGGACAACAAACCCCGTCTCTACTAAAAACACAAAATATTATCCTGGCATGGTGGTGTACACCATGTCCCAGCTACTCAGAAGGCTGAAGTGGAAGGATAGCTTGAGCCCAAGAGGTTGAGGCTGCAGTGCGCCACTGCACTCCAGCTTGGGTGATAGAGCAAGACCCTGCCCCCCAAAAAAAAAAAAAAAAAAAAAACTTAGTGACTATCTCAACCACTCCCATCTATCCTAATGCAAGCAAATATCACTTGCCTAGACTATTGCAATAGCTTTATTTCTACCTCTGCCTCAGTGAAATGAACTTAAGTTCATTGCTGGGCACAGTAGTGCACACCTGTTGTCCCAGGTACTTGGGAGGCTGCAGGAGAATCAGTTGATCCCAAGAGTTCAGACTAACCTGGACAGCATAGTAATACCCCACCTCTACAAAAGTAAGTTTCCAAATGGATTCTCATCTCACAATATCTAACTATAACCTACAGGGCTACTACAGACCCTGGCCAGCTTTCTCACTCTTCAGCCACAACTTTGCTATTTCTCTGATTCCATCCAGGAATTCTCTTCCCCACAGAATCTATGCTGTAACCTCTATTAAGTTCATAAGCCAAATTTAAGTATGGCTTTCTTCTCTGACCTCAACATCTAGCACATATACCTCTTTTAACCTGCTTTTTTTCAAATAATGCACATTATTATGTATTGCTGCTCTATCAGCATATAAATTCAATTGAGAAGTTTTCATTCACTACAGAATTCTGCATCTGGCATACAGAACTCAAGTATTTGTACAATTGTTATCCACAAGTGGTAGAACAGTACTTTCCAAACTTGGATTGCGTAGGGGCTCTTGTTCAAATGTACACCAATTCAGGAGGCACAGGGTATACCCTAACAACACATTTCTAATAGGCTTCCAGATGACAACGTGTCAAATCCCAAGAATTTTCACCTACCTTCATTTATTCCATCTCACGTCAGCCACCTGCATTACCAATGTTAAAGCAACCACACACTATACCTACACTTCACCTTTTACTGAGTCCAACTTGTACAACCCCTCCAAGTGCTCCCAACTGCTTTTCCCCACAAATACGCACATGCACACATTGACAGATGACAGACCCTGTATCTATTCAAAAGTGTGTGAACATATATGTATATAAATTCCTTAAAACATTTTTTTCTTTAAAGAGACAAGGTCTCAGTATGTTGCCCAGGGTGGTCTCCTGGGCTCAAGCAATCCTTCCACTCTGACCTCCCAAAGTGCTGGGATTACAGGCCTGAACCTGCCAGGTTTTGTAAAGTATAAAAATAAAATTGGCATTTACCAGTTTACTGGCTGGTATGATTTTATGTTAACTCAGAGAAAATAAGCCATTGATACAAGTTTATTGAGAAGGTAATAAAATGTAAGTTTTTAAAGGATTTCTTGCCGGGTGCGGTGGCTCATGCCTGTAATCCCAGAGCTTTGGGGGCCCAAGGCGAGCAGATCACGAAGTCAAGAGATCGAGACCATCCTGGTCAACATGGTGAAACCCCCATCTCTACTAAAAAGAGAAGAATTAGCTAGGTTTGGAGGCTGAGGCAGGAGGCTTGAACCTAGGTTGCAGTGAGCCGAGATCGCGCCACTGCACTCCAGCCTGGCGACAGAGGGGGACTCAGTCTCAAAAAAAAAAAGAAAAAGATTTCTATAAACAATTAGCTATTCCAGTCACATTAGAACACTCATAAACTGAAGGGTTTTTTCAAATGTTTATTTTATATACAAAGAATTATCATGGTTTTTCATTGAGTAGATGCCCCGGATAATCCTCTGAAGGAAGAGCATTTAGTCCAACTGAAAAAAAAAAAGCAGATGATTTATTTCAAAATGCTTTAAATCTCTACTTGATTCTCACAAAAAAAAGGCTCATTATAGAATGTTATAGAATTACAGAACTGGACCTTTGACCTATCCAAACCACACCAGATTCTATGTAGTTTAAATATTTACTGAATGCCTACTCCAGAATCAACCATGTTTTAGAACGATTTTTAGTAACGCTATCGCACTTCTTCCATCAAAGTAATGTTTCCCAAAACACTAGTAAATGATCTTTACCAAATGCACAGGATAGTTGTTCAGTAGGCAACTATAATTACACAGTTCATCATTTTTTTTTTGAGAGAGAGTCTCGCTGTCTCCCGGACTGGAGTGCAATGGAGCCATCTCCACTCACTGCAACCTCAGCCTCCTGGGTTCAAGCGATTCTCCCACCTCAACCTCCTGAGTAGCTGAGACCACAGGCGCGGATCATCATACAAGGCTAATTTTTGTAGAAACAGGTTTTCGCCATGTTGGCAAGGCTTGTTGCGGAAACCCTGGGCTCAAGAAATCTGCCCATCTTGTCGGCCTCCCAAAGTGCTGGGATTTCAGGTGTGAGGCACCTCGCCTGGCCCAGTTCATCTAGGACACAGAGCTAGGGCGTGGGCCAAGGTCCATTTTCTTACGTATGATATACTACCTCTCAAATTAGGCGAACCTCCTCATTTTAACAAGAAGCATATACTGATGAAGTATTTGCTCAGGGCTGCCAAGCCTGAGTTTAAACGTACTTTCTCTGTCCCTGCTGCACTGCAGTATTCATATTAACAATTTACAACAGACAGGGCGCCGTGGATCACGCCTGTAATCCCAGCACTCTGAGGGGTCAAGGCAGGCCCATCTCCTGAGGTCAGGACCTCAAGACCAGCTTGGCCAACATGGTGAAATCCCATCTCCACAAAATAATAAAAATAGGCCGGGCGTGGTGGCAGACGCCTGTAATCCCAGGTACTAGGGAGGCTGAGACAGGAGAATCGCTTGAATCCGGGAGGGGGAGGCTAGTGAGCTGAGATCACGCCACTGCACTCCAGCCTGGGAAACAGAGGGAGACCCAATTTCAAAACAAAAAAAAAAATTTACATCATTATAGAACAGTACTATCCAATACAAAATAATTGATCAGAAAGCTGGTGATTTTTATCTCAAAGAGCCAATAATAAATTCGTTTTCACCTTAAAAAAAAAAACCCAAACTACTATTTAAAAGATTTTCAGAAGCCAAAAGTTTCACAGTCAAAAGTTTCATATAAACACTAGCTTGACTAAGATGATCAAGAGATAGAAGCACTAAATGGCAGACCATTGTTTGCTGAATCTTAACAATGTCTTTCCGGCCCCAAACTTTAAGTTCATTCCAGTGTATGACGCTTTCAAACATTTTGGGTTGGCCGGGCGCGGTGGCTCACGCCTGTAATCTCAGCACTTTGGGAGGCCGAAGCAGGCGGATCACGAGGTCAGCAGTTCGAGACCAGCCTGACCAACATGGTAAAACCCCGTCTCTACTAAAAATAAAAAAATTAGCCGGACATGGTGGCAGGCGCCTGTAATCCCAGCTATTCAGGAGGCTGAGGCAGGAGAATCGCTTGAACCGGGGAGGCGGAGGTTGCACTGAGCGGAGATCACGCCATCGCACTCCAGGTTGGGTGAGTGCGACTCCGACTCAAAAAAAAAAAAAAAAAAACTTGGGGTCAGCGGTTAATACATATATTTGGTTAGAAAATATCTAGGTACAGCCGCGCGTGGTGGCAAGAGCCTTTAGTCCCAGCTACTCGGGACGCCAAGGCAAGAGGATCGCCTGAGACCAGGAGGAGTTCGAGGCTGCAGTGAGCCGTAACAACGCCACTGCACTTCAACCTGGGCGACAGAGGGAGACCCTATCTCTAAAAAAAAAAAAAAGAGAATAGGTACTTACAAGATTGATAAATGAAACAAATGTAAAACAATTTTAGTGGCTTCTCTAAAGTGAATTTCACCAAACACAATACACGGCACCTAAAACTGGCTAAGCTATCTAGGTAAAAAAGGGAGTAGGAAAGACTAAGTCCTTCACCTTCTCCATTCTATTAATTTGATTGCCCAAACCATCAACACTGTCACCAGCTACCAACTAAAAAAAGAGGAAAAGCTCTTGGTCGAATGCTCAGAATTACCACTCCAGGGAAGATCTGTCCGTTTGTCTTTCGCGGAAAAAATAACCCCCACAACCTTCTCTGCCCAAACAACATGGAGTACGCCTGCAGACGCCTACCTTAATGAAACCGATATCCTTCGCGTACTGACGGAAACACTGGCGGCACATATTGAGGCCATATTTCCGGATCAGACCGTGCCGGTTTGAACAGACACGACTGTAAGAAAAGAGACAGCGGTTTTGCAGGTCATAGAAATTACAAGACTCCGCACTCAGACGGCTACTACCCGCATCCCGGGACTCCCAAGCCACAGTACAGGCCTGTAATGGCGGCACCAGCGACTCCCAGTCGGCGTGCTCCCTCGTGCCGCCCGTGGCCTCCTCTACTTGAGATTTTAAGCAGCCTAGCGCTCCACGGCAACGCTTCCCCAAAATCACAAACTATTTCTCACCAAGAGCGAGAACCCTGGCCGAATTTTCGCGGGTGGCTCCAGTACAGCTGCTGGTGACCCATCTTGCTCTCAGCAGTGCAACGAGGTAAAAGGAAGAAGCTGGCCCACGCATGCGCTCTTCAAATTTTTGAGACAGTTTACCCAGAATGCAGTGCTCAAAGGAAACGCGTGCGCAGTGTGGTCAGGTTGTTTCGCTGGGTGAGTAAAATGAAATCTTAGAGGCGTTGTGGGCTGGCCCAGTTGATGACGTCACCATACCACAGCTTCTAGTGCTATTCTGCGCCGGTATCCGACCGCCGGGCGCGGTGGCGCGTGCCTGTAGTCCCAGCTACTCGGGAGGCTGAGGCTGGAGGATCGCTTGAGTCCAGGAGTTCTGGGCTGTAGTGCGCTATGCCGATCGGGTGTCCGCACTAAGTTCGGCATCAATATGGTGACCTCCCGGGAGCGGGGGACCACCAGGTTGCCTAAGGAGGGGTGAACCGGCCCAGGTCGGAAACGGAGCAGGTCAAAACTCCCGTGCTGATCAGTAGTGGGATCGCGCCTGTGAATAGCCACTGCACTCCAGCCTGGGCAACATAGCGAGACCCCGTCTCTTTTGAACAATAAATACGTTAATTTTGGACTCTCAAGAGATGAATATTCTCATAGTCTTTTTTATTGATTAAACCTTTTACTTTCTTTTAATTAAAACGTTACACTTGGGAAAGGAGTTTTTCCTCGACTCACCAGTGACACCTACTGGAATAAATTTACAAAACAACTTAAAATCAGCTGTAATGATCACGAGTCAACGGTAGGGTTTGCTTTTATTTTGTTAAAGAGAGTACGTTTTCAAATTTATTTTTTTGACACACTCCTCCAAGAAATACACCTACACCATTCCAAAAAAAAATGAGATTCTTTGGCATTTAGTGTATTTGATTCTTAAATGTAATTGGCTGAATGTAAAGTAATAAACAAGTAATGTGCAGTGTATGTTGCTTTGACCAGATAATTTGGTGACAAAACAAGTAATGAAAAGCAAATGCAAAAATGCAAAAAACCAATGTCAATAAACGAATTTCTGCTGAAAGATACCTACATTCCATATGGTCATTTATAATGCCTCCAGATAAAACTGCTCTGAAATCAAAGCTTTAACTAGATTTATAAAATGTAGCACAGGGTGCAACAATTCCAGAAACTTTTACATATAAACTTTTATAAATTGAAATACAACACTTCTTTAAGGTATGTTATGTCAGGGTTCTAGTGGGGTCCCCCTACCCAATCATTAAGTTAGGCATTGTATTATATGATTAAGGAAGGAGGGGAGTCAGAGATTTGTAAACTAGATATAACTTGCTCCTTGCCCTCAAAATTTTCTAATCTGTGGGAAACAGGATTATCTCCAAGACTTCAACATACAACGTTTGTGCACCAACAACATATGTACAGCTAAGGAAAATATTCTGTATTAAATCATGGGTGTGCTCATGAAGTACGAAAGGAGCCAAGAAGAGAAATTAATTCCAGTTCGAGGTACATTTGAGAGACCTTTGAGGTAGACCTTGAAGAATGGGATTTCTACAGGCAGCACTTGACAGAAGGGAATGCCTGGTGAAAGGAAGCGCTTGAGCCAAGGTAAGGTGAACAACTTTGTGTAACTAGAATAGAAGATGGACAAAAGGCCTAGTGATAGGAATGAAAAGGTATTTTATTTTAAAGCCTCATTGGGCAAGATCCAATGTCAAGCTTTTACAACTTTCCTATAATTTATATCAGTCACTAATGTGTGGTTTCCAAAAGCCATTTGCCTCTCAAAAGCTAATCTAACATTTGTCCACACTTTCTTAGGCCTCTTCTAGTTGGTCTCCACAATATTTAAAACATTACAGTGGTTCTGAGATCAATTCCATTAATATTTTTAGTACTCTGATATATAAGCCTTTGGGCCTAAAGAAGTGAATTCATTTAGGAGAGAAAAAAAGACAAATGAGAAGCAATTAGTTGCACTTCAACAATCTTAATCTGAATACTTAAGTAATTCTTAATACTTATTCTAGTCTATACATTATTCTCTTTGATAGAGATATTGCAAAAGTGCAGCTAAGACGTCGTACTTCCTTTCAGTTTTAAGATAATGTGACACCATCTATCCCAAACCATGAAATTATCCATTTCTTTTTCAACAAACTGAGAACACAGCTTTAAAAGTTCATTTTAACTCGGTGTTTATCAAGAGCTTTTATGTTTTGTTTTGTTTTTTTTCCTTTTTTTTTGAGACGGAGTCTCACTCTGTCGCCCAGGCTGGAGTGCAATGGCACCATCTTGGCTAACTGCAACCTGCACCTCCTGGGTTCAAGGGATTCTCCTGCCTCAGCCTCCCGAGTTGCTGAAATTACAGGCACGTGCCACCACACCCGTCTAATTTTTTACATTTTTGGTAGAGATGGGGTTTCACCATGTTGGCTAGGCTGGTCTCGAAGTCCTGACCTCGAGTAATCCACCCACCTCAGCCTCCCAAACTGCTGGGATTACAGGAGTGAGCCACCACGCCCGGCCTAAGAGCTTTTATCTTAATCCTGTAGTCTTCTTACAGTTTCTGAGTCCTTTTTTTTTTTTTTTTTTTTTTTTTTGAGACGGAGTCTGGAGTCTCGCTCTGTGACCCAGGCTGGAGTGTAGTGGTGCGATCTCGGCCCACTGCAAGCTCCGCCTCCCGGGTTCACGCCATTCTCCTGCCTCAGCCTCCCGAGTAGCTGGGACTACAGCGCCCGCCACCATGCCCGGCTAATTTCTTTTTGTATTTTTAGTAGAGACAGGGTTTCACCCTGTTAGCCAGGATGGTCTCGATCTCCTGACCTCATGATCCGCCCGCCTCGACCTCCCAAAGTGCTGGGATTACAGGCGTGAGCCATCTTAGTTCTCTTTTATACATGGGTTTGAAATGCTTCTTCTTTTAGAACACATTTTCCTTTAATAGGATATTTATTGGGTTTGGGTTCTTTGTTTTTTAAAAAATGTACAATGAAGTGCAAAGAAAAAGAAAAAAAAAAGTGCCATAATGTCCTTGCCCAGATAACCCTACTAATATTTTTCTTTTGAAAAACTAAAAGTAATATACATGTAAGATCGAAGCATTCTAACACTGCAAAGTATAGATCTTATTTTTAAGTACATTGGAATAATATGCATGTTAGGACACTATTATTCAAGATGTCTTTAATTTTCTTTCTCAAATTATTCTTACAGTCTTCTGTGATCATCCATCCAGAATTTAATCATTTAAAAACCTTCATCTTAGACGTATACACTGCTGATGGGAATGTAAATTACTTCAGCACTGTGGAAAGCAGTTTGGTGATTTCTTAAAGAATTTAAAACAGAACTGTCATTTGACCAGCAATCCCATTACTGGATATATACCCAAAAGAATATAAATCATTCTACAGTAAAGGCAAATGCATATGTATGTTCATCGCAGCACTATTCACAATAGCAAACACACTGAATCAACCTAAATAGCAATTTTTTAAGCAACAGTAGACTGGATAAAGAAAATGTAGTACATATACACTATGGAATGCTACACAGCCACAGAAAAGAACAAGATCATGTCCTGTGCAACAGCATGGATGGAGCTGGAGGCCATTATCCTAAACAAACTAACACAGGAACAGAAAACCAAACACCACGTTCTCACTTATAAGTGAGAGCTAAACATTGAATACACATGGACCCAAAGAAAGTAATAGACAGCAGGGCCTACTTGAGGGTAGAGGGTGGGAGGAGGGTGAGGATTCGAAAAGTACCTATTAGGTACTAAGCTTATTACCTGGGTGATGAAATAATAACCCCTGTGACACACAATTTATCTATAGAACCAACCTGTACATGTTTCCTTGAAACTAAAAGTTTTTTTAAAAACACCTGGCCAGGCATGGTGGCTCACGCCTGTAATCCCAGCACTTTGGGAGGCTGAGGCAGGCAGATCACAAGGTCAGGAGTTCTAGACCAACCTGGCCAATATGGTGAAACCCGGTCTCCACTAAAAATACAAAAATTAGCCAGGCATGGTGGCGGGCGCCTGTAGTCCCAGCTACTCTGGAGGCTGAGGCAGGAGAATCGCTTAAACCCAGGAGGCAGAGCTTGCAGTGAGCCGAGATTGCGCCACTGCACTCTGGCCTGGGCAACAGAGTGAGATTCCGTCTCAAAAAAAAACAAAAAACAAAAAAACCTGCATCGCTCTTGAGTTACTTTCAATTTTGGAACCTTTGGGAATAGAATCATACTTTTCCTCTAAACTTTACAAAACCTATTTTACCATAGACAGAGTCTAAAATACATGTTTCGCATGTTTGGTTATTACAATATGCACACTTCAGTATCATGCCCCGGTTTTTTCCAGTTGGTTAGAATTAGGTCTTTTTTTTTTTTTTCTTTTTGAGACGGAGTCTCACTCTGTCACCCAGGCTGGAGTGCAGTAGGGCCATCTCGGCTCACTGCAACCTCCACCTCCCAGGCTTAAGCGATTCTCCTGCCTCAGTCTCCTGGGTAGCTGAGATCACAGGCGTGTGCCACCACTCCCAGCTAATTTTTGTGTTTTTAGTAAAGACGGGGTTTTGCCATGTTGGCCAGGCTGGTCTCGAACTTCTGGCCTCTAGTGATCTTCCCCCTCAGCCTCCCAAAGTGCTGGGATTACAGGCATCAGCCACCACGCCCAACCAGAATTAGGTCTTTATTAATAATTATTAACCCTTCAAAAAAGCCCAGTTGTTCAATAGTGTTATGTGTTTGTCCATATCGATTTTAGCAAATATTAATATTTTAATTAACTGTACATATTATATTTTAAAGTAAAACATACATACTTCAGGAAAGGGGACTCAGAAAAAGGAAAAAAATACATACATACATGCATACATTAAATATATTATCAAAAGTAAGTCTTTCTCCAACCCTAGACCCCTATTTTCCCAGTCTCCCTGTCCAAACCAACAAGTTAGCAGTTTTTAGAGGTTTTCTGTTTGTTTGTTTGTTTGTTTGTTTGTTTGTTTTCACAGAGTCTCACTCTGTTGCCCAGGCTGGAGGGCAATGGTGCAGTGCAATCTCAATCTCAGCTCAGGGCAACCTCCACCTCCCGGCTCAAGCGATTCTCCTGCCTCAGCCTCCCAAGTAGCTGGGATTACAGGCGCATGTCACCACACCCAGCTAATTTTTGTATTTTTAGTAGACACGGAGTTTCACCATGTTGGCCAGGCTGGTCTTGAACTCCTGACCTCAGGTAATCCACCCGCCTCAGCCTCCCAAAGTGCTGGGATTACAGGGATGAGCCACCATGCCTGGCCCAATTTGATTTTTTTTTTTTTTTTTTTGAGATGGAGTCTTGCTCTGTCAGCCAGGATGGAGTGCAGTGGCGTGATCTCGGCTCACTGCAACCTCTGCTTCCCGGGTTCAAACGATTCACCTACCTCAGCCTCCCGAGTAGCTGGGATTACAGGCGCCCACCACCATGGCTGGCTAATTTTTTGTGTTTTTAGTAGAGACAGGGTTTCACCGTGTTAGCCAGGATGGTCTCGATATCCTGACCTCATGATCCGCCTGCCTCGGCCTCCCAAAGTGCTGGGATTGCAGGCATGAGCCACCACGCCCGGCCCCAATTTGATTTTTTAAAGTCCACTTAGCAAGATTCAATTTGATTTTCTGATGAGACAGAGCGTATTTTCCTATGTTTATAAGCCAGACATATATCTTTATCTGGGAACTTTTTTGAGTCCACAGCCCAATTTTTTTAATCCATTGGTAAGCTAGTTTATATATTTATAAATACTTATGTATAAGGAAATACACCTTTGACCTTCATATAAGATGCAAAGTTATTTTCTTTGCCACCATCCCAGATTCTTACTTATTTTTTAAATTTGTTTATGGTATATTTTTCCATGCAAAAAGTTTTTTTTTTTATTTTTTATTTTTGGCTAGTCAAGTGAAGCAGTGGGAGTAGAGAAGGAACAAATAAATCTGTAACTGGTTGTAATTAATTAGTTGTAAACTCCACTGCACTCGGACCAGCACCATGCAAAAAGTTTTAAAGTCTATGTTTTTTTTTTTTTTTTTTTTTGAGACGGAGTTTCACTCTTGTTGCCCAGGCTGAAGTGCAGTGGCGTGATCTTGCCTCACCTCAACCTCTGTCTCCCGGGTTCAAGCGATTCTCCTGCCTCAGCCTCCCGAGTAGCTGGGATTACAGGCATGCGCCACCACCCCCAGCTAATTTTGTATTTTTAGTAGAGACGGGGTTTCTCCATGTTGGTCAGGCTGGTCTTGAACCCCCGCCGGCCAAAAGTCTATGTATTAAAATTAACTTGCCGGGCGCAGTGGCTCACACCTGTAATCCCAGCACTTTGGGAGGCCGAGACGCGTGGGTCACCTGAGGTCAGGAGTTCGAGACCAGCCTGACCAACATGGAGAAACCACGTGTCTACGAAAAACACAAAATTAGCCCGGCGTGGTGGTGCATGCCTGTAATCCCAGCTACTCAGGAGGCTGAGACAGGAGAATCGTTTGAACCCAGAAGGCGGAGGTTGCAGTGAGCCGAGATTGCGCCACTGCACTCCAGCCTGGGCAGCAAGAGCGAAACCGCATCTCAAAAAAAAAAAAATTAAAATTAACTTGTCACACTACTGCCTTTAGGTTTTGCATCAAAATTCTTTAAAGGTTACATGTGTTTTCCTGTGATATTTTTAAAGTTTTTATTTAAATCTTGAAACCACCTAAAATTTATGTCACTGTTCCCCAGGAATGAAGGAGAAATTCAGCTTTTTTCTCCTCCCAAATGGCTACTTATCCCAACACAAGCCGTATTAATTGCATGTAAGGCTGCTGTATTCTAGCACAATGCATGCTTTCAGAAATATTTGCTAAATGAATAAATGAAAAGCAGTATTTGTTTATTCTTTCTACAAATATGCATTGAGTACCGACTGCATATAACCACTATGCTAGGCTTTGCATATAACAGTAATGACTCAGAAGCCAGGAAGCATATCATCTAGCGGTGAAGATAAGCATTAAATAAGTAATCATATAGCAATATTTTGAACAGGATAAAATTCCTCTTACAGTCAACACTCAAATGTGCTGGATAAAATATGACATTTTGGCCGGGCGCAGTGGCTCATGCCTGTAATCCCAGCACTTTGGGAGGCCAAGGTAGGTGGATCACCTGAGGTTAGGAGTTTGAGACCAGCCTGACTAACATGGTGAAACTCCGTCTCTACTAAAAATGCAAAAGTTAGCCAGGTGTAGTGTAATCCCAGCTACTCAGGAGGCTGAGGCAGGAGAATCGCTTGAACCTGGGAAGTGGAAGTTGCAATGAGCCGAGATCACGGCATCGCACTCCAGCCTGGGCGACAGAGCAAGACTCTGTCTCAAAAAAAAAAAAAAAAAAAAAAAAGACGTTTTAAAATGCAGAGGTGAGCTCACAAGAAAGGGGTATACTGGGGGCAGGTGCTAAGTGGGAACTGAAAAAACAGAGGCTGTCCTGGGGCAATCTGTCCTCCTAAGTAATATTACATATAACCTGGATTCCAAAGGGAGCAAGAGACAAGCCTTTGGGCAACTGTATTTAATCAAATTGTGATGAGTAGAAATCCATGAAGGTTTTTGGGAGAAATTAAATACAGCATCTGAGACTTGAGTTCTAGTCCTGTTTATTCTAACATTGACTGTCTATGAGGTCATGGTCAAATAGTGTACCTTTACTCTTAATTCCATTCCCTCTTGTGCAAAATGAGAGAATTGAAGTAAAATATCTATAAACGACATTTCAGCTCTAAAACTTGAGGATTCTATGATAGGATATCCCTCTACAAATTTAATTTGGCTGCAGTATGGATGGTGGATTATTACAACAGCCTCCTAACTGATACATCTGCTTTCAGGCTTGCTCTACCTCCAAAATCATCTTTTTACTGACCACAAGAACCTTTCCTGATCAGGTCTGAATTTTATCCCGCTTAAAATTTTTCAAAGGTTTTCCAGAACTTTCAGAGCCTGGGGGACAGGGTGTGAACCTGTCTCAAAAAAAAAAAAAATCCTAAGTGTTAAATGAATGAATAAATGTATTGAAGCAAGAAGACCTGGTAAATTTAGCAACAGCTCTGTAGCAAAGTAATGCAGCTCTGAATTGATACGGCAGTGCTAAGAATGGAAAGGTGGTCATTCATTAGTAAATAATCGTGGAAACACAATCTATAAGACATTCAAAGAGTGTCACTGATGAAAGGCAGAACTTAGAGGAGTGAAAGTTGCAGATACCAGGATGAAATCACTTTTGTCAGAACCAAACAAAATAGGGCCAGAAAGGCAAAAAGGAAAGGGCTCATGTTTGTATGTCTGAGATAAGAACTGTTTCTGAAGACTTTCTAAAAACTCCACAAGAGATCACTTCACATCCTTCACACATGTCCTCCTTTGCACAGTTGGCAGGTTTCAGACATATACATATATTTCTATGACAAGGCTTATCATTCTTTAGGACTGCAGTAATTTAGATAAGAAGCTCTCAAAAGAACACTTGCCCAGTAACAGCATCTCCACCAATGAACTGATGACAGCTCTGGCTCTGAGCCTCTGGAACCAATGAACTCTGTTCATTGAACAGAACTCTTGCTTCTGTTTCCAAGCAGCTTTATTTGAACTTGCCCTTTTTGCCAATAAAAGCTTCCTTTTACCCTTCCCTCACTGGACGTACTTTTGGCTTGCCATTTCGTGCATCCTGAATTCTAATATTCTCTTCCCATTTCTGAATAAATTCAACATATTTGGAGATATTTTTCTCCAGTCTTTTTTTTCCCTTTTTTGAGACTGAAAGAGGTCTGATGCTTAGGTGCATATTTTTTAACTATTTAGCTGTATTGAGTCTTAGATGATGTTTACCACTAAAAAAAAAACTAACTCCAACATCTGGATCAAATGTGCTAGGGCAAGCAAGTCTACACTGTCCATAGATTGTGACCTCGTTCTTTAAGAATCTGATGTGGGTGGGGCATGGTGGCTCATACCTGTAATCCGAGCACTTTGGGAGGCTGAGGCAGGAGGACAGCTTGAGGTCAGGAGTTCAAGACCAGACTAGGCAACATAGCAAGAACCCCCATCTCTAGCAAAAAGTAAAAAAACAAACAAAAAAACCACACACATCTGGCCATGGTGGCACGCACCTGTAGTCTCAGCTACTCGGGAGGCTGGGGTAGGAGGATGGCTTGAGCCCAGGAGTTTGAGGTTGCAGTGAGCTATGAATGTTGCCACTGCACTCCAGCCTGGGTGAAACCCTGTCTCCAAAACTAAGCTAAACTAAAAAAAAAAAAATTCTGATGTGACTGTGATTTTACTAGCTCAAACATAATGAGCTACAAAGTGAGCAAAGTTCACTATGACTACAAATGAAAAGTTGAAAGAAATCCATTGTCGGCAGGGCGCGGTGGCTCACGCCTGTAATCCCAGCACTTTGGGAGGCTGGGGCGGGTGGATCACCAGAGGTCAGGAGTTCGAGACCAGCCTGACCAATATGGTGAAACCCCGTCTGTACTAAAAATACAAAAATTACCTGGGCATGGTGACAGGCACCTGTAATCCCAGCTACTCAGGAGGCTGAGGCAGGAGAATCGCTTGAGCCGGGGAGGCTGAGGTTGCAGTGAGGCGAGATCGTGCCACTGCACTCCAGCCTGGGCAACAGAGCGGAAGGAAGGAAGAAATGAAGGAGGGAGGGAGGGAGGGAGGGAGGGAACCATTATCTGTTGAATGCCTAGTATGTGCCAGAAAGCCAGGGAAATAAATGAAAAGTGCAATTGGAGCTTGCAAAAAGGAAGGTCAAGATGCTAAAGAAGGTTTAGCGGAAACTGAACTGGGATTTGATCATATTAATTAATATGAACAAAAAGAGAGAAAAGAATGTAGTTTGTAGGCCAGGTAGAAGAAGAACTAATTTTATAGAAGAAAAACAAATCTAAATGTTATATCTTTTATTTCTCTTGTCAAAAACTTGTAGTCCAATTATTTTTAACTCCTTATGTATTTCCATTTTCAGTCTGTCTACAAGGAAAACTGACTCGAGGTAATTAAGGATAGAGATCAAGGGGCAGATTTTATTTGTATGGTGGTAAAGTTCAAAGGGCTCTTTGCTCCACAATCGATCCACTAAGACCAAAAACTTTAGGTGTACTCTAGAGTGTCACATCCAAGTATTTAAACCATTAAATTTGGGTGGACAAAGGGGAGGATGTGGAAAGGGAAATGAGATACCAAAAACTGATAGATGTTTAAAAAAGAGGTAGTTTGGAAACTACCTTTTTTAAGACTGACAATTAGGAAGATACATTTTTGGCAGTATATACCACTGTTTCACTCTAAAATCACCGTTGAACTGTTATGTAACTTTCATCTATTTATTTAATTACTGAATCCATGCTTCAACAACCCAAGCCTAAGTAACACCAAATAAAGGACTGAGATTGAGGCTTTTTTTTTTTTTTTTTGAGACAAGGTCTCGCTCTGTCGCCCAGGCTGGAGGGCAGTTCTTCGCTCACTACCTCTGCCTCCTAGGCTCAAGCTGGGACTACAGACGCGCGCCGCCCCGCCCAACTAATTTTTTCTTCTTCTTTTTTTTTTTTTTTTTTGAGAGTCTCGCTCTGTCGCCCAGGCTGGAGTGCAGTGGCACTATCTCGGCTCACTGCAACCTCCGTCTCCCAGGTTCAAGCGATTCTCCTGCCTCAGCTTCCCGGGTAGCTGGGACTACAGGTGCGCGCCAACACTCTGTCTAATTTTTGTATTTTTAGTAGAGACGGGGTTTCACCATGCTGGCCAGGCTGGTCTCCAACTCCCGACCTCAGGCGATTCTCCCGCCTCGGCCTCCCAAAGTGCTGGGATTACAGTCGTGAGCCACCGCGCCCGGCCTAGTTAATTTTTTAATTTAATTTTTTTGTGGAGACGAGGTCTCACTATTGCCCAGGCTAATCTCGAACTTCTGGGCTAAGCGATCCTCCTGCCTCGAGCCTCCCAAATTGTTGGGCTTACAGGCGTGAGCCACCGCACCTGGCGGAACATTTCTACTCTAATGAAAATTATAACAGTTTTTACAGTTTTCCTAGCTCCCAACTGTACCTATAAGTTCAGAGTCCATTTAATGTACTTGTAATAATTCAGGCTGGTGTTTTATTATCTTTTCTACATTATTACCCTCTCAAAGAACAAAAGCAGGTAACTCCTATAAAGTCTAATAGTCTGAAAATTGTAGTGTCCGTTTTCTCTTTAGCCATAAAGTTTTGCTTAAATGCTGAGTCGCGTTTTAATGCTCTACTAGATGTACATATAAGAATACTAAATGGAGGGAAAGTAATTTCTTTTTTTTTTTTGAGACGGGGTCACTCAGGCTGGAGTGCCAGTGCGCGATTACAGCTCACCGGAGCCTCTCGACCTCCCCAGGCTCAAGTGATCCTGCCACCTCAGCCTCCCCAATAGCTGGGACTACAGACACGCGCCACCACGCCCGGCTAATTTTTTTGTATTTTTCTTAGAGACTGGGTTTTGCCATGTTGCCCAAACTGGTCTTGAACTCCTGGGCTCAAGCGACCTGCCTGCCTCAGCCCCGCAAAGTGCTGGGATTACAGGCGTGAGCCACCGCGCCCGGCCATAATTTTATCTTAATCACTTTTTTCCAGGAACTATTACGTTTCAAAGAATGAGGAATTAACTGACAACACTTCAGGTTCAACATGTAAATAGGGACGCTCATTTGAGAATAAATCACATTTTGTCACAGTTGTATTGAAAAATCGGTATTTCTGAACGTCATTTTACCATTACGGAAGTATAACTCAGACACAATAAAATGTTTAATATACGGCTAGGATTAGGTTAAGGTGAGAGAGGCGCCTAGAGCACAAATTTTAAGGAGGCAAGACCACGACCCCGACCGTGAGCGCCTGCTTAACATTTGCTCCCCAGGCGCTTCCCACTCCCCAGCCGGGCCCCGTCCTAGTTCAATCAATCAAGAAAATCAAGAGTACGAAGGCCTTGTGCGGTCTGGACGGTCTTTCCACGTCTCAGGTGCAGTTAAGCCAGTCACACTCCATCCACCTACCCGCCATGAAAAATTATTTGTTCAGCAGGAATTGCCAAGTCAAATACAGCCATATAAAGCCCCCCTTCGACGTGCCAGGTGTGCCTCCGGAGAGCAGCCACCAAAACCACCAGCAGCCCGTCCGCGCCGGGAAATGCGCCCTCGCTGGCTTACGGGGCCACTCAGACAGTTCTAAGTGCCTTTCCCTGTAACGCAGAGGCACACCTGCCTTCCCTCGGGAAACAGCGGCCCGACGTGCGCCCGCAACGCGTAAAGCGTCAACAGCTGAAACCCTCGGAATCCTCCCCGAACAGAAACAACCACCGCTGCCAGCTGCGCGCTCGGGGGAAAAGACGTTGCGCCCCCGCCGACTGCCGGTTTCCCGGGCGCGAGCCCGGATCCAGGTGGTCAGTCCCGGTACGCAACCACGGCGAGAACCCGGCCCTGCTAAGGGAGAAGGGAAGCCGTTTCCCGCGGGCTTCATACAGACACGGTGCTAAGACAGCCCGAGTCGCGGACCAGTCCAACAGGCAGGCAGATCAGTGGGCAGCCCGCGTGCGCGAGGACCCCGATGGCGGCGCCGGGTGGCGGGAAGGAGGAAGTTTCAAAGCCAGCTTGACGTGGTTGTGGCCGTTGGGCGAGATGAAGCTACACTGTGAGGTGGAGGTGATCAGCCGGCACTTGCCCGCCTTGGGGCTTAGGAACCGGGGCAAGGGCGTCCGAGCCGTGTTGAGCCTCTGTCAGCAGACTTCCAGGAGTCAGCCGCCGGTCCGAGCCTTCCTGCTCATCTCCACCCTGAAGGACAAGCGCGGGACCCGCTATGAGGTGCGTGAAGTGGGCAGGCCCTGTCAGTCTCGCGTTCTTCTTGGAAGCCGAGACGCGGGCCACCCTCGGTCCTCATGCTCCCGGCTGCTCCCTAGGCGAAAGCCCGCCTTGGGGGTTCCTGAACTCCCAGCCTTGAGACCTACCATCAGCCCGACCCCAGGGTCCTGTGCGTCTTCCTACGGACCCGAAAGAAGAAAGCTTTGAGAGTGTACCTTTTCGCTATTTTTCCTCCCCACTTTTACGACTTTGAATTTACAGTGTTGCTATTTAGTAGTGGATGGCAATCCCGCCTGTTTCAAGTTTCTGAAATTTTGCGTGAAACAAGCGCAAATGAAGCAGCTGTCCAGTTGGGGAACAGTAAAATAACTGCAGTTCTGTTCAGTGAATTCTTTCTCCCACAATATTCTCCCTAGCTTAAAAAAGCAGGTCGGCCGCCCTCCCCACAGTTGCCGTCTCCCCCGGGGCCGGCCGGTCTTATGATCCGGCGGATCCTCCTGGGGAGGCCGGGACGGGGAGAGGGCGCGGGCGCCGAGTGGCGGGGGCAGCGGGCGGGCGCGGCGACCGGGGCCGGGGCGGGGATCCGGGCGGCGACCGCGGCGGCGGCAGCGCCGCGGGCCTGCGGCCCTCTCCCCTCCGGCGAGGGGAGTCGCTGCTTGGGGCCGGGGGGGCGGCCCCGCGGCGTGGAGCGGCGGCGACGGCGGCGGACCCTCCAGGCGGGCTGAGGCTGAGCCCGGGGCCGGGGCGGGGGCTCCGGGGGGACCATGCCCGGAGGCCGGCCGGCAGCAGCATCATGGCTCACGGGCCCGGCGCGCTGATGCTCAAGTGCGTGGTGGTCGGCGACGGGGCGGTGGGCAAGACGTGCCTACTCATGAGCTGTGCCAACGACGCCTTCCCGGAGGAGTACGTGCCCACCGTCTTCGACCACTACACAGTCAGCGTCACCGTGGGGGGCAAGCAGTACCTCCTAGGACTCTATAACACCGCCGGACAGGAAGACTATGACCATCTGAGGCCTTTATCTTACCCAATGACCGACGTCTTCCTTATATGCTTCTCGGTGGTAAATCCAGCCTCATTTCAAAATGTGAGGGAGGAGTGGGTACCGGAACTTAAGGAATACGCACCAAATGTACCCTTTTTATTAATAGGAGCTCAGATTGATCTCCGAGATGACCCCAAAACTTTAGCAAGACTGAGTGATATGAAAGAAAAACCTATATGTGTGGAACAAGGACAGAAACTAGCAAAAGAGATAGGAGCATGCTGCTATGTGGAATGTTCAGCTTTAACCCAGAAGGGATTGAAGACTGTTTTTGATGAGGCTATCATAGCCATTTTAACTCCAAAGAAACACACTGTAAAAAAAAAAGAATAGGATCAAGATGTATAAACTGTTGTTTAATTACGTGAGAAACATCTTCAGTGGCCAAGGAAACTGTCCATTTCTCTCAGAAAGCAAATGAAATGCTGCAGCTATACCCAGACCTTTTATAGGTAATGAAGCAGTTCAAAACTTGAAAGAAAACAAAACCTGTCCTCAGAATTCTGTAAAGTTTATTAAGAATGTTCCTTAAAGATTTAAGAAGCAGTAAGCAGCATCTGAAGCCACAATCTATTATAAATACTTTATTTCAACTAGAAGGTACAATCTCTCAGGGGTTTCATAGTTTAAAAAGCTACAATCACATCATGTTGTAACTACATAAAAAACAGAGCTGTAGATGGAACTGCTTGGCTTTGACCATACACATTTCTGCACAGCCCTTACAGAATCTGCACAAAGAAATATCTCCCTTTTCTCCAGTTAATTGTTCTTGTATGTAAGTTGCTTTCTATTCCAGCATACCCAGAGTGGTGAAATAACAAGGCCAGCCACGTAGCCAAAGGTCGCTCCAAGCGTACAGGAGATGGGCCATACCTGAGGAGAGAATGTATGAGATCAAAAAAGAACAAATGTTTTATTACTTGAGCACAAGTGTAACCTAAATATTTCTATATTAAAGCTTAATGTGCTTTCTTAAAAAAAATCAGGTCACAGCATCCTGCACTTGCCTTGTCTTGATATTTGTTATGCTTATAAGTACTTGTTTAATAACTATCTCTCATCAGATTGTCAACTCTTTAAGTGTAGTTACCCTGTCAGTCTTATTCATTGCTATGTCCCAAGCCCCTATTAGAGTACCTGGTACATAGTGGGTTCTGAATCAATAGTTGTTGAAATCTAAAGCAGATGCAACAGCAATCATTAATTTTTTTTAAATTTTAAATATGCCATTTATATAGATGATAATCATTAAATTTTTTTTGAGCACTCATTATGTGTCAGTCATCGTTCTAGCACTCAGGATAGAATAGCAAAGGAGACAAGATTCCTGCTCTCATGGAGTTTGTATATAACCTACTGGGAGGTGTGCCCACCCCAGGCTAATGGACTGAAGTTATGAAGGCAAGTAACTGCTATTGGCAACTCTTCCTACAGTTACATAGTTGGAATGGGAGAAAAGGAGCATTCTCTCAAAACATGGTGATCCTGTTCTCAAAGGAGAGTTACTGGACAGACAGAGCAGTAACATCCACCACCAGCTAGATGAGGAGTATAACTTCCCAACTGCTAAAAAAAAAAAAAAAAAAAAAAACTTTAAAACTTGGCCACGCGCCGTGGCTCATGCCTGTAATCCCAGCACTTTGGTAGGCCCAGGCAGGCAGATCACTTGAGGCCAGGAGTTCTAGACCAGCTTGGCCAACATGATGAAACCGTGTTTCTACTAAAAATACAAAAATTAGCCGGGCATGGTGGCACGCACCTGTAATCCGAGCTACTCAGGAGGCTGAGTCATGGGAATTGCTTGAACCTGGGAAGTGGAGGTTGCAGTGATGGCACCACTTCACTCCATCCTGGGTGAGAGTGAGTGAGACTCTGTCTCAAAAAAAAACAACTTTTTTTTTTTTTTTTTTTTTTTTTTTGAGAAGGAGTCTCTTTCTGTTGCCCAGCCTGGAGTGCAGTGGCGTGATAAAAAGCTTTAAAACTTAAAATGAAAACACTCAGACTCAAGGACTAAAAGCCAAACCAAAGCCTGGCAAAGTAACTGGCACATTCTAGTTGTAATAAATGTTACTGAGTAACAATAATTAGTTTTCTTCTTTTTTTTCTATTGGTTTTATGCAGCTAAGGGAGAACATTGAGCAATTCTTCACCAAATTTGTAGATGAGGGGAAAGCCACTGTTCGGTTAAAGGAGCCTCCTGTGGATATCTGTCTAAGTAAGGTATGGTATTAAAAACATTAATGATTAATATTTGGCTGTATTTTCTTTATTTTTTAGAAACAGAGTCTTGTTCTGTCACCCAAGCTGAAGTACAGAGGCATAGTCATAGCTCACTGCATCAAACACCTAGGCTCAAGCGAGCCTCCTGAATATCTGGGACTAAAGGTGTACCTCACCACTCCCGGATAAATTTTTAAAATAACTTTTTGTAGAGACGGAGTCTTGATATGATGTTGCCCAGACTGGCCTTGAACTCCTGGCCTCAAGCGATCCTCTTGCCTCAGCCTCCCAAAGTGTTGGGATTATAAGCATGAGCCACCATACTTGGCCTGGCGTGTATTTGCTTGCTTGCTTGCTTTTTTTGTTTGTTTGTTTGTTTGTTTTGAGACGGAGTTTTGCTCTTGCTGCCCAGGCTGGAGTGTAGTGGCACGATCTCAGCTCACTGCAACCTCCATCTCCCGGGTTCAAACAATTCTCCTGCCTCAGCCTCCCGAGTAGCTGGGATTACAGACACCCACCACCATGCGTGGCTGATTTTTTTTTTTTTTTTATCTTTAGTAGAGACAGGGTTTCACCATGTTGACCAGGCTGGTCTTGAACTCCTGAACTCAGGCGATCCACCCACCTCAGCCTTCCAAAATGCTGGGATTACAGGCGTGAGCCACTGTGCTCAGCCTGGCCTGTATTTTCTTTAAAGAAGGCTGTTTGCACATTCTGCTATCCCATATAGCCGAATAGGGACAGACTCTTGCAGGTTTTTTGAAGAGGCAATGGCACAAGAGGCAGCTTCCCAAATATGCTTGTGTGCCTTCTAAAAGGGCAAAGTCTGCCTCAGTAAGATTCCCAGGATGGGAAGAAAACTGGGTTTGCTTCTGTGCTCAAGATGGAGCCCTAGGGTGTTCTTTGACTGGAACTCTATAAGGCAACTGCACAGGTCTACATTTTGCCAGCTAAACCACAGGTTACAAATCTAAGTTTGTTGTAATAAAAGAGGAAAAAATTCAATTAGAACCATCTTGTATTTTATTTACTGTAATCATTCTTTCTTCTTCTTCTTTTTTTTTTTTTTTTTTTTTTTTTGAGATGGAGTCTCATTCTGTCACCCAGGTTGGAGTGCAGTGGGAAGAGCTTGGTTCACTGCAACCCACAGGTGGGTGCCACCACTCCTGGCGAATTTTTGTCTACTGTGCCTGGCCCTTACTGTAATCATTCCTTTTTTTTTTTTTTTTTTTTTTTTTTTAATGAGACAGAGTCTCTCCCTGTCACCCAGGCTGGATTACAGTGGCGTGATCTCAGCTCACTGCAACCTCCACCTCCCGGGTTCAAGCGATTCTCCTGCCCCAGCCTCCCAGTAGCTGGGATTACAGGCACGTGCCGCCATGCCCAGCTAATTTTTTGTATCTTTAGTAGAGACGGGTTTCACCATGTTGGCCCGGCTGGTCTCAAACTCCTGACCTCGTGATCCGCCCACCTTGGCCGCCCAAAGTGCTGGGATTATAGGCATGAGCCACCGTGCCCGGACTGTAATCATTCTTATAAAAATATAAACTGAGGCTGGGTGCCATAGCTCACACCTGTAATCCCAGCACTTTGGAAGGCCAAGACTGGTGGATCACTTGCTCTCAGGAGTTCAAGACCAGCCTGGGCAACATGGTGAAACCCTGTCTCCACAAAAAAAAAAAAAAAAATTAGCCAGGCGTGGTTTTCACACCTGTGGTGCCAGCTACTTGGGAGCCTGAGGTGGGAGGATCACTTGAGCCTGGGAGGTGCAGGTTACAATGAGCCAAGATTGCACCACTGCACTCCAACCTGGGCGACAGAGCCAGACCCTGTCTCAAACAAAACAAAACAAAACAAAACAAAAATACCATAAACTGGCTGGGTGCAGTGGCTCACACCTGGGAGGCCGAGGCAGGAGGATCACTTAATCCCACAAGTTAGAACCTGGAGGCCAGACACGGTGGCTCACGCCTATGATCCCAGCACTTTGGGAGCCCTAGTTGGGCGGATTGCTTGAATCCAGGTGTTCAAGATCAGCCTGGGTGACATGGTGAAACCCCATCTCTACAAAAAAATTAGCCAGGCATAGTGGTGTGCACCTGTAATCTCAGCTACTTGGGAGGCTGAGGTGGAGGGTCACCTGAGCCTGGAAGGTCAAGGCTGCAGTGAACTGTGATTGCAGCCACTGCACTCCATCCTGGTTGATAGAGCAAGACCCTGTCTCAAAAAAAAGTTCAGGGCTTCGGTGAACTATGATTGTGCCACTGTACTCCAGCATGGGTGACAGAGCAAGACCCTTTCTCAAACAAAAAAAATTTATAAACCATTAGAATTTTAAAACTGGTGGTTTTTTTCTGCCTTCTGCCCTCTGCCCTATTCCTCTTTCCCTTCCTGATGGGTGGAAACAATGTCTCGTTGTTCAACCTTGCTTTTTTTTTCTTTTTGATGAGACAAGGTCTCACTCTCACCTAGGCTGGAGTGCAGTGGCACCATCACAGCTCACTGCACCCTCGACCTTCCAGGCTCAGGTGATCCTTCCTTCTCAGCCTCCCAAGTAACTGGGACTATAGGGGCACAACACCATACCAGGCTAATTTTTTTGTACTGGTAGAGACAGGGTTTCACCTTGTTGCACAGGCTGGTCTCAAACTCCTGGGCTCAAGCAATCTGTCCACGTTGGCCTCCCAAAGTGGTGAAATTACAGGCATGGTCCACCACATCTGGCCCAACTGTGCATTATTTTTAACTCCAAGCAAAGTGCTCTGCAACATTAAAAGTTCGATAACTAAGGAGTTTGGATTGAATGGAATAATTTTGTCCCATCTCCTCCTTGTGATTTTTCATTTTTTTTCTTGACTTGCAGCTTATTCTTTCACTAATTCTTCCTTTCTATCTAAAAACAAGCTGAGATCTTACTGATTTTAAAAAAAGAAAACAAATTTCTAGAAAGACAAGGCTGAATTCATTGTCTCCACTTTTTATCTTTTGACCTTTACTGGTTTACTGAAAACACTGTCTCAGAGATCACTGATCTTTTCACTTGTCTATCACAGTATCATTATTTCTCATTATTTTTGCACTCTGTAGAATTTGACAATGATAATTACCCTTTTCTTAATAAAACTCTTTCTTTTCTTGGTATCTATGATAGGGCACTATGGTTTACCTTCAGTTTTCTTAGTCACTTCTTTGTCTCTTGCTTCCAGCAACATTTTTTTCTATCCCCAAAATAAAGGCTTTATTTCAGTCCTCTGCTGTTTTCTGTCATACCTGCCTTCCATTTGATAGTTCAGCTGTTATATGGGTGAATCCCAAGTCTGTGAACCAGTATGCTTTATTGTACCTAGTTGACCCAGGTCTTCTCCAGACTTTTCCCTACTCTGGTTCATTGTGTACAGTGCTACCAAAATAGTATTTAGTTCTTGTCATGTAACTTTCATACTTAAAATCCCTCCACTTTACGTTGGCATCTGAGCTCATTTACAATCTGTCCTCATACTGTATTTCCAATCTTTTGCTCTACATAGCTTCCATGTTCCAACAAAAATTAGCTTTTTTTTTTTTCTTTTTTTTTTTTTTATATGGAGTCGCTCTGTCGCCCAGGCTGCCGTGCAGTCTTGCGATCTTGGCTTACTGCAACCTCTGCCTCCCAGTTTCAAGCAACTCTCCTGCCTCAGCCTACCAAGCAGCTGGGATTACAGGCGCCTGCCGCCATGCCCCACTAATTTTTATATTTTTAGTAGAGACGGGGTTTCACCATGTTGGCCAAGCTGGCCTTGAACTCCTAACCTCAGGTGATCCACCCACCTTGGCCTCCCAAAGTGCTAGGATTATAGGCGTGAGCCACCAGTCCCAGCCTTTTTTGTTTGTTTGTTTTGTTTTGTTTTGAGACCGAGTTTCACTTGTGTCGCCCAGGCTGGAGTGCAGTGGCGCGATCTCGGCTCACTGCAACCTCTGCCTCCCAGGTTCAAGCAATTCTCCTGCCTCAGCTTCCTGACTAGCTGGGATTACAGGCATGCGCCACATTGCCCAGCTAATTTTTGTATTATTAGTAGAGAAGGGGTTTCACCATGTTGGCCAGGCTGGTCTGAAACTCCTGACCTCAAGTAATCCGCCTGCCTTGGCCTCCCAATGTTATGGGATTATAGGCGTGAGTCACTACACCTGGCCTTAAACTCAAATTTTTTTTTTTTTTTTTTAATTTTTCAGATAGAGTCTTGCTCTGTTGCCCAGCCTGGAGTGCAGTGGCACAATCTCGGCTCACTGCAACCTCCGCCTCCCGGGTTCAAGCGATTCTCCTTGCTCAGCCTCCAAAGTAGCTGGGATTACAGGCATGCACTACCACGCCCAGCTAATTTTTGTATTTTTAGTAGAAACAGGGCTTCACCATGTTGGCCAGGCTGGTCTCAAACTCCTGACCTCAAGTGATCCACCTGCCTCGGCCTCCCAAAGTGCTGGGATTACAGGCGTGAGCCACTGCGCCCCACCTAAACTCAAATCTTAAGTGGAATAGTCAATCATTTCCTATCTTATTTTATACTCTTATGATTTCCCTTTATTTTTGTTATTTTTTTTTTTTTTTGAGACAGTCTCACTCTGTTGCCCAGGCTGGAGGGCAGTGATATCATGGCTTACTGCAGCCTCTACTTCCTAGGCTCAGGTGATCCTCCCACCTCAGCCTCCCAAAGTGTTGGCATGACTTCCCTTTGAACAGTTTTATTTAGAATGTGTCCCTCCACGTAATTTTTTTCAAAAACTTTTAAACTTGAAATTTAGTCAAAATAAAGTACTAAAAAAAAGTTTTACAGTCAATTTCAGTAAATCATTGTATCACATTCATAAGTAATGCCATAGAATTTGTTATGGGAAGAACTAGCATGTATGTATTATCTCCAGTGGAATTTATAATTCTACAACTTTTATTTATTCAGGCCATTTCCAGCAGTTTAAAAGGTTTCCTTTCAGCTATGAGACTGGCTCATAGAGGCTGTAATGTTGATACACCAGTTTCAACGCTCACACCAGTGAAGACTTCAGAATTTGAAAACTTTAAAACTAAAATGGTTATCACATCCAAAAAAGACTATCCTCTAAGTAAGAATTTTCCATATTCCTTGGAACATCTTCAGACTTCTTACTGTGGGCTTGTCCGAGTTGATATGCGTATGCTTTGCTTAAAAAGCCTTAGGAAATTAGACTTGAGTCACAACCATATAAAAAAGCTTCCAGCTACAATTGGAGACCTCATACACCTTCAAGAACTTAACCTGAATGACAATCACTTGGAGTCATTTAGTGTAGCCTTGTGTCATTCTACACTCCAGAAGTCACTTCGGAGTTTGGACCTCAGCAAGAACAAAATCAAGGCACTCCCTGTGCAGTTTTGCCAGCTCCAGGAACTTAAGAATTTAAAACTTGACGATAATGAATTGATTCAATTTCCTTGCAAGATAGGACAACTAATAAACCTTCGCTTTTTGTCAGCAGCTCGAAATAAGCTTCCATTTTTGCCTAGTGAATTTAGAAATTTATCCCTTGAATACTTGGATCTTTTTGGAAATACTTTTGAACAACCAAAAGTCCTTCCAGTAATAAAGCTGCAAGCACCATTAACTTTATTGGAATCTTCTGCACGAACCATATTACATAATAGGTAAGATTTTAATAGTCATGTAATGTGGTGTCTTTGATAGCATTCTAATATTCCTATCAAACTCAGAGTAATAAAGTCTAACATTGCTTACAGTGCTATGCACAGTCTGACCCTTTGCTATAATGGTCTTCTTGTTCCTTACCTCTGCTTAGAATGATTTTTCTCCAGGAAGTCTCATTGCTCACTCCCTCACTTCATTCAGTTTTCTGCCGAAGTGTCATCCCAGAAAGGTCTTACCTGTCCATTCTATCTAAATTTTATTCCTTCCCTCCTTACATTGCTTGATTTTTTTTTTTTTTTTTTTTTTTTTTTTTTTTTTTTTTTTTGGTCATAGGACTCATTGCCTGTTATATATATTTTTAAACTTTTTTTTTTGTTTACTGTCAGTTTTCCCCACTAGAATGTAAGATCCATCAGCACATGGATGTTGTTTTATTCTCCACTATTTCCCTAGGATCTAAACCATGTATACCCTGCTCCTAGCATATATTAAGCACTCAATAAGTAGTTAAATGAATGAATGGCATTGTTTCTCAAAGTGTGCTCCCCTGACCAGCAGGATCTGCATTACCTAGGAACTTCCTAGAGATGCAGGTTCTAACATTCCAGACCTACTGAATCAGAAACTGAGAGTGGGGTCCAGCTGTGTCTTAGTGAGTCTTCCAAGTGATTTTGATGTACTCTAAAATTAGAGAGTTCGCATAGTGATGAAGGGTGGTCTTTGGAGTCAGACTTGGATTTGATTCCTGGCTTCACCACTTTGTATGACTTTAACCTCTTTTTTTTTTTTTTTTTTTTTTTTTTTGAGATGGAGTCTCACTCTGTCGCCCAGGCTGGAGTGCAGTGGTGCGAAGCGATCTCGGCTCACTGCAAGCTCCGCCTTCCAGGTTCACGCCATTCTCGTGCCTCAGCCTACTGAGTAGCTGGGACTACAGGCGCCCGCCAACACGCCTGGCTAATTTTTTTTTTGTATTTTTAGTAGAGACGGGGTTTCACCGTGTTAGCCAGGATGGTCTCGATCTCCTGACCTCGTGATCCGCCCGTCTTGGCCTCCCAAAGTGCTGGAATTACAGGCTTGAGCCACCACACCTGGCCCTTTTTTTTTTTTTTTTTTTTTTTTTTGAGACAGGGTCTCACTCTGTTGCCCAGGCTCGAGTGCAGTGGTCCAATCTCAGCTCACTGCAACTTCTGCCTCCCAGACTCAAGCAACTCTTCTGCCTCAGCCTCCTGAGTAGCTGGGATTACAGGCGCCCACCGCCATGCCTGGCTCATTTTTGTATTTTCATTTTATTTATTTGTTTGAGACAGAGTCTCACTGTGTCACCCAGGCTGGAGTGCAGTGGCGCCATCTCGGCTCACTGCAACCTCTGCTTCCCGAGTTCGAGCGATTCTCCTGCTTCAGCCTCCTAAGTAGCTGAAACTGCAGGCACCCGCCACCACACCTGGCTAATTTTTTTTTGTATTTTTAGTAGAGACGGAGTTTTACTATGTTGTCCAGGCTGGTCTTGAACTCCTGACCTTGTGATCTGCCCACTTTGGCCTCCCAAAGTGCCGGGATTACAGGTGTGAGCCACCGCGCCTGGCCTTATTTTTTTAATTTTTGAGATGGAGTCTTGTTCTGTCGCCCAGGTTGGAGTGCAGTGGCATGATCTCGGCTCAACTATAACCTCTGCCTCCCGAGTTCCAGGAGTTCTCCTGCCTCAGCCTTCCGAGTAGCTGGGATTACAAGCATGTGCCACCACACACAGCTAATTTTTGTATTTTTAGCAGAGATGGGGTTTCACCATGTTGACCAGGCTGGTCTCCCAACTCCTGACCTCAGGTGATCTGCCTGTCTTGGTCTCTCAAAATGCTGGAATTACAGGTGTGAGCCTCTCAAAGTGCTGGGATTACAGGCGTGAGCCACCACACCTGACCTATTTAACCTCTTTGATTTCATTTTCTCAGCTGTGAAACAGGAAGAATAATACCCACCTTATAGAGTTGTGACGATAAATGAGCTAATGTAATGCCAAAGCATTTGGCATATAGTAGGATTCAGTAGCTGTTGGTTCTCTTCTCCTTGTCTGAACACTAACTGCATTTGGTTTCATGGACCCTGAGCACCAGATTCATTTTGTTGAGGGTTTTTTTTTTTTTTTGAGATGGAGTTTTGCTCTTGTTGCCCAGGCTGGAGTGCAGTGCGCAAGCGGCTGGAGTGCAGTGCGCAAGCTGGAGTGCCTCCTGGGTTCAAGTGATTCTCCTGCCTCAGCCTCCCAAGTAGCTGGGATTACAGGCTCCCGCCACCACGGCTGGCTATTTTTTTGTATTTTTAGTAGAGATGGGGTTTCACCACGTTGGCCAGGCTGGTTTTGAACTCCTGGCCTCAAGCAATCCACCTGGCTTGGCCTCCCAAAGTGCTAGGATTACAGGCATGAGCCACCACTCCCAGCCATTGTTCAGGTTGCTTTTTATTTTTTGAGACAGTCTCTTTCACTCTTGCCCGGGCTGGAGTGGAATGGCGTGATCTCAGCTCACTGCAACCTCTGCCTCCCAGGTTCAAGCAGTTCTCCTGCCTCAGCCTCCCAAGTAGCTGGGATTACAGGTGCCCATGACCATGGCCGGCTAAATTTTTGTATTTTTAGTAGAGACAGGGTTTCACTATGTTGACCAGGCTGGTCTCAAACTCCTAACCTTGTGATCCACCTGCCTCAGCCTCCCAAAGTGCTGAGATTACAGACATGAGCCACCACACCCAGCCTGTTCAGGCTTCTTGAACGCATGTCTGGAAGCTAAGATGTGGACCAAAGTATTACTGAGAACCTATAAAATGGTAGAAAGATCATATTTCAAATAAGAAATTCTGAACTTTTTTAGGGGAGAGGGGCTCTTAAAACTGACCAAAGTTAAGGAACTGGAAAACTGTACACATGAGTACACAGAATTTTGCATAAAAGGAACCTGGCTCCCACTGAAACCCAGTCCAGTCCTCTCTCCTTGCCATCCCCAATGTAAGAACTCTTACTCTAAACCAATGGTTCTCAGACGTTACTTCAAATTTAGAATAACCTGAGAAACATTTAAAACATCTGAAGGCCAGGTGCGGTGGCTCACGCCTGTAACCCCAGCACTTTGGGAGATCGAGGCAGGCGGATCACAAGGTCGGGAGTTCGAGACCACACTGACCAACATGGTGAAACCTCGTCTCTACTAAAAATACAAAAATTAGCCGGGCATGGTGGTGCGCACCTGTAATCCCAGCTACTCAGGAGGCTGAGGCAGGAGAATCACTTGAACCCAGGAGGCAGAGGTTGCAGTGAGCCGAGATGGCACCACTGCACTCCAGCTTGGGAGTGCAGATTGAGACTCCGTCTCAATCAGTCAATCAGTTAATTAAATAAAATCACCAGAGGTGATACTGATGATTCAGGTTAAATCCACTGATTTGAGGGAACTCCAAACAGTATCTTTTGGCAGTGAGGTGCACCTGAGGCTATTGTTTCTCTAAGACATACATAAAAGAAATTGTAAGAATTGTAAGGCTGGGCGCAGTGGCTCACGCCTGTAATCCCAGCACTTTGGGAGGTCGAGGTGGGTGGATCACTTGAGGCCA